>NC_000009.12:118845552-119470552 GCF_000001405.40 Homo sapiens
ACTATATGTAATTTCATAGTTCGATTTCTTAAATACACAGCATTACTAACTCAAAGATGAATAGCTAGTAAGAAAGTAATTCTGGCCACCTGCCTTATGATTATAATGGAAAATTGTTCTGTTCCCTTAATTTCTCAGTTATTTTCTGGTATTTCTTCTCTCTTCTCATGTCTCTCTCCTAACAAGGCCATCTCCACCCTTGGCAGGTTGTTATTAGAAACATTTCTGCATATTAACTTGAATTAACTTACCTTTACCACATAAACCAACATGTGAGTGGCAGGTCCTTCAACACAGCTGGACACATGAGATGCACCTCGTCTCTACTAGTTTATATGGCATAATGGCATCTCACTATGCTTCCTGATCCTTCTTTTTCCCTTCCTGGGTGCTGAACATCAACTGAGGCAGCACTTTCAAGACTGTCTTTGTTCCACTTCTGAAAAGTATCATTAACATAATCTCAAAAAGAAGTCACATAGACTATTACAATTTTTAGTTGGATAATGCCAGAATAAATCTTCAAAGGAGGCAGACATATGATGAGGTGCAGTAGAGTATGTTGGAAAAGGCACTAAATCCAGACTAAGCCTTCCTGTTATTCAGAATTTCTGGTTATGTCCTGTCATCTCTCAGTCTCAGATTTCATATCCCTAAAATGAAAGTAAAGATCAAATGGGGCAAATAATGTGAAAGTACTCTGTTTTTAAAAATCATGGCAAAAAGCAAGTATTATGAGAGGTCAGAAAATATACTGGTGGTATTTTGGTAGATCCTCATTCAATTTCTTCCATAGAATCAAGATTATTCCTTTTTACTTAATTTATCTTCATTCGTTTATTCAAAAATATTACTCAATATTAATCAAACTATCAAAATTATAATTAATACACAAAAGTTAATCATTCCATGAATAAATGTAACAAAGAGAATATATAATTAAAGAAATAATTTGAAGTATAATTGTGACATGAGCACTTAAAGGTATAATAATAAATATAACAAGAAAAAAAGCAGAATCTCTAAAATAATTATAGCTGGCCGGGTGCAGTGGCTCACGTCTGTAATCCCAGCACTTTGGGAGGCTGAGGCGGGCGAATCACGAGGTCAGGAGTTCAAGAGCAGCCTGGCCAACATGGTGAAACCCCATCTCTACTAAAAATACAAAAAATTAGCTGGGCATAGTGGTGGGCACCTGTAATCCTAGCTACTTGGCAGGCTGAGGCAGGAGAATTGCTTAAACCCGGGAGGCGGAGTTTGCAGTGAGCCAAGATCACTCCACTATACTCCAGTCACAGCAACAGAGTGCGACTCCGTCTCAAAAATAAATAAGTAAAAATAAAAATAATAAGTATGTATATGTGTGTGTGTGTGTGTGTGTGTATATATATATATATATATATATATAGCTATATGTATAGCTAAAGAAGAAAAACTCTAAACAGGAAAAGAAAAAATGGCTTGAATGGAAAGACGTATTTTAAAGCTTTGGAATTTTTCTTAAATTCTAGAAATATATACATTTCTGCTATAGATTCCAAAGAATTTTTGGAGGAATCTTAATAGAATTATTCTAAAGTTCATCTGGAAGATGTAAATATTATTTTTAAGAATAATTTAATCAGTGTTGCATAGTTAATTTTCCAGGTGAACTTTAGAATAATGTTATTAAGATTATCCCCAAATTTCTTTGGAATGTATAATAGAAATGCATACATGTAACAAACCTGCACTTGTACACTTAAAATAAAAGTTAAAAAAAAAAGAATATTCAGAGAGGAGTTACCTCCCATGGGTATTAAGGATATTTCAGAGCTACAATAAGTAAGATATGTTCCTCTATTGGGATATAGACAGAGAAACATAAAGAAATTTAGAACTTACAAAAGTAGACACTAGGGTGTACTGAGATTTAAAAATTTCAAAAGATAGTTAAATCCATGGTTTGAAAAAATAAAATGGAATAGTCAATAAATGATGGTCGTCATGCTTTCCATTTGAGAGAAAAAAAATCAGCCTAGATTCTCATCTCATTCTGACGCTTAATGTATTTCCGATAGATCATTCACTGAGTTGATTACTTGGGTCTTATTTTATTATGTTGTATTTTATTGTAATTTAAATAATATACATTGAACCAAGCTCTAACCCTATCTCACCAGCCCTCATCAAATTCAGACAGAAACCCAATGGGTATTAGGCTAGGCAACCATCCCAAATGTCAAACACTATGCTACAATCCTTCTCATCTCATTGCTGATTATTACAGCGACTTTTTTTGTGGATCAAGTTCTCCATGTCTTGCTCTTTCTTCTGTTAGAATTGAAGTGTAGCAGAATACGCCCCCACCCAAAGTATGCCACGTTGCATAAGGATTATTTTGAGCTGAAGCCAATTGAGAAGAAGCAGATACAAGAAAAGCTCTCTGCTCTTCCCTTATTTGCCTAAAAGCAGGACATACATTTATAAAGGTTTTCTTCCTAACTCTATCATGAAAAACAAAGGCTGATCCCTGGAGAGGACCTATCTTAGACCCTTATCAGCCTGGAGGCGGCACCAGCAGAATCTATTATAGGTTAACAAACTTTACTGATTAACCTTTATCTACCTTTGATTTCCCATGTATTTGTTTCCTCACAATTTGCTGCCCCTAGAGACTCAAGATCCTTTACCTTTGTCTTGTCATTTCTCTAAAAATGCATTGTTCTTTGTTTAAGATACTATATATGCCAGTGTTCTAAGCCAATTCTTTTAAGAGTGACTCTTTCCCTGAATTTTCTATTAGATATAAATACATGTTACTAAACTTCTGTTTGTTTTTTCTCTTGATAATGTGGTGGTGGTGTTCAGGGGTCCCCGCTAAGAACTCAGAAGAGTAGAAGAAAAAAATGTTTTTTTCCTTCTCTATAGGAAGGAAAGTCAAGGCAAATCCACTGCTGCACTAGATGTGCCCAGACATATTTAAGTTCCAGCAGTTGATATAATTTTCATTCTTAAAACGGTCTTGGATACATGCATTGCCATGACATGCCTCACCATAAGCTGACCCACTTATATCCTCTTCTCGGAGTCTCCACATGAGTCTTTTGTGAATAATAATCAATCCTTAGCTAATTTGTTGAAATAAGCAACCATTGCATATATTTTCTGTAACCCACTCAATTCACTCATGGATCTTTCCCATATGAAGTTCAATCTGTTTCTGTTACTACTTTAAACAATTAACTTATCCCTTTAGACATTCTTATGATCTATTCCAGGTATTGGTAATTTTTTTTCTGTCAAAGGCTGAAAAGTAAATATTTCTGCTTCAATGATCATATTCTGCTATTGTAGCACCATAGATTATACATAAACAAATTAGTGTTTCAATAAAACTTTATTACTAAAGTAGGTAATGGGCCAATCCATTACTAACCACAGACTTTATATGTTCGGAGTATGTTTACTTGATTAAAAATTCTAAAAACATTTCCAAAATATTACTCATTTCACTGCTTAAAAGCAAACAAATAAATAAGTTAGTAAGTAATCATTGATAGTAATTAACTTTTCTTATAAAGGTATTTATCTGTTCGTAATCTGGCTATATCTTTGGGACAACACTCTTCTTTAGAAGTTAAATAACACGTTATCATTTTAACAAAAATAGATTATTTAGAGAGATGGTAGGTTGAAATACAGTGTTAAATGACTGCATTTTCCTACTAAAAACACATGGTTCAACCTTTACAACCAGACAGAAATGGTCAATACCAATACCTACTTTTTAATTCTAAGTAGGCTGGAAGCTAGAAATTATTGTTGTACCTGCATAGATTTTGGATTCGGAATGATTGGTATTAGAATCTCAAATCTTATATTTGCTAACTGTATACATTTGAGGAAAACAGCAAATTTATCTGTTTTTGAATTTGTAAAATAAATTTAACACTACCTAGCTTAGCAGATGGCTTTAGATATTAAATTCAGCTAATAATAAGTAGGAATTTTTAAACAATTGGAATGTTCTAAAAGAAATAGACTTATTGAGATGCAGTGAGATCTGTGCTGCATTAAATGTTTACATCAAAGTTGGTGAATAATTCTAAGAGATTCATGTGAGATACATCAATATTTCAACTTTTAAGTCTATTACAACTCTCAAAATCAACTATTGAAAAGACTAAGAGAAGACAAACAGAGAGTTTAAAAAATAAGTAAATAACAGAGAACTTCTCTTTCTGACAAAGGTGGGGTATCTAGGATTGAACATCCTCCCACTGTAAAAATGACAGCACTAGAAAAGTATGGCATTAGGCTGAGGAGGAGTGTGTCCCCTGAAACAAGGGGAGCAGATTAAGTGAGCCTTATGATGAGCTTTCTACTTGGAAACACTTTGTGGTTAGCAGGTGCATGAAGCTGGTGGGGAAGCAGTGTCACAAAAATGAGTTCAGAAAACTCATGGGAGAAGATGTACATCATAGTCAGGGAAGACTGAAGTGGTTAGAATTTATAAAGCAAAATACAGAAGAAGAGGAGGATCAGTGTAAAGAAAAATTACTTCAGAAATCTGTATGTGGGCTTCATTGTCTTTTGCTGAATAGTAAGATATGCATGCAGAGGGCGAAAGTCCAAGAGAAGAATGAATGGGGAGGCAGAGATGGGCTGTGAGGTGAACAGTTCCTGGAGCTTACAAAGGATGAAAGAGAGTCAGGCTCTGATTGGTCAAAGTAAATAAAATATATTGAACGCATAGATATTCAATGGATAACACAGGTAGAAAACACATTAGTAATAGGGCTAAAATAGTCCTGGAATAAAAGTCTACTTTATGCCCAAATTCAAAATTCTTAAAAGAAAATGATTCAAGATCAATATATTCCATGAGTAACTTAATGGGCTGAAGCACAAAGTCCAATACACTTCAAAAGAATACTACATATAATTGTCAAAACTTGGAAACCACCAAGATATTCTTAGTAGGTGAATGGAAAAATAAACTGTGGTACATCCAGACAATAGAGTATTATTCAGTGTTAAATAGAAGTAAGCTACTAAGCCATGAAAAGACATGATGGAGAAAAATTAAATGCATATTACTTAGTGAAAGGGGCCAATCTGAAAAGGTTGGACATTGTATGATTTCAAGTATATGACAGTTTGAAAAAGGCAAAACTATGAGGACAGTAAAAAAGATAAGATCAGTGGTTGCCATAGGTTATGAGGGAGAGAGGAATGAATAAGCCCAACATCGGGTGTCTTTAAGGCAGAAAACTATTTTGTATGATACTATAAAAGTGGAAATATGTCATTACACATTTTTCAAAACCCATATAATGAGCAATATCAACAGTGAGCCCTAAAGTATAAACTATGAACTTTGTGTAATGAAGATGTGTCAGTCTAGGTTCATTGATTATAATACATATACTCCTCTGGTGGGGGATGGTAATAATGGTGGAGGCTACATATGTGTGAGGAAAGGGGTATACGGGACGTCTTTGTATACCTTCCTCTCAGTTTTACTGTGTACCTACTATTACTTTAAAAAACAAATTCTTTTCAAAACAACAGTATAAAATATCCAGCACTTTATGATCTAAAGTTGACAGTGTAAAGCATCCCATGAAAAATTATTATCCTGGCAAGAACAGTGTCAAACGTAAATAATGAGATTCAGAAAATATGATTAAGTATAGAGTTTATTTGAGGGCAAAACTTGAGGGTAGCTACCTGGGAAGCACCAACCCCAAATGAATGAGGTCAGTGCTCCAAAGTGGAAAGTTAAGGCTTCACCTATATAGGCAAAGACAGAGAAATTTTTGTAGAATTACAACATTTTTTGTTCAAGACCAGTGCGTACATTGCAGTGATTTGATTGGTTACAGATGGCTACATTCCAAAAAACATTACTTGATTATTCTGGAGGAGGGACAGTGATCTGAGAGAGTCTTCTATGTGGTCTTCCTAATTATTTATAGGAAAAAATGCAGAACTTTTAGCTGCATGTCACATGACCTGGCTATGTCAGGTCACATAGCCACATTCCTTTCAAGGCTCAGAATAAGTTAAAACTTCAACAGCTTTAAGTATGAATTATTCAATCTCACAGCAGGAAAATGTGACACTTAAGCTGGAAATAAATTAGTAAATAAAAAATCTATGAATAAACAAAATGATTGAATTAGCAGATAAGGATTTTAAAACAGCTATTGTAAATCTGTTCAATGTTTGCAAGGATTTCAAGGACAATGTGAACACAATGATGAAGGAAATATAAGATATGAGAAAAGGACCAAATATGAATTCCCACATGAAAAATACAGTATCAGAAAAGTAAATATATGGATGGGATTAAAGCAGATTAAATACCACTAGGGACAGAAAAGATCAGAGAACTTCAATTCAAGTATCAGAAACTAAGTTTAAGAAAGCATGTTATCTTCATATGTTCATGCTGCTGTAACAAAATGTTCAAGACTGGGTAATTTATAAATAACAGAAATGTATTTCTTACAGTTCTGGAAGCTGAGAAGTCCGAAATCAAGGTACCAGCAGGGTCCGGTCTGCTGAGGGCTGCTCTCTGCTGTGCCCTCCAGAGAGAACAAATGCTGTGTCCTCCAGGAGGAAGGTAAAAAGGGCTGAACAGTTCCCTCACATGTTTTATATAAGGGCATTAATCCCATTCATGAGGCAGAAGACCTCAAGGGTAAGTCACCTCACAGAAGTCTCCACCTTGTAAAACCACAGCAAGGAGAATTAAGTTGCATCACAAATTTTGGGAGGGACACATTCAAACCATAGCGCACATGGAGAAAAAAAGTTATTGAAAATATAAACAGTGTCAACGTGACCTGTTGGAGTATATCAAGCAGCCTCTTATACAAGTCTTCAAATAAGAGAAAGTTGCAGAAAAAGTATTTGAAGAAATAATGGCTGAAAATTCTCAACATGTTAGGAGAAATACAAACTGATATATCCAAGATGCTCAAGAAGACTTAAGAAGGCTAAACACAAAGAAAACCACACAAAGGCATATAATAATCACATTCCTGAAAGCCACAGATGAAGAGAAAATTCTTAAAATCAACCAGAGAGAACAAAAATATTACACAGAAAATAACAATGCCCAGAGACTTCTTACCTGAAGATTTACAATCTAGACTATAATGAAACAATCTCTTTGAAGTATTGATTATATACATATAATCAATATAACATATATAACATGTCTTCTCTAGGTATTGAATTCTTACGATAGCTAGATAGAATTCTTACTGTCTCTCTCTCTCATCTCACAGAGATAAGAGAGAGAGAGACAGTAAGAATTCAATACCGAGAGAAGACATCTTTGAAAATAAAGGTGAAATACTTTTTTAAATAATGAAAGGTGAGAACATTTTGTCATCAGCTAATGTGATCCAAAAGAAATACTTAAAATTGTTTTAGACAAAAGGAAAATGATATGACAAAACATGCGTTCACACAAAAGAATGAAGCTTCCCAGAAATAGCACATAAATGGGTAAATATTAGAAACATACAAACTTGAGTTCTATTTTCTAGTAATGGCAGAGTACCTTATATAAGACTAAATGTCCAGATGATGAGGAAGAAAAACTGGGAAAAAATGGTAATAGTTTGAAGACAATAGAAAGCAGTCAAAAGCAGACAGAAACTGGACAGGATTTGTCTGTTGAAAAAAGAAAAGCCTTAAAAGACGGAGGAAAGAGAGGAAAAATGAGACATTATATATAAGATTATAAAAATAATAATGAAAGCTGACATTTCATCATACAAAAAAGAGGCTAAAAGATAATGAAATGACATCTTAAAATGCTGAGAGAAAAACAAAAAACACTGTCAGCCTATCATTCCACACACAGCAAAAATATATTTCAAAAATGAAGACAAAATAAAGACATTTTCAGATAAACAAAAAAATCTTGTAGCAGATACACACTGCAAGAAATATTGAAATTATTTAGACTTAAGGCATATGAAGTTACAAGGAAATGGAGATCTATAATATGAAAAGATTAGTGCTAGAAATAGTAAACATGTAAGTCAATGTAAAAGTGCGTGCTACTTAATTTCTTATGAAGTTAATTGACTAAACTGAGAAACAATGTATGGCAAGACTAGCAAAGGGATGAAAGAGGTAATAAATAGATGTATTCTTCTATAATATATTATATGTAAAGTCACATATAAATAAAGTTACACTGTCATAAGTGAAAATGCATATATAATATCAAAGAAAATACAAGATACACATATTTGTATACTTATCTCTCTCTGTATACATGAGGCCAAAAGAGCAGAGAGATGAAACATTTAAAAATATATAGTGGTTTCCAGGTACTGGCAGTGGGGGTGGAAAATGGCATTGTTTTAATAGTACAGACTTTTAGCTTAAGATGTAGAGAGCTCTAGAAGATGGATGGGCATAATGGCTGCATAACAATTTGAGTGTACTTGGTACCACTAAACTGTACAATTAAAATGGTTAAATTATATGTAATACACACATAGGTACATTTAAAATGGGAAGCTAAAAGGGTAAAATAGAAAACAGACAGCAAAATGCTATATTTAAACATGAGCCTAGTCATTTAATTTATAGCTCTATGCTGCAACAGATACATTCTATGTATGAAGACAGAAGCACTGGAAGAAATTAAATGGAAAATATACTTTTGCAAAAATAAGCATATGAAAGCTGATGTGTCTTGGTTACTATCAGGACAAAACAAAATGCAAGAAAATAATTTTTAGCAGAGATAAAGTAAATCACTTCACCATGGTAGGTGTCAATTAATCAAAATTGCAAATATTAAATTAATGAAAGAATTTTTATAGAAGTATGGGACAAATACATTAAAACTTAGCCATAATTGGAGATTTCAGTACTTCTATTTTTGTAATTAAAAGGAAAAGCAGAGAAAAGATTAATAAAAATACAGAAGATTAGAACTACAGTATAAACCAATTTGATATGACAACAGTACTCATTCAAAAACTGCAGGACAAACACTTTTCTCAAGTGTCCGTGGAATGGTCACTACAGTAGACTCAATGTTGAGGCATAAAACAGGTATTCATGAATTTCAAAACATACTCTGTTTCCTGAAGACAACAGGATAAAATTATAAATCAAAAAACAATAAAATACCTAGAAAATTTATAAATATTTCAAATTAGGCAACTCATTTCTAAATACCTATATGTCAAATAAGAAATCACAATAAAAATAAAAAAATATTTTTCACTGAATAGTAATATATCAAAAGTTGTGGGATACAGGTAAAGTGTAATGGGAAACATACACTTTTAAATACCACTGTTACAAAGGAGAAAGATTTCAATACATTATCTAATTTTCCAAATTAAGAATCTAGCAAAAGAAAAACTGATAGCAAGTGCAAGACAGTAAATATTAAAGATAAAATATAAAGACAATGAAATAGAAAGCAAACTATAAATTCACAAAGCCTAAAATGTGTTGTTTAAAAAATGAATAAAATTAGAAAGCCCTACTTTAACTAGGCCAATTAATTTGATGAATCAATCAAGACTTCAAACACTAACAATAAACAATGTTTTATTTATATAAAATACTTTTTTGCCTTTTTATTTATATAGATAAACATAATTAATAATTAAAATGTATGTCATAAAGTGCCAGGTACAAATAGATTCATTATTTATTTTTATCAATCATTGCATGAGAAATAATGCCAAAGTTACATAAATTATTTTCTAAAATAGAGAATTGCTTAATGAGATCACTTTAAACTTAAGAACAAAATTAGATATCAAATACACAAAATAAATTATAGACTAATATCCATCCTTAATATGGATGTAAAAATGCTTATCAGAATGTCAAACCTACCTCAGAAAATATTTTTTAAAGGATAAAACAGCATGACCAACTGTGTTTTTTCTAAGGAATGTAAGTTTGGTTCAATGTTAAAAAAAATAATAAACAGATTGGTGGGGGCAGAACCAAGATGGCTGACTAGAAGCAGTGGCAATCAGAGGCTCCCATGGAAAAGATTCAAAGCCGTGCAAATCCTGCACTGGTAACCAAGGCATCCAGGTTCTGTCATTAGGACTGACTAGGCAGCTGGTGTGACCCATGGAAAGGAAGGAAGGACAGTGTGGTGCAGTGGCCCACCTGAAAGCCACACAGGGCTGGGGAGCCCCTACCCTTGGCCAAGGGAGGTAGTGAGTGAGCCTGCTACCCAGCCTGGGAAACTGCTTTTTTCACAGAACTATGCAACCCCCGGATTGAAATATCCCACTTGTGAGCCCACACCACCAGGGCCTTGGGTCCCTATTAGAAAGCCACACAGATTCTAACTCTGGTAGAAGCAGCCTAAGCCAGGTTCCCAAGGAGAGGTGGGACCATCACCACTGATGCAAGCTGCCTGCTGTCTAAGCCATCTGAGCTCTTTGCAGGAGGGGCAGCAGCCAGCACTGCAGCTGCAGGGCCTCCCTGAAGGGATTCCAACTCCAGCCAGGGGCTCTGGGACAAAAACTCTGATCTCCCTGGGCCTGAGCCCCTAGCAGCAGGAGTGGCTGTAGTCTCTATGGACCAGCAGACTTAGTGTTTCCCTCTGCTAGCTCTGAGGATTCCAGGCAGCCCAGATGAGCGAATTGCCCCCCAGCACAGCACACCACCTCTACTAAGGGACAGCCAAAGTGCTTCATTAAAAGAGTCCTGCTTCCCGTGCCACCCATCCAGGTGAAACCCCCGCAACAACAGGGGTTGTCAGACATCTGTACAGCAGCATCCCTACTGGCATCAAGTCAGTGCCCCTCAAGCTCAGAGATCCCAGAGAAAAGAGCAGGCACCCATCTTTGCTGTTCCCCAGCCTCCTTGAGTGACATCTCCAGGCACAGGAGCAAACCAGATGAATAGGGCCTGAAGTGAACCCCCAGCAAACCGCAGCAACTCTACAGGAGAGGGACCTGACTTTTGAAAGAAAAACAAACAGAAAGCAACAAAGACAGCATCAATGCAAAAAGTACCCACAAAAATCTCATCCAAGGGTCAGCAGCAGCAAAGATCAAAACTAGACAAACTCATGAAGATAATAAAGAATCAATGAAAAAACGCTGAAAACCCAAAAGGCCAGAGTGCCTCTTCTCCAAATGATCACAACACCTCTCCAGCAGGGACACAGAACTGGACGGAGGGTGAGATGGGTGAATTGACAGAAGCAGGCTTCAGAAGGCAGGTAATAACAAACTTTGCTGAGGTAAAGGAACATGTTCTAACTCAATGCAAAGAAGCTAAGAACCTTGAGAAAATGTTAGAGTTGTTGCTAACCAGAATAACTGGTTTATAGGGGAAATTAATGACCTGATGGAGAAAAACACAGCATGAGAACTTTGTAAAGTATACACAAGTATCGATAGCCAAATCGATTAAGAGGAAGAAAGAATATTAGAGATGGAAGACTATCTTGTTGAAACAATGCAGGCAGACAAGATTAGAGAAAAAGGAATGTAAAAGAGGAAACAAAACCTCCAAGAAATGTGGGACTGTGTAAACAGACCCAACCTCTGACTGATTGGAGTACCTGAAAGAAATGGAGAAAATGCAACCAAGTTGGAAAACACACTTCAGGATATTATCCAGGAGAACTTGCCCAATCTAGCAAGACAGGCCAACATTCAAATTCAGGAAATATAGAGAACCTCACTAAGATACTGCACGAGAGGGTCAACCCCAAGACACATAATCATCAGATTCACTAAGGTCGAAATGAAGGAAAAAATGTTAAGGGTAGACAGAAAGGCGAGGTCACCTACACGGGGAAGCCCATCAGACTAACAGCAGATCTCTCAGCAGAAACCTTACAAGTCAGAAGAGAGTAGGGGCCAATATTCAACATTCTTAAAGAAAAGAATTTTCAACCCAGAATTTCATATCCAGCCAAACTAAGTTTCATAAGTGAAGGAGAAATAAAATGCTTTTCAGATAAGCATATGCTGATGGAATTCATTACTACCAGGCCTGCCTGGCAAAAGCTCACGAAGGAAGCACTAAATATGGAAAGGAAAAACCAGTACCAGCCACTGGAAAACACACGAAAATGTGAAGACTAATGACACTATGAAGGAACGGCATCAACAAGTGTGCAAAATAACCAGCTAGCATCATGATGACTGGATCAAATTCACACATAACAATATTAACCTTAAATGTAAATGGGCTAAATGCCCCAATTAAAAGACACAGAATGGCAAATTGGATAAAGAGTCAAGACCCATCAGTGTGCTGTATTCAAGAGACCCATCTCACGTGTAGAGACACACATAGGCTTAAAATAAAGGGACAGAGGAAAATTTGTCTAGCAAATGGAAAGCCGAAGAAAACAGGGGTTGCAATCCTAGTCTCTGACAAAACATACTTTAAACCAACAAAGATCAAAAAAGACAAAAAAAGCATTGCATAATGGTAAAGGCATCAATTCAACAAGAAGAGCTAACTGTCCTAAATACATATGCACCCAATACAGGAGCACCCAGACTCATAAAACAAGTTCTTAGAGACCTACAAAGAGACTTATACTCCCACAAGATAATAGTGGGAGACTTTATCACCCCACTGTCAATATTAGACAGATAAATGAGACAGAAAATTAACAAGGATATTCATGATAACAAGGATATTCATGACTTGAACTCAGCTTTGGATCAAGTGGACCTAATAAATACCTGCACTAATAGATATCTCCACTCCAAAACAATAAAATATACATTTTTCTAAGTACCACATGGCACTTACTCTAAAATCAATCACAAAATTGGAAGTAAAACACTCCTCAGCAAATGCAAAAGAACTGAAATCATAACAGAGTCTCTCAGACTACAGTGCAATCAAATTAGAACTCAGGATTAAGAAATTCACTCAAAACCACACAAATACATGGAAATTGAACAACTTCCTCTTGAATGACTCCTGGGTAAATAATGAAAAGACAGAAATCAAGAAGTTCTTTGAAACCAATGAGAACAAAAAGACAATGTATTAGAATCTCTGGGATGCAGCTAAAGCAGTGTTAAGAGGGAAATTTATAGCACTAAATGCTCAACATCAGAAAGCTAGAAAGATCTCAAATCAACACCCTAACATCAAAATTAAAAGAACTAGAGAAGCAAGAGCAAACAAATTCATAATCTAGCAGAAGATAAGAAATAACGAAGATTAGAGCAGAACTGAAGGAGGTAGAGACACAAAAATCCTTCAAAAAAATGAATGAATCTAGGAGTTCGTTTTTTGAAAAAAGTAATAAAATATACTGCTTGCAAGAATAATAAAGAAGAAAAAAGAGAAGAATCAAATAGACACAATAAAAAATGATAAAGGAGCTATCACCCACCACTGACCCCAGAGAAATACAAACTACCATCAGGGAATACTATAAACACATCTACACAAATAAACTAGAAAATCTAGAAGAAACAGATAAATTCCTGGACACATACACCCTCCCAAGACTAAACCAGGAAGAAATGGAATCCTTGAATAGAACAATAACAAGTTCTGAAATTGAGGCATTAATAAATAGCCTACCAACCAAAAAATGCCCAGGACCAGATGGATTCACAGCCAAATTCTACTAGAGGTACAAAAAGGAGCTGGTACCATTCCTTCAGAAAATATTCCAAACCATTGAAAAGGAGGGACTCCTCCTTAACTCATTTTATGAGGCCAGCCTCATCCTGATACCAAAACCTGGCAGAAAAACACACACAAAAAAAGAGAACTTCAGGCCAATATCCCTGATGAATTTTGATGCAGAAATCCTCAATAAAATACAGGCAAACCGAATCCAGCAGCACATCACAAAACTTATCCACCATGATCAAGTTGACTTCATCTCTAGGATGCAAGTCTGGTTCAACATATGCAAATCAATAAACGTAATCATCACATAAGCAGAACCAATGAGAAAAACCACGATTGTCTCAATAGATGCCGAAAAGGCCTTTGATAAAATTCAGCACAGCTTCATCCTAAAAACTCTCAATAAACCATGTACTGATGGAACGTATCTCAAAGTAATAAGAGCTATTTATGACAAACCCACAGCCAATATCATACTGAATGGGCAAAAGCTGGAAGCATTCCCTTTGAGAACTGGCACAACACAAGGATGCCCTCTGTCAACACTCCTATTCAGCATAGTATTGAAAATTTTGGCCAAGGCAATCAGGAAAGAGAAAAAAATGAAGGGTATTCAAATAGGAAGAGAGGAAGTCAAATTGTCTCTGTTTGCAGATGACAAGATACTGTATTTAGAAACCCCATTGTCTCAGCACCAAATCTCCTTAGGCTAATAAGCAACTTCAGCAAAGTCTCCGGATACAAAATGAATGTGCAAAAATCACAAGCATTGCTATAACCAACAACAGAATAGCAGAGAGCCAGATCATGAATGAACTCCCATTCACAATTGCCATAAAGAGAATAAAATACCTTAGGAATACAGCTAAAAAGAGACATGAGGGACCTCTTCAAGGAGAACTACAAACCACTGCTCAAGGAAATAAGAAAGGACACAAACAAATGGAAAAACATCCCATCCTTATAGATAGGAAGAATCAATATCATGAAAATGGCCATACTGCCCAAAGTAATTTATAGATTCACTACTATTCCCATCAAACTACCATGCACATTCTTCACAGAATTAGAAAAAACTACTTTAAAATTCATATGGAACCAAAAAAGAGCCCACATAGCCAAGACAATACTAAGCAAAAAGAACAAAGCTGGAGGCATCATGCTACCTAACTTCAAACTATACTACAAGGCTACAGTAACCAAAACTGCATGATACTGGTACCAAAACAGACATATAGACCAATGGAACAATAGAGACCTCAGAAATGAGACCACACATCTACAACCATCTGATCTTTGACAACCCTAACAAAAACAAGCAATGGGGAAAGGATTCCCTATTTAATAAATGGTGCTGGGGAAACTGGCTAACCACATGCAGAAAACTGAAACTGGACCCCTTCCTTACACCTTATACAAAAATTAACTCAAGATGGATTAAAGACATAAATGTAAAACCCCAAACCATAAAAACCCTAGAAGAAAACCTAGGCAATACCATTCAGGACATAGGCATGGGCATAGATTTTGTAATGTTGCCAAAAGCAATGACAACAAAAGCAAAAATTGACAAATGGGTTCTAACTAAACTAAAGAGCTCTGCATAGCAGAAGAAACTATCATCAGAACAAACAGGCAACCTACAGAATGGGAGAAAATTTTTGCAATCTATCCATCTAACAAAGGTCTTATATCCAGAATTTACAAGGAACCTAAACAAATTTTCAAGAAAAAAACAACCCCATCAAAAAGTGGGTGAAGGATATGAACAGACACTTCTCAAAAGAAGACATTTATGTGGCCAACAAACATATGAAAAAAAAAACTCAGCATCATTGATCATTAGATAAATTCACATCAAAACCACAATGAGATACCATCTCACACCAGTCAGAATGACAATTATTAAAAAGTCAGGAAACAGATGCTGGTGAGGCTGTGGAGAAATAGGAACACTTTTACACTGTTGGTGGGAATATAGATTAGTTCAACCATTGTGGAAGACAGTGTTGCAATTCCTGAAAGATCTAGAACCAGAAATACCATTTGACCCAGTAATCCCATTATTGGGTATATACCCAAAGGAATATAAATCATTGTATTATAAAGATACATGCATATGTATGTTTATTGCAGCACTATTCACAATAGCAGTGACATGGACCAATCCAAATGCCCATCAATGATAGACTTGATAAAGAAAATATGGTAAATATACACCATGGAATACCATGCGGCCATAAAAAGGAATGAGATCATGTCCTTTGCAGAGACATGGACGAAGCCGGAAGCCATCATTCTCAGCAAACTAACACAGGAACAGAAATCCAGACAGTACATGTTCTCACTCATAAGTGGGAGTTGAACAATGAGAACACATGGACACAGGGAGGAGAACAACACACACTGGGGCTTGTTGGGGGTGGGGTCAAGGGGAGGGAGAGTATCAAGACAAATAGCTAATGCATATGGGGCTCAAGACCTAGGTGACGTGAAGATAGGTGCAGGAAGCCACCATGGCACACTTATACCTATGTAACAAACCTGCATGTTCTGCACATGTATCTTAGAACTTAAAGTTAAAAACTAAATAAAATAATAATAATAATCAGTATAATTTCTCACACTAAAAGATAAAAACCCAAAAATATACATGTTTATCTTATTTGTATGCAGAAAATACAATTTGGCAAAATTTAAACACAAGCCATGAAGACAGCTTTTACCAAAATAGAAATGGAAAGCAAATTTCTCAATTTGAGTAAGGGCCTACATGGAAAACAAAGAACTATCATCATAGTGGTGAAATATTGAACACATACTCCCTGTGACTGAGAACAAGTCAAAGATATATGTTTTTACTGCTTCTATGTAGACTTGTACTGGATATCTTATATTATGACTTAAAGCATGAAAAATGAAAAGCACAGAACTTAGAAAACAGAAGTCTTTTTGTTCATAGAGGAAATGGTATTAACAGAAAAATCTTAAAGACTTTAAGTTTCTAGAACTTGGGCACATATACATTTCTAGAATTAGGCAATTTTGCAGGATATGGGGTCAATATACAAAAAATTATTTATTTAACTTTTAAGTTCAAGGGTACAAGTGCAGGTTTGTTACATAGGTAAACTTGTGTCATGGGGTTTCTTGTACAGACTATTTCCTCACCCAGGTATTAAGCCTAGTACTCATTGGTTATTTTTTCGATCCTCTTCCTCCTTTCACCTTCCACACTTCAATAGAGCCAAGTGTTTGTTGATTCTTCTTTTTGTCCATGTGTTCTCACCATTTAGCTCCCACTTACAAGTGAGAACATGCAGTATTTGGTTTTCTGTTCCTGTGTTAGTTTGCTAAAGATAATGGCCTCCAGTTCTACCCATAGCCCTGTAAAAGACATGATCTTGGTTTTGATTTGCAATTCTCAGATCAGTGATGCTGAGCTTTTTTTCATATGATTGATGGCTACATGTATGTCTTTGGAAAAGTGCCTATTCACGCCCTTTGTCTGCTTTTTAATGAAAGCTGTTTTTTTTCCTGTAAATTTGCTTAAGTTCTTACAGATATTAGACCTTTGTCAGATGCATAGTTTGCAGAAGTTCTCTCCCATTCTATAGGCTGTTTACTCTCATGATAGTTTCTTTTGTGTGCAGAAATTCAATTAGATTCTATTTGTCGAGTTTCACTTGTGTTGTAGTTGCTTTTGGCATCTTCGTCATGACATCTTTGCCTGTGCTTATGTCCTGATAGGTTAAAAGTGTTCCCATTCACAATTCTCACAAAAAGAATGAAATACCTAGGAATGCAGCTAACTTAGGGGGGTAGAAGATCTCTACAAGGAGAGCTACAAAACACTGCTCAAAGAAATCAGAGCTGACACAAACAAATGGAAAAACATTCCATGCTCATGGATAGGAAGAATCAATATCATTAAAATGGCCATACTGCTCAAAGGAAAAGGCTCTTCCTATTAAACTACCATTGAGATTCTTCACAGAACTAGAAAAAATTACTTTAAAATTCATATGGATCCAAAAAAGAGCCAAGGCAATACTAAGCAAAAACAAAACAAAACAAAACAAAAAAAACCTGGAGGCTTCATCCTACCTGACTTCAAACTATACTACAGGGCTACAGTAACCAAAACAGCATGGAACTGGTACACGACCAGACACATAGACCAGTGGAACAGAATAGAGAACCCGGTAATAAGACCACACACTTAGACCTATTTGATCTTCAACAAACCTGACAAAAACAAGCAATGGAGAAAGGATTCCTTATTCAATAAATGGTGTTGGGATAACTGGCTAGCCATATGCAGAAGATGGAAACTGGACCCCTTTCTTACACCATATACAAAAATTGACTCAAGGTAGATTAAAGACTTAAATGTAAAACCCAAAACTTTGAAAACTCTGGACATTTTTTTTTTTTTTTTTTTTGAGATGGAGTCTTGCTCTGTCACCCAGGCTGGAGTGCAGTGGCACAATCTCGGCTCACTGCAGCCTCCACCTCCCAGGTTCAAGCAATTCTCCTGCCTTAGGCCTCCTGAGTAGCAGAGACTATAGGCATGCGCCACCCCACCCAGCTAATTTTTGTATTTTTAGTAGAGACGGGGTTTCACCATGTTGGCCAGGATGGTCTTGATCTCCTGACCTGGTTATCCACCTGCCTCAGCCTCCCAAAGTGCTGGGATTACAGGCGTGAGGAAAAAGTATTTTTAAATGACAGCAACAAGTAACAAGAGGAAGTGAATTTTAGAAGATTGTTTATAATTAGCCTCAAACTATAAAATAATTAAGATAAATTTAATGAAAACTATGTAAGACCTATCAAAAACAAAAACACACTGCAGAAATAAAGAACAACTTAACAAATGTAGAGATATAACGTGACCTTTAATTTAAATATTTAATGTTCCTGAGATACCAAAACTGAACTATCAAAAACAAAAACACACTGCAGAAAGAAATTAAGAACAACCTAACAAATTAGAGATAAAACATGACCTTTAATTTAAATATTTAACGTTCCTGAGATATCCATTTTTCCTAAACACAACTATATAGATTCAACACCATATTGGATCAATAAGTTCATTATAAAATATATATAGGTAAAAGATGTTGAATTGCCAACAAAATCTTAAAGAACTGCTGTGGAGGATTTACAGTGGCTAATTTCAACATTTACTATAAATTTACAATAATCAAGATGCTTTTCTATTGGGAATAGATAAATAAATTGATGAAACACCCAGGAAATCTAGAATAAATCTGCACATATTTGGACAATTGATTTTTTCAGAATGTCTAGGTATTAAAGCCACTTAAGTAATTCATTGAGAAAACAATATTTAACTACAGTGTTAGAGCAATGGCATATCCATTAGGGAAAAAAATGAACCTTGATCTCTACCTCAGATCATGAACAAAAATTAATTTGAGATAGTTCATAAACCTAAACATAAAACTAAAACTAAAAAATGTTATAGGAGAATATAAGAGAGTTCCTTCATGATCTTGAGTAAGCAAAAATTTTCTGGACGCCAAAAGTGTTAATTATTTTAAAAAGATACATTACATTTTATTAAATTAAAAATTCTTTTGTCTTTAAAAGACTTTATGTTTTTCTGACTTTTAGGTTCAGGAGTACATGTGCAAGTTTGTTACATAGTTAAACTCATGTCACAAGGGTTTGTTGAACAGATTATTTTGTCACCTAGGTACTAAGCCTAGTACCCAATAGTGATTTTTCTGCTCCTCTCCCTCCTCCTACCCTCCTGCCTTAGGTAGGCTCAGTTTCTATTGTTCCCCTCTTTGTGTTCATGTGTTCTCATCATTTCATTCATACTTACAAATGAGAAGATGCAGCTGGTTTTCTATTCCTGTGTTAGTTTGCTAAGGATAGTGGCCTCCAGCTCCATCTATGTTCTTGCCAAGGACATGATCTTGTTCTTTTTTATGGCTGCATAGTATTCCATGGTGTATATGTACCACATTTTCTTTATCCAGTCTATCATTGATGGGCATTTAGGTTGATTCCAAGAGAACATTATTTTAAAAAATGAAAATGCCAGCCATTTCATTGGGAGTAAATATTCACTTTAAAATACTTGTATCTAGAATATAAGAAGAATTCCTACAGCTCAATAGTGAAAGATAAATAACTCAATAAAATGAACATGAGTTTTTTTTTAAAAAAAAGAAGTGAAAATATATTCAACCACACCACTGAGATACCACTATACACCCACTATAATGACTAAAATCAAAATGACTGGCACTGCTAGATGTACATAGTAATATAGAATTATTGAAATTCTGGTTCATTGTAGGTGGGAGTGTAAAATGGTTTCAACCACTTTGAAAACAATTTTGCAGTTTCATATAAAGTTAAACACACACATGCAGTGAATTCATTCCTTGGCATTTAACCAAAATAGATAAAAATGTACATGTGCAAAACTATTCGTATAAAAATATCCATAGCAGCTTTATTCATAAGAGCAAAAGGCTCATCATAATCCAAATGTGTATCAACCAAAATCACAAATGGTGATACATTCATACAGTGGAATAATATGCAGCAATAAAAGAACCAAACTTCTGATACATATTAAAGCATGAATGTACTTCAATAGTATTATACTAAGCTGAAAAAAAATACTTGCAGGATACCAAGGAATACATGCTGTATGATGCCATGTGCTATGAAGTCGAAACACAGGCAACACTTTTCTATCATCTTAGAGATACATTTTGTGTATTGAGTATGAGATGACACCAAATGGGTATGATAAAATTTTCTGGAGTGTTGTAAACAGCTTCTGGCTTGATTGGGATGGTGGTAACAAGGGAGTTTATCTTTGTCAAAACCCACTGATTTTCACACTTGTTCATTTTATCTAAAATTTGTTAATTATAAAAAAAGAACAAAAAACATATTACTTATGTATATTTTTTAAAAACCCTAAAGTTATATTTCCCATTTACCTCCCACAACTTCCTAAGTAGATTCTGCCATATTTAACAGGTTAGGAGATTTCTACCCTTGGTAATTATTCTTAATTATCAAGGTCCTATATTTTGGTAACCCAAATATTGTAAAGTCGACCTAGGCATGTTCCTTGATATGATATTGGATCCTGTTTTGAACATGCCAGCTATATCATTTTGGGGACAATGTTTGACTCTGAATACAGATGGTATTTGATGAAAATTTAAGGATTATTTTACCATTTTATTGGGTTTGATAATGGTATTCAGCACTCGTAGAAAATGCTCTATGTTTTTAGAAATGTGTACTAAAATTAGTGCTAAAATGAAATGATATTATCTTTATTATACTTTAGCACATTTAAGCAAGCATCAGGCAAATTAAATATAACAAAAAGTTAAAATGATCAAATCTGGAGGATAATTATATCGATGTTGGTTACACTATCCTGTCAATTTTCTACAGGCATGGTGAAAACTAAATTTAAAAATTAGGCCCGATGAATTGGCTCACACCAGCAATCCCAGCAAGTTGGAAAGACTAGGCAGCCAGATAGCTTGACCTCATGAGTTTGAGAACAGCCTCCTGGGCAACGTGATGGAACCCTGTCTCTACAAAAAATACAAAAATTAGCCAGGTGTGATGATGCGCACCTGCTTGGGAGGCTGAGATGAGAGGATCACTTGGGCCTGAAGATCGAGGCTGCAGTGAGCCATGATCGTGCCACTGCACTCCAGCCTGGGTGATAGAGCCAGATCTTGTCTCAAAAAAAAAATTAAAATTAAATTACTGTCTCTCTTTTACCCTGTTTTACTAATTATTGGATGTCCTTTAGATGCTTAAGTGCTTGAGTAATCAATTTCTTCCTAAATTCAAAGCAACATAAACTATTTTTTTTCTAAGAAAGAAATTTAAAATTTTCAATTTCCTTTTATATCATATTGGGTTTTTCTTTTTATTGTCACCTCTAAAAAGCTCAAAGTTAGGCATTGTGCATAATTTCTGTACCCTTCCTTTAACCCACTGTTTTTCATGAGGACAAATATTGAAATCATGCAAGAGTTTCTAAATTACTTTCTCCCAATGCTTCTGTTACACTTCTCAGCAAAGGAATGTTCTTTTTATGACAAAGAAACGTGTATCTTTAGAAAAATAATTCCCAATCGACTTTAGTATGTTATTTCCATTTACTCTTTGGCTCCTGGTCAAGAATGTGGTAACCCTTATGCTCTGTTCCTATAGCTTTTATTTACTGATTCTTACATTTGTTTCCTTTTGAAATCTGATTTTATTAAGTGTAGGTTCCTATTGCAAGCTGGTCAAATTCTCTTTAGAAATGAGTGGCATAATGAAGGAATACATTAATGAATGGTTTCATGAATCAATGAATTAATGATTGAGTGGTCAGACCTATAATTCTTCTCCTATCTTTTGCTGAGTTAAAAAAAAATGGACTATCTATGCAAAATGAAGAGTTTTGACCAGCGTAGTTAACTGATTCTTGTATATGAAAAGGCAATCACTGTTCTAAATTAGCTTTATTTTATAGTACATATGCTAGTTTCAGGCGTGGAAAACTATTCCTCCCAGACAACTTAATACTTTTGGATCAGTTTTATTTTTCATTAATTTCTCTGTGTTCCTGATGACACTTTCTTTTTCTGGTTTCTCCTAGAATAAGACCTGTTTTTCTCACTCCAGTTTCTGGGCTCATCTTAAGGGTAAAGTTCTTCTTTCTCTTGAGAGTGCATAATAGCAGCTAGACTGTGTTGACCAGCTGATGCTGGGAACGTTAGAACCAGGAAGCTTCAGGCTAACCACTGCCATGTGTCCTGCCATGTTGACCATCCTCTTCAAAGCCAGTGATCAGGAGAAGCGCCAGTTTTCTGGAATAGCCAAGATATCCATGAGTTGCTTTATTTTTTGGTGTATTTAAAAGTGTACCAGAGATGGGAGTATTCACATATAAATACGATTTCAATCTACTGTGAACTGCTTTCTAGTAAAAGAGATGCATTTGCTTTCTTCATTTCTTCTCCAGCAGCAAACCTCCAGACAGGGCATGTGGCAGATGGTGGTAGTCTGAGACTCCTCTATGGAGTTCAAAGAGCAAACATGATTTGGGGGTGTCACAAGGCGGATGTCATTCCGTGGGGCAAAGGAAACTGTATCTTGATATGACTGTCTAATTAATAAATTTGCACCAAGATCATTCCATTTGATAAAAATGGTCCAAGATTCTTCCCCGATGTTTTCAAATGAGCCAGTGAAGGGTGGCAGTTGAGAACACTAGTTTTAAGTTCAGGCGGTCTGGTATCAAAATTCTGATTCTGTCATTAGTGACTTTGTGAAAATAGCTTTATTGCTTTGAGTACAAGGTTCCTCATTGTTTAGAGGGAGGGATCATTGTTTAATGAAAATGTATTTGTATTATATATTTTTTCTGTTCCATTTTTAAAAAATTTATATTCAGTGGGTACATATACTTGTTTGTTACACTGGTATTACATGTGTAATGGTGGGGTTGGGTTTCTGGTTTACTATCACCCAAATATTGGACATTTTATTCATTGACAATTTTTCAACCCTCACCCCTCACTTTCCCTTCTTTTGGAGTCCCCATAGACTATTCTCTCCATCTTTATGTCCATGTGTACCCTTTGTTTAACTCCCACTTATAAGTGAAAACATGCAATATTTGATTTTCTGCTTGTGAGTTAGCTCACTTAGAATAATGGCCTCCAACTTCATCCCTGTTGTTGCAAAGGACATGATTTCATTCTTTTTTATGGCTGCATCCTCATGTTTGAAAAGGGGATAACCATGCCTGAGACAATGCATGAAAAATGCTTAGCATAGTTTCCAATATGTCAGTATTATAGAAACTTAATGAATAGTAATAGTAGTAATAATAATGCATTCATTGAGTTCTATTTTGATCATGCTGAAGAAATGACGATAAATTATACCCTAACTTTGTCTTCATAGAACTCCTGAGTATTAGTCTGTTCTCATGCTGCTAATAAAGACATACCCGAGACTGGGTAATTTATAAAGGAAAGAGGTTTATTGACTCACAGTTCCACATAGGTGGAGAGGCTTCACAATCATGGTTGAAGGCAAATGAGGAGCAAAGTCATGTCTTACATGGTGGCAGGCAAGCAAGCTTATGCAGTGGAACTCCCACTTATCAGATCTCTTGAGACTTATTCACTACCATTAGAAAAATATGGGGGAAACCACCCCATGAAAAACATGGGGGAAACCACCCCAATTATCTTCACCTGCAGCCCCCCCACTTGACACATGGGGATTATTACAATTCAAGGTGAAATTTGAGTGGGGACACAACCAATCAATCACCTGCATCACTGGAGATATAAAGCATGTGATATCTGCCTTCTAAAGCAGTTATGGATTAAATGAGATAATGCATGTGAAATCTCAACACAATGCCTGATTGCTGTTTCTATGGTACACAACTATGACACATTTTGAAAAAATGCTAATTTAAAGAAGCTATTCAAGTATTGTATCTTGGGAAATCAGGGCACGAAAAACTTCCCACTTAAAGGAGTAAGTGGGTGAGTGGAATACAGTAGGCCCCAGTGGAGAAAGAAATGGGGAGACTTTATGTTTAACAATGCAGATTGTATGGAGTTTGTGTCACAGTGATGAGCATCAGGAGTGTGCAGGAGGAGTTTTCATGGCAAAGATTAGTGGCTTAAAGGACGGAGGCCCCTAGGCTTAATAACATTATTTTATATATGCAGGCATTTAAATGCCCACATAGATATTTCACACATATTTTGCTATTAAATAAATACTCCCAAGCTGGACAAGTTTATTTATTATTCTTATTTTCAAATGAAGAAACTAAGGACTGTGACTTTGAGGGTTTTGTCCAAGTGCACCAAACTCAAGCATGACTAAGCCATGATTTTGCCTTCAAGTGCACCCTGCTGCCTCCCTCAAGCATGATGACTAGAAATGACAGCCAGCAATGATATTCATCTTGCAGCAGTGGCAGGGTACCAGCACATGATGGTACCTCTGAAATGAAATAATAACTGAGCCACAGGCTTTGTGTTTCAGGGCTGCTGGAACCACAGGCAATACAAAGAATGAAAATAGCAACTCGAAAACAAATTCCACAGTTCTTTCCGTGAGTTTGCAAAAGTCTACACATGGAGAGTGAGTAATGAGTTTTCTACTATCTGTTAGCAATGGTGAGCCTGGGTACTGAGTGACAGACAGTCTATCTCACTTTGAAATCAACTTTATGCGTTTAAAGTTTCATGTTTAGAGTTAATCTGTGGACAAACATCTATGAGAACTTTTTGTAGTGTATCTTTATGGGGACCTCAGTTTTCTCTTTTATTATTAGATTGGATTATATGTTCTTCAAAGGACCTTCCTCCATACTGGTTGCCTAAGTTTTTATCCTTGGAATCTAATTACGTTCCTAACCTGGGATACCATTTTTTAAGTGTGAGAAAATCATTTATGTTTATTTATGTTGCAGATTTTGGTCAGGGTTTTAACTGGGAAGAGAAAAATCATCCACCTCTTTATCTTATGTATAACCACATAAAAAGTGCATTTCCTAGTCTCTTTACTCCAAATCTTTCTTAAAATGACCCTGGATAGCAAATACTTGAATGTCATCATTCTTCCATAACCACTCTGTATGACATAAACCAATAGTCACCGAGTACCTTCCAACACCAAACACTGAGCACCTTGTAAATTTCTAAATCAGGTCTTTCGCAAACCTTTAATATCTGGGGCTGTATCTTTGATTTTTTTTAACTTTTATGTTAAGTTCAGGTGTACAAGTGCAGGTTTGTTACTTAGTTAAATTTATGTAATGGGGGTTTGTTGTACAGATTATCACTCAGGTATTAAGCCTAGTACCCATTACTTGTTTTTTCTGATCCTCTCCCTCCTCCCACCCTTCACCCTCCAAAAAAATGATTCTATCCAGCAATCCCATTACTAGGTACTGTAAACAAAAACAAATCATTCTATTATAGAAACAGATGCACGTTTATGTTCATTGCAGCACTATTCACAATAGCAAAGACATGGGTATAAACCTAAATGTCCATCAATGATAGACTTGGTAAAGAAAATGTGGTACAAATACACCATAGAATACTATGCAGCCATAAAAAAAGAATAAGATCATGTCCTTTGCAGGGACATGAAAGGAGCTGGAGGCCATTATCTTTAGCAAACTAACACAGAAACAGAACACCAAACACCACATGTTCTCACTTATAAGTGGGAGCTAACTAATGGGTTACCATTTTTAATGACTGCATTGAGAAATTTGAAATATTAGTTGAGAACGACACACCATATACAGAAGTTAAAAGCCCTTTCTGGTTTTTGAAAATTCCTAAAGCGGTTAGATTATGAAATGGGAGAGAACGATTTTCTCACGGCCATTATAATTCAGTTTCTGACTTGCCTTGTCATTCTGCCTGTGTGGACTCTAGTCCATTCTGCATTGCTGCAGACCAAAAATAACACAGCCACCTGTTCAAACTCCACAGCAAGGGACAATGGCCCACATTATTTGTCTTTCCCAACATTTCTATTTATTTCTCCAGTAAGGAAGTTTGGTGACCTCTTCGGTTAACCTTGTATCATGATGATATATGTCCTTAGGGTCTTGCTTTCACCCCGAGAAATTTGCCAGGCATATTTCATATAAAATGAGAGTCTCCTCCCATTGGGAAATTGAGCAGCAAGTTTAAAAGATATTAACATTTTCCTTCATTACAAATCCATCTGATATTTAACAAGAAGCATGAACCCTAACAGCTGGTTGTTGAACAGATAAAACTTTCCTAGAACATTTTCCATGTCATTAAGTGTTCCTCCACAGCATCATTTGTAATGGCCATGGAGCATTTAAGCATATGTGTGCCCTATAATGTATTAACTTATCCCTATTGTTGGACAATTTGGTTGATTTTTAAAAACTCACAAAGTTTTGAGATCTTACCATTTTTAAAAAGCACTTGTCAATTTGATAGGAGAAAAAAACATTTCGGGTTTTTTTTATTTATATGTTTTTTTTTTTTACCAGTAAATGTAAATACTTTTCTAATTAATTGATTATCAAATTTTATCCCTCCATCCCATCAGATAGAATATGCATAAAATCTTTTCACTTCTCTCCCTAAACATTACTGCTATCACCCTAATCTGAACCACTGTTTCATATGAGCTGCTGTAATCACCTTCTAATTGGACTCCCTGAATACACACTTATCTTCCTGCAGGTGATTCTCTTCTTAAAAAAAAAATCTGATAATGCCCCACTCCTGCTTAATACAGTTGAATGACCTACCATTCCACTTATAGCAAAATTTAAGCTCCTTACTGTGGCCTTCAAGGTTCTATGTGACCCAGCCCTTGCCCAAACGTTTCATCTTTGAAATTATCTTGTGCAGTTCTAAGTCTTCATTCACTAACCTGCAGCCACACTAGCTGCCTTGCTGTTAGAAGAAAACTCAAACTCATTTCTTTATACTTGCATTTCCCACAGCTTAGATTATGCTATCCACTTTCACTTCCAGAACTTCATGTGGCTGACTCTGTCTTATCCTTTGGGCCTCTGCTCAAAGATTACCTTCTTACAGAGGAATTTATATTACCATCTACCTAGATTATCCTTGTCCACATCTTAAGAGTTGGAGCAGCACAGGCAAAGACATTAAGACATACAACTGTAGTTTCATTGTTTGGTAAGTAAAAAAAAGAGTCATGAGAGATTGGATTAGACAACTAGTCAGAGGGCAGAAAACATAGGGCCTTATAAGTAGTCAGATATCCTGTATTTTATTTTATTTTTTTGAGACAGTCTCTCACTGTCACCTGGGCTGGAGGGCAGTGGTGTGATCTTGGCTCACTGCAACGTCTGCCTCCCAGGTTCAAGCAATTCTCCTGTCTCAGCCTCCCAAGTAGCTGGGATTACAGGCGCCCACCACCACGCCTGGCTAATTCTTTGTATTTTTAGTAGGACGGGGTTTCACTGTGTTGGCCAGGCTGGTCTCAAACTCCTGGCCCCGTGATCTGCCTGCCTCGGCTTCCCAAAGTGCTGGGATTACAGGCATGAGCCACTGCACCTGGCCTGTATTTTAATTTCTAGGAACCTACATAGAGTTCTCAGACCTCTGAATAGTTTCATTCCACTATCATTTATTCATTTGTCAATCATCAGTAGTATATAGCAGACACAGATAAAACTAGAGATGCAAAAATGATTAAGGTTATTTTTGCCTTTAAGTGGCTTACAGTTATTATTTAAAATCCCAAATACTCAGTATCCCAAATTAGGCTCCCAGAATACATATAAGAATCCTGAGCTATGTGTTTCCCTGACCCTCAGTGGACTGTGATCCATTAAGGAGACATCTCCTAATTGAAACAAGATTCATCAGGTTCTTGTGCCTGTAAGTCTTTGAATTTAAGGAGTTGCTTTCTTCACTTGATAATAACTCCCCTAGCCATATTCTAGCTGGAGGCTGTAAGTGAACATGTTTATGTCCTTGACTAAAGACTTAGATAAAAATCCCACCCAAAGATCCCATACACACAAACGTCAAGTCTTTCTCATCCAGAAGTTTCTTCTACCTGTGGAAAGAGGTGAGGTGAAAAGAAGTAAGGAATTAGTGAGAAGAGGACTGTCAAGTTTCATCTTTCTCCCTCTGATAGGGGAAGAGGACTTGCACATCAATGAACATGTCATCTTATTGACTGTATTTCTACTCCGGGTGTCCTGGAGATGAGAGGTGTCAGTTCCCATCTCTTTGATCCATCACTGCAGCATGTCTGAGAGGGGATAGAGGACCTCTTCACGTTTCTTTTCCATCTCTTTTAATTACATTCAACAGAGAAAGACAAGCCTTATCTCCCCATAAGCAAGATGCTTTCAGCATTATGAAACTATTTGCTCATTCTTTCTGGTTTGAGGGCAAAGCTTCATTTTGTCATTTTTGACCTATCAAGGTTAAGTAAACTTTGTTTTTCATTTCTTTCTTTCTTTTGTCTCTAACAGACATCAGAACAATATGACTTGGAAAATCTATACATCTTGGCTTAGTAGCTGACTACCAGCAACCTTGGACACCCTCTAAAGCTAATATTAATATTAATTAGGAACACTTTTCCTCTTTTGCTGAATACATTCTTTGCTTAAGCATGTACTCCAGGGCAAATGTCCTTAACATTTGAAATTCTTTCAAGTTTTATATTGTTTGTAATTGATGCATAACAATTGTACATATTTATGAGGTACAGTGTAATATATGTATATGCTATGTAATGATCAAATAAGGGTAATTAGCATACCCATTCCTGAAACATTTATCATTTCTTTGTGATGGAAACATTCAAAATCCTCTCTTCTAGCTATTTTGAAATATACAATACAGTATTGCTAACTATGCCATGAACATCATTGATACTCCAGTGAAGTCTGTGGAATTGTTCTGTGACAAATTAGAGGTGGTCACAATTTTTCGACATGTATTTCCACAAGAGGAGGGAAATATTTTTGCCTTCTGTTGAATTTGGGCTTGTCTTAGTTGTTCATTTGTAACCAAGAGAAAGTAGAGGTGACACTGCATGACATGTGAAGTAAGGTCAGAGAAGGCGGGTTGCTTCTTCTTTGGTCTCTCAGCACACTCTCTTCCTGAATACTACCTCTTGATGTGCTCCTTCTCAGAACTCAGCCACCATGGTGCAAGAATTTCATGTTACAAGGGGAGGTAGATGTTCTGGTGGTCAGCCCCATCTGAACTCCTAATCATCTTGGATGTCCAGCAACCAAAAAGCACCTGAAAAGGTGCTTGTGGTTTTCATGAGTGAAATCATAGCAATCATTGAACTATAACCATGTGAGAGATCACATATGACAGTTGCTTGGTGGGACCCTTCTCAGATTCCTGACCCACAAAATCATGAGGAAATAAAGGGTTATTGTAATTTTCTAAATGTTAGGGTAATTTTTTACCTAGCAATAGCTAACAAGAACACTTTCTCAGAATAATGTTTTTAAATGCATGGAATAAAATGTGTAAAATTACAAAGAAAATGTATATTGAAATAGTTATAAAATATTTTTAAAATAAATTTAATTTTACTCATTAAACTCATTTATTGTTAACTCATTAAATAAGAGCTATGATCAGGTCTATGACTACCATAATTTTAAAATATTGATGAGCAAAATATGATAAGGCTGAATATCACAATATTAATCGAATACAAAACATCTGATTTGTATTGGTGACAAATTTTCAAGTATCGCTAAACTCCACTCTTGGTTGTCAGATTGAGATTTACTAAATTTCCATTCAATGTTGGTAAAAATGAAATATTTTATAATACATATTTACTGATCCCTTGGAGTATCCTTGGACTACAGATCAAGAAACCCAACTGTAGATACTCCTTCTTCAGGTATTTTTTATGCTGTTTTTTTCACCTGGAATAAATTTCCTCCTATGAATATTCAAAATCAATCTATTGTTCAAGAACCCATCTTAAATCTCCCTCCCTCAACCAAGTCTCTCCTAATGTCATTCCATCTCCAGTTCCAATAATACCTCTGGACTCTTAAGTTTTTTTTATCTTTTATGGCTATTTATGCCCAAGATATATATTCCCTAATAGAGTCAAAAGTTCTTAAGTAATGGATGAATGTGTTGTGAATCTGTTTCCCAGAAACTAGTAAATTGTGTCTTTCAGAAACTCACAGCAATTAATCTACTTAGTAGGTTCATAATAAATTTATACTGGATTAATCAGTGACTCCTAAAACTAGCTGATTATCAACACCACCTAGGGAATTTTTATTTTATTTTATTTTTTTGAGGCAGAGTCTCGCTCTTTCGCCCAGGCTGTAGTGCAATGGCGGGATCTCGGCTCACTGCAAGCTCCGCCTCCCGGGTTCACGCCATTCTCCTGCCTCAGCCTCCCAAGTAGCTGGGACTACAGGCGCCTGCCACAACTCTCGGCTAATTTTTTGTATTTTTAGTAGAGACGGGGTTTCACCGTATTAGCCAGGATGGTCTCGATCTCCTGACCTCATGATCCGCCCGCCTCGGCCTCCCAAAGTGCTGGGATTACAGGCGTGAGCCACCATGCCGGGCTGGGAATTTTTAATAAATACAGATTCTCATGTTCCAATCCAATCTACTGAATCAGAGTAACTAAGGATGGGCCCATAATGACAATTTTTATTTTATTTAATTTTATTTAATATTCTCCTCCTCCCTGTCTCATCCCTCAAGTAATTCATATATAGGCCGCCTGATGCTGGCCTGGACTTTTAGAACCACTGGATGAAAACAATATACAGATAAAATAAGAACCCTTGGTCTTAGCATTAAAACATCTACAAAATTTGGACTTAATGGACCTTCCCTACTTTTGCCTCCTAGCTGCCTGAACATATCTTAGGCAAAGTCTTGGCCATCTCATCAGTGTTTCAATGTAGATTATGTGGATCAAGTCCCAGCTCATAGTAATTTTTTTTTCCATCTATGAGAACCACAGCCTCAGCTGCCATGTCTGTGTTAGGAGATCCTAATAGTCTGTCCATAAATAACTAATCCAGGGAGGAACCTGAGCCAAACAGGCGAATCAGATGCATTCCTCAGAAGAATCTGACCTGGAAATAAAGGAAGAACACCAGTCTTTTTCTGGTAGTAAGAGAAACAACGTGAGACTCAGGGTTTGCTGCAGGCTATGTTTCCTTCTAGTCAGAGGAAGAGAATATACAAAAGAGAATATAAATCTGGTATATAGAGAGGAAAGAACAAACTTTCTGATGGTGATTCAGTTCCTGGTTCTAATTGTCACCAAGGCCATCTTCATTCTGTCTTGTCCACGGTCATATCCTTTATCTTCCAATAAATTATCCTTTCTGCCTAAGCTGGTTCAACTGGGTTCTGCCTCTGAGGTCCAAGAATATTCGGATGGTAAAATTTTCCCTTTCCCGACACCTCAATTCAAAGCACTAGCCCCTTAAAACACCCCTCCCTGTCCTCCCTTGCTCAGAAGCCCAGTCTGTTCTAACAGCTTGAGCCCACACTAATATCTAGCCTTCCTGATCTTCCGTAGCATTGATCATCTGTACCACACAAATTGGCAGACTTATTATCCTGTTCTGTATCTTGCACTGACTCATTATTGTCTCAAATTCAACTAATGATATCTTTAGGCTTTATTTAACTGTTCCATTTTATACCTGGAAAGAACATTAGTGATTTTTAATCCAACCTCCTCATTTGTACAGAAGGAGAAAATAACACAGAGAGAAGTGACTTTCCTAAAGTCATATAACATTTCTCAAACTAAGTTCTGCTTAAGTACAACATTGACAAATGAAGCAGTGCTTGTGATGAAATCAGCTTACAAAAAGCTGCATATTCTATTTCGTAGAATAACTGATGCTGAACAATTAATATTGCATATCAAAGCTTTTGAGAAATCCTGCAGAAAAAAATGAAGCTATTTCAATTGCTTTAACTCCATTTTCTGAAAATTTGACTGTAGGAATATTTTCTCACCAAGTGCTATTGAGAATTAGTGTTTTTTGATATATACCTTGATAACCCCATGCTAATGATTATTGAGTTGGTCTGCTTGTTGCAAATCTGAAAACATTTCAAACCCCAAGGAGACGTTTTATTATTTTCTTCTATTACAGTTGAATGCGTAAGGCTAACACCCTCCTCCATGTTTTCCCTTAATTTAAAAGACTTCCACTTTCACTTTTTCTTTTTCTTTTTTTTTTTTTTTTTTGCGACGGAGTCTCTCTCTGTCGCCCAGGCTGGAGTGCAGTGGCACGATCTTGGCTCACTGCAACCTCCACCTCCCGGGTTCACACCATTCTCCTGCCTCAGCCTCCTGGGTAGCTGGGACTACAGGCGCCCGCCACCACGCCCGGATAATTTTTTTGTATTTTTTGTAGAGACGGGTTTCACTGTATTAGGCAGGATGGTCTCGATTTCCTGACCTCGTGATCTGCCCGCCTCAGCCTCCCAAAGTGCTAGGATTACAGGCATGAGCCACCACACCCAGCCCACTTTAACTTTTTTTAACTTGAAGGTTAAACCTTCAAGTTTTTACCTTTCTAGTCTGTGAAAAACATTATGTTATCCAAAATATACTTAAAATATAGATGCTCCAATTTCATAATCAAATTCTGGGAGAAGCAGTCTTTCTGTCTTTGTTCTAGCAGTGGGAAGAGACCAGATCTCTGGCTTCTGTACTGGAGATTTGGTCCAAAACATGATAAGAGTATAAATTATGAACAGAATCCTAAAACTAAAAGTGACCTTAGAAAGAACATAGCTAACTATCCTCATCTTGCAGAAGTGGAGATTTAAGTTCAAGATAGAGAGGGGACTTCCCCCAGTGTTACACAGAGATTTTTGCTTGAAGGCAAGACTCAAAGCCAGACCTTCAGGTTTCCATTCCTGTAACCTTTCAAATAAATCCCGTTATATTGACCATCTCTTCAAGGTCTGAGGTTGATTACTTGGGTTTTCCTCTTACTTTTTCTCTCCTCCTTTCCTTTGGTTCTCGTTCCTATCCCCCTCATCCCCTTCTCTTCCTCTCCCTCCCTCTCCCCTTCCTTCTCCAAATCTTACTTATTCTCCTCCTCTTTCTTCTCATCATTCTACTTTTCACTCTTCTTCTTATGTTGCTTTTGTGTGACATTTTCCATTAAATATTGAGCAAATTTACATTTTTTTCTGGTACTAAATGTCTTAGTCTGTTTTGTGTTGCTATAAAGGAATACCTGAGGCTGAGTCATTTATAAAGAAATGATATTTGGCTCATGGTTCTGTGGGCTTTACAGGAAGCATGGCACCAGCATCTGCTTGGCTTCTGGTGAGGGACTTAGGCTTCTTCCACCAGTGACAGAAGGTTAAATGGAGCCAGCATGTGCAGAGATCACATGGTAATAGAAGAAGCATCAAAGAGTGAGTGGAGAGGTGCCAGCCTCTTTTGAACAACCAGCTTTTATGGGAACTAATACAGCAAGAACTCGCCTGCTATGGTGAGAATGGCACCAAGTCATTCATGAGGGATCTGTCCCCAAAACCCAAACACCTCCATGTCCTACCAGCAGAATTGGAGATCAAGTTTCAACATGAGGTTTGGAGGGGTCAAATATCAAAACTATAGCACTAAGAACATTTGCATACAATTGAAAAATAATGAATGTTTAGTTTTTCAGTACATTTTTCTTCCTCTATCTCTGAAATCATATGAATGCAATAGGCTTTTTAGCCAGAAAGAGTTCATGTACCAATGGGGATGTGCATACAGTTTTAAGTGTTCATTTAAAGTATCATAAATCTCATCTATGTAGTATACACCAGTGCCCCCCAAAATTTCATACGTAATAACTACTTGTAAATCTTGTTAAAATGAAGATATTATAATTCAGTGTTTTGAGGTGGGGCTTAAAGGTCTGGGTCATTAGTAAGCCCTAGATTATGCCAAAATCCACAGGTTGTACTTTGATTAGTAAGAATATAGACCAAAATCACCATTTCCTTTTGATTGGCTCTTGTGGTTTACACAAAATCTTCATGTACATTCACTCTCTCTCAAAAATATAAAGAAGTAATAATATTATAGAAAACTTGTAAGGGCAAGAAGATGAAATGTACATAAATAAAAGATAAAGAAAATAAGTTCACTCACCCACCTCTTCTTCATTCACAAAGGAATGTGAAGGTAAGACTGGTCAAGGTAATTATCTAAAATGGTAAATCTGGTAAGTTGTAGAGCTAGATAGACCCCCAAGTCTTGTACTTTCAATTATACTCCAGTTAGGAAGTCAATCTCTCAAACACACACACACACACACACACACACACACACACACACACACACACGCACACTCCACAAATACATACATGCATGTGTATACAGTAAGATAGAGACTGTCATCCAAAGCATTGCTAAAAGCTCTGCAATTACAAGGAAATAAAAAGGTGAATTTCTTTAACTTTGATTTTTCTTAATTTGATGTTTTCTCTGATTGAATTTTGATACCCTGGATTTATAGGAACTTGGTTCTGCCACAGATTTGGCTTATTTTCTTTAAGTTACTTAACATTACAGATTCTATTTTTGTTAAATAATTAAGTTTTATATATTAAAATAGAAAACTTAAAGGTTGTTTTTTTCCAAAATGTATGTGCATCTTGGAATCAGGGACTATAGAAGAACAAATAGGAAAACAGTATCATTCTCACTATGGTTCAAATCTTCAGTGATGCCCTCTTCTTCCTCCTTTCCTTCTGTTTTTTCTGCTATCAGCCTTGTGGGCAGATGGGATCTCAGCCCCTTCAATGTGCCTGCTCTTCTTGTGGAACCAGGAAGTCACATCCCATAAAGCAAATAAATAGTCCAGAAACACAAAAGGATCTGGTTTAAGATCTACAGAACAGTTCTCATTCTCCCCTACAATCCGATACATCTATAGGCTGGGGTGGGAAAACATCATCACAAACTTTGTAAGAGACAGTTTTGCTCTCTCCAGGATGTTATCAATTTGGTAAGGTTAAGGAAAGTGATCACAGGCCTTATATGGGTTTCTTATATTTGGTTTCCATATATGAGGAGTTTCATATATTCCATATATGAGGGTTCTTATATTTGGATTCCATATATGAGGAGCATGTGATTTTGTATGTTGATGAGGTTTATCTTAGAAATATCTAAAGAAGTTTTGTCTTGCTTGATATGTAAATCACTAAGGTGATTTACAATAAAATTACAATAAGGCAGATAATTACCTTACTCTTATTAGAACCCATAAGAATTGTATATGCCCACTAAAGTATGATTCTTACAGATGATAGCAAGAGCCAATATATATTGGCCACTCTGGTTAAGGCATGGTGCTTAAAAACATATTGGTATTAGCTTAGGCAATGCTCCATGGTAGTCCCATTTGATAGACACTAGTGTGATGACCATTTTTAGATTAAAAAATGTTAGAATAAGTAAGAATTAGTGAGTGGTAAAGTAAGAAAACAAATTTAAGCTGTAGGACTATAAATACTGTGCATGTAACCTTGCATATTCTACCTCAATGGGACATAATTGTATACTTCATATTATACTACATGCATAAATCATATTAGAGTATTATGTAACTCAGTTGATGCATTAATTTGGCTCAGTCTAACTTTCTGTTTGTGCCACATACAGATGTTTTTTGAGAATGATCATTATCAGCACTTGAGAATCAAATTTAATTCAGGTGTGGTAGATTGTTTGCAAAAAGACAGCAATCATTTCTCTCTTCACCTCATTGCCAGGTGATTTTGCAGCAATTTCCACCAGGAGGTGAAGTCTATTTGCATTCCTCTTCAATCTAAGCTGTCTTTGTGACTTACTGTGAGCAAAGAATGTAAAAGAATTTATGTTGCACCAGTTCTGAGCCCACACATCAAGAGACCTTGAACACATCCACTCTCTCTTGGTCTACTGCCACTGCCCCGTGAACAATCTGGGCTAACTTGCAGGATAAGAGCCATGTGCCCCAGTCACCCTTGTAGCAGCCAGTCATTGCCTGTCATTGCCAAACGTGTGTGAGGCCTTGGACTAGCCCCTTTTTGCCAAGCCACCAGCTGATCACATGCACATGAGCAAACCCACTTGAGATCAATCAAGCTGACCCAGAAGAACAGATCCACTCAATTAATCCATAGACTCATGAGCAATGTTAAATGATGGTTACTTTAAGCTATTAATTTCCTTAGATTGGCTTGTGATGCAACAATAAATAAGTGATACACCAAGAAAACAACAGCAAAAACACATATTTTATTCCATGGTATCCATTTAGTTTCTTGCATCATTTGTTTATTCAGTAATCATCTGATTAATGTTTACTCAGAGGTGATGCTTGTAATTGGTTGAAAAAGAAGTAATAATTTTGGGTCTAAATACTGTGTGTTATAATGAAGCATTTGCTTACTTTAGAATAAGCTAGAGACAGTAGGCCAAAGTGGTACTGTCTTTAAATAAGGCACCTTTATCATCTTGCATTAAAAAAACACGCTTGCTGAATTTATCAAGTCTTATTGGCTGCTCTGAGCAAAACCTGCTCACCAATTCAATACCTGGGTTTCTTCACCTTTTTGTCCAGTTGTAACTTGGTTCATTTTCCTGCATCTCTTGCACATTTCTCAGGGCCTATTTCTGTCCTTTTAGATCAATATAGCTAACTTTTTTTCTCTCGCTCTTCTATTTGGCCTAGTTTATTTCTGTCCAAATTCTTAATTTAGAATCTCCCTGTGACCCATCTTATTCAAGTGCCTCAGTTTACCGTTAGACAAAGTTTTAACATGATGAATGGCACCTACCCCTCACCATCTGCCAGGATATTTTCCTTATCGCAGCTTTGAGTCATAAAACACTGAAAATGATGATGGAAAAGAACTTGGCAGATATGAAAGAGTTATAAATATACATGCTCACCCATAAATCAATACCAATAATAAATTGCATTCAAGTGCTATTTAATTCTTTGTGATCATCAATAAAGATATAAAAAGTTCATCCCCAACATCCTCTCTGTGGTTAACCTCTCAGCACCTCCATGCAGCTTCCTGCGCTATTAGTCATCATTCTGTTTACTGTCTCTCTGACGGTCTGCTTTAGTTTGATTCATCTCATTCTGGAAGCATTTTACCATGGAATGTCATTTTGGAGGTGGTTTAGAGGAGAGGTTGCGTTTCTTCTCACAACCAGTTGGAAAACTTGTACATCAAAAACTTGTGTTGGTGACGTTTAAACCCAGGGTGTCTTTTTGTTTTCTGATATAATTTATTCTCCCCCATACCAGGGAGCTCATGATTAGTTCTGGTTGGAGTTTAGCAGGAAGCAGCCTACCCATTAACTGCCCCCTCCGCTTTCTTTCTTCCCACTCCCACCCAATGTCCCTTTTCTCCCCAGTGCCATCTTCTTAGGTTCATAATTAGACTCTGCAACCTCAGGTCCCTTCCACAAAGTGATGAGCTACTAAAAATACAGCCCTGCAGGAATACGTTCAACTTCTATTTCTGTTATTTTTTTTAACATCAGTTTCAGATGAACAAAGCAGTTAAACAAAGGGAGAGAGAAAGTGCTGTGATTGTGAAGACAGAACATTGCTACTTACTTTGTTCATTTTAATTACACAAAGTCATCATTTAGCAGAAGCCCAAGGATACTGCAAGGGAAATGCTTTCACAGACTTATCTCCTTTTGATATTTCCCATTTAAAGAATCTTCCAATGACCCTGAACATAAATACCTTCATTGTAACCCTGAAAAACCCTGCATCTCTGTACAGCCCTTGAAACGGGAACAGCTGCTTTTAAGGTGTGGGGAAGGCTGGACATAATTGGACCATTCTGCTAATGAGACCTACTTCCATCACTCTGCTGACTGTCTCATGGCATTTAAGATGAGTCTCTTAAAACTGGGTTACGGAAATGAGGGTGGGGCAGGAGGAGGGGTATGTGGAAGACTCCCATGGATACTAAGAGTTTTCAGTCTTCAGTAGATATACAGAGCCAGAACACGAATGTGAGAAGAAAAAACAAAAGCTTTGCTTGTGTGAAAATCTAAAATCTGAATGTTTCTACTTCTCACCCACATGCTTGATATTTAGCAACTCCTATTTTAAAATCTGTCTTGTGATAGTGCATCAATGGCTTCATTTTTGATAATATTAGATACTATCTATTTCATGTGTATTATATGTCAGACATGCTGGTAAAAAAACATATTGAATAGCTTATTTAATCTGCATAACATAATTACAAGAAGGCACCATTTCCTCCTGCTTTCTAGATAAAAATAATGAGGTTTACTTTGGTTAAATAACATAGTAAAGGTCATGCAAATAGTAGACGGATGAGGCAGGATTTGAACCTAGGATTCCTCAACTTAAAGCCTGAGCCTCTAGCCACCTGATGCCCCACTTGAGGAACTTAACGTATAACACCAGTGTCATTCTCTCAAAATCTCAAGTCATGCACTAATTTATTCAGTGAATATTTATATAACTCCTAATACACACAAAGCCCAATGCTGGGTAGTGAGGATGCTTAACAGGCGAATCAGGCTTAATTTTGTCCTTTGAATTACCTACAGTGTGGAGTTGGAGAAATATATTCATAGAAAATATCTGCTGTGTAGTAAAATATGTTAATAATCATTAGGTTTACGGTGTTTAAAAGGGGAAGTTACAAGAGTAGAGAGACTGAAGTGACTGTGGTCAGCAGGAATCAAGGACAGTTTGAGAGGGTAGTTTTAAAATATCCCAGACTGTATCATTCTACTTTATCACTATATCCCTGTAATGACCAGGGTGCCTGGTATATAGTCAGTGTTTAAGAAATACTAGTTTAATGAATGAAGGAGTAAATAAGTTGTGAATATGTAAATGATTTAGTGAATGAGTGCATGAATGTATTTTTCAATGATAAACCTTAAAGAAGCTTAGATATTTTCCCAGTGGACAAGAGAGAGATGAAGCTTCCAAAATCAAGAAAGTGAGAAATGGTATGACTAGTGTGGAAATAGGAAGTAATGAAGGAAACTAAATGTTCTGCAAGGAAAATTGAATTACTGAACTGTAGAAAATTAATTGGAAGCCACTGAATATTTTTAATCGGTGGAGAATAACGATCAAATTGGCATTTTGGAAAGACCACTGTGGCAACAGAGAATGAATTAGAGGAAGGGTTAAGAGATGGTAGCAAGGAATCCAATCTATATTCATAAACTTTTAGTTCCATTGTATTTCATTGAATTGTACTGATAAAAAACAAATTGTAGAGAAACATACTTTTGAAGGACATCTGTTCTAATATCCCAACCTACTCTTTTTTTTTAATGCTGAAATGTGTTTAGCAGGGGACATCTACACTAATTAAAGCAGCTTGTGGTGTGAATCAGTATTTTCATAAATGTAGTTCTGTGATCTTTGTCATGTCAATTAGCCACATTTTTTTCTGATCTGTAAAATAAATATATTGATTTCAATCTGATACAACATAAGCATTACAGTACAATAACATTTATAAGATTTGATAAGCCATGAAGTGATGATTCTAGTTATTATCATTATAATTCTTAAAATTAATAAAAGTGCCAGTGTGGGTGATAAAGTTGGGGTACTACTAACATTAGCACCATTACCCCAGATTTCTGTGTTGGCAGCCTACTAAAAAGCAAAGGTCATAGTGGCATAATCCTCAAGTCTGAAAGAAATTAGCTGAGATCTATTAAATAGCCTTGATACTAAAAAATGAGTAGCGCATAGTAAGTGCTAAATAAATTATCTTTACTAAGCACAATTGATATCTGAAACCACCTCTGTTTTCTCGTCTAAAATTTCTTCAAACATCCATTTTTTAATCTCTTTTCTCGACTTCTAATTTCCACCCTGTCATTTTCCCATAAAGATGACCAAAAATATAGGGACTCTTTGAAGCATCTTTTTCATGTTGGATAAATGCCTAATTAGAAACCCAATTTAAAATCATGTAAAAATGTTTGTTTAAATTATTAGTGTGTGTATACACACATACATATATGCACACATAGGACAATAAGCTAACAGAAAATATATTGCTAAAAATTGTTAGCTGGGTCTCTCATCAGATTCCATATATCTTTGATAATTTCTCCATCTGTAATAAAATAATTAATTTACTTCTATGTGTTCTCTGGAACAGCCTACTGAATTTCGTCTTGTACCCATTTGCAAATTGATTTGGTGATATTAAACCACTACGATTTATTTATGTGGGCCTTCATTTGTTTTTGTTTTTCTTTTTTTTACCTCTCAGTCCCAGGTGACACAAAAAGGCACATGAGCCCTCTCACATCGTTGCTGGCACTTACTGTCTTCCTAACTGTCTTTCAGTTGCAAGAATGATTCTATCTGTTCATAAGCCCGTAAAACGGATATTTGATTTGATTTAGGTGGAGATTCACTGAACTAATTTCATTACGATTAACTATCTACTGTGAGTTTTGTTCTTTTTGTGGTTCCGAACCTCTAATGCAATCCAATTTGTCAGTGTTGTCAGTGAGCAGAGTCTCTGACCTACATTTGAAGTCTTTTTTTTTTTTTTTTTTTTTTTTGTAAGAAAGAAGGTAAAGTTCACTCTGGGCAGAAAGATGTTCATTGACACATTTGTATGCTTGCCCTACACACAACAGTGCTAAGCACTGGGGATAGAAAGATGAGAAAGATACAGCTCAAAAAAAAAAAAAAATTAAAGAGGTTGCCAGCCCAAAGGGAAGACAGACAACTTCAGTGAATGGTAAAATATACAATAAAAACTATATTATTAAGTTTTTATAGAGAAGAAATCCATTCACTTATTAACAAATATTTCATGAATAGCTACTATGTGTTTAAAATGAAGATGAGTTTTGCCCACATGTGCAATCAGGCAAGATCTGGAAAGGTTTTGAAGACAGAGTCGCACCCAAGCCGTGTTTTGAAGGGTGAAGAAAATTTGCTAGTTGAACACTGTGAAAGATGTTTACCAAATCTGCTGCAGTTATCTTTTTCTCTGTATCCAAGCTTCTGTGAAATTAGACTCTGTATCTCTTCTCATGAAAGGGCAAAGTCCACCTCTTCCTTACTTATTCTCTCGCTCCATAGATCTAGGATAGTCACATGTGACTTGCTTTGGCTAAAAGAGTGCAGTAGAAGCAATAAGCAATGTTGTGGCAGTTCTAAATTTCAACATCAAGAGGCTCTGTATACTTCTACTCTTTCTTTGAAATCCTATGACCACCGTACAACCAAATGTATGTAGGCTAGCTTGCTGGATGAGAAAAGCCATGTGACCCAGTCACTGCTGTCACTCCAGACAAGTGCCAGCAAACTCCAAAAGCAGAGAGCCTAGCTAAAGAGCTGCATCAGTGATCCCAGCCATGGCTGGAAGAGCCATCTAGCTTGCTTATTCCAAATTTCTCAGCCATAAAATCATGAGGCAAATGAATGGATATTGTTTCAAGCCACTAAATTTTGGAGTGGATCATTGGCTGGCAAAAACTAAATGTTTAGAGATCACTTTCCAGAGAGTCAGAGTAGCATATGCAAGAACACTGAAGCAGGACTCATCAAGAGAACTTAAAGGATCTATGAGAGGTTCAATGTTCTCATTAGCACTGTTCTAGCTACAAGTTATGGAAACTCCATGAAATCTCTTTGAGAATCTTTTCACTGATTTTATAGACAAGACTTGCAATTGGTGGATGGACCTTCAGGCATGGTTGTATCTAAGTGTTCAAATGATGTCATCAAGGCCTTATACTATATTCAATGTTGTTTTAGTCTTTTTAGCCTAATTATTACATGGGTTATCTTCTTGTAGTCCAAAAAGAACCATGGAAAAGCTCCAGGTTTCCATTATCTATCTAGTTAGCAATTCTCAGGATGATACCTCATCCTCAGTTTATATGTTGGACTTTCAGAAAAACTCTGATTTGCCCTAGCTGTGAAGGAGGTGGGACAAAATTCACAAGGCCATAGGGAAAAACAGTCGCCAAAATAAAAATAGGTATTCTATTATTGAAATTAATGGCAAAAACCATAATTACTTTTGCACCAACCTACTATTACCAGAAAAAAAATTGTTGAAAGAAAGTTTGTTCAGAATTAAAAAACAGCCTTCCTCTATCAGTTATAGAATGTCCATTTTCAGCTGACTCAAATAACAATATAATTATAGGCCAAGTCTGTTTTATCATATAGTGTAATAAACGAGATGGGGTGTTGACTTCAGGAATAGTTTGATTCAGAGTTTCATGATGCCATTATGGCTTTGGCACCATTTCTCTCCATGATGCTGAAGATTTCCCTCCTTGTCTGTCTTCAACCTGGCTTTTCTCATGATAGTAAGGTTGGCCATAACACCTTACAGCCTCATATTGATATACTACAGAGTCCAGAGAAAGGAGAAAAGTTTGTTCTGTCTTCCAGTTTTGTAAGAAAAAATATGATTCACCCTGCAATGGCAGGCTTAATTTGGACACTGAACTGAAAAACAAAACACTGTGACCCAGAACCACTGGGAACCACAAGCGAAACTTGGGACTACTGGAGAGGGGAGACATAAAAGCTGAGAAGGCATCTAAAATGCCTGTTATTTCCATGACATCAGAATTAATCGAAAATAAAACAATGGAGAAAGGTTATAGGAGACTAAGCTCAGAGGGCGTGCATGAAGGGTTTTGAAGTCTGTGCTTAGAAGTCTCTGGGTTAGTCTCTTCCTAGAATTTCTCTGGAACACTGGCACTAGATGATCCTGTATCAGCAGTAATTAATTTTTTTCATCCATTCATCTATCCATCTTCATCCATCTATCCATCCATTCGTCTGTCATCCATTTAGCATATATATGGTGGGCATCTATTTAAGCAATAGACTTTGACAAGTACTGACGCTACATAGGTGTATAAGGTACTGCCATGCCCCAGGGAGCTCACAGTCTAGTAGGGAGATAAACACTTAAGAAAATGCTGGCAGTATAGCCGCAGTAATGTCTAGGTAAAACTTGTTTTTTTCAGCAAGTTTTTATATCCCTGGTAGGATGAAAGTCAACAGAATTTTGTAACATAAATCCTATTGTGAATGTACCAAAAAGAGTCTGGAATAACATCTATGATTTATTGGTGAAGTCTAGGCTTGATTTGCATCATTTTACTCAATCTTCAAAACACTCCATGAGTTTGACATTATTATCAATGTAGCTAGTGAGAAAACTGAAACTCAGAGGGGTAACATGCCCAAAACACTTAAGCAGAAATAAGAAATGAACTTCATTCTGACTGAATCTAAGGCCTCGGCTTCCAGTTACTACTTTATGCAACACATTTTATTGGGATTTCAAATGTTCTTTGATATTCCAGTTGTGGATTTCAAATGTTCTTAGATATTCTAGTTGCACATAGTCATCTTGGTCTTTAAAACCAAATTATGAATAATTCCAATATCCATGCCATAAATTGAAGCAATTCTAGTAGTTTTTCAATATTTTCTGTGAATTTTTCAGTCTTCTTTTCTCAGAACCTCCTTTGGCTGTGAGCTTCTTCCAGTGAAACCACTTCGGAATATTTTCTCATTCAGTGCTGTGATACCTTTCTGTTCTACACTGGATCAACTTAGATGTGGAAGCCAAGGTCTTCCTTCTTTGATTTCCAAAAAGAAGTAAAAAACGAACAAACAAAAATTGACAGGCTTATACCTGGGTAGATGACTTTATTGAAGAATTAAATGGTAGAAAGTGATTCATGCTGAGACAACACACACACACACATACACACACAAAACGTAAAACCTCAATTCTGCCTCTGAAAGTCCATTAATTGTTTCCATTTCTCAATGTTCATCCTTCTAGCACATTTCAGGTCTTCTTTTGTCCCATTTCCTCTCTGTCCATCTCTGTTCTGTGTTTTTTATTTTTCTTTTCATCCCCAAATTTCTGCTAGATGGGTTTAGCTGTTTCTTTCCTAGACCCATTTAATCCATATTTTCAGGATGGCATCAACCACCCCAGGAAGGTTTTCAATGCATTTTCCTAGACAAAGACAGTTTCCTCTCTCCAAAGATTTTTGAAGCTACTTTTAAACAGATAGTTTCACCCCACTGATCATCTCCTCAAGACCCAGATTAAGTAGCACAGGACCTGACAGGTTGAGTCAGGCTGGGAAGAGGTACCCAGATATATTAAAACATATTTTAAGGCTGAAATCCAGATAGTAGAGTGGCACAGCCTGTGAGCTGTGTAATGATTTATCCTCAATATACTTTAATAGATTAAAACTCTCTGACTGATACTAGCCGGTAGTGATCTTCTTGGACAGGCGTGGGAGGGTGGGCAAAGTTTTTGTTTAATTCAGTCTATGTCTCTAGTGCATAAAATGGAACCTGGAACATTTTTTAGATGCTCAATAACTTTTACCAGACCAAACTGAACCTAGCCAAGTAAGATAAAAACTATAAAATCAACTATTAATAGAAGTTAGATGATTTATCTTGCCCCTCACATTTTTAGTCTATTTTCTTATGCTTTCCTTCCAAATTTACCAGACTTTTTTTTAGTCTAGCTTATCTGTGTTATGTAAAAGCAACAAAAAGAAAAGGTTTTTGCCATCCCAAACATAATAATGGTGGTCGTAGTGTCAGAATTAAAATGAGAAAACTATCAATTAAGCCACCCCTCTTTACCTATTGAGTCTTTTTAATGCCAAAATGACAGTATCCATGCATAGTTCTAAAATTGGAGATTTGTTCCATTATACATGTTTATACATTAATAATAATAATACAATCAGAAACCACTTTACATATTAGGATAGCTAATATGTAGAAAAAACCAGAAATGTTGAAGCATTGGCAAGGCTGTGGGTAAATTAAGTCCCTTGTGTATTTCTGGTGGGAATGTAAAATCATGTGCAGTGCAGTATGGCAGCCAATCAAAGACTTAAACATAGCATTACCATGTGATCCAAGAATTCCACTGTTAGTGCGCCATAGACTGAATGTTTATTCCCCCCTATGTTGAAACCTAATCTAAATGTTAGGTATTTAGAAGTGAGGCATTTGGAGATAATTAGGTAATGAAGGCATAACCTCGTGAATGGGATTAGTGCTTTTGTAAAAGAGACCCCAGAAAGCTGCTTCCTTGTCCCTTCCAACACATGAGGACCTAGCAAGAAGATGGCTGTCTATGAACAAGGGAGCAGGCCCTCACCAAACACCGAATCTCTCAGTGCCTTTATCTTAGACAGCCCCCAGAACTGTAAGACAAGTGTTTGTTGTTTAAGCCACCCCATCTGTGGTATTTTTGTTATAGCAGCCTAATGGTAAGACAAGGCATATACCCAAAAGAATGGAAAACAATGACTTTAATAGATATTTGTACACTCATGTTCATAGCAGCATTGTTTGTAATAACCAAAAGGTAGAAACAACTCAAGTGTCCATTGATGTATGAATAGATGAACAAAAAGTCATATCTTCATACAATAGAACAGGGGTTCCCAACCCCCCGACCATGGACTGGTTCTGGTCTGTGGCCTGTTAGGAAACAGGCCTCACAGCAGGAGGTGAGCAGCGGGTGAGCAAGTGAAGCTTCATCTGTGTTTACTGCTGCTCCCCACCGCTCACATTACTGCCTGAGCTACGCCTCCTGTCACAGCAGCAGCAGATAGACTCTAATCTATCCATTAGATTCCCTTAGGAGTGTGAACCCTCTTGCAAACTGCGCATGTGAGGGATCTAGGTTGCACGCTCTTTATGAGGATCTAACTAATGCCTGATGATCTGAGGTGGAGCTGTTTCATCCTGAAACCATCCTCCCCGACCCCCTAGGTCCGTGGAAAAACTGTCTTCCAGGAAACTGGTCCTTGGTGCCAAAAAGGTTGGGCGCCGCTGCAATAGAAAATTATTCAGCCATAAAAATGAATGAAATTCTGATACATGCTTCAAATTTGATACACTTTAAAAATATTAGGGTAATCAAAGTAAGACAGACACAAAAAGATAAATATTGTATTCTCCACTTATTTTAGTATGTAGAATTGTCAACTGTATAGATAAAGAAAGTGGAATTGTGGTTACCAGGGGGCTGGAGTGAGGGGAGAATGGGAAGCTATTGTTTAGTGGGTATTGTGTTTTAGTTTAGAAAAACGAAAACATTCTTGAAAGAAATAGTAGCGATGGTTACATAATGTTGTCAACACACTTGTTGCCACTGAACTGTACACTCAAAAGTGGTTAAAATGGTAAATTTTCCGTAAAAAGCCACCCCTAAAGGAAGAGCATTGCATGCAGGACCTTATGAATGTGCTGTCTCACATAAACCACAATCCTACAAGGTTGATGTATCAGTGCTTGTCTAATCAGAAGGCGAAAACGGCACCAGTTACTTGCAAAGATAATATTTAAAGTAAAAACGGTTAACCATATTACAGAGAATTGAAAAGCTGAAAACAGGATTAAAAAAAAAAAGGATAGTGGTATCCCTTCTAGGTCAGGAGCAAAATGAAAGAAATGAGAATTATTAAAACTGAAAAGGTTGGAGGAAAGCCTCCAGGGAACTGGGATTCAGGTCTCTGAGAAGGAAGAGTGTCTTGTGTCTCCGAGGAGATGTATGAGGTGGCTTCTGAAGGTGTTGAGAAAACTGCAACCCAGAACCACCTGCTGCTACAGAAATGCACTGCAGCTGCCTGGGTGAATAAGCCTGGCTGAGTTACACTGATAGAGATAAAAACATAGTAGGATGGAGTGTGTCTTTTCCTTCATCTCTTGTCTTGAAGCCTCACTTCAGCATTCCCCAGATGATAAAGAAAACAAATATATAGTGCAGAAATGTAGGTTTGGTGTTGAGAGGCAATTGCTGAATAGCTAGTATAGTTTGTAGGTTTGTACTCACTTTACTTATGACAACCCTATGATTTAAAGAGACCAGATGGCTTGCATAGGCCACACAGTCAGTTCAGGGAAGGGCCAGTGTGTGAACTCAGCTCTCCTTCAATGGAAAGTATGTTTTATTTTCAATGGGCCATCTTGTTTCATTGGTTAATTTGTTCATCCATTTAATTATTCAAAAAATTCAATTCTTGAAAGCCTTACCAATAGCAAGCACTGTGCTTGGTAGGGCAAAGATTAACAAAATACACAGTTAAGTCAGGGATGCAAGAAGTAGCCAGATGAGTACAGGCAAATGGCATGTCCTATAACAGAGGTAAACATCATGCTATGGAGAGCACTGGAGCATGCTACCTAGGAGGGTCAGCGTAGGTGCCAAAGGGTTGGTGACATTGGAACTGTGGTCCTGTCTGTGTCCTGTAGTAATTGAGGAAAAATAGACCTTTCTTTAGCAGGATTGTAGCATGATGAAAGCGCTTTAAAAAATTCCAGATACTCTACTTCTTGAAGATGAAGCCTATTAACTCATCACAATGTAGGCCTCAATCTATGAAGCTGCCCTGTGAAGCTAAATATTTCTCCTTTTGCCATGAGCCATGAACCAGAGAGATGTTGACCTTTCTACAGAAATGGACAAGGATTAGAGGTCAGGGATTTTGTTTAAGTGGGTCACCTTTGAAGTCCTTAAGTTTCAGGAGATAAAAAGAGGTGCTCATCGGTCTTTCTTTCTGGCCCTGCCTTTGATTCCCAGACAAGGATATGAGAAATAAGATTATTGTGTCAGAACACAAATTCTCATTTCCAGGAATTTCCAAAGAGCCTAATTTCTACCTACATTTTAAGGCAAAGCATGAGAATTTCCCCCTTTTTTAGCTTCTCTTTATTTATAGAATGATTGACAGAAACTCTCAGAATTTTATCTTTTTTTCTCCTTCTGTCTCTCTCTCTCTTTGTGGTATGTTGAAATGATTAATAAGTGCTGCTTACTTAGTACTGACTGCATAACTCTGTGGTGCAAGCTGTACATATATTAGCTCATTTAGTTTTCACAACTAAATATGAAAGAAAATAGGGCTCAGAAGAGACACGTAACTTGACCAAATTCACACAGTGTCTAAACAACAAGAAAAAAATATATATATATCTATTACCAGATTACAGGCCAAACTAGTGGAATAGCTTGCCTCTGAAAGATGCAAGTTCTTTCTCCTTTACGATAACCCTTCTCCCCTTTATAATTCAAGTATTTGGCCAAAGGTAAATTAGAATACTTTGCCACCAAAATAATGCTGTTTCAGAAATGAAAATGTCATTCAGACAAAAACATGTTTCCATATTAGTCTTTGCTTGTGCTGGAAATTTCCACTATTTCACACAATTCAATTAAGATGTGTTTCATTTCTACTATGTATATGGCATTGTTCTTAGCATTAGAGATACCAAATATCGGTTAATTTTGGTCTCTACTATCACGAAGCTCAAAGTCTAATTTACCAGTTATTTTCATCTTCAGGGGAGAGCAGAGGAATAGATCCATGACTTCAATTCCAGACCTGCTGTGGAAAAATCATCCTTTCCTATGAACAGACACTTCTCAAAAGAAGACATTTATGCAGCCAACAAACACAGGAAAAAAAGTTCATCATCACTGGTCATTAGAGAAATGCAAATCAAAACCACAATGAGATACCATCTCACGCCAGTTAGAATGGCAATCATTAAAAAGTCAGGAAACAACAGATGCTGGAGAGGATGTGGAGAAATAGGAACACTTACACTGTTGGTGGGAATGTAAATTAGTTCGACCATTGTGGAAGACAGTGTGGCAATTCCTCAAGGATGTAGAACTAGAAATACCATTTGACCCAGCAATATCTTTACTGGGTATGTACCCAAAGGATTATAAATCATTCTCCTATAAAGACACATGCACATGTATGTTTATTGCAGCACTATTCACAATAGCAAAGTCTTGGAACCAACCCAAATATCCATCAATGATAGACTGGATAAAGAAATGTGGCACATATACACCATGGAATACTGTGCAGCTATAAAAAAGGATGAGTTCATGTCCTTTGCAGGGACATGGATGAAGCTGGAAACCATCATTCTCAGCAAACAAACACTAGAACAAAAAACCAAACATCACATGTTCTCACTCATAAGTGGGAGTTGAACAATGAGAACACATGGACACAGGGAGGGGAACATCACACACTGGGGCCTGTCAGCGGTTGGGGGGCTAGGGGAGGGATAGCATTAGGAGAAATACCTAATGTAGGTGACAGGTTGATGGGTGCAGCAAACCACCATGGCACATGTATACCTATGTAACAAACCTGCAAGTTCTGCACATATACCCCATAACTTAAAGTATAATTTAAAAAAAAAGGAAAAAAAAGAAAAATGATCCTTTCCTTAAACCAAAAGGAGGAAGCTTCTGTGAAAAAGGGAAATGATAACTAAAATTCTCTTCTTCATTTTCATTGCCTTAATTTTTTTCTCTCTCCCCATTGGGTTATAATAGCATGTCAGGTCCAGAGGCAGCTTTCTTTATGAAGATATTATTTAAAAAGGTTTGTTTTTTTTTGTTTTTGTTTTTTTTTTCTTTTTAACTCTGGAGGAGACAGAACATTAAGTTGAGGCCTACGGGAAAAATACATAACAACTGATTTGAGTGATTTATCTGGGGGCTTACGGAGGGCAAAAGAGGGTTCTTTGACATCTCTAAGACAGCCTACCTCATCAACAAAGGATAAATTATTTGAGGCAGAAAGTCTATTTAACAAGCATTAAAGAATAAAGATTCGGCCGGGCGCGGTGGCTCACGCCTGTAATCCCAGCACTTTCGGAGGCCGAGGCGGGCGGATCACGAGGTTAGGAGATCGAGACCATCCTGGCTAACACCGTGAAACCCCGTCTCTACTAAAAATACCAAAAATTAGCCGGGCGTGGTGGCGGGCGCCTGTAGTCCCAGCTGCTCCGGAGGCTGAGGCAAGAGAATGGCGTAAACCCACGAGGCGGAGCTTTCAGTGAGCCCAGATCGCGCCACTGCACTCCAGCCTGGGAGACAGAGGGAGATTCCTTCTAAAAAAAAAAAAAAAAAAAAAAAAGAATAAGGGTTCACTGAAATGTTCTCTGTGTACCATGCTAGGTGAGAGGTAAGTTGGTGGGTGGTAGTAATGGACAAGGCAAGGAAACCTTCACGTTCTTTTGGATCTCTATTTTCCATAGGAGCAGTTCGAAACCTAGAGAAATTAAGACTGTTCTAAGATCACAGTCAGCACAGGATGAAATCCTGCGCCTTCCGGTTCCAAAAGTAGTGTTCGCTTTTTTTACGACATCCTACCACGAAGTACCATCCCTGAGAACCCCCTTGACACTGAAGGTGCATTTATATAAACATTAAAAAGTGGTATCTGCAGAGTCCACACCAATCCATCTTTTAAATCTTGCTTTTCACGGCATCATTATGGGAGCGCGCTTCACAAAGAGCTCTCTGTAGATGCTATTACCCGGCACGGCGGCTTTGGAAAGTGGGCTGAAGAAACTGAGTTTGTGCAGCAGCACATGTTAACATGAGTTATAATATGTCAGGGGCCTCGTGTTAACGATCAGAGAACCTATTCAGCTCCTTTAAGGTTAATCAACTCAGCATTTGTGCCAGGTGTAATGTCTAATTAAAATGATGGACGGGCAGAGAATGCCTCTGGGCAGAGGGAGGAGATGGCACAAAGAGGGAGCACCCGTGCCATATTGGTTTGGAAAATCAATAAGAGGAGCTCATTTTATCCCAGTGTTATCTGTGCATTTGCCATTCAGTGGCTCATTTGGAAAAGTGCCAACTGGCTGATGAGTAGGCTCAGCGGTGCTGTGTTTTCAGCACTTAGGGATGCTTTGGTGAGAGAAAGCTATGCAGTAGCCTAGGATGTCTCTGAAGGGAACCAGAGAGAGGGAAGTATGGCCATCATGGCTTTCACTTTGAATCGTGAAATCTAAGAGTTGGGAGGAAGCTATAGAAAAAAGCCACCAGAGTAAGAATGGGGCAGTATGAGTTTGAACACCAGTTCTGTCACTAAATAGATTTTTTAAATAAATAAACTCATTTTATTTTTTAATTTTTATAAAATTTAAAAATTTTAATCTTTTAATTTTTATAAATTTAAAAATTTTAATATTTTTTAATTTATAAAATTTAATTTTATAAATTTTTAATTTTGTAATTATAATTTTATTTTAATTTTAATTTTTTATATAACAAAAATAATTGTATATATTTATGGAGTACATAGTGATATTTAAATATATGTAATGTATAATAATTAGATCATGGTAATTAGCATATCCATCATTTCAAATAGTTATCACTTCTTTGTGTTGGGAACACTCAATATTCTAGCTGTCTGAAACTATATAATATACTATTATTAACTATAGTCATCCTACAAGGGCATAGAGTATTAGAACTTATTCCTCTTCACTATCTGTAACTTTATATCCTTTAAAAAAGTTCTCCCTGTGGATTCTTAATGTTGGGGAAGTATTCTCAGCCCTCAATTTCATCACCTGCAAACATATAAAATCATAGCATTAGCTGCCTTGCTTACTACCTAATATTACTGGGAGGATTGGAAGAAGTTTTAAGTGTGAAAATATTATGTAATAACATATAATTTTAAAATGTGTATTTAAATATGTATGATTATTTAATCTGTATGATTTTTTAAAACTATATATTAATTTATGTAATAAAAATTTTTTGAACACCTACTATGGGCTAAATGCTGTTCTAAACACTAAGGATGCATCAAGAAATAGACAATATGATTGCTCCAAGAAAGCTAAATACCTAGTGATAGAGAAAGTTCTCACAGATACTCGATTATATCTACTTATGTCAGGTAAAATTTTCTCATCCCATCTTTGGGAAATCCACACCAGGGAACCAGCTGGAAGGTCAGTTGCATAGAAAATATGTAGGGGGTGAAAGATTATGCAAAGAATATACCAATTATTTTAAGAATTAAATGAACAATCTTATTTAAATCACAATGAATGCATGACTAAATAGATGGTGGTATCAATGTGTACCATGTAATGATAGCCAAAAACTCACAGCAATTACTTTCATCATTGTTGGGATAAACCAAAAAATAACTCAAATTGAAATGTACATATAGCAGCAGTTGGAAAACACAGCTGATCTAAGATGGCACAAATGATACAAAGATATCTCGCTTTAAAACTCTGGAGACTCCAGCTCTCAGGTTTGCAAATATACATGGGAGATTTTCACCATTGCCAAAAGTGAAATGACACCAGAAACTTTATTACAGCAAGGAAATAGAGTCCTCAGTAAATTTTAGCTTGGTATTAATTTTTAATTTATTGATATCTGATGTTGGTGACAACCAGTATCTTTCTTAGAAGATAATTCATAAATAAATTTTATAAAAATATAAATTTCTTCATAATTCACCTTGAAATACTAAACAATGGCAAAATAAATGCAATTTTTAAATTTTAATTCACAACCCACCAAAGTACTTTGGTAACCTACCAATGAGTTGTGCTCTATAATTTGAGAATTAAATATGACAGGATTATATGCGTTTTCTGGGAGATGATTCTCTAATCTCAGTTTGATCACTTTGTTTTGGGAGATCCTTCCATACCCACACCACTGCAAGAGAACCATGGAGGCATGCAGCTTGTTGAATTTTCTTGTCCACAATATATATTAATTTATATATACATTCATTATGAAACTTTTATTAGAAACCTACTCTTTGTCAATTGTTTTGCTGTAGATTATGGAAAAGAGAAAATGTATGGGAAAGATGACAATCATTAATTGATTGAAGATGCCCTTAATTGGCATATGGGGTCTCTTGGAATCAAACTATTTTAAATATCACAAGGCAGATAGTTATTATCTTGCAGTGTGAAATAAATGAAGCCTTGACATTATGGCATAGAGGAAGTGAGTTAACAGAAATATGTACAATTGGCCTTTGAACAACGCAGGGGTTTGGGGAATGGACTCCCCTGTGTAGTTGAAAAATCCATATATAATTGATTTCCCCAAAACAACTACTAATAAGGTATTGTTGACTGGAAGCCATACTAACAACATAAACAGTCAATAAATATTCTGTTATATATATTTATTATATACTGAAATCTTACAATAAAGTAAGCTAGAGAATATAAAATGTTATTAAGAAAATCACAAGGAAGAGAAAATACATTTATTATTTTTTAAGTGGAAGTGGGTCATCCTAAAGATCTTCATCCTCATTGTCTTTATACTGATTAGACAGAGGAAGAGAAGGAAGAGAAGGGATTGGTCTTGCTGTCTCAGGAGTAGCAGAGGCAGAAGAAAATCCAAGTAGAAGTACGCTTTCACAGTTCAAACCTGTGTTGTTTAAGGGCCAAATGTACTTGCAAATGGATGGCCCTGAAAATAAATTACTTACAGAGATTGTCTTAGTTTATTGGGCTGCTGTAATGAACTACCGTAACATGGGTGGCTTATAAATAACAGAAATTTACTTCTTAAAGTTCTGGAAGCTTGGAAGTCCAAGATCAAGACACCAGCAGATTCAGCATCTGCCAGCTGAGGGCTTACTTACTGGTTCTTGGACAGTACTTTCTTGCTATGTTCTCACATGGGTTACAAGTCTCTCTTGTGTCTCTTTTATAATGACAGTCTCCCATTCATGAGGGCTCCATCCTCATGACTTAACTACCTTCAAAAGCCCTCACACTCTAATACTGTCACATTGGGGATTAGGATTCCAACATGTGAACTGTGGGGGAACACAAGCATTCAGGCCATAGCAGAGCCCTTGAAAATTCATAAGCTCTAGACTTCAAATACTAGAGTAAGATTCCAGTTCTCTTTACCTTAATCTAAATTTTACCTAGTATTCCATGACACTACACTTACTGTATAAAGTTGAAAGCTGCTATGAAGAGAACAAAAAAAAAAAAGAGTGAGAGAGAAGAGGTTCATTCTAGTTAAACATGCCATTAGTCCTAAATAGAAAGGAATAAAAGAGACATCTAGAAGATGGTATGGACACTGGTCAGAATTTGCCTTCTTGGGAATAATAGATAAAACTACACAAGAGATACTAAGTTAACTTAAAATAGTTAATAAATTTTGTGTGTGTGTATGTGATGGGTTTAGATAGGAGAAAAAGAAGAACCCAGAATGATTATACATTGCAGAAGTGAGCAGCGAGTGAATGGAGGGAAAAAGAAGGGAAAAATGTACAACTCACTGTCTCCTTCTGTTCCTTGCACCTTGCTGAATTTTAAGGTTGATTTGTTTCTTTTTAACATGTATAGAAGAACCAGCCCATATAATCCTAGTAAAGGTGGCAATATTTAACCAATTGAGTGTAAAATTACTAAAGTTCTGGGCATATTGGCTAGTGTCTACTCTGAGGTGAAAGGGAGTGGTAATGACAATTGCTACTGATGGAAAATCCAATTAAAATTTACTAAGAAATTCTTGAACACCTAATTGGATGCCTCACTCGGTCTTTGATGCTACAATTCTCATCAAAGAAAGTATATTTCCTGATTAAGTTTTAAGAAGTGAAAGGTGTAAAGAATAAGTAGAGAAGGAAGAGAAAGTAGAGGAGACACCCATTGCCACCATTACTAAAACAAGAGCACGGAGACTACACAATGAGCTGTATAAAGTGCCCACTATGTGCAGATAACAGGAAAAGTACTTTATCAATGTTATCCCAATCGATTCTGAAAACGCCTTTACAATGTGGATGGATGTTCTGCATTTTTTGAAACGGAATCTCGCTCTATCGCCCAGGCTGGAGCGCATGGCACGATCTCAGCTCACTGCAAGCTCCGCCTCCTGGGTTCACGCCATTCTCCTGCCTCAGCCTCCGGAGTAGCTGGGACTACAGGCGTCCGCCACCACGCCCGGCTAATTTTTTGTATTTTTAGTAGAGACGGGGTTTCACCATGTTAGCCAGGATGGTCTCGGTCGCCTGACCTCGTGATCCGCCCGCCTCGGCGTCCCAAAGTGCTAGGATTACAGGCGTGAGCCACCACGCCCGGCCAGCCCCTTGTATTCTTAAATACACACATGCCACCTCTTACTCTAAGGTAAAGAAAGTGTCGCCGACACACATGGATTAAATATCTCCTTTTGCATAACAAAAAGACCTCTGAACTTTCTGAGTAGTAGAGCTGGAAAACACTTGATGAAAGATAAACTGAGTCCCAAATTTGTGGTGTTTTGGAACTCATGTTTTCAACTTTCCACAAATGGTGTAGAGCAAAGAGTCCTGGTATCTTGGCCTCATATAAATTTAATTGTTATTCAACCATATCACCCATACATTGTGTGATTGAGGATCTCTGTAACATTATTTCAAGACTCCTATGCCTCAATTATTAAGTTAGAATAAATCATAAAGTACTTGAGAAAATCAAAGGAAGCAAAGGCTATATGAAAGGCTCGTGTTAGCTGGAAAACTTTTTAAGTTTTTGGAGACTTACTTTGTCCAGTGTACTGGAAGAGTCCAAGAAAAGGATAAAAAAAAAAAAAGACAAAGTACAATCATGATCTTCAGTCTCTTATCAGACAAGATTAATTATAATGATGACAATAAATTAGAAGTAATCTGAACAAATCTGGAAGTTTTGAGAGTGCAGAGAAAGTAATGATTAACCCTAAAAGGTATATAATAGGTGTTTTTGAATAAAATACATCATTTTGATGTGATTGAGGCTAAAGACTCAGGAGGAGCCCAATATCAATTTGAGTCATTCATGGCTAGAGGAGAAACAAAAGCAAGACACAAAGAGCGTGGACCCTCACAGAATTAAAAAAGCCCCTCTTGGCTTTGAAGATTTGATTATGATACATGGCATGATTATGGTATGATGGGAAATGTGCATGACATTTTACAAATCTGAGATTAGATAGAAATTAATGAGATCTCACTTTGTTGTGGGGTTCATGCTGGTCCTGAGACCTAGTAATAAGCATATGGTCTTTAGAAGATATCAAGGTGGGGATCTCGGTACTCTTGCCACTGTGTTTTCAGAATTGGAGACAATGGCATCATTTCTGATTGTGCTGTATTTGAGGCAAAAGTCAGGGGCAATGAATAGAGAAGCAGCATTCATTCTTCTAATTGTATATTTCTTTTTGTTAATGCTTCAAAGCAAATGACATGAAAAATTTTATATAATGGTGATGAGCAGATTTTTCCATTTGTAGACGATGACCACATGCATGGATAGGCGGGCCATTCTTTATTTATGCTCAACCGAGTTTCTGCAAATAGAGAAATCGGCTAATTATCTACAAATTTTCATTCTTTATCTGCATAGAATTTTAATGAACAGGAATTGCCATTTACTCATTTATATTTGTGAAGAGGGAACAATCTCTCCCTTTGGTCATTTCTCTCCCTTTGTAGTTCTCAGACCTGATAGCATTAGAAGAAATAAAATTCTGGCTGGTCATTTTCCTACTAAGGATTTCCTACTAAGCAATCCTTTCTGTCACCTTCCTAACTGCAGTTTTCTGAATCAGATGTCTTGCCTGGAATTATGAGGATGAAGTAGGGTAGGGATGTTCTAAAGATTGTCCTTGTTATGTTGTCTTTGTAGACCTGGCTCTCTGTGAAGACATGGCTTGGATTTAATTGGGTTGTAATGCACACAAAGTAATCAAGTCAAATCCACAAATGGCCGTTGAGGACAACTATTACAAGGAAATAAGCTTGACAAAATGCCCCTTTACTAATTTCTGGCCTGAAATCTACAGACCTTGTAAGTATTTGGCACAGAGGTGCAACTTCTGTGCTGCTAAATGATCATCATCATTACCAATAACAAGAGTTTATTATTGCACCAAAATATATCTATATTGATTCAGGCTTTCGTACTGTCTCTCCCATGAAATAAAATTCCTGTCTGGTCTCCCTGCCCGCCTAGTTCCTTTCCAATCCATTCTGTCTGTGGTGGATAAATATTTTTTCAATATAGATCTTATTTTGCCCTTTTCTCAGTCAAAACCGCTTCAGTGTTTCCTTCATCAACTGCAAATTAATGTAATACAAAGTTCTCATTTAAAGAGTAAACAATCGTTTGTGGACCACCCATGAAGGTTTTAATTATTTTCATTATAACATTACTCAAGTGTAAATCTAAGTACGTACTTCTTAAAATAGTGCTTGTACATGTATACCACCGAACCAAACTTATTAACGAAACACAAAAAACATACTGAAACCAAAACCAAAACAATTGTCAATACTAAGTTGTTCCTCTTGAAATCTTATTATCAATATAGAATTTAATAGTAGAAGGAAGTGCTTGTGTGATAAGTTCTACTTTTTAAATAGACTTTTATTGTTTTATATTTTGATATAATAAATCGAGTCATTGTCATTATTAGTAGTTTTTAAAAACTCTAATTTTTTTAATGTCCTGTTATTTTGACAGACCAAATAAATAGAATAGAATCCAAGTAGCAGATATGTGGAAAGAATAAGTGTGGAGATCTAATATACAACATGAGGACTCTAGGTAATAAAGCTGTGCTGTGTATGGGATTCATACTGAATAAATAGATTTTACCTGCTCTTGCCACCAAAACAAACAAAATGTGTAACTATGTGAAATACGTTAATTTGCTTCACTATAGTAACCATTTTACTATCCATGTGTATCCTATAACATGGTGTATACCTTAATTATACACAACAAAATTTATTTTAAAAGGAATCCTTACACAATTTAAAAAAAATCATGATTGAGGAAAAAAAAACCTTTATTGCACATTTGGTATCTGCTATGATATGAATGTTTGCATCCTCTCAAAATTCATATGTTAAAATCCTACCACCGGCCCCCCCACCCCCCTGCCAAGGTGATGGGCAGTAAGAGAGGTCTTTAGGAGGTGACTACGTCATGGAGGAACCCTCATGAATAGAATTAGAGCCCTTATAAGAAAAGGTCTGAGGGAGCTCAGTGGCCTCTTTTGCTATATGAGGACACTGCTAGAAGGCACCACCTATGAATTCGAACACAGTCTTTTTCCAGATGCTAAATCTGCTGTTTCCTTGATCTTGAACTTCCCAGCCTCCAAAACTGTGAAAAATAAATCTCTGTTGTTTATAAGCAGTCCACTGTAGGTGCTAAAATGAGATTCAACAAAGTTTCTATTTTTCTGGGAATTACCTGAGATCTCATTAAATGTGGGATTATTTTTAAAAATAATAATAAGTAAATAAATGTGGGGTTGTTTTCTTAATATAATGGCTTTCAAACTCGTTAAAGACATGAACCACTCTGTGAAAGTTAAATCTCATTGATGATCGATGCCCCCATGCTATACAGATCAGCTCTTATTATACAGCTTGATCTGTTTCTTTGTAGCACTTGTCAGAAATATAATTAAATAATGGTTAGTGCATTTATCTGACGCCCTGCTACAAAGAAGTCAAGAGGAAAGGGCCTACAAGTCTGTCTTGGTCAAAAGTCTGTCTGAACCACCCTACACAGTGGCTATGATATGGTAGACACTCAATAAATATTGCATGAGTCCTAAAGCAAGTTTGCTCTGGTTGAGACTGGAGTGGGAGACTTCCAGCTAAGTCCCTCCTGTTCTTCCTCAGTGGCCCCTGGAGTGGCTTAGCACAATGTCTAATGTTCATCAGAGTATATTTTGGGGAAAAACAAAAGTCCATAAAAAACTCAATTTTCTCATTCTTCATTGACAAAGCAGAGGTGATAATGAACGACCAACAAGATTGTCTTAAGGATGATCCAATATAAGATAATGTATGTAAACATGGGTTTTAAACCTTAAAAATTTTTACCAGTATTTGCCATCTTTAGAAATCTAAGACATGGCTATCACCCAAACTCTCCTTTAATATCCGGAATAGAAGCCTGGACATACTGGACTGAGCCAAATGTAATTTCTATAATATGTGTTAAAAATATTAAAGGCGGGTGGGCACGGTGGCTCATGCCTGTAATCCCAGCACTTTGGGAGGCTGAGATGGGTGGGTCACTTGAGCCCAGGAGTTCGAGACCAACCTGGGCAACATGGTGAAACCCCGCCTCTACAAGAAATACAAAAATTAGCTGGGTGTGGTAGCATGTGCCTGTAATCGCAGCTACTTGGGAGGCTGAGGCAGGAGAATCACTTGAACCCAGGAGGCGGAGGTTGCAGTGAGCTCAGATCGCACCACTGCACTCCAGTCTGGGCGACAGAGTGAGACTGTCTCAAAAAAGAAAAAGCAAACAAACAAACGAAAGGTTAAAGACTTCTCTTGTGGATGCTGGTTTAATGAAAGCAGCCCAAGTCCAGAATCAAAATACATCACACTCAAAATGACCAAATAGTAATTAAATTTCATTTTCTGAACCCTTTGTCTTCACTTTATTTTGACCTCTGCAGCCCCACCAGCTTCAGAGTAATATATACCACACCTCATATCCTTATTTACAAGTCCTTGGGAGAAATCATGCATATAGCTGACATTTTTTAGTTGAGAGCACAATTAGAAATAGTTTTGAAATGGCTTACTCCGGAATTTACAAATTTGGGGTGTGTGCAGTGGTTAGAATGGAGCTAAGGTTGAGGAGGAAAAGGAGACAAAATGTTAGAAAGACAAAATGTGTTTTTAAAGGCTTGAGAAAAATTATTCTAAAAGAATCCTCTTGTCTGCGCTGCTTTTGTTTAAATAAATACTGCATTTAAATCAGAGTCCATTTAGCCAGGACTTTGGGATAGAACTTTCAGGTCCTGTCTTATGCAAACCTGCATCCAAAGTCTGGCTTTAATACTTCCTGTGTATGTTCTTATACAAGTGACTTGATCCCTTTATGCAGCTATTTCCTTATACGCAAAATGCAGGTATTAGCAGTACCTGTCTCCCAGGGTTGTCATGAGCATGAAATCACACAATTCTTAGCCTGCAGTTGTAAGAGGTCTATATAAGGTTTTGAGAACTGAAGTGTCTCCAGAGTGTTGCACTGCTATTATGATCAGGCCCCAGAAGTTCCTAATCCATGCCTTTTTATTATTATTCCACGTCTGCCTTTTCTAGCCATTAACACCAGTGGATATAAACTCTGCAAAAACAGAGGGGTTTGTCTGTTTAGTTTCCTACTGTACTTCCAACAACTTAACTAATACCTAGAACACAGTAGACATTCAATAAATACATGTAGAATAAATGAATGCTATAAAAGAAAAACCAGAATGGTAATGACATACCACGTTATTAGTAGCTAGTTAGGTAGACTAGCATCTTCTTCCCTGATCCAACCAAAGCAGGGTACAAAATCCTTAAGAGCTCAGATTCTGAATGCAGATTACACAGATTTTCAATCCCGATTTCACTACTTATTAAATATTTAACAGCGGGAAAGTTAAATGATTCCTCTGACCTCTGTTTTCACATGTGTAAGACGAAGACAACACTGACACTTCCATTATGTGGTTTTGAGTGAGAGTTAGATAAATTATATAAAGAGTTTAGAAAAGTTGCTAGCATGTAGAATGTGCTATATGTATTAAATATTACTACTAGTGTTTTTATCATTTTGTTTAGTGACATGTAGATTACAAAGCAGACCTATTATTGATATTCCTAAATCTGTCTGTTTATTAATTGCATATATCATGTCATTTGATGTTCATGAATAATCAAATACGGGAAGTGCTTTACCCATTGTACAGTTGAGATAACTAAGGCTCACAGATGGAATTAATTTGCCAAGATCACACATAGTTAGTAAGTAGCAGAAGTGAGACATAAGCTTGATCTGAGTAACACCAAACTTTACTCCAGTGTCCAGCAAAGAGCATGGAAGATTGTTTATATTTACAAGTCACTTAGAAAGGTTTTTCCATACCACATTACTGACCCTTGTCCATGGTAAGACACAAGAAGCATTCCTTAGTGATACTATATGTTTCTCTAATTTTTTTCCCTTTATCAAAGTGTCTGTCTCACAATAAACTTTCATATGGTAGACATGTAAGGGAAATGCTATTGATTGTGGCTACATTTTGTGAGATACCTATGACATTCTAGGCCAACACTCCATTCTTTACAGTCTCTCTCATCAATTTCACACAATGATTCCATAAGATGAACACAATTATTGACATCTTAGCTGACAAAAATTCAGAAGTTATGTATTTTTCCCCAGGCACCCCAGTTGATAAATAGCAGAATTGGAATTTAAACAGGCCTGGTGACCCAAAAACTTGACTCTATATCTTACCCTGAAGAAATATGCAAGTGATATCAAGCCTGATATTGAAACTTTAGTCCACTTCATCAGACTTTGGAAAAAAACGTGACACTCAACATAGCAGGTGGGTGATCAGATTGGTTTCTCTCTCTCTCTCTCTCCTGACTCCAGCTTGCCATGGACAAAATAGAAATAATGAAGTGTCAATAACTAAAAGTTTATTCCTGGCTAACAGCTGATGAGTGTTTTCAGAGGCTCCTGTTTTTTGACCTTTAGGTGCCCTAGACAATGACGGAATCTCGTTGAAAGCTCTTTAAGCTGAAATTAATTTATGCTCGACAGTGATTAAAAGAGAAAGTGAGAAGGGGATGGAAATTAACAAATCCATCTTTATTGCTGAGATCCCATTATGATTATAAGGAGAGAGAAAAATCAACGTGGCGGGTGCCAGCTGCAATCTGGTAAGGAGTTTAAACAGCCCATCCTGCTTGGGAAATGCCCTTGGGTGGACAGATTTATCTGTCACTGAGGCTCTCAGAGAGAGGGGCTTATTTATCAAGGACTGGAATGCTGAGGTCCTTAACTTACTTTTGGAATAAGAGGCTGGGTCGTAGAAATAGCTGCCAGGGTAATAGGCCAAAAATTTTGACAGACAAGGTCTCTTGAAAGGCAAATTTTTCTGGTGCATCCAGGAACAGAAATGGCTAAACTGCTGAATTGCCATGCCCTGGGTTCCTGTTGGGTCAGTCTCTTTCTCTTGGGTACATGCCTTTGAGTACCTTTATACTGCAACTCATCATGTGCTCTTTGGGAGGGCTCTGAGGCCAAGGACCTTGTTTCATACCAGAAATTCACAATGCTCCTTGGACCATGCATTATATGTGTAGAAAGCCAAACAAATATTAAAGAAGAGACGACCACTATTTCTTTATTCATTCTTCAAAAATAATATTTGCCAAACACCTCATATGCATCATGCTCAATAGCAGGCAATGAAGATAAAGATGTTAGGTAACAGAATATCTTTGTCCTCATAGCACCAACCTGAGATAGTGAGGCTCATTTCCCTTTAAAATTGAAATCAGAATTCTCCAAAAGACAATCTTAGACTCATAGCATTTCAAGAGAACTAATATGTGCTGAGAACTTTCTATGTTCCAAAGAGTTGACAGATGATGTCTCAATACTGGAAACAATGAAAGTAAGTATGCTTTACCTGATTTTACATTAAGTGAGTGAGGGCTCAGAGAGGTGAAATGACTTCTTTTTGGGCACAGAGCTAGAATAACTGGAGCCAGAGAGTTTATACGCAGACCTATTATACACCAAAATCTGTTTTTTCTCTACTGTCCTCATCACATCAAAGATATGATGGTGAAATAAGAGCATGAATCTAAGAAAGGGCCTGACTGTGTGTTTTTGCTCAACCCCTTACTGACTTTGTGACCTTGGGAAAATTATTGTATCTTACAGTGTATAGATGTTCTCATTTGTAGAAAAAGGGATAGGATTCCCTGCTCTTCCAGTTTCAGAGGTTAATCTTAGGCTCAGAGGAAATAACGTAGGTGAAAGTGCTTTGCAAATGTAAGCTATTATTGTTAGATAGTTTAGTCTCTACTAATACATAAATCTCCATAATATTTCTTAATATACCTCATAATAGCTTGTACTTTAAAACTGTAAAACTGAAAACATTATATCACGTCTTGTAAACATGTACCTCTTGTAAACATGTAACTCAAGGGACTGATATGTAGACTATGATTCTTCCAATTTACTTTATCATTGGACATATCTCAAAAGGAAAACTTGCTTTATTTCAAAGCAGGCAAGAACATTGTGAGTTGAATATCTGAAAACATTAATGATAAAAATAATAATGATAAAATAATCTTTTATTTGATGGCTACTATAATCTTATGGGAATTAGTATTGCTAAAGGAGGAAACTGATAGCTTGTTTAGTCCCTGAGGGAAACATTGTATTATTGTGACCATGTACAGAGTCATAGTGGTTGCCCTTGGAGGGAACTTTAGAGGAGTAGGGTTAGGATGACGGAGTTCATCAACTTACTCAGTTTCTTTGGAGCAGATATTTTACTTCTCTGGACCACAACTTCCTTTTTTTTTAACAAAAGGATCATATTTAATATTCAGATATATCTCCCTTAAGATTATAATTATTTCATGAAAAATTGATTCTTCAAAGTACTAAAGATACATTAAGTACTGCTTAATTGCTATGATTTTACTCTCAACTCTGGGTTGCTCTGAGATGGAGATTCAAGTGTAATTCAAATGCAGTGATGTCTCATGCAGGGGACTGGAAGCAATTGGCCCCCTTTACCTGCAAAAGAATCCTTCCTTGCAAGGTTTGAGGAAGCTACATGCAGAGAATTAAGGCGAATGTTATACCCTGAGGTGAAATAGAGTTGGAAGAAGTAGCATAAATTTGAAGCCTGGGAAGTACTTCCTGCTTTCACCTATTCAATTTCTTTCAAAATACAAATCTCAAAATTAGGATTCTAGGGAATTATGCCAAAATGAGAAAGTGGAAAGAGAGAAAGAAAGAGAGAAAAAGAGAGAGAGAGAGTTAGTTTTGTCATTTGACCCAGAAGTGAAACCATGTTAGTGTAAGAAGCAAGAACTGTATGGGAAGAGCCAGTTCATGTGGACTTTAAATGCACAGTGACAGTTATAAGTGAGTATAGCCCAAACAAGATGTTGAACTCTGACTCAGATTAGCAGTTCCTCTTACCTTAAAGAAAAGTTGATGAGTTAATGTAAAAGCAATCACAGGGTGAAATTTCATGACTTAGGGAGAAAGAACGAACTGTTGCTTCTCTGGTGAAACATTTTCAGTGGATCCACATTGACAACAGCATGATTTCCCACGCTGTGTTTTATAAATCATGAGTTTCCCAAGATATTGTAGATGTTACTAGGATAAGTTACCCGGGGAAAATGTGTTTGAAAAATATCAAGTTAAACACTTTACTAGGTTGCTGTACTACATGACTTCTCACAGTCCTCAATAACCTGGTATTTATTACGAGTCTCTCAGAGGGGATATAATATGCAGAATATGAATATTCAGGCATATTTAACAAAAATCCATTATAATGGAGCATTTCTATGGATAAATGTTATGACAAATACGCTTTGGAAGATGCCCGTCTAAAAGGTATAGTCCCAAGCTAGGAGTACTTCTTTCACTGCCAGCACTGATAACTTAATGGCTGCTTTCTCACTCATGAAAGTTCTTAGTTGGGTGAATCGCTCGGGCACTTCTTCCCACCATTCCACCCACCAGAACACAGTCACCTTATCATACTGAGACACAAAGGGGGTTGGAAAATATGGGCTTTCTTTATGCCTAGGAATAAAATAAAACATATACACCACTGTCTTATGCACAGCAGTCACTTGGAAGCTTTCTATACTCTGTGCCCAAAATTGCTGGAAATGGTTCATGGCAACATATTTTATATTCTTTCCATTTCCTTATGTTTCCTGCATTTCTTAATTGTTAATTTTGCACATTTTTTCTTCTTCTTTAACCTATCTCACTTTTTTTCTACTTATGTCTGAGAGGGAACCCTAACCATCCTAAAAGACCCCATTAAAATGTCACTTCTACCATGATACCCTATCTGCTCATCCTATCATACTTGTTTCAACTTGTCTTCTTCCTATGACATTTATAATCTCTCTATTATATGACAAATACTAATTTAAGATTTATTGGATACTCTTAACTCTCTTAATATAAAATTTTGGGAGGCAATTGTGTCATGATATAGAGGGAAGGCCAGGGTCTTCAGAATGAGACACATCTTAGTTTACATCCTGGCTTTATCACTTACTAAATATATTACTTTGGCCAGGTAACATTACCACTCTGCAGTGCTTCTTCACTTGAGAATCAGGGACTTAAAACCCTTTTTTTTTTTTTTTTTTTTTTTGAGACCGAGTCTCATTCTGTTGCCCAGGCTGGAGTGCAGTGGCACAGTCTCGGTTCACTGCAACCTCCGTGCCCTGGGTTCAAGCAATTCTCCTGCCTCAGCCTCCCGAGTAGCTGAGATTACAGGTGCCTGTCACCACGCCTGGCTAGTTTTTTGTATTTTTAGTAGAGACGGGGTTTCACCATGTTGGCCAGGCTGGTCATGAACTCCTGACCTCGTGATCCACCTGCCTTGGCCTCCCAAAGGGCTGGGATTACAGGTGTGAGCCACCACGCCAGGCTAACTTAAAATCTTTCTAAGTCAGGTTGTTGGAAGGTTCAAATAATATAATGTACAAAGGTTCTTAATACAGTGTGCCTTCCAAAGATGAAGTCATCTATGTATGTTTATTGTTACAATTGTTTTCATTGTTTTATTTTTTGTAGCCAAATCGACCCAGCCTGCAATCCTGACCCTGCCATTTATTAGTGGTCTGACTTAGAGAAAATTACTTTCCACTTCTGAGTCTCAGTTTTTTCATTTGTAAAAATGGGTATGGCCTTCCCTTTCTGAGTGAATAGCAAGAAGAAGTGTTTATCACGATGTCTGACATATAGCAGAGGCACAAGTAATTAATGAATTTATTACAGACTACTTCAATAGAAGGCATAAAAACATTTATTCACTTAATGATTCCATCTAGGAAGGAAAAAAGACAGTTTCCTCCATGTAGCTTGCTTTTGTGCCTAAGGACCTGTAGCCGAACAGTTCTGCGTTAATTTCCCTCTTAGTTTTGAAAACTGTAATCTAAGCCAGGTTCTTCTTTTCTGATGTGAACTTGGTCACCTTCCTTCTTATACTATCCTCTTAGGCACTTGAAGACTGTTAAATCAGCTCGGCATCTTTCTCTTCTCCAGGCTGAATCCCTTTAATCTTGCATCCCAAGTTTCCATTTCCAGTTCTTTAATCATTTCTTATTGCACTGCCCTTCCATTTTTGAAGCATGCAGAAGCACAGGAGGAAACAGAAAGTCCTAAAGTAATATGCGGAAACAGCATGAACCTACACTACAAACTAACTGATAAAGGACAGTGTGTGTATATATATATATATATATATATATATATATATATTTGAACAGTTAGAAGTAGTAAACTACAGGAAATTTCTCTTTACTCCCTACTAGCAGTCCCACTTCTAGTATCATCTTCAGAGCCAATAGCAGGTGGCATTTTACAGGTATTTCTCTATGCATAACAAAGGTTTAGCCATTTATGTCTGGATGTTGTGTTCACTTGAATCAACATCAAATACTTACCATATACCAGTTGTTCTATACACAGCATTCCAGTTGAAGTCCTGCTTCTGCAAATACAAAGTAAGCAGTAAACAAATAATGTATAATCATATAATGGCTATGGATACCGATATTAAAGAAAACAGTCATGTATGGGAAAAAAGCAAAAAACACCTTTGGTCTTACACAAAACATGAATCTCCCACTAACTAGCTGTGAATATTGCATGAGTGAACTCTCCTTGAGCCTCAGGTTTTATCATTTGTGGAACTGGATAGGGCCAATAGCCCTTCAGAGTTTTCTTGGAAACTAAATAAACCAATATACAAAAAGTATTTACCTCTGTGTCTGACACCTAACACTCAAAAAACCACTTTCGTTTCCTGTCATTGTTTTGCAAGCACAAAGAAGAAATATCAAGTAAAGAAATCATAGTGGCAGAAAGCCTTTTCAAATAGAGTACTCAAGTTTGTTAACAAACACTTGTTTGTAACATTTCTTCTTCCTTTAATAATCCATTTCTATTAGTCTAAGGCAAACTATGCAGGCCCCAAACTGTAATCAAATGTCTCCTTTTCACCTTCTCCTCTTTTATTCTGCCTTTTTTTATGCAAACTTCCTCTTCTGTTTATTCATAATAATCTGTCTCCCTTATCTGCCCTCGTTTCCTCATTTTCCCTGTCTAACCTATTTCCACCACTACGTTTCTTTTTTTTTTCTTCCTGTCCTTTGAATCAGTTTTTCTCTCTCAACAATCAAGAGTGATCTTGAAAGGTGGAAAAAAACACAGGTAGAGTTGATGATGGTGTAGGACTGTGATCAGGGACATAGGCTTTGGAACCAGAGAGCTCTGGATTTCAATCCAGTTTCTCTTATTTATTAGCTAATAATATTGGAAAGGTACTTAACATTTAAAAAATGATAATTGTACATATTTATGTGGTACATGTGATATTTTAGAACATGCATACAATGTATAATGATCAAATCAGGGTGACATGGTTTAGATTTATGTCCCTGTGCAAATCTCATGTTGAACTGTTAATTCCCAGTGTTGGAGGAAAGCTTGGTGGGGTGTGATTGAATCATGGAGGTGGATCTCTCCTTGCTGTTCTCGTGATAGTGAATGAGTTCTCACGAGATCTGGTTGTTCAAACGTGTAGCACCTTCCACTGCTTTCTCTTCCTCCTTCTCTGGCCACGTAAGATAGACTTGCTTCCCCTTTGCCTTCCACCATGATTGTAAGTTTCCTAAGGCCTCCCAGCCATGCTTCCTGTACAGCCTGCAGAACTGTGAGTCAATTAAACCTCTTTTCTTTATTAATTATTCAGTCTTAGGTAGTTCTTTATAGCAGTGCGAGAACAGACTAATACACAGGGTAAGTGGAAGATCCATCACCTCAATCATTTATCATTTTTTTGTGTTGGGAACATTCCAAATCTTTCTTTTGAGAAACTTTGAAATATAAAATACATTATTGTTAATTTTAGTTCCCCTACTTTGCTATTGAACACTATACTTTATTCCTTCTAATGATATTTTTGTACCACTTATCCAGTTTCTCTTTATCCACACTCCTCCCTTTCTTCCCAAACAGTGCTAATCACCAAACTACTCTCTTCTTCCATGGGATCAATGCTTTTAGCTCCAATATGAGTGAGAACATGTGATATTTGTCTTTCTGTGCCTGGCTTATTTCACTTAACACTGTGTCCTTCAGACTCATCCATGTTGCGGCAAACAAAAGGTTTCATTCTTTTTTTGAGTGAATAATATTCCTTTGTGTATATCTATTCCATATTTTCTTTATCCATTCATCCATAAATGGACATTTAGATTTATTCCATTTCTTGGTTATGGTGAACAGTGCTACAATAAACATAGAAGTGCAGATATCTTTTTGACATAGTGATTTACTTTCTTTTGGATATGTGTCTGTTTTTATGCCAGTACCATGCTGTTGTGGTTACTATAGTTTTGTAGTGTATATATTTTTTAATTTTTAATTTTTATTTGTTCTGGGTACATAGTAAGTGTATATATTTATGGGGTACATGAGATACTTTGATACAGGCATGCAATGTGTAATAATCACATCATGGAAAATGGAGTATTTATCCCCTCAAGCATTTATCCTTTGTGTTACAAACAATCCAATTTTACTCTTTTAGTTATTGTAAAATGTACAATTATTATGGACTCTTGTGTCATCAAATGCTAGGTCTTATTCATTCTTTCTGTTTCTTTTGTACCCACTAACCATCCCCACTTTCCTTCTTTCTCACCTACTTCTGTTCCCAGCCTCTGTTAACCATCCTTCTACTCTCTATCTCCATAAGTTCAATTGTTTTGATTTTTAGCTCCCACAAATAACATGTGAAAAACATGTGAAGTTTGTCTTTCTGTGCCTGACTTTTATCACTTAAAATAATGACCTCCAGGTCCATCCATGTTGTTGCAAATGACAGAATCTTCTTTTTTATAGCTAAATAGTACTTCATTATGCATGTGTTCCACATTTTTTAATCCATTCATCTGTTGCTGCACATGTAGGTTGGGTCCAAATCTTAGCTATTGTGAACAGTGCTGCAACAAACATGGGAGTGCAGATACCTTTTCAATATACTAATTTCGTCTCTTTCGGGTACATACCCAGCAGTGGGATTGCTGGATCATATGGTAGCTCAATTTTTAGTTCTTTAAGGAACCTCCAAACTATTCTCCATAGTGGTTGTACTAATTCCCATCAATATTGCAAAAATATATGAAGGTTCTTTTCTCCACATCCTCCCTGGCATTTGTTATTGCCTGTCTTTTGAATATAAGCGATTTTAGCTGGGATGAGACACTATCTCATTATAGTTTTGATCTGCATTTCTCTGATGATTAACGATGTTGCACACCTTTTCATATGCTTATTTGCCATTTGTATGTCTTCTTTTGATAAACGTCTATTCAAATCTTTTGCCCATTTTTTAAATTAGATTATTTTATTATTTCCTATAAACTTGTATGAGCTCCTTACATATTGTAGTTATTAATCCCTTGTCATATGAGTAGTTTGCAAATATTTTCTCCCATTCTGTGTGGTGTCTCTTCACTTTGTTGACTACTTCTTTTGCTGTACAGAAGAAGCCTTTTAACTTGATGTGATACCATTTGTCTATGTTTGCTTTGGTTGCCTCTGCTTGTGCAGTATAACTCAGGAAATCTTTGCCCAGATCAATATCCTGGAGAGTTTCCCCAATGTTTTCTTGTAGTAGTTTCAAGGTGTGAGTTCTTAGATTTAAGTCTTTAACCAATTTTGATGTGTTGTTGTTTTTTTGTATATGGTGAGATACAGGAGTCAGATTTATTTTTCTGCATATAGATACCCAATCTTTCCAGCACCATTTATTGAAAATACTACCTTTTCCCCCATGTATCTTCTTGGCACTTTTGTTGAAAATTAATTCACTAGGCCTGGCACCCTGTCTCATGCCTGAAATCCCAGCAGTTTGGGAGGCCGAGGCGGGTGGATTACCTGAGGTCAGGAGTTCAAGACCAGCCTGGCCAACAGAGCAACCCAGTCTCTACCAAAAATACAAAAATTAGCCGGACGTGGTGGTACCCACCTGTAGTCCCAGCTACTCAGGAGGCTGAGACAAGAGAATTACGTGAACCCAGGAGGTGGAGGTTGCAGTGAGCCAAGATCACACCACTGCACTCCAGCATGGGTGACAGAGTGAGACTCCCATCTTAAAAAAAAAAAGAAAGAGAGAGAGAGAAAGACAGAAAGAAAGAAAGAAAGAAAGAAAGAAAGAAAGAAAGAAAGAAAGAAAGAGAAAGACAGAGAGAGAGAGAAAAGGAAGGAAGGAAGAGAGAGAGAGAAAGAAAGAAAAAGAAAGAGAGAAAGAAGGAAAGAAAATGAGTTCACTGCAGGTGCATGGACTTGTTTCTGGGCTCTCTATTCTGTTCCATTGGTCTATATGTCTGTTGTTATGCCAATATCATGCTGTTTTGGGTTTTGGTTATAGCTCTGTAGTCTAATTTGAATTCAGGTAATGATTCCTCCAGTTTTGTTGTTGTTGTTGTTGCTGTTGTTGTTTGTTTGTTTTTGCTCTGGATAGCTTTGCTATTCTGGGTCTTTGTGGTATCATAAAAATTTGAGGATTATTTTTCTATTTCTCTTAAGAGTGCCATTGGTATTTTGGCAGAGATTGCATTGATTCTGTAGATTGCTTTGGGTAGTTTGGACAGCTTAACTGTGTTGATTCTTCTAATCCATTAATGTAGAATATCTTTCCATTTTTTGTTCTCCTTTTTCATTTCATCAGTGTTTTATAGTTTTCATTATAGAGATGTTTCACTTATTTGGTTAATTTCTAGGTATTTAATTTTACTTGTGGCTATTGTAAATTTGATTACGTTTTTATTCCTTTTTCAGATTTATCACTGTTGCCATATAGAAATGTTACTAATCTTTGTATGTCGATATCATATACTGAAACTTCATTGAATTTGCTTTTCAGTTCTAATATTTTTTCTGTGTAGTCTTTAGGTTTTTCCAAATATAGGATCATATTATCTGTAAACAAGGATAATTTGACTTCTTCCTTTCCAATTTGGATGTCCTTTATGTCTTTTTCTTGTCTGGTTACTCTAGTAAGACTACTAGTACTCTGTTGAATAACGGGGTGAAAGTGGACATCCTTGTTGTGTTCCAGATCTTAGAGAAAAGACTTTCAATTTTTCCCCACTCAGTGTGATACTAGCTGTGTGTCTGTCATATATGACTTTTATTACATTGAGGTATGTTCCTTCTATACTCAGTTTTTTAAGAGTTTTTTTTATCATGAAGGGGTGTTGAACTTTATCAAATGCTTTTTCGGCAGCGATTGAAATGATCACGTGTTTTTTTTGTCCTTCAGTTTGTTAATATGATGTAACATACTGATTGATTTGCAAATGTTGTACCATGCTTATATCCCTAGGATAAACCCCACTTAATCATTGTGAATGGTCTTTTTAATGGTGGTGTTGAATTCAGTTTGCTAGTAATTTGTTGGGGATTTTTACATCAATATTCGTCAGAGATACTGGCCGGTAGTTTCCTTTTTTTGATATGTCTTTTTCTGGTTTTGATAGGTTAATACTGGCTTTGTAGAATGAGTTCATAAGTTTTCTCCCCCATTTTCAGAGTATTTTGAGGAGAATTGGTATTAGTTATTTTTTAAATGTTTGGTAGAATTCAGCAGTGAAGCCATCAGGTCCGTGGGCTTTTCTTTACTGGGAGAAATTTTATTATGGCTTTGATCTCATTACTCGTTATTGGTCTTTTCAGGTTTTCAATTTCTTCATGGTTCAATCTTGTTTGGTTGTATGTGTCTAGAAATTTATACATTTCCTCTAGAGTTTCCAATTTATTGAAATATCTTTGCTTATAGTAGCCACTAATGATACTCTGAATTTCTGCAGTATCAGTTGTAATGTCTCCTTTTTAATCTCTAATTTTACTTATTTGAGTGTACTCTCTGTTTTTCTTAGCATGGCTAAAGATTTGTTAATTTTATTTATCTTTTCATTTTATTGAACTTCTGTATTGTTTTCTTCATTTATTTCATTTATTTCTCTTCTGATCTTTTTTATTTTTTTTCTTCTAATTTTGGGTTTGGTTTGATCTTGCTTTTCTAGTTCTTTAAGGTAAATCATTAGGTTATTTATTTGAAGTTTTATTTTTTGACGTAGGCACTTACAGCTATAAGCTTCCCTCTCTTTACTGCTTTTGCTGTATTCCATAGGTTTTGGTATGTTGTGTTTCCATCAGTATTTGTTTCAAAAAATTTTTCAATTACCTTCTTAATTTCTTCCTTGACACACGTTATTCAGGAGCATATTGTTTAATTCCATGCATTTGTATAATTTCTAAAATGTATCTTGTTATTAATTTCTAATTTTACTCCAGATAAGATGTTTGATATTATTTCATTTATTTCACATGTTTTAAGACTTGTTTTTTGACCTAACATATGATTTATCCTTGAGAGTGTTCCATGTACTGAGAAGAATGTGTATTCTGTAGCCATTGGATAAAATGTTCTATAAATATCCATTAGGTCCATTTGGTCCATAATGCATGTTAAGTCTGATGTTTCTTTGTTGATTTTCTATCTGGAAGATCTGTCCAGTGCTGAAAGTGGGATGTTGAAGTCTCCAGCTATTGTTGCCTATTTCTCTCTTTAGCTCTAATGGTTTTTGATTCATACATCCAGGTGCTTCAGCATTGGGTGCATATATATTTACAATTATTATAATCTCTTGCTGAATTGACCCCTTTATCATTATATAATGATCTTCCTTGTATCTTCTTACCATTTTTGTCTTTAAATATATTTTGTCTAAGTATAGCTACTCCTGCTCCTTTTAGGTTTTCATCGACATGGAATATCTTTTTCAATTCCTTTATTTTTACTCTATGCGTATTTTTATAGGCGAATTACATCTCTTGTAGGCAAACGCTCACTGGGTCTTGCTTTTTAATCTATTTGGCCACTCTATATCTTTAGATTGAAGAGTTTTGTCCCCTACATTCAATGTTATTATTGATAAGGACTTAGTCATGCCATTTTGTCATTTGTTTTCTGGTTGTTTTGTGGTCTTCTCTTTTTCTTTCCTTCCTTCCTCTCTTCCTTTTAGTGAAGATAATTTTCTCTGGTCATAGGATTTAATTTCTTCCTTTTCATTTTTCATGTATCTATTGTATGTTTTTCAATTTGAGGTTACCATGAAGCTTAAAAATCTATCTTATAACATATTATTTTAAATTGATAACAACACTGTTTTAAATAGAAAACAGTGTTGTTTTCTAACACGTTATTTCTTTCTAAGCAAAATGAAAACTAATAAAAACTGTGCTCTACCTTTGTACCCCTGCTTTTTAACTTTTTGTTGTTTCACTTTATGTCTTAGTTTACTATGTCTTGAAAAGTTGCAGGTATTATTTTTATTAGTTCATAGTTTAGCCTTTCTACTTAAGAGTAGTTTACACACCAAATTACAGGTTTTAATAATCTCTGTTTTTCTGTGTGCTTTACCAGTGAGTTTTGTACCTTCAGATGATATTTTATTGCTCATTAACATCCTTTTTTTCCATATTGAAGAACTTCTAGCATTTCTTGTAGGACATATTTGGTGTTGATGAAATCCCTCAACTTTTGTTAGTCTGTCAAGACACTTCTTTCTCCTTCATGTTTGAAGGTTATTACCACCAGATATACTATTCTAAGGTAAAAGGTTTTTTTTTCTTAAGCACTTTAAATATGTCATACCATTCTTTCCTGGCCTGTAAGATTTCCACTGATAAGTCTGCTGCCAGATTACTGGAGCTCCATTGTTTGTAATTTATTTTTTTTCTTCTGCTGCTTTTAGAATTCTTTCTTTATATTTGATCTTTAGGAGTCTGATTATTAAATGCTTTGAAGTAGTCTTCTTTGGGTTAAATCTGTTTTGTATTCTATAACCTCTTCTAGTTGAATATTGATATCTTTCTCTAGGTTTGGAAAGTTCTCTGATATTATCCTTTCGATAAACTTTCTAAACCTATCTCTTTTTCTATCTCCTGTTTAAGGCCAATAACTCAGATTTGCCCCTTTAAGGCTATTTTCTAGATCTTGTAGATGTGCTTCTTTTCAAAAAAAAAAAAAACCTTTTTTTTTTTTTGCCTCCTCTGACCATGCATTTTCAAACAGTCTGTCTTCAAGCTCACTAATTCTTTCCTCTGCTTGATCAATTTTGCTATTAAGACATTGATGCATTCTTCAGCAGGTCAACTGCATTTTTCACCTCTAGAATTTCTGTTTGAGTCTTTTTAATTATTTCAATTTTTGGTGAATTTATTTGATAGAATGCTGGATTCCTTTTCTGTGTTATTTTGAATTTCTTTGAGTTTCCTCAACACAACTATTTTGAAGTAATTGTCTGAAATGACACATATCTGTATGTCTCTGTAATTGGTCTCTAGTGACTTATTTAGTTCATTTGGTGAGGTCTTGTTTTCCTGGTTGTTCTTGATGCTTGTAGATCTTTGTCAGTGTCTGGGCATTGACGAGATGGGCATTTATTGTGATTTTCACAGTCTAAACTTGTTTGTGCCTATCCTTCTTGGGAAAGCTTTCCAAGTATTCGAAGGGATTTGGGCCCCAAGCCCAATAAAGCTGTTATTTCTCTTGTTATTGATTTCTAGTTTTATTCCAGAGAAGATGGAATTCCAGAGAAGATGGTTTTTGCAGACTCAAAGAGGTACTATCTTGACTGTCTTGGATAAGATATGGTAGAATTCTTTGGATTACCAGGCGGATACTCTTGTTATTTTCTTTTACATCCTCCCCCCAAAATAGTCTGTCTCTCTCTGTTTGAACCACCCAGAACTGGGGAGGGGGACACAAGCACCTCTGGGGAGGGGGACACAAGAACCACCTAGAACTGGGGAGGAGGACACAAGGCCATCACCACTGGTTCAGATCTGAAGTGAGCACAGCCCTAGGTCCCAGCCAAGGCCTGCTATAACCACTACCTAACTACCGTCTATGTTCACTCAAGGCCCTAGGGCTCTGTGATCAGCAAGTGGCAAAGCCAGCCTCGTTTGTGTCCCTCCCTTCAGGAAAGTGAGTTCTCCCAGGGCCTGGGTGGGCCCAGAGATGCTATCTGGAAGGCAGGGGTTAGAGTAAAAAAACCTTAGAAATTTACTTGATGTTCCATTCTACTGCAGCTAAGCTGGCATTCAAACTACAAGACAAAATACTTCCTACTCTTTCCTCCCATTTCCACAGGCATAAGAGGCTCTTTCTGTAGCCACCACCACCACCAGCCCACAGGGTATTCACCAGGCCACCCTAAGTGATGTGTCACATCAGTTCTATCACATCACATGTGAACTGATGTTCACATAGACCCCAAGGGCTCTTCAGTCAGCTTGTGGTGAATGATGCCACACTTGGGACTCACCCTTCAGGGCAGTGGGCTCATCTCTGGCCCAGGGCAGGTCCAGAACTGTCATCCAAGAGCCTAGACCTTGGCTCAGGGACCCCAAGAACCTGCTTGGTGCTCCACCCCACTGTGGTGGCTGAGCTTTTGCATAGGATGCAAGACAAAGTCCCCTTTAATTTTTCCTCCTTTTTTCAAACAGAAGGAGTTTTTCACCATAGCCACCACAGCTGGAAATGAGCTGGATCACACCTGAAGCCAGCATATCTGAGAGCCCAAGGCCCATGGCATACTACGGGGATTTTGCTCTTGGTTATTTGGGGCCCAAGGGTTCTTTAGTCAGTGGGTAATGAATCTTGTCAGGAATGGTTCCTTCCCTTCAAGGCAGTGGGTTCCCTTTTGGCCCAAGTTGTGTCTAGAAGTGTTGTCCATGAGCTAGGGCTTGGAATGCGGGCCTCTTGACTCTGCCTGGCACCCTATCCTACTGTGGCTGAGCTGGTATCAAAGGTGCAACACAAAGTTCTCTTTATTCTTTGCTTGCCTCTGCTCAGGCAGAAGAAAGGAGTCACTTTTGTTGTTGTGCACTCCACTGGCTGGGGTTGGGGAAGAAGTGGTGCAAGCACTCCCTTACCCACCTCATCTGATTTCTCCCTAGGTCACATGCCACCCTAGTCCACTAGCTCTAAGCCTAGCCCAGCACTAGGAGTTGCCTAGGAATTGGAGTCCTTGTGTCCTAGACTGCCTTTCAAGTTTATCTAGAACTTCACAGCACTTTGGCTCACAGTGGTGAGGCCTGCCAAGAAACACAAGTTCCAACTGCTATGATGGGTAATTCCTCTCTGGCTAGATCTGGTCCAAATTCTCCCTGCATGTGTGGGCATCAGCTGAGCACAGCATGGCTTTGCTCTCCACTATGACAGGACAGCATTGAGTCCAATGTAAAGCTCACCAGTTACTGTGCTTGCCCTCCCCCAAGCACAGAGATTCTGTCTCCATGCTGCTGGGGGATGGGGGTGGGATGGTATCCGTGATTCAGTACTATCTTTCCTACCCTGTTCAGTGCCTCTTTCACCACAGGAAGTTAAAAACAAGCACTTTTGGCTTAGGATTGACTTGGCGATGCGGGCTCTTTTTTGGTTCCATATGAACTTTAAAGTAGTTTTTTCCAATTCTGTGAAGAAAGTCATTGGTGGCTTGATGGGGATGGCATTGAATCTATAAATTACCTTGGGCAGTATGGCCATTTTCACGATATTGATTCTTCCTACCCATGAGCATGGAATGTTCTTCCATTGAAAGAACAAAGCTGGAGACATCATGCTACCTGACTTCAAACTATACTACAAGGCTACAGTAACCAAAACAGCATGGTACTGGTACCAAAACAGAGATATAGATCAATGGAACAGAACAGAGCCCTCAGAAATAATGCTGCATATCTACAACTATCTGATCTTTGACAAACCTGAGAAAAACAAGAAATGGGGAAAGGATTCCCTATTTAATAAATGGTGCTGGGAAAACTGGCTAGCCATATGTAGAAAGCTGAAACTGGATCCCTTCCTTACACCTTATACGAAAATTAATTCAAGATGGATTAAAGACTTAAACGTTAGACCTAAAACCATAAAAACCCTAGAAGAAAACCTAGGCATTACCATTCAGGACATAGGCATGGGCAAGGACTTCATGTCTAAAACACCAAAAGCAATGGCAACAAAAGCCAAAATTGACAAATGGGATCTAATTAAACTAAAGAGCTTCTGCACAGCACAAGAAACTACCATCAGAGTGAACAGGCAACCTACAAAATGAGAGAAAATTTTTGCAACCTACTCATCTGACAAAGGACTAATATCCAGAATCTACAATGAACTCAAACAAATTTACAAGAAAAAAACAACCCCATCAACAAGTGGGCGAAGGACATGAACAGACACTTCTCAAAAGAAGACATTTATGCAGCCAAAAAACACATGAAAAAATGCTTACCATCACTGGCCATCAGAGAAATGCAAATCAAAACCACAATGAGATACCATCTCACACCAGTTAGAATGGCAGTCATTAAAAAGTCAGGAAACAACAGGTGCTGGAGAGGATGTGGAGAAATAGGAACACTTTTACACTGTTGGTGGGACTGTAAACTAGTTCAACCATTGTGGAAGTCAGTGTGGCGATTCCTCAGGGATCTAGAACTAGAAATACCATTTGACCCAGCCATCCCATCGCTGGGTATATACCCAAAGGACTATAAATCATGCTTCTATAAAGACACATGCACACATATGTTTATTGCGGCACTACTCACAATAGCAAAGACTTGGAACCAACCCAAATGTCCAACAATGATAGACAGGATTAAGAAAATGTGGCACATATACACCATGGAATACTATGCAGCCATAAGAAATGATGAGTTCATGTCCTTTGTAGGGACATGGATGAAATTGGAAATCATCATTCTCAGTAAACTGTTGCAAGGACAAAAAACCAAACACTGCATATTCTCACTCATAGGTGGGAATTGAACAATGAGAACACATGGACACAGGAAGGGGAACATCACATTCTGGGGACTGTTGTGGGGTGGGGGAGGGGAGAGGGATAGCATTAGGAGATATACCTAATGCTAAATGACGAGTTACTGGGTGCAGCACACCAACATGGCACATGTATACATATGTAACTAACCTGCACATTGTTCACATGTACCCTAAAACTTAAAGTATAATAAAAAAAAACAAAACAAAAACAAGCACTTTGATTGTTCACTTGATTTTTGGTTCTTGTGATGGTGCTTTTTTTGTGTTTAGTTACTCGTAAAAATTTGGTATTCCTGCAGGGAAATGAATGGTGTAGGCTTCTATTTGACCATCTTGCTCCACCCTCTGGTAGCGTATTTTGAAGTTAGGTATTGTGATGTCTCCAGCTTGGTTCCTTTTGCTCAGGATCCCTTTAGCTATTCAGGGTCTTTTGTGATTCCATATGAATTTAAAATTTCTTTTTTTCAATTTCTGTGAAGATTGTCATAGGGTTTGCATTGAATCTGTAAATCACTTTGGGTAGTATGGACATTTTAATAATATTATTTCTTCCAACTAATGAACATGAAATATGCTTCCATTTATTGTGTCCTCTTCAGTTTTTTAGAGTAATGTTTTATAGTTTTTGTTGTGAATATTTTTCACCTCTGCTTACATTTATTCCTAGGTATTTTATTTTTTTCTAGTTATTATAAGTGGAATTGCTTTCTTGATTCCTTTTTCATATTATTCACTGCCACTGTGTAGATATTCTACTAATTTTGTATGTTAATTTTGTGTCTTAAAATTTTATTGAATTCATTTATCAACTCTGAAAATTGTTATGGTGGTGTCTTTAGGTTTTTCTAAATATAAGATCTTGTAATCAAAAAAGAACAATTTTATATCCTCCTTTCCAAATTGGATGTCCTTTATTTCTCTGTCTTACCTAATTGCTCTGGCTAGTACTTCCAGTATTTTGTTGCATATGAGTGGTGAGAGTGGGCATCCTTGTCTTGTTGTAGATCTTACAGGAATGGCTTTCAATTTGTCCTCATTCAGTATGATGATGTTAACTGTGGGTTTGTCATATATGACCTTTATTATATTAAGGTATTTTTCTTCTGTATCCAGTGTATTTAAAGATTTTATCATGAAAGGATGTTGAATTTTATTAAATGCTTAAGCTTTTTAAGCTTCTGTTCCTTCATCAGTAAAATCAGCACAATAATATTTCTTTCCACATAGGGTTTTTTTTAATTAACATTAAATAAAATTATGCATGTCACACATTTAACTCATAGTAGACTTGGAATAAAGAGTATTATTTTCTGTATTATATATTCAATTCAGAGACAATCTGTTAAGTACTGAGTGTTATGGTTGGGTACCATGGAGAAGACAACAAAATCAGGATCGCGCTCCTCAAAGAGTTAACAGCCCTTTGGAGAAGCAAACATGCCTATATAAAAACATAACAGTCATAAAAACCAAACAGCACGATTTTCTGTCAAGTGAATGTGTTAGATGAAAGATCACAAATGAGATTCTGTTTTAAAAACTAACTCTAATATATTGGCCTTGGCTGCTTGGAAAGACATGCTAGGAAGAATTCTGAGGGTAATAACAGAATGAGTAGAAAATAAAATGTCATAACTGATTAACAATATCTGCCAAGAAAACAGAGGAGAGACTGTCCATCAGAGAGTATTTTAGGTGGCGTGTTGGAACAAAGAATAAAATGCATTTTTTAGTATCTTTATGAAAACTATATTTTACTAATGTTATTCACTATATGGCATGGATATTGTTATTCTCATTACAACTGCAACTGAAACTCAGAGAAGTTAAATAATATGTCCAGCTCACACAGCTAGAAAAATGACATGGAATAAATCTGAAACCAATATGGATTTAAACACTCATAATCATCATAGTTCTGCATTGTTTGACAAGAGTGGTATAGCAGAGACTGAGTAAATCTTAGTCGTTTTCAATTTTTATTTAGTGTTTATTTTATATCCACAAAAACAGGACTTGATCCAGAAAACTCTCTGCCTGTAGACTAGCTCCTGGTATACAGTAATTACTTAATGTTGAATCAAGTGTAACATCTGGACTTAAACAGCTAAACGTTCTTTATGCGTAGAGGAAAAGACACCTGTAAAATGGCACCTGCTATTGGATTTTACCAGTTACTTTCATTTTTCTGGTTGCACAGTAGGCCTATATTTTTTACTTTTTATAAAAGTTAGGTTGGAGCCATGTAACTAGTATTATATCATGGCATATGGCGAAAACATACATGTCACTCTCAGTTGCAGCCTCTGCAATCTCTCATGAGATTCTTCGCCCAAGCATAATATTCTTTCACCAGGCCTGATGTAGGGGATCTAGCAGAGACCATCAAGAAGACCCAAGGAAACAGTGAAACCCTAAATGGTAAAAATATTTGAAACCTGTCATACTTCTTGGAGAGGAGCCATCTCTGAGAAAAGTCTAGTCCTTGTCAGTCTGCAATATAAGAAAAATAAAAGTGTTTTTCATGCAATGTCATTGAGATTTTTGTATTTTAGAACAGACAGCATTACTTCTCTTGCCTGACAGAGATTATCAAAAGGTAGTCAGTGAAGATGTGAGATTTCCATAGGGCCGGGAGGATACAGAGGTATGTCTTCTAGAGAGGGGACTCATTTACTGAGAAGCACATGTTGTGCACAGTATTCAGGGAATTGGGGTTGGAAATGTAGACAGTGGCTCAGATTGGAGCTCCAGTTAAACATTAAGAAGTTACTTGGTGTTCTGGTTATCCATTATTGTATAATGAACTACCCAAAGTATAATGACATAAAACATTAATCCTTCTATTCTATTCTATTCTATTCTATTCTATTCTATTCTATTCTATTCTATTCTAATTCTATTCTATTCTATTCTATTCTATTCTCTATTCTATTCTATTCTATTCTCTATTCTATTCTATTCTATATTCTATTCTATATTCTATTCTACTCTACTCTACTCTACTCTATTCTACTCTACTGTACTCTACTCTACTGTACTCTACTCTACTGTACTCTACTCTACTCTACTCTACTCTATTCTACTCTATTCTACTCTACTCTACTCTTTTCTTGGTCCAGAAATTTGGGCAGGACTCAGTTGGTTGAATCTTCTCTTCCATGTGGCATCAACAAAGATCACTTGGCTGTATTTGGTTGTCAGATGGGCTGTTACAGAAGATTCAAGATGGCTTTACTCCTATGTCAATTACTAAGTGTGGGCTAAGCTGGGGCTGTCAGTTGGTGTGCAGATATACAATTCTAAGGTCAGAACTGCAATAGGCAAGGTGGAAATCGGCAGTTTACTTACAGGCTAGTACTGGAACTGGCAATGCATCACTTCTTCCATTTTTGTTTCAGCAAGTCATTAATGCTACGAGATTTTACCTCTTAATGGTATCAGACGCCCACCTCTCAATGAAACAAGTAGCACAAACATGCATCCATCTTTAATGCCCTGTTTCTGGGATCTATGGAATCAGGTTTTTAGAGGAAGGGACCTGGCAGTATACATCTCTGCTTTCCCAGTACAAACCACTTAACCTACTGCCTGGGTTTCAATCAGCAAGTTACGACAAGCTTGTAGAATCACAATCACACTCTAAGCATACATCAAAAGAGATGTAAAAGGCAACTGAGTTTTACAGAATACCAACTACTGCTTCAAATGTTTAACCTTAATGTATTCTCAAAGTGATTCTATTTAGTTGTGTAGGTTTTATTCTTCCTGCATATTACTGAAAAGACAACCAAGGTTCAGTGAAAAAAAAAATTTCGTAAGATCAATCATGGCCAAAGTAGTATTCTTTCCACCACAGTATGCTTCCTTCCACATGTGCAGCTTAAATGTCCCCTGTTCAGAATGTGGACTTGGTGGTCAAGTTCTTCAGTTTCTTCCTGGCCCCTATCCACTGCCAGTACTAGATCAAAGCCTCTAATTCTTCTGTGACCATTTATCTTATCAGAACCAGAGGGAACTCAAGTCTCTGCCTTTCCCACCATGGGATTGTGAGGGATTGATAATAAGAATGAACCCTAAACTCCTTGCAAATATAAATGCTAAATAATAATAAGATGAAAAATGAGGGCAATAATATTGCTTCGAATGATGTTTAAGAGCCAGAGATGAAAGGCATTGTAAGAACCGCTATTAACTCTGCATATTCAAGTCCCCATTCTTCCTTTTCTGTTTTATCCTGTTTCTGAAATGCTTTATTAAGGCTCTTTAACAGTTTATTTTACTTTGTCTTATTTTTTTCTACTTTGAGAAATACTTCACTATATCACTGGAGACAATTTAGCCTTTTGTTCCATTTGAAGAAAGAAAGCAATGCAGGCTTACTTCAAAGAGGAGCTGATCAAAACCCATTGGGAATCTGGTAATGAAGAAACTTTGCTTTGTTTTCAAGCAGGGATATGAAATTATGCTATAAATTGTACAAGGCATCAGGAGGTGGTGGGGTGGTGGGTGAGGAGCAAGAGATGAATGCAAGTCAAAAATATTGGTCCCGTGGCCAGTGTTTCAGGCTACAACTCAGAGGTTCATGGAACCAGTTGGTTTTAGAATAGAAGGAAACTTACAGACGCTTTAATCCAACCGTCTACTCTACTCAGGCATCATTTCTGTGATGGCTCTTAAATAATCCCTGAGACCTGGAGCTCACTCATGATCGTCAGCCTATACTTATTTAGGGCAGCTTAAAGTGAAATGTCCTGTCTTAATCTGAAATTATATTTTACTTAAAAAAATAAAATCTACAGTTCCTGGCTCTGTCTTCCATGGGTTTCACAGAGCAAATTCTCTTCCATTTTTGGGGAAATTGAAGAGTTCGAGTTGTTTTAGCATGTGCTAACACCCACAACTCCTTCAGCTATTCCTGGAATGATTTTTGATAAGATTAATTCAGTATTCTGGGAGTCTATAAGAGGACTGGAGAAAGTAATTAGAGAAAAATATGGGTAGAAAAAAATTTGATTTTCTGACCGAAGCTGATAAACAGCTTTAGTGGGTGGAGAATAGCTAAGAGGTTGGAGAATGGTTTCCAAGCAGCAGACCTGACCTCTTCCCAGGAGGGAAGAGAGAAGAGGGCAGTCACAGGGACAGTGCAGGAAGGCTCTCTAAGATTGTTACCCAGATCATGTAGGCTGAAGGTCACTCTGCCAGAGTACTGAGGGGTGATTAATGCTGCTTTGCAGGAGAAAGAAGGAGGTGATCACCTTAATTAGGTGGGTGGAGACAGATTAGTGGAATAATAGAGAGGGAGGGAACAGGTTAGAATTGCATCTCGTTAAGAAGTTCAGATAAAGGGATGAAGGAAAAGAAGTAGGAAAAGGTTAAGGGAGAGCAAGGGAGAGCAAAGGCAGGAAAGAGCTTTATGTGAAACTTGGAAATTAAATTCATTATTCAAAAGCATGTATGCGTGTGTTCTGTGAAGTTTCCAGGGAAATCTTCCCTCTACTCTCTGTTCTTTCTTTATTGGATGTAATTTAACTAGGTTTATGTGGGTTGTCAGACATATTTTATATATATATAAAGTTTCTTCATTACATATATATATATGTAATGTACATACCAATTCTGCTTTTCTTTCAAAACTATCTAATTTAGCTACTAGTCTTCAAGTATCCAAGAAAAGTATGCAGCATACTAGGTAATAGATTCTTCCAGGGGTATGATGGCAAGTGTTTAACATCTGACTGCAGCGGAGAAAAAAGGCCCTGACTTAAGCCTGAGTCATTGGCTAAATTCTGTGGTATAAATACTCCTACCATGGCTCATTACAATCTACCGACAAGACAGCACTGAACACTGGAGTCAGAAGACATGCACAATAGCACATGATTATGTAGTACTTGCACATAAAGATAAAAATAGACATAAATAAAGTCAAGAACATAGATGATGGCAAAATGTAGAAAATAATGAACAAGTAATGAGTTTTAAGGATTTATTAACTTTGTTTTTAATATAATTTATTTAATTGTAACTGTATATAAGTTATATAAGTTAATGTTTACTAAGGATTCAGATTAACAGCTGGCTTGCAAAATTCCTGAAAATGTATAAATCTGCTTGTGAACCAGTACAGGCTGTCCCTGATACACCACTCGGCCCTTCTCTGTTTTTAATTATGAGGTTATATTTTGACTAAGTTCGAGGTGAAAAATAATGTTGGCATGGTCTGGATAAATGTGCAGGTTGGGGAGACTAAAAAGATAAATGAAGAGTATCCATTTATTTTAACTCAGCAACAATAGTATATATGTGTTATATAATAAATAATGTGTTTATGTAATAAACTGTAATGTATATATTACATTAGCATATATTGGTTTATATAGTGTATATATTAGTATTTATATATTACAGTAGATAGCTAGTCAGGCATGAGCAGGGCAGGAGAGGGCTCCACCTGTGACACCAGGAATATGAGCCAACCATCAGGTGATGGTAAGGTGGTTGTTACACTGTTTATCTAAAGTAATAATTGGTCCCAGCAGGTGCCCGTGAAAGACAGTCTCCCAATAGATGGAAAAATCTTGAAACTGGTGAGCAGCAGCTTCCTGATAAGATCTCAGGAATCTGACAAGTGGGCTCAAGCATGTGCATTAAGAGGCAAAATTGTGGCATTTAATTGGCATATGAGCTTTCAGGGACATTCAACTGGTAAGGGAAGAACGCCTCAAGTGAGTGTGCATACAACTTCAGTGAACACACTGAGCACGCGGCCCCTCCCAAGTGCTGGCAGGCCACTGTGCAGGCAGACAGCCCACCCCAAGGGAAGAATCAGGGGAGAAGTAACAATAATGCAAGACACCAGAAGAATGCCAACATATAAAATCCCAAGTCAAAGGTCAAATGAGGCACTTGTCTTTCAAGCCCACCACCTTGTCCTCTTCCAAGTGGGCTTTCCTTCCTTTTGTTCCTACTCTAAAGCTTTTTAATAAAATTTTCTTTCTGCTCTAAAACTTGACTCAGTCTCTCCTTCTGCCTTCTGCCTCCTAGGTTGAATTCTTTCTTCTGAGGAGGTAGAACTGAGGTTGCTGCAGACTCATATGAATTTGAGACCACTAACATATATTACTAATATATATACTGTACTAGTATTTGTACATATTAATAATATACATACAAATATATATTAGTGTATATGCTAATATATCTAATAGTCTTAGATATATAAGTATATATGTATATATGTATTAGTCTATATATATAGACTAATCACAACTCATTCTTATGTATCCATAAAATGAATCCTCTAAAGCTGAGCCCTCAACCACGCTTAATTAAGTTAAAGCATTTCTTTGTGTATTTCAAGATCAATTATTATTATTATTATTATTATTTTCTGTAAACTTAGCTATATGATTCAGACCATGAGTGTTTCTGAAGCTCCAATAAGAGAAATATTCCATGAACTCCACAGAGGATGAGACATACGGCAGCCTTGAAGTACGTTTGGAGACATAGAGAAGAAAAGGTAGAGTTAAAAACAGAGACTTTGGTAATAATACATATATATGTTGCCTCTGATAATTTGTGGAATCAGTGGAATATTGAGACTTATAGAAAAGTTTGAGCTTCAAACTTACAGTTAGTAATTTTGGCCTGTTTTAAGGATAATTTGTAATCACTTGGACAGAAAATTTCTAATATAAGAAAGAAATAAAAACTTGAGATATTTAAGTTTTTCAATCAAATTAATTAATCATATGAACAGAATCATATGACTATTAACTACCTAAGAGAATAGTAACCTCAAGAACACTTCAAGAAATTTAGATGAACCCATTTTCATGCTGACCATGTATAGATTATATATAAATTTGATATTATGTATAGATTATATATGTATAGATTATATACAAATTTGATATTAACTAAGAGTTTTGAGAGAATCATTTTAATGTTCATTGATGTGGCGATTTTACTGCAATTGTAAGGTGGTACATGTGTGCCTATGTGTCTAAAAGATAAACAGAGTGAGATTAAATACATCTTCTGTATACATGTATATATGGATTTAGTTCTAAAATAGAAATCAACTTTTACATTTATAAAACACATGAACACAATCTCACTTTCCCTTTTTAACACTATATATTAGCCTTGACATTGTTTAAGTCATGGGCAATTTAAACATCTATACATAAGTGTGTACATCTATCTACATTATGGATACTTCTACATCTATAATGATAAAACTAACATTTTTTGTTACTTACTCTGTGCTAGGCTTTTCTGAGCACTTTACATAAATTATCACCTTTATTGGTAATAATTGCCACAAGAAAAAGTTATAATTGTTATCCTCATTTTACCCATATGAAACTTGAGTCACAGAGGTTAAGTGACTTGCCAAAAGCCACACAGCTGTTGGCAAAACCATGTAATGTTTCTCTAAAATTCATGTTATTTACTGGGACATAATCTCAGCTTCTTCAACTGTGATGTTATCATTACCATAATAGTTGGTAACAAAAAATACTCTATTTGTTCACTTGAATTCAAAGCCTCATTAATTGTTGGAAGTTAGAAAAGTGGGCTGCACAATTAGAACGTGTCTTTCTCTTAAATACTTGTGTCAATTTAGTGCCGCCTTCTCTAAAAAACTTCCATGAATACCTGCCTTGGCCTCTTGTTACCACTACCATACTTTTAATATCTCGCTGTCAAATTCTCCCTCTCCAGTTTCTTCTATTCACTTTGCAAATGATCTCAGACTTAATCTCAACGATGACTGTTTCTATTTATATATTGCATTTATTTCTATTTGCCTCTTTTTGATTTTAGCATTTTACTTATCTACTACAAGTCTATCCCAGGCATTTAACATTTTTTAAACCTTACTGAAAATTCACATTCCTTTAACTTAACTTTACCTGTTTCACTTGGGAATTATATTGCTTCATAAGCTCTTTATTCATTGGTGAGTACATTTTTACCAACATAAAATTTAATTCCAACTATGTGCCAAACAGAATTTAGAACACCTGGGATACAGGGATTAAAAATAAAAATAGATCATCCCTAGCCTCAAGGAGCGAGTCTCTAACTTCACTGCATATTAGAATCACTGGGATGTGTGTGTGTATATATATATATATATATATATACACACACATATTTATATATATTCTTGGGAATATATATGAATTCTTAAAGCGCAGGCTACACTCCACACCAATTAAATCAGAAGCTCTGAGTAGGAAAATCCCAGACCATAGTTTTGTTTTTTCTTTGTTTGTTTGTTTTGTTTTGTTTTAACTTCTCAGGTGATTCCAATGTGCAGCCAAGTTGGAGAAATACTCTATTACGGGACACAAACATATCTAGAAATTATTAATAATAGAAATGTGCACAAAGTACAGAGGTAGCAGAGGCAAAATAATGATGTACTCTGCTTTTGGAAAGGGTCTCAGAGGATTTCTTTGGAGAGAAGCTAGGTTTTATTTAATGAAGAAGAAAGGGTGAACATTTCAAGAACCCTAAGCATATCCATGTTGCCTGAACATAAAGTAGTAAACAAAAAGTGTCAAGAGAGGAGATTTAAAAAGCGGTCAAGAAGAAAGATCATGAAAACCAATCTATGCTTTTTTAAGGAGCTTGTACTTGTATTCTGGCTAATAGGTTAAACTTTAAATAATATACAAAAAGACCCCACCATACTTACCTAAATTTTAGTGGAAGTAGTTAACGGGTAGAAAGAGACTAGCAAAGAAATGGGAGACCAGTTAGGAATTGTTGCAGTATTCCACCAAAAGTTGAAGGTGGTCTAGATGAAGATAGTGGTAGTGTAGGTAAAAAAAAAAAAATGAAAGGATTCATGATTCATTTTGGAAAAGAGTCTACACTTACAGATAGATTTATAAGGGATTGGTTATTAGTGATGAGAGAGGGAGAAAAAAAACAGAAAGACAGAGATAGAGAGGGGGAAAGAGACACAGAAGATAATTAGAATCACAGGAGATTTTATTTTTTTGGCTTAAGAACCCAGATCTGTACTGAACTCATTTTTCCAAAAGAGGATGGCTGAGGGGAAAAACAAACAAAACAATTTTGGGAAAAACTTACTCAGTTTCCCCCAAACATTCGGTTAAGTTCAGTTTTATCCACTTTAACCTTGAGATGTTTATGGAAATGGAAGACACAGAGTGTGTCTAAAGCAGAGAGAGTCATTGATTGTGTTAAAAGATCCTGAGGATGGTAAGAACAACATACATCAGGTTATTGGTGATTTTGATGACATATATTCTAGCATGGTGGTGATACAAATCGAAATGGAGCAAGTTGAAGAACAAATGAAAGATGAGGAAGTTGAACTATCAAGTTAACAATGTTGAGGAGGGGGAAAACGTGAAGATAACTAGAGGGAAAAATGAGGTCAGAATAAAGTTTCTTTGATTTAATGGGCAATAGTATATGTTATGTATGCTCATGAGACTGATTCAGCAGAAAGGGAGAGACTGATGATGCAAAAGAGAGGAAAGAAGGAATATGTGTAAAGGAAAAGCCCTTGAAAAAATGAAAATTGTTAGGATCTAAAGTTCATATACAGGGACTGACTTTTGATAGAAGAATATGGGTAAAGAAGCAGGTGGATTTGTGGATTTGTGAATATAAAGTGAAGAGGCTCCAATCAGATGGCTTCTGTTTTTTTAATGAAGGACTGTCATGTATGGTAACTCCTTTTCCAATCTACTGTGATACTTTTAAGTAGTAGGCTACTTGTCTCATTGAAACTTCCAGAAAAGAAGGCCTAGCAAAATTAGCAACAGACATGGGGGAGAATCATAATGACAATCTATATTATCACTAGCACCACTACTTCTATTGTTGTTGTTGTTGTTGTTGTTATTATTATTATTATTATTATTATTATTTGAGATGGAGTCTTGCTCTGTCACCCAGGCTGGAGTGCAGTGGTGCGGTCTCGGCTCACTGCAACCTCCGCCTGCCAGTTTCAAGCAATTCTTCTGCCTCAGCCTCCTGAATAGCTGGAACTACAGGCACGTGCCACCATGTCCAGCTAATTTTTATATTTTTATTAGAGACGGGGTTTCGCCAGATTGGCCAGGCTTGTCTCGCACTCCCAACCTCATGATCTGCCCACCTTGGCCTCCCAAAGTGCTGGGATTACAGGCATGAGCCACCGGGCCCGGCCGTAATTATTATCATCATCATCCTAGCACCACTACTTCTATTGTAATTATTATCAACACCCCATTATTTCAACTTTGATTTATTAAATGTTACTATGTGCCAAAAACTGTGCCAACAACTGACATTTATTTTATTGAAAAGGTTTACTGAGAAAGGTTTCAAGCTGGGTATAAACAGCTTGTTTCTTGTTTCTGCTTAAAAATAAGAAACATCTTACTTGAATCATGTTCCTCCACAAGGCCCAGTGTGGCCTTTCATGGAGTAGGTATGATAGGTGAATTTAAAAATGGGCAGATAAATGTTAACCAGTGCATATGTCACGCTGCTGATGTATCTGTTTCTTTGTTTTTCCTCACTGGTTCTCTGCTATGAGTGGTACCGTGCTTGGCTGACACCCAAAAAAAAGAAACAGGAATGGAAGAGAAGCTAGACTTGGGTATTTTGTCCTTGAGTAGGACAGTGGTGACTTGAAGTTGTCCACAACTCCTGAAAGTGTCATGAGAGGGCAGGATGGCAGAGAGTATGTTGGTAACTGGATAAGTTCAAATAGAACAACAAGTGCATTTAGTTATTTCTCTAAACGAGTGCATTTATATTCTCTAAACTAGTGCATTTAGTTTTCTCTAAAGAAAGGAAGTGGGCCAGGTATAGTGGTTTACACCTGCAATTCTAACACTTTAAGTGGCCAAGGCGGGAGGATTACTTGAGCCCACGATTTCGAGACCAGCCTGGGCAACATGGTGAAACCTTGTCTCTACAAAAAATACAAAAATTATCTGGGTGTGGTGGCATGCACCTGTAGTCCCTGCTACTCAGGAGGCTGAGGTGGAAGGATAGCTAGAGCCCTGGGAGGTCAAGGCTGCAGTGAGCCATGATTACATCACTGTACTCCAGCCTGGACGACAGAGAAAGACCCTGTCTCGAAAGAAAGAAAGAAAGACAGAAAGAAAGAAAGAGAGAGAGAGACACAGAGAGAGAGAGAGAGAGAGAAAGAAAGAAAGAAGGAAAGAAAGAAAGAGATTAAAAAGAAAATATAAAAAGGTGGTGAGGTATGTGGGAAAACTAAACCAAAACAAGCAAAATGAAATAAATATCTATTGAGTGCCCATTGTATTTAAGCCTTATACTTTAAGATTTGTGAGGTGTTTGGTACAGGGTGTGTGTGTGTGTGTGTGTGTGTGTGTGTGTGTGACGTTTGAGCCTGACAAGGCAGGTATTATTTCTCCCGTTATCTGGAGGAAAAAAAATTCATGAAGCTGGCAAGTGGCAGAGTGAAGATTAACATCCAGGACTAAAAGATTTTACTTTCCTCTCTATCTCACTGAAGCTCCAGAAATCTAGTTCATAACTTCCCTCTTCCTCTTTACCTTTTGCATAGTGATAATGCCATTGCACAACGATGAACCAACACGCAAATCTTCACTCTAGTGTCTTTTGGACCAAGATTGTGGTGTGGAACACTAAGAATGGCTTTCTGGGAATTAGTTTAACTTCTTTCTACTCTCCCTAAGGAATGTTCTGCCTCCCTTCCTTCCCATCTGTCTAAGCTCTTCTTATATTTCCTATTGAAAACATTTGGATCTCCTATTCCTCTCTACTCCCTTACTTGAATGACAAATCTTTGCCAGGGCTTTTAGATAATTCAGTTGATGAATCAGAGCAGTGGCAGTATTTTACTTTTGACATAGTTTTAAGAATAAAATTAACTTTCTCCCCTACCCCCCTTTTTCCCAAAATTTTTTTAACTTTTATTTTAGATTTGAGGGTACATATGAAGGTTTGTTATATAAGTAAGCTCATGACATGGGGGTTTCATGTACAGATTATTTCATCACCCAGGTATTAAGCCTAGTGCCCAATAGTTATTTTTTTCTGCTCCTCTCCCTCTTCCCACCATCCACCCTGAATTAGAGCCTGGTGTCTGTCATTCCCTTTTTTATGTCCATGTATTCTCATTATTTAGTTCCCACTTTTAAGTGAGAACATGCAGTATTTGTTTTTCTTTCCTGCATTTGTTTTCTAAGGGTAATAGCCTTCAGCTCCATCCATGTTCCATCAAAAGACATAATCTCATTTTTTAATGGCTACATAGTATTCCATGGTGTATATGTACCACATTTTCTTGATCCAATCTGTCATTGATGGGCATTTAGGTTGATTCCATGTCTTTCTTCTTGTAGATAGTGTTACAATGAACATTTGCATGCATGTGTCTTTATGGTAGAATGATTTATATTCCTATGATGATATGCCCAGTAATGGAATTGCTGGGTCAAATGGAAGTTCTGCTTTTAGCAATTTGAGGAATCACCACACTGTCTTCCACAATGGCTGAACTAATTTACACTCCCATCAAAAGTGTATGTGTTCCTTTTTCTCTGCAACATCACTAGCATCTGTTGTTTTTTTACTTTATAATAATGGCTATCCTGTCTGATATGTGATGGTATCTCATTGTGGTTTTGATTTGCATTTTCCTAATGGTCAGTGATGTTGAGCTTTTTTCATATGCTTGTTGGCTGTATGTATGTCTTCTTTTGAAAAATGTCTGTTCATGTTCTTTGCCCACTTTTTAATGGGGCTGTTTATTTTTCTCTTGCAAATTTGTTTAAGTTCCTTATAGATGCTGAATATTAGGTCTTTGTCAGATGCTTAGTTTGCAAAAACTTTCTCCCATTCTGTAGCTTGTCTGTTTACTCTGTTGATAGTTTCTTTTGCTGTGCAGAGGCTCTTCAGTTTAACTAGATTGCATTTGTCAATTTTTGCTTTTGTTGTGATTGCTTTTGATGTCTTTGTCATGAAATCTTTGCCTGTTCCTATGTCCAGGATTGTATAGTCTAGGTTGTCTTCTAGGTTGTTTGTTTATAGTTTTGAGTTTTACATTTAAGGCTTTAACTCATCTTGAGTTGATTTTTGTATATGGCATAAGTAAGAGATCCAGCTTCAATCTTTTGCATATGGCTAGCCAGTTATCCCAGCACCATTTATTGAATAGGAAGTCTTTTACCATTACATGTTTTTGTAAGCTTTGTCAAAGATCATATGATTGTAGGTGTATTGCCTTGTTTCTGGGCTCTCTATTCTGTTCTATTGGTCTACGTGCCTGTTTTTGTGCCAGTACCATGCTGTTTTGAATTCTGTAGCCCTGTAGTGTAGTTTGAAGTTGGGTGACGAGATGTCTTCGGCTTAATTCTTTTTGCTTAAGATTGCCTTCCTTATTTGGGGATTTTGGTTCCATATTGATTTTAAAATATTTTTTTCTAGTTCTGTGAAGAATGTCATTGGTAGTTTGATAGGTATAGCATTGTACCTATAAATTGCTTTGGGCAGTATGGCATTTTAATGATATTGAGTCTTTCCATGAGCATGGGATGTTTTTCCATTTGTTGGTATCTTCTCTCATTTCTTTGAGCAGTGTTTTGTAATTTTTATTGTAGAGATCTTTCACCTCCCTGGTTAGCTGTATTCTTTACTGGGTGTCTACTCTAGGCCAGGATATTGGGCAGGTACATGAAAAAAAAGAAAAAAGGAACTAGCTTATAGTGAGTGGCTGCAATAATATCAGTATTATGAAAATGTGACCTCTCTTTTTCACAGCTCTATATAATTGGTACTGCTATTTCTCAGAGACAGAGGTAGAGATTGATTTTCAAAGATTCAGTAACTTGTTTAAACTCACAAAGCTAATAAAGGAGCTACAGTTTCAACCAGGTGGGAGTAACTCTAAAATATTAAATATGTTCTTCTCACTAACTCCACCCTGCTGCCTCCAGAAAATGAAGAAATCAGTGCCACTTTCAAGTATTTTAAGGACTAGTGGTAAAGTGAGTCTCACATGTGAGTAATCACTGTTCACTGTTGTAAAATACTGGCCAAAGGTAATTATTAATGGTACAGATGTTGAAGTCAAAGGAATTAGAGCACTCATCCTGGCTCTGCCACCCTTGGTGACAGGACCTTAAGCATGTGCTAAATGTATCTAACACATTTATTAGGTAAACTAAATGAGAAAAGTTATATACCATGTTTAGGAACAATCCTTACATGTTAAGCATTTAATAAATGAAAGCTAGTTATTAATACTAACATTAATGGCTCATAAAAGGTGAACATGAAGTACAAGAGAAACCAAGAACCCAGAGCCACTGACTTTCCCTGGGAAACTGCATGGAAGGCTTGATAAAGAAGACCACAATTTGAATTAGATATGACTGAAGAAGATTGGCGTAGAAAGGGACTGCCAGGGAAAATGTAGAGGGCATGAACGGTCCGGACAGCCAGGTAGGGCTGGAGTGTGTTCAACTCCCTCAGGCCTTAAACGTCTTGCAGAAGCCTTTGAACTTTGTTGTATAAGCCACAGGAAACCCTTAGACATCTTTAATCGAGAGAGTAATGTGATATTGTTGGTTTTAACATCACTGTGACTACCATGTGATGTGTCGTCTAGAAGACCGAAGAATCTGCTCTCACATTCTTCATTCCTGCTGCATAGACACCCTCTTGGGTCCTGGATGTCTCAGTCTGTGAAATCACATTCAGGGGGTATGGGTGTGGGATGGGGAGAGACAGAGAGAGAAAGCAAAACAACCAGAGGGGGGAAGGCAGGTCCCAGGAGACCCAACAGAGATGTCCTCACGTTGTTCTAGCATGAATAAAATGAGAAAAACAAGGAGCACATTACAAACAAGAACATGTGTATGCATTTATTAACATTTCCAACGTGGATTTAATTTTCGGTGCGCATCTCGCCTACACAGAGCCCAGTGTGTTTCAGCTAACCTCTCGTTAAGTTGCGTGCAAGCCATCTTTTTAACGTGTCCTCTAGGAAAATCTTCAAAGAGATTCTGTAATCTTGCTTCTAAATGGCTTTCAAAATGCTGTTTATATTCATTCTTTTACCAGCGTCCAGCTCTCACTCTTCATTCATCACGCCCCACTCCCTGTCAACACACACATGCACACTCTCTACTATTTGAACCTTTACCTTTTAGAGCAAAGAGTGGCTTTCCATTTTGGCAGGCACCTTGGTAGAGTTGAAGCAAAGTATATGAGCTTTGGGATCAGACAGACCTGGCTCTGCCACTAACTGGCTGTTTTGTCTAGGACACTTATTGTCACCTTTACAAGGCAAGAGATCACCGTTTGTAAAATTTGGACAGTAATAGAAACTGCCTCTGTGTTATTGCAGTTTAAATGAGATGGTGTCTACAAAGCTTTTAGCACACCGCAAGGCACATATGAAACACACTAAATTGTATGGCTATTCTCAATTCTTTCATATTATTATTATCATCCTCTAGAAATGAGTTCATATGGTGTTTTTCTATCAGTTATTAACTACATTTCTTAATGTGTGTTAAGTTTTATCATTTGTAAACAGTATTAATATGTAAACATTTATCTTGCAATGTTGTATTAGGACAAAATTACGTGAGCTAATACTTATTGAGTCTTTTTTATATGCCCAGCACGAATTCTAAGCAATTTATGTGGTTTATTTATTTTAATACTCTTAACTATTAATGAAGTAGGCATAATTAGTGCCCTTATTTTATAAATGGGAAGAGTTAGGTACAAACAGGTTAAATAATTTGACAAGACCACAGAGCTAATAAGTGGTATTAACATTCAAACCTATGTACTGAAGCTCTGGAGCCTATTTCAATCTCCCTACTCCACTTGCCCCATGAAATAGCAGAACTGCAAGCATCTGGCATGGTTCACTAGGCTTAGCTGATTTGTAATGTTAATTTCATTCACCAGATCCCTCCCTGACACGGGAAACAAATATGGCCTCTGCAGTCTGAGAAGAGCAAGGGGAGGATAAAAGTCAGGTTAGCATGACAATGCAAGATGTGAATAAAGTGACTATATGTCATCATGAGAGAACCAACTTTGAGCCCATTGGTGTACATGGCTTGGGATAAAGGAATAAGCAAGAGAAGTAAATGATCTGCCCTCAAGAGAAGTTGGGGAAGTAAATGCTCCCTGCCCTCAAAGAACTTTATATCTACTAAAGGAAGTGGCATGTGTGTCATTCCCAATGACCCAATGCATATTTACAAATGAACCTTATGAGGTACTATAGATTTAGGAGAAAAGATATTCATTTCCACACTGTAGCAAAAAATGTGATGATCACAGGGCATTTTTTTTTAAAAAAGGAATAATATAAGCTCTACTAGAAAATAAAGTAGGATATATTCTATAATACTCCCCATTCCTAGTCCATTCCCCACTTGAAAATGAATAAAAATGTTGTGAGGAGATAGACTTAGGATAAATGTGTACATTTACCCTTTACATAGGTGAAAGAAAATCCCTGCAATGCATCCCAGAAGATTGTGGAAACAGCATATCTAAATGCACAGTAGCCTACATAATGCATTTACATAGATGATAAAAAACCATATGGGTGTTGAGCCAACTCTTCAATCGACCTGACAACTGTCCCTTAAATCAGTTTGTGAATAAAAACATCTGCCCAAAGGAGTAATAGACCAAATGTAGAAAGATAAATCAGGTGTGTTGTATTTTACCAGGTTTTCCATGAGGATCAAGTACGATCACCTGGATAACAGAAACCTAGCAATAGCATATATTAAAGGGATTGTTATGGCTTCTACTATTGTTAACCTTACTCAATCCAAGGTTCAGTACCTTTAGTAACAGTCAAGAACCAAGACATAAACACAAATAGACCTGAAGGATTTCTGTCTGTGTTTGTTTGATATAGGGTGTTGTTGTCTAGGCTGGAGTGCAGTGGAGCAATCAAGGCTCACTGCAGCCTCGACCTCCTGGGCTCAAGCCATCGTCCCTCAGCTACTCCTAGGAAGCTGTGTGTGTGTGCGCGTGTGTGTGTGTGTGTGACTACAGGTGTGCACCACTGTGCCTGGCTAATTAAAAAAAAAATTAATGTTTTGTAGAGATAAGGTCTTACTATGTTTCCCAGACCGGTCTCAAATTCCTGGACTAAAGTGATTCTCCCACCTCAGCCTCCCAAAGTGCTGGGATTACAGGTATGAGCCACCACTCTCAACCCTGAAGGAATTTTTGATATCGTAAGCAGCTTGTTTTTAATGGTGTTCTTGTGGCCCATTCCTGGTCACACAATTTCCTGAGAACCAAGAGGACGGGGAGAAGCACACAACAAAGTCAAGCCACACATTTAGCACAAAAACAAGGATGCCATCTTGGAACAATATTTCTCAGTCTTCCTGAAACCCATATTACCCTTTGGATAGACATAAAAATTTCATAATCTTGGTTAATAGCACTTCAAATGTCAAAGTAAATACTTTCACAGGAAAAAATTAAAGGAACAAAAAAATTTAACAAAGAGACAACAAATCATAAAAATGGCAATTTTTTATCCTTTTTTTCAAACTATCTCTCTCTCTCTGACACACACACACGCACGCACACACACACACACACACACACACACACAGAGTTTTTCCTCAGGTTCTCTGGGGAATGTCTCCTTTCCCTCCTGGCTCTGACAGATGAAAAGTGACTATAGAATATTTGGCAACTAGGATGGACACTGAGGCAAACAAAACCAATAGGCAAAAAACATAGAAAACAGGTAAATTTTAGTCCACTCAATACAGGAATATACACCTTTCTACAAACTGGTGGATCCTGAGGTTTTCACTGCATCACAGCAAGAGCAATTGTCAGTTTTCATAACCATGACTCTGAGGTGCTAAGATAAGGTACCGTTATGTCCCAAACCTTCTGCTTAAGAAAGTAGTTACAGTCGTAGTGACAGGGGCTTGATTAGATCTCAGATCTCTGGAGTTCCAAGTGCTTCCCATAATCTCTCAGCTACCTGGAAAATTTATTACTATTCCGTTATATATCTTGAGTCATAATTTTCTAATTTATATTTTTCTTTGCACATTTTTCCCCAGGCTTGTGTGTATGTGTGTGTGTGTGTGCGCCCTTGAATTAAAGCCATGATTTTGGTGTTTGAATCCTGGGTCTATCACTTGTTGCTGGGTAAATTTGTGTTTAAGTCACTTAACTGTTCCAGAATACACTTTCTTATTTATGAAAATTTACACTTAGAAGGTGTGTGACTTTGGACAAGTTACTTACCCTGTTTCTTCCTCATTATTCTCATCTGTGATCTAAGCATTACAATGCCCATCATGGAGTTACTTTGATAATTCAGTTAAAGAATGTAAAGGGAACCTGATTTCTCAATAAATGTTTGACATCTTTGATTATAAATTATCAATATGGTAATTAATGCAAATAATATCATTACTGCTAATAAGGCATCATTTTATTTACTTGTAAACTTATTGAGGGTAGCAGCTAAATCTTGATATTTTGTGTCCACCAGATGATATATAAACGTAACAAAATAAAATAAAAAGAGTACATAATGTGCAGTAGATTAAAACAAGCAAGCAGTCCTGAGTAGTGGCTCACACTTGTAATCCCAGCACTTTGGGAGGCTGAGGTAGGAGGATCACTTGAACCCAGAGTTTGAGACCAGCCTGGCCATCATAGCTAGACTCTCTCTCTCTCTACAGAACATTTAAAAAATTAGCTGCATGTGGTAATGCACACCTGTAGTCCCAGCTACTTGGGAGGCTGAGATGGGAGGACTTCTTGGGTCTGAGATGTCAAGTCTGCAGTGAGCTGGGATCACACCATTGCCCCTCAACCTAGGCAACAGAGGAGGACCCTGTCAACAACAACAACAACAAAAAACAATATTTGGTGGAAGTTGTATATGTAATTCCATCACAATGTCATTACAATAAAGGGAAATAAGCTGTGCAGCTTTCTGCTGCCTATGTACCAAGCTAATGCCTCTAGGCTTAGCCCAAGAAATCTTTTCAGGCTGTGTGACCCAGGAGAACCTTTGGGAACTCAGGAACCTTGGCAGAAACTACTAAGAGTTAGGAAAGGAGATGGGGGCAGGTAAGGGAGGATCTTCCCAACTCTTTCTTTGCTCAAAGAATCTCCTAGCTAAAAGTAACCCAAGCACTGGGAAGATTAGGCTAAACCATCCTATAAACAGTAAATTAGCCAAAGAGAACAGGGAACTAAGATTCTGCCAAACATAAAATTAGTACACTAGGGGCCAATGTTTGTTGTTTCTTTGTTTCGAGGAAGAGTCTTGCCCTGTTAGCCAGGGTAGAGTGTGGTGGCACCATCTCGGCTCACTGAAGCCTCCTGGGCTCAAGTGATCCTCTCTCCTGGGCTCAGGCAATCCTCCCACCTCACTCTCCCAAGTAGCTCAGACTACAGGCACATGCCAACATGCTTGGAGAATTTTTTTTTTTAATTTTTTGTACAGGTGAGGTCTCAGTATATCTCCCAGACTGGTCTTGAACCTTAAGCGATCCTCTCACCTCCACCTGAAATCCCAAAGTGCTGGTGTTCAAAGTGTTCAAACCAGCACAGTGTTTACTGGTTTCATATTTTGCAATTTTAACAACTGCTTAAAGAAATAAATTATATAGGCCGGGCGCAGTGGCTACAACTGTAATCCCAGCACTTTGGGAGGCCAAGGCAGGCTAATCACACAGTCAAAAGATACAGACTATCCTGTAGATCAGGTGAAACCCGATCTCTACTAAAAATACAAAAATTAGCCGGGCGTGGTGGTGGGTGCCTGTAGTCCCAGTTACTCGGGAGGCTGAGGCAGGAGAATTGCTTGAACCTGGGAGGCAGAGGTTGCAATGAGCTGAGATCGCGCCACTGTACTCCAGCCTGGTGAAAGAGCAAGACTCATTCTCAAAAATAAATAAATAAATAATATAAGTATTATGCATTCATTTCAGAGAATTAGAAAAATCAGAAAACTACGACTCATTTGTATATAATCTTAACAGAACATAGATTTCATTAATAAGAATTATACTGTATATTATTAGCATAGATTTTTACAAACTTTTCATTTTTATTTTATACACTCAGCCTTTGATTCATGTAAAATTATGGATTTCTTGCTCTGCATCAGTCATGCCTGCTGTGTCCAGCATCAGGAACTTAGCACAATCTAATCCCTCAGCTTTGAATGCTTCTCTTTTGACTTGTCACATGACACATTCCCTTACTTTCTTTATCCTTCTACTGAAACAGTCACCTTGTCAGAGGCCTTCTCAGGTTGTAAGATAAGCTCTGTGAGTTCAGGGCCTTTGTTTCATTTGTATCATATTTCTAGAATCTAGTACAGTATCTAGCACATTGTATGTGCCCAGTAATATTTGCTTAACACATGCAATGTTGAGTAAGAAATTATTTTTTTCCCATTCAGAAGTCAAGGGAAATGATATAAGTGAGGTGACAGGGCTTGCTTATGGCTAAAAAATAGCAGAATAGGACATCATGTCAATTCTCCTAATTTCTAACCACATGCTGTCTCCCACTTAGCTCGGTTCTGCCTCTGATGTAACTGGCTGTGTGCACAGAGCCAGCACGGCTCTGCATAGAGCTGTAGCAATGCAACATGCTCAGTAAATGGATCTGAGTCCTGGTACTTAAGGGAAAAAAAAAGTGCACCGTTGTACAATTGACCTCCTATTTATCTTTTTGAGGGCCCCATTTTGGGAAATGCTAACGGGAAGAAAATAAATAGCTCCAAAGCAGCCGCAGGAACTATAAACCCTATCTTTGTTCCAAAGAGTGGCCCTTGCCCCACTTAGCCTATAGAATCATGTGTTGAGGACTTAGCCCAAGCTCTGCCCCATGATCTTGAGCCGGGTGCATCCTCTCCAGAACTCATTAGTGCACATCTGTAATATGTCTCAGTTGGGCCAGATAATCTCTAAGCCCCATTAAACTTTAATACCTTAAGCTCTGAGTAGGCTTGTTGCCCTCTTCCCCACTAAGGAGACATGTCTCTGGGGATGGAGAGGGGACACATTGGGTACCACTAGTGTGAGATGAGCAGTAAATCCAGGGTCCTGACTTGGCTCTTGGATTGGTGGAAGAGAAAGCATGCAAAAATAAAACACTGTTGCCAAGTTTTTTTAAAAAATAAAAAGAAACACATTTTAAAGAACAAAATCTGTTACCTTTCTCTCATAAAAGCAACACCAGGCCTGGAGATAATGTGAGCAAAAATAAATATGTGGGAAAGTTTTTTTGCTGCTGCTTCTAGCAGTTTTCTGATCTCTTTCTCACTTCACACTGACTGTCAAATGGTCTATCAAGAGGTTAGTTTGTAATTAAACTCAGCTCTAATTGCTGGAACAAGTTACTAATTGTGTTCTTAAATCCTTTTATTCTATACCCCAGAAACCAGTGCTTTCTAGCCTTTAAATGCTAGTGGTTTGAGAGAATCACATAAGTACAGCTTTTAGCAGAAATTTTGTTCATTTGAAGCTTTTACCCAGAGCATCAATCAAGAAAACTTAAAAACATGAAACCAATTGGTGAAGGGAATAATCCTCCCTCCACAACAATAAGAAAAAATAAATTGAGAAATGTTCTGTCTTCTCTCTTCTGAATTGTAGATAGAACCATGTTTAATGGTTGGTTTATATATTAAGACCCACATTCAGGTATCTATCCATTTTGAACAGAGGTTTGTATCTTTAAAGGGTCAGTTGGGTGCTTTTGAGAGGTGGAAAATCTTTTCAAACCATTCAAATCCATTTATTGAGTCACCACACTTTGAAAAAGGAATGTAAGTAATGCAAGTGTCAGTTTAATTTGAATTTGGGTTCTGCAGGGTAAACAAAGTAGTTAGTTAATCTGGAAGAGTAGAACTTGGAAGAAAAGCAGAGAAAATACACCAGTTCAGACTTGGTAAGTGTTTGTTTGGTGCATGTAATGCTGGTGGTGGCTGGTGGCTCAAAACATTTTAAATGTCTTTCTATATTTGGAAAATGTGGAGAGTATTTTCGGTTTTGTCTTCAGGCTGAAACTCCCCAGTTAGCCTGTGTAAGTCTTTGAGTTTGGTGGCAATGACCCCATCTTCAGGCTCTACCCCTTGCGCCTGGCCACAGTAATATGGTCACTGGACCCAGGATGAACCCATGACATCCTCATTCTAGCCAATGAAGGCAAGTGAGAATGAGGTCCAGATCTTCATTTGTGTTAGCAGAGAAGTCCATGTTTTCTCTTCTGCTGAATTTGAACATGGACGCAAGCAGCCCAAGGGAGCAACTATCTATTGTATTTGGTTCCCCCAAAAATCGTGTGAAATCTTTTCTAATTTTAGAAGATTTATTTTAGAGTTAGCCACTTTTGCTTATAACTAAAAATCCTGACTAATAAAATCTGGAGCAGTTGGAGCAATCTGGTTTCCACTAGAGAAGCCAGACATAGGACAAAGCTGATATCACTATCCAGGAGACTGAGAGGGAGAGAGAGAGAGAGAGAGAGAGAGAGAGAGAAAGAGAGTAGATTTTGGTGACATCATCAAGTTGCTTCATCAAAACTTACCTACAAATCTAAAAATATATTTCTAGCTTTTCCTTAAGCTATATCAATAAACTCCCTTTTATTGGTTCCAAGAACATTTTCTGAATATTAATCATGTGGCAGACAATGATCAAGGACCAGGTGTGGCATTAAACAAGAAGTCCCCCCGACCCAAGGTGAGGAGAGAGTAAAATAAATCGTCATGAGCAGCATAACAACGTTTCAGTCAACTACACAATGGTGGTCCCATAGGACTATAATGGAGCTAAAAAAAATTCCTCTGGCCTAGTGTGTAGCCATACCCACATTATAGTGCAATTACTTAATTTTTAAATAAACTTAGTGCAACCTAAGTGAACAGCATGTATAAAGTCTGCAGTAGTGTACAGCAATGTCCTAGGCCTTCATATTCACTCAGAACTTAATAATTTATTCTTGCAGAGCAACTCCCAGTCCTGCAGGTTCCATTTGTGATAAATGTCCCATATACTGTATCATTTTTTATCCTTTATGCCATATTTCTACAGCATTCTTTCTATGTTTACAGATGTTTAGATATACAAATATCATTGTGTTACAACTGCCTACGGTATTCAGTATCATAACATGCTGTACAGGTTAGTGGCCTAGGGAACAATAGGCTGTACCATATAGCCTAAGTGTGTAGTAGGCCGTACCATGTTGGTTTGTGAAAGTAAGCTCTATGATGTTCCTACAATGACAAAATTGTCTAGTGATGCATTTCTCAGGACATATCCAGGTTGTTAAGTGACACATGACTGTAAGTAAACAAGAAAGTAGACAGAAAGATAAAATTAAAACAGAGTATGTGCGTTTACTAGGGCTGCCATAACTAAGGACCCCCAAGTAGGTATCTTAAACAACAGGCATTTATTGCCTCACAGTTCTGAAGGATAGAAGGCCGAGTTCAAGGTGTCAGGAGACTTGCTTCCTTCTGAGCGCTGTGAGGGAGAATCTATTTCGTGCCTCTCTCCTAGATGCTGGTGGTTTGCTGGCAATCTTCGGCACTCCTTGGCTTGTAAATTCATCACCACAGTTTTTGCCTTCATGACAGTCTTCTCTTTGTCTTCACATTGTCTTCCCTCTGTGTGTATGTGTCTTTGGGTCCAACTTCCCCTTTAAAAAGAAAACATCATATTGAATTAGGGCCCACTCTAATGAGCTCATTTTAACTTAACTAATTACATCTTCAAAAATATTATTTCCAAATAAGATCATATTTGGAGGCCCTGAAGGTTCCAACTTCAACATATTTTGGGGTAGAGGATGGGAAAGTAATATAATTCTATCCATAACACAGCAAAATGAGAATAGGTGACTATGGGAATGTCTTAATGTGGAAGATCATAAAATTCCTTCCTGAGGACATGATATTCACTCTTATAACTAAAAGAGAAGATGAAAATAAAAGAATAGATCTATTTAGAGAGAAAAAACATTTCAAAGAAAAAAGTTAGTGTATATTTCTACATGTTACATACTAAGAAACAACAACAAAAACAGTCAAAAAAGCAGCAATAAAAAAGTCTTAATACAAAAGACTAAAGCCTTATGGCTTCAGTCAATTTGAACTGGATATGATATAATTTGAAAGTTAAAGAGGTAAATAAGTAGAATTCATCTTAACAATTCTTATTAGAGTTTTACTTACGATCTGTAATTTACTTTAAAAAATCTCTAATCCTTATTTTCTTTATGGCATAGTGAGGTTACTTTTAACTTCTTGCTTTGATGCTTGTTTGATATCATGATCTTTGGTTTTCTTTGATGTCAAATTTTACTAACCTGTGCATTTCTGAAATCGGGAGTCATCTTAGTACCATTTATCTCTCTGGTGTCAATCATATGCCTGACAAACAGTAGAGCCTTAGCAAAAAACTCAGTGAATGAAAGGAACTTTATTCTAGTTTAGAAGCAGTGGTATGCCAGTAAGTGTTTGACAAGTCCTCTCCCCCGCAAAATCTGATTTTTAGCATGTGCCAATTTCCAGGCTGTAAATACTCCCATCGTGGCTAATTTCAAGCTACCAACATGACATCACTGAACTGAGGACTGGGGAATGGATGCACATAATCAGATTTTGTAAGCCAAGGCCAGCCAGCTCCAGCACACCACTTTCCAAAGATCTGTTTCAGGAGTCTACCTAGGGAAATTGTTCATGCCTTGGTATCAGACTAACTTAGGTTGTTGATTTTTTTTTTGCTAGCACTTAAAGATGTGCTGTTGTCAGAATTTTATTTATTTCGATAAGTGTCAATGTCCTCATCTGTAAAGTAGGAATAAAACTTGCTCCAGAGGATTCTTATGAAAATTAAAATTAATGATCACTTACAAAGCAACTAATAGAATAGGGAGGATAGAAAGCAACTAACATATGTTAGCTTTGTTTTTAATTTTGTTGGTGTTGATAGAAAAGTTTTCGTGTCTTTTGAATTCTGTCACAAAGTTGAAAAATATCTAAATGCTGCAATAGGACATGGGATCTTATCTGACTGTAAACCAACTCTTACTATTGACTCTAAATCTAGAAACATTGCAAAAAATGCAGGTTTTTGAATGGGCATCATTAATTAGAAGTTGGTATCGTGGTCATGATGCTTCATCTATAACTGGTTTCTGGCTACAGAGAAGGTATAATGTCAGCTTTTGAAATAAAAATAATGAAGAGATGGCTCAAATGACTAAAGTATGAGAGAAAAAGTAGAAAAATTATGAAGGGCTGGAAGACCTATCACTCTTATTGAAGACTGCTTCATTTATGCCTATATTGATTTTATTCCTCAAAAGGAGAATAGACAGTCAGACTCCATCTTACTGTAGAGGGCTGCAAACCCAAGTAGTAAGAGTCAGGCAACTGAAAAGAAGTAAGTGAAATGAACTCAGTGTGTTTGTAAAAGACAGAGAGAAATGGAAAGGAGGAAGGAAGATAGAACAAAAGGAAGGAAGGGGACAAATTAGACTAAAGAGGACATCCAAAAGCATTAACATTTTAAAATGCTTGATGACTTTGCAGACTGAAATAAAACATGTGCCCTATGGAATGGATTCTGGCCCCCAGGCCTCAGTTTGAGACCCTGCTCTATGTTGAGAAATGTGTCAAGCCTGCTCCTAGATTCAAATCGATGAGTCAGTTCAGTTTTTAATGGAGAGAAATAAAATCAATTTAACTTGACTTCTTTCTACTACATTGGGCTTACTTATATCTGATTGTTATTTTTAGAATTTTCTTTTCATCCACAATAAATGTATGCTCATTGTAAATAATTCAAACAGAAGAGCATATGGCATAAAGTAGAGTACCATCAAAATCTGCCACTCAGAATACAATTGAAAATTTTAGTGAAATTCTTCTATGCCTGTGCATACGCACACACATGATAAACACACAATGAATGCTACGTATGATTTTGCAAACTAGGCTCATGTTATGTGTGCTCCTTTTTAATGAATAAATTACTAAGAATGTATATTCAATCACTGTAGTCTTAAAATCCCGGTTCTACAATTTAGTAAATTTTGGTTCAAAATATGGCATGAAGTAATCATAGTTCAGAGATCAAGGTCTCCTATCTAGTCAGTTTCTCCCTTGAAATAATACATTTCTTCTTTTGTCTCATTTCTGAGTTAGGGGACAGAGGGGCAAACTTGTTTCAGAAAAGAGGCAAAACTATTGTTAGGAATTTATCAACCTTTACTTATCTCCAATTTTTTTTTTCTCCTCATTGTGTTTTATCTCCTTTCCGCTGATTTTTTTTTTTTTTTTGCAGATGACCTTTCATCTTATTTCTCATCTGCTGGTCCCATCAACCCTAACTTTGTATCTGCTAAAACTCAGGTAATTGCTTTTAGATGGGTATAATTAAGAAGCCATTAGTGTAAAGTTTCATTTCAGTTTACGCCTTGGTCTGCATTTGAGCAGAGAAATATAAAATTAAGGTATTAGCTCCTTTCATGAGTATGAGTCACGAGCTAATAAGTTTCAAGAGCAGTTTCTCAACTGTAATGATTGTGCTTTTCTCTTTGAAAATTTTCTCTTCGGAATACTTATAGAGGGAGTATTTTAAAAGAAAGGGGAACAAATCTATAGGGGCAGATGTGGATTGGGTGCATGATTCCTGAAATGCAAGTGTCCATGTTGCCCTACAAGGGTCATATGGGGTCTTTTAAAAGTAGCTGTTGTGCCCTGTTTGAGGGCAGCTGTGAGAGACATTGTAGAGGGAATTTATGCCCTGATGAAGGAGGAAAAGGCAAACTTAATGTGATTCAGGTGAGCCACCTACAACAGTCGTTATTAGAATTACCTGATATTATTAGTTTCCTATGGTTGCCATAACCAATTATCCCAAACTGGTTGTCTTAAAACAACAGGAATCTATTCTTTCACACTTCGGAAGGCCAGAAATTTGAATTTGAAGTGTTAGCTGGGCTATGCTTTCTCTGTAAAGACTGTAGAAAATAATCCTTCCTTGCCCCTAGCTTCTTGTGGCTCCTGGCAATCCTTAGCTGTTTTTTACTGGTAGCTACACCACCCCAATCTCTGCCTCCATTGTCACATGGCCTCCTTCCTGTGTATGTATTTCTTTGTCCTCTGTTTGTCTTATAAAGACACCAGTCATTGGATTTAGGACCCACTCTAACTCAATATGACCTTATCTTAACATTAATATCTACGAGGCAAAACATCTACATCTTAAGTTTCCATCTGCAAAGACCCTATTTCCAAATAAGGTCAATTTCTGGGTTCTAGGAGCACATAAATTTTTGAGAAATATTATTCAACTGACTACATCTGGGAATATTTTTAAAATCCCAGTGCCCATGCTGCACCTCAGATAAATTAAATTAGAAACCTACGAGGGTACATATTGGAATCACTTGGGGAGCTTTAAAATAAACTAAAGCTTGGGTCTCACCCTTAAAAATTCTGATCTGTAATATTGGTATTCTAACAAGTACACTGGATTGTTAGGAAAAATTATTAAGATGATGTGAAGAGCCCAGCAAAAGCCTGGTACATAACATGTGGTCAATTAGTATTTTCTTGTTGATTGGTTTATCTTGATTGGTTTAGAAGCATATGGACCTAATTTCACATATGTAAAGATGCAGTGTTCAATTAGCATTAATCCCCTTATTCTGCCTTTATTTGGACTACTCTGATTATCTTCCTTACATTTCTAGAATCAAGGTTTCACCTAGTAGATGGTTTGCCATTACCATAGCTCTCACACATTCTGCTTTCCTGATAAACAAATATTTATTATCTCTTCCACATTTGAGTCCAATTGCCATCCTCTTCCCATGTTCCATTTTTTCTTTGTAAAATAGGTCAACTTATAAACCCTAATCTCCTCCAGCCTGCCAAGATGACTAACCAGGGTAGCTGTCCCAGGACGGAGGGATTTTCCGAAATGTAGGACTTTCAGTGATAATACTTAGACATAAGCAAACCAGCATGGTGGTCGCTCTTTTTCCCAGTCGCCCCTGGTAACAGAACATGCCTACTGTTACCACAAGAATATTACATATATTAGAAGTGCAAGCTTCTTTTAGAGGAAATAGAACCCATTTAAAGTATGATACTCATCTTCAAGTCTGTATAGGAGCTATCAGAGGGAAAAATAGAAAATAATAATGATGACAATAATGAGAATATTTATTGATCACTTACTTTAATCCAGTTTCTGTTCAAAGGCTTTTACAGCTATTATCTAGTTAATCCTCACAGCAAGCATATATGGTGAATGGCACTATTACCTTCATTTTCTTTTCTTTTTTTTTTTTTTTTGAGACGGAGTCTCGCTCTGTCGCCCAGGCCAGACTGCGGACTGCAGTGGTGCAATCTTGGCTCACTGCAAGCTCCGCTTCCCGGGTTCACGCCATTCTCCTGCCTCAGCCTCCCGAGTAGCTGGGACTACAGGCGCCCGCCACCGCGCCCGGCTAATTTTTTGTATTTTTAGTAGAGACGGGGTTTCACCTTGTTAGCCAGGATGGTCTCGATCTCCTGACCTCATGATCCACCCGCCTCGGCCTCCCAAAGTGCTGGGATTACAGGCGTGAGCCACCGCGCCCGGCCTACCTTCATTTTCTAGATGAAAAAATCACAGTTCAAGCAGGTTATGGGAGTTCTGCAAGGTCTCACAATATCTCTGTTTGGGCTACTATAAAATATTACCTTAAACGAGGTAATTTATAAACAATAGAAATGTATGGATCACCATTTGGGAAGTGGGGAAGTCCAAGATCAAGGTTTCAGCAGATTTGGGGTTTGATGAGGGCTGACTGCTTTAGAGACGGTGCCTTCTACGTAGCCTCACAAGCACAGGGAACAAACAAGCTCTATAAAACCTCTTTTACTAGGGCACAAATCCCATTCGTGAGGGCACAGCCCTCATGACCTAATCACCTCCCAGAGGCATCACCTCTTAATACTGTTGCATTGGAAATTGATTTTCAACAGATGAATGCTGTGGGGATGCCAACATTCAGAACACATCACATAGCTAGAATGTGTTTTGGCCCAAATGCAAACATAGGCAGTTTGGCTTCCACACTGGTGGTGTTAATTCCTATGCCATTTTGGGTGCACAACGAATGCAGAAATATAAGCCAGAGAAGGACAGAAACACTGTTTTTGATTGGTGTGTTATGGAAAGCAATCACAGATGAGAAGGAATTGAATTGGCATACCTACAGCTAATAATGAATCATGACTTCCCTTAAGTGGTTAACTTAAAAAATGTTAGTTAAGCACCTAATATGTGTAGAGCACATACAGAAATATTGAAGAATAATAGCAGCCAGAACTTTTAATGGAGTTACTATTTCGCTGGCACTGTGCTAAGCCCTTTATACAATATTACCTCATGGCATGGTCTCCTGGTATCCTCTCAACAAGAAGGAACTATAATTCTTCCCATCACTGAAAAGAGAATTGAGAATCAAAGGTATCCATTTACTTGAGCTAGGATCTCAGAGCTAGTTTGTGATAGACCCACAATTCCAATGTTTGTGTGTGGTTTATGTATGCATATGTGTGTGTGTGTTTATGATGGAGTCCATATTCATGATCACTACCCTGTCTTGCCTTTGATAATCAGAAAGGCAGATAAATATTTTGGTGAGTGTTAAGCAAAAACAGAAAATGCATATAGCAGATGCTTTTTATAAAACTTGGTTAATTCACTTTTTCTTGATTGGAGTGAGGATGTTAAAGCTGCAGTGGAGAATAGTGAGGGAAACATGGAAGAGAACTTTCCACCAAACAGAGCTGGATGGCATGGACACTTCATCTTTACTGCATAGCCAGCCCTCATTTTCACTAAAAAAGGCAGCAGCCAAGGCTGTGGAACTCACTCTCATGACAAAATTGGAAGTACAGTTAATCAGGACTTAATTGAACAGTTCAATCTCCCAGCAAGAAATGGTGGGGGGAAGTGATGGAGGATGGGGATGGGAAGAACAAAAACTTATAAAGCCCCTCTGTTTAAGATAGTGAAATGTGTCTTCTAATCCATAATGCAGCACCATAATGTTCTTGTATGAATTGAAAATGCCAGGCAATCAAAGGCCATATGTTATCAGCTTAAAACCACAGAGTGTCCATGTATTTTTAATCAAGGCTGCATCTCTGACATATGTTTATGTTTTCTTGGCATAAAAGATGCTCTATCAGATTAGCTCTGTACTGAGCCCCAGGCTGTTACCTTTGACCATGCCAGGAGAAGGGAAGTTGGCAGATCCCCCATAATGCATTACTGTAAAGCTAATGCAAATTGTACTTGAAGAATAGCTCACAGTGAGCAATCCGTTAAGCCTGAGGATATGGGCTTATGCATCACGATGTCTTCACTCCCTAGAAGATCTCTCTGCTTCTCCCCTCATGCCTTAAAATTCATCCTTCATACAGTGCCCATAGTGATCTTTTAAAAATGTAAATTCAATCTCTTTATTCTCCCACTCAAAACTCTCTGGTAGAGGATGAACACATTTAAAATAAGAACCAGACTCCTTGATATGGTCTACACAGCTGTGCATGATTTATTCTACCATCTCTATTTCCTATCATACCATATTTCCCTGTACTCACAATGTGTCAGTCACACTGCCTTTCTTTTTGTTCCTAAACAGTTTCCATTACTAACCACTTATTATTGATTTTTTCATGCATTCACTAAAAAAAAAGTTAAGCAACACGTGTGTCTAGGAACTCTCCTAGGTGTTGAAGATAGATCGGTGAACATAACTGATCAAGCTTCCTATCTTCTTGGAACTTAAATCCCAGAAAGGGGAGAGAGAGAAACAATAAAGAAAATGGAAATATAAAGAGTATAGCATGTTAGAAAGTGACAATTCCTTTATGAAACAGAAAGGAAAAAGTAGAGTAGTATAAATAGGGTCAAAAATAAGTGGTAGACAGTACTGGGTTTTGAAAGTCAATAGAGGAGTCAGGGATAACGTCTCACTTTAAGGCATTTACTCTTACTGTTCCCTCTCCAGGAACACCCATCACCTAGGTATTTTCATGAGTTTCTCAAAACTCAGGTCTCAACTCAGATGTCAACTCTTTGAGGGACCTTCTCTGATCTCCCAATGTGAAGTAATCCCTTCTACTCACTCTCTATCTTACCACCCTGTGTGAGGGCACTTAAAATGATCTGAGCCTATTTTTTTTTCATTCATTCCTTTACTTTGTTTTTGTCTTCAATACTCATGAACTGTAAGCTTTGTGAGCACAATGTCTTTATCACTTCACTATTAAGTCTTCTATGTCTTGATTAGATCCTAGCACATAATACATACTCAAAAAATAAACGTTTGAGTAAAATAATAAAGGAATGGCTGAAGATACCAGCATATTTATTTGACTATGGGGAAAAGAGAGGGATTGTATTAGTCCATTTTCATGCTGCTGATAAAGACATACCCGAGATTGGGCAATTTACAAAAAAAAAAGAGGTTTAATGGGCATACAGTTCCACTTGGCTAGGGAGGCCTCAGAATCATGGTGGAAGGTGAAAGGCATGTCTCACAAGGTGACAGACAAGAGAAGAGAGCTTGTGCAGGGAAGGCCATCAGATCTCGTAAGACTCATTCACTATCACGAGAACAGCACAGAAAAGACCTGCCCCCATAATCTAATCACCTCCTACTGGTTCCTCACATGACACATGGAAATTGTGAGAGTTACAATTCAAGATGAGATTTGCTTGGGGACACAGCCAAACCATATCTGGGATATAACATTTGGCATTAAGAAATCATTGACAGATATCACTTTCTCCTTGGATAGTCTTTGGGACCAATGAACAGATCTGCCAAGATAAGAATTCCAACTCATACTGGAAATATAGAATATAGTGCTTTCTGCAAAATAAGGAATTCTGGTGTCTTGCTTACCACATTGGAAAAGGCCCTGCGATTAATGACCTTGCCTGCGTCTGAAGACAAACTGACATGTCTATAGAAATAAAGGATGTAAGAACTAAGGGGGTCTTTGAAAGCATATCTTCCAAAAATCTAATCTCACTGATGAAGAAAGCAAGAACTCTAATGGTTGTTTAAATAACATCCTCTTTGTTCTTGAATGGAATTCTTGATTTTCATCACTTTCTAGGTTTTTTAAATCTGTTTAATTCAATTAAACTCAATATATCTTGAGAGCTGTATTTTTTAACCACGTGCTAGATGTTGAAAATATATAACCCTGACACACACATGTTAGGTCTTCCCCTGGAACCCTAGCTTCATAACTACAAGTGTTATTTCATGGCTGCATGTTTCACAGAAGATACTGTTTTATCTTGCAACACAATTGTATTCAGAAACTGGACCCTCCTGAAATCCTTTAACTGATTCACTTGTACCAGAGATTTGGTGAACAGCACATATTTAACTAAAAAAATTGTATGAAAAATGAACAGGGATGAGATTACATCACACATCTTTAAGCAGACAACTTAAAAATATCCCCATGTAAAGATACAACTTCTCTGAAGTTCTTTTCTACTCGTTATCACTGGGGCTTTCTTTTTCCTTTTTGAATGCAAGAAAATATCATTCTAATTTACTTAGAGCTCATCTCTCCAATATTTTTCTCTAGGCATTTTATATTATTCTTTCCTGTACTAGATGCCATAATTCAACTCTGAATGATCTCTTGTTTCCAATAGTGCTCATCCAAAGTCATCACAGTTATTCAGCTAAATAAAAGGTCCTCTAATGAGCGGAACTTATCAACCTTAGAAAATGATGTACACATTGTATCTCTATGCTTGGACAACAAATCCCAATGAGTCAAATCATCATTAACCTAAGGTTCAAGCATTTGAATCATCATTTATAAGATGTCCACAAAGATTCTGACCTCATGGAGTTGTGATGATCACATGGAATAAATGTGAAAAGAACCTGGCATAGAACCCAAAAGAGAGGAGCCTGGTAGAAACTTAGTGCGTACTGGTTTATTTCTCCTTAATTAACTACACATGATGATTCATTTGTTCCATAACTTCTTTCTGTGTTAGTGTTTAGGGGACATCTCAGTCTCTTAAAGTTTATCAGCCTCTCTATCATTAGCTCGAAAGTAGTCCAGAAAAAAACTGCAAATGAAAAAAGCACGTTAGTGTCATTTTCTGCATGATTGAGACACAACTGTCTTGACGAAAATCCAGAAAATGTGTATGTTTGTGTGTTTCCAGAGAATTTACAAGCACTGAGACTTCTCTCTCAAAAGCTGTGTTGTGTTTGAAAGAACATTCTTTTGTTCATAGCCTTATTTGATGCTGTGTAGGCTAACACTCCAACCGTTAGTGGTGGACAAATACATTATCTGTTTTTACTTTGATTCAAAACTTTTTCCCTATCTAGTTTGGGAGTCCTTAAGCACCATAAAAATGGGAACAATAGACATTGGGGACTACCAGAGGAGAGAGGGTTGAAAAACTACCTGTTGGGTACAATGCTCACTGCCTAGATAACAGTATCATTCATACCCCAAACCTCAGCATCACACAATATACCCATGGAATGAACCTGTACGTGTACCTCCTGAACCAAAAAAAAAAAAAAAAATAGTTGAAATGAAAAATAATCATAATAAAAAGAAAGTCCTTAAGCAGAGGAGCTTCTCTATTTGTAATCTAATGCATTTTCTTAGCTGATCTTGGGAACAATTATAATCTTTGCTATAGCTGTCTGGGCATGACAGAACAGAACCATTAACCGAAGATGCTTGATACCATCTAAATATAAGAGATTCTGAATCCTTTAAGCCCCTGATTCAAGCAAATTCTAGGGAGGAGGGCTCTATTGGGCTTTTGTCAATGGAACCAATGACAAAAGCACTCATGAAAGTGAAAATATATATTCACCTACAAGAGAGATGGAGCAGCACATATTAAAAGAAACTCCAGACTTCAGGCCTTTGGCCTTAATTTGGAATTATTGAATTGGTTTTCATTCCTTAATATCCCACTATTGTACAAGTCATATGTACTTTCAAAAGAGCTGTAGAAATTACAGAGGTGAGTAACAACTAAATATTTATGTCATAAATATCATATCATTTAATCTATACAGCAATTTCACAAGATTGATATAATGATCGTTATTTTATAAAGGGCAAAAATCAAGGCTCAAAAAGATGAGGAAACTTGCCTAAGATTAGCAAGTTAGTGCTAAAACTATGTTTCAAATGCAGATCTATCTGGGGAGAAGGGTTAAAACACACTCATAAATAATCTTAATAGGTACCTTATATACATTTTCTTTTTCAATCTGCATAAAAGCTCTGTTTTGTCTCCATTTCATAGATGAGTACAATGAGGATCAGGGAAAGTTGATACTTTTTCAGAGAAAACATGCAAATATTCTATGAGAAGGATACCTGAAGTACTCTTGGTTTCTGGGGGTCATCAAAGACATGGAGTTAGGTTTAGCACAATGCACTAAATCTTCCATAAGGTCTGAAAAGGGGGAAAGTTGAAGAAGAAAAAGGGTAATGACAAAAAAAAAAAAAAAAATAGCTGCGTTAGCATGGACACAAATTCTGCTTATATTTTAGATGGCAAATCTACATTTTCTGTTGAGTTATGTAAGAGAAGGCATTGTGTTTGTGTTCAAAGGGCAAGATTGGGGAAAATCTCAGGACACTGCCTGCATTCTAAGTGGCCCGACTGATGGAGGGAATGGGCCCTGTTCCAAATTGATTAGTTCTGCTACCTTCTCATTACCGTTCTGCCTGAAGTTTGGCACACAAGCAAGGTCATTCCATGCATGGGTCTGCGTGACTTAACTGATTTTGCTACAAATTTCCTCCCCTTCCACACTGCCACCCCCACCACAGCATGCCACCTGCACTCGAGAAAATTAAAAATCAGCCTATACATTTTACATGAGTTCCCAAGACCAGTGAGAAATTAATATTATGTTGTCTTTTGATAAAGATACAGCTGTTTTTAAAGATGTTAATCCAATTCAGTAATAGGAAATCTTGTTTAAATTCCTCTATGAAGCCTATACAGCAAGATGGAAAAAAGAAATGCATATAGACTCAGAAGAATATATTTGAGCAAGTTTTCATCTTGCAGTTCACCTTACAAAGAAATTTCAGGGTTACATATTAGGTTACTGTCCTCCCCAAACTCTTAGGTGCCTCATTAATTCTCTATGTCTATGTTTCTTTTAGGTTGTTCCCTTAGCCTAGAATTATGTCTTCTCATATTCTTATGTTCAAATACTTCCAGTTGTTCAGGGTTGACCTCTAATGTCTCATTTTCCATGAAGATACCTCATTTTCTGAAAGTAGGATGTGATTGCTGTCCTGTCAGATCTTCTGTAATTCCTAGAAAAGTTCTGAATCCCTCTAATTCTCAGTTTCCCCACCAATAATTAAAGCTATATTTCAGTGTTTATTGAAAAAATAGAGATAACATATAAAAAACCTAACACAGTACTTGATGGATAATGTTCAACAAATGTCATTTGTTTGGTTATTATTCCTACTGACAAGGAAATATAATGTCCAAAGTTCTTCGCGTCGAATTCAAAATTTTTCATAGTCAAGTTCCAGCCTTAGTTTCTAGTCTTAAACTCTGCCACTTTCTCGGGAGTAACTCTGTCCCCAATCCTCCAAAACTGTGTGTTCTATTAAACTATATCTTTCACTATTGTATAAACATTATGCACTTTCATTACTGAGAACCTACACAGTTGTCTTAACCTTCCTCTCTTTTTCTTTGCATAATGTATGTCTAAGTTCTCATGGTTCTCAAAACATATAGGCAATATAACAAAGTCAGAATTTAAATTAGTTTCCTAGATCCATAAACAGTTTATCCAGGATTCTAAAAGATGTCAAATAACTTTTTTTTTTTTTGAGGCGGTGTTTTACTCTTCTTGCCCAGGCTGGAGTGCAGTGGCCCGGTCTTGGCTCACTGCAACCTCCGCCTCCCGGGTTCAAGCGATTCTTCTTTTTTTTTTTTTTTTTCTTTGAGACGGAGTCTCGCTCTGTCACCCAGGCTGGAGTGCAGTGCTGCGATCTCAGCTCACTGCAAGCTCCGCCTCCTGGGTTCACACCATTCTCCTGCCTCAGTCTCCCAAGTAGCTGTGACTACAGGCACCCACCACCACACCTGGCTGATTTTTTGTATTTTTAGTAGAGACGGGGTTTCACCGTGTTAGTCAGGTTGGTCTCGATCTCCTGACCTCGTGATCTGCCCGCCTCGGCCTCCCAAAGTGCTGGGATTACAGGCATGAGCCACTGCGCCCGGCTGCGATTCTCCTGCTTCAGCTTCCCCAGTAGCTGGGATTACAGGCATGTGCCACCACGCCCAGCTAATTTTTGTGTTTTTAGTAGAGACAGGGTTTCTCCATGTTGGTCAGGCTGGTCTCCAACTATGCCAAATAATTTTTAAGAGGTGATTTTTTTTGGTTACGAGCTTAAGTTTTAATTTAAGATGAACTTTAGTTTAAACATTAGCTAAATGGTTGCACAATTGTAAACAAGATCTTACGGGTCCCTTAGCTTAAGCAGGGCTATTTGTAAAATGATAACAATATATACCTCTTAAGATTATTATTATAGCTGATGATATATATTCATGATATTACCTATATATTATGTATATCTAACAGATATGTATAATTTGATTCTCCATAATAAATTTAGGAGATATATATATATATATATATAAATGTATATATGCATACATAGTATGTATATATAGGATATATTGTATATATAATATATAAGATGTTGTATATATAGTATATAATATATCTATGCCTATATATCTATGTCTATGTTTATGTAGCACATAAATATATATATATATATATATATATATATATAGTGTAGGAAGGTCTGTCTTAAATCTGACACAGGCAGAAATAGATCAAGGAGCCAGTCAGTTTGAAATCACATGTTACATTTATTACTTTTAAAGTTGTCAAACAGTGCAGTTTAGTTTAGTGTGAGGCTACATGGACTGGCTAAAGCCCATTGCTATACTCCTCAGGCCTTGCAATAGCATCAAAAGGACAAGTGAAGTCCTCAGTCAAGTGATCCATAATCAATGTCCTACAGAATCACTGGATGGAGAGGGAAGGAAGAGACTGAATTCCTAGCATTCACTGAGTTGTAATAAACTCTCTCTACCAAATTGGGAAACACAGACCAATGTCTGTCACCCAGCAGTTGATGACTCACTTATCTGCTATGAGAGAAGCTTAGAATGAGGGTTGCTATGGGAAGCCAGGAGTGTTACTGGAGTAGAAATTCATCCACACGGAAAATAGAGAAGTCCAGGGATAAAGGCTTTATTTTAAAACAGCACAGTGTCTGATGCATAGAAAGCAACTGATTGAGTGGTACCTATTATTATGAGGCAATAGTTGCTATTGATAAGTTTGGCTGATCAACATTGAAATATTAATGATACTAAATATATCTATATGATATATACATGTTTTTGTTCATAAAGGCAGAAATAAACCCTTCAATAAAAATCACCTAATGAAGGCTTTTGTTTAGAAATGCAGTTTCCTCATCTCTGTGAAAGTCCTGACATCATTATATTTTGCTGACCTAGCTTCACCAAATTTTAATTCAACAAAAAGACCAGTTGAACAGATGCATTTATAGGTTCTGGGCCCTGTAACACTCAATCTGTTTAACTGAAATGTTTCTCTTGTTCCATATCTGTGCTTTCTGCTGGAACTGGATTTGTGTCTTTCTGTCTCAGTGGAGCATAAACGTAAGGAATGTCAGGAAGGAAGCCAGATCTGGAAGGCAAAAGAGGTGAAGCGGTGGCTGGGAGATTGCAGAGGCTGAAGTGTTGGAAAGATACAGAGAAAGATGATTCAGATTATTCAAATGAAAATGAGTACACAATACCCCCTTGTGAACTATCATGGTGATTTCCACTTACATGCAATACGAATTCAGCAGACCATTTTGATGGCCCAGTGAGGTTGTTGGGGTATTATTTACGTGGGCATGTATTTTCTCTGTGCATGTACACATTTTGATCAAGGGAGAAATATTAGGGAGAGAAAAAAAAATACCTCAATTACCAAAAAAAAAGGTATTAGGCTGGGCACAATGGCTCATTCCTGTAGTTCCAGCACTTTTGGAGGCCAAGATGGGAGGATTGCTGGAAGTCAGCAGTTTGAGACTAGCCTGGGAAACATAGCAAGACCCCATCTCTGCAAAAATTAACTAGGCATGGTGGCATGCTCCTATATTCCCAGTCACTCAGGAGGCTGAGGCAAGAGGATCCCTTGAGCCCAGTAGGTTGAGGCTGTAATTAGCTATGATTGTGCCACTGCTCTCCAGCCTAGGCAACAGAGCAAAATCTGTCTCTTAAAAAAAGAAAAGAAAAAAATGGAAATTTGATGCCTTGAGTTAGCTGTTATTCCAAAGACTTGGGATATATTGATGCCTGAGAAAGGACCTTGCTTTCACAGATCTTACAGTCACATAGCAAAATTACATATGAAAGCATGTAATTAAACATAATGAGGTTAGTTAAATATAAGGCTATAAAGATAGTGGACACTAAAGCTGGTCACATGAGCTAAATCTGGGGCAGGTTTGGTGATACAGGACGAGCAAAGTGAATACCATAGATGTGGTATTTCAGTAGTCTCGAAAATCTCTCTACCTCAGATTGGCCTTCTGAACTCCAGACATCAATGTAAATATATTCATATTTATAATTCAACTTATATATCTTGCTATCAACTAAGACTGGTAACTGATGATTATCATTAGTACTGTAAAACAAGTAATGTAATATTAAACAAAGATCCTTCTTCCCTGTCTGTCAAAATTAGGTGTGGCCATGTGACCGGCTATGGTAAATGAAATGTGTCACTTTCAGGTGCAAATAATAATAGATAGTGTTTGAGTCAGTTTTTGCCAGCTTAGTGGTTATGAACAATTATGTTTTAATGGAGCTTCCATTAGTCGAAGTACTACTGTGGTTACAGAGAGCAGAGCCCCACTCACCCACACTGAATATGAAAATGAACATAACAAAAGACTTCATTGGTAAAAGCCTCTGAGATATCTGTGGCCTACCTGACTGATACCACTCCAATTCTAGCATCTGAGTATTGACTGAATTAGACAGACAAGAAACCTGTTCACATAGAGAGAGGGAGAATGCTGAATAAATCCTAGTTAGATTTTTCCATATGGACATTTTAAGAGTTCCTCAAACTCAACTTGTTCAAAACCGTATTTATTGCACATCATATTTTCCACCTTCCTCCTCAACCTGATGACCCTTTCAATAAATAGTTGCTCAAGTAAAAACCAACAAATATGATGTATTAGTCCATTCTCTCCCTGCTATAAGGACATAGCCAAGACTGCATAATTTATATAGGAAAGAGGTTAAATTGATTCACAGTTTCACAGGGCGGGGGAAGCCTCCGGAAATTTACACTTATGGCAGAAGGGGGAGCAAATATGTCCTTCTTCACATGGCAGCAGGAAGGAGAAGAATGAGAGCTGAATAAAGGGGGACACCCCTTATAAAACCATCAGATCTTCTGAGAACTCACTCGCTATCATGAGAACAGCATGAACAGCATGAGGGTAACCACCCCGTGATTAAATTACCTCCCACCGGGTCCCTCCCATGACAGGCGGGGATTATGGGAACCTCAATTCAGGATGAGATTTGAGTGGGGACACGATCAACCCATATCACATAATCATCTTGAATTCTAAACTCTTCCTTGCCACATTCAGTCTTGTCAGTCTACTTTGTAAATATCATTAAAATCTGCACTAGCACTATTTTTTATCTCCACCATCACTATTGAAGACCAGGGCACTATCCATCTCACCTTCTTTCACACATTTCTAATTGATTTTCCTTCCTCCAGGCTTTCTGTCCTTGTAACCTCTCTCCAGCCATGGTGAATTGCTACCAACATTGCAAATCTCAACATGTCACTTACTTTTCTCTGCTTAAAAACTCAGGGTCTTTTCATTATCATTAACATAGTTTGCAAAGCTCTCTAAAAAAGATGTGTGTACACTCGCGGTCTCTCTGTCTCTCTCTTCTTGTGTTCTCTATCTCTCCCTGTTCTCTTTCTCCCAGGTCTTCACAAATGTGGTTCTCTCTAGCAAAAATGATATTTCCTGTGTTTTCTGACTGATGAATGCCTACTCATGACAGATTCTTCTTTGGATACACTTCATCAGCCAAGTTTTCTGGCTTCTAGATTAAGAATTGGTTTATTTGTATATGCTCCCATCCCACACTGTAGAATGTTACCTAATGTCCTGTTTGCAGGCTCTGAAGCCAGATTCCCTGAGTTTAGAACTTCACTTTACCATTTACTAGTTATGTGACATCTTTCAAGTTAACCCATATCTCTGTGCCTCACTTGCCCCACTTGTGAAACAGAAATAATATTAGCATCTAGCCCTTGGATTACATACTAGGTATTTTAGAATTAAATGGGCAATTTAACAAGATAAAAGCATTGGCTGACATTGAATGCATGTTACCATTATTCTTCTTAACCAGCTTTGTTGTGAAGCTGAAATAGAGGGAAAAAGACTGTGAAAAAAAAACACTCAAAACTAAGAGATTGGCTTTTATCTTATAATAAATGGAGAGCTATGGAAGATTTCAAGGAAAGAACAGACAGGATCAGAATTAAATTTCAGAAAAAAAAAATACAAGAAATACAGAGTGAGAGGCAAGTGGATGAAGAACTCTTTAAAATATGCTCAGTGTACCCAGGTAATTTAATCTTAAGCAATCATATTTAATCATCATTCCCCAAAACTAAGAGCCCATTTAATTCTACAAACATTTAAGGAGCATTCAATAAGTAGATGCTACGGCGGGGGCTGAGAATTCAAAAGAAGCAGTAGAGTATGTCATGGAATAAATACAGCCTGTTGGTTAACAGCATTGAATTTACAACCATACAGACCCAAGTTAACCGTCAAGCCCTATGATTTCCCATCTAAACAAAATTCTTAAATGGACTAAACCTCAATTTTTTCAAGGGTAAAACAAGAATAGATGAGATAATGTTTAGGCATCACCTTAAAAATTCTTAGGATATAGTATATGTTCAATCAATGCTCGTTATCATTGTTACTACTATCATTGTTGATATTATTTTATAACAGTGCTAAGTGACACCTTGAGCCAACGCCAAGCTGTTCGCTATCTAAATATAGAAAGCAAATATGTAGTCACATAAAGTATACTCTATTTGAGGTGCCATCCTATTAAAAGTAGTTAATAGTTTTTAAATTTATGTCCCGTGTCAGTATTGTTCTAAGTACTATACATGTACAATGGTATTTAATTCTTACAACAACCCTATGAGTCAGGTGATATGATGCTAAATGGTAGAAATAGAAAAATGCAGGAACAGAAGTTAAGTAATGTGCCCAAGAGCACACAGCTAGTGACTGATAAGGTTGTCAGGTGAGCCGAGGTAGCCTCATACAGCTGCCATGCTCCAAACCACTAGTTTATCTTGCTTCCCTGATAAATAAGAATGTGATAATTTTAAAATCATGGAATGTTTTGAATCACTTGTACCATCTGTTGCTGGGCTCTGACAGATATCCACTCACTTTGTTTCTTAAAGCTTGAACTTAAACCATTCCAGGCAGATGGCTATAACCAACTTTATCCAGACCTAGAATGCTTTCCAAAAATCTCTTTCATATTATAATGACCAGTCATCATTTTCAGAAAATCCTCCTATATACTAAATATTTATGTTAGAATTTGGGCCAGAATAAATGGATACCACCACCCCTACCAGGAGGGTAAAGGTGAATTCTAGCAGTGTGCACAAGCAAAGTGATCCCCCCAAGATTGCTGATTCTTGGTACAGTTTGTACTGATTCATAAATGGAAGTGGTGAAATAATTTGAATGGTGATATTAATTTCTCCTTCCATCTATGCATGAGAGTTTCCCTTGTGGATCTGCAAAGTCAATAAACAACAACAACATTAGTATTACTACTGAAATCAATGCTAAGTGTTAATGTTAGTACAGCAATTGATACAACTAGTATGTTATAAATATCTTCATAAAAACTCTACAAGGTAGATGTAATTAATCATACTATCTTAAAGATGGGGCCACAGAGTCAGGAGATGATTTAATAGTATTTTAAAGATCACATAATTACCAATGTCACAGTTACAGTCATGGCCAAAAAAACGTTAGCCAGGTAATAGCCATAGTTATAGATCTGTCTCAACATCCTCATTTTAGACTATGCTTTGTGACAGGATCCACAATTGAGCACTTTTATTTGCCAAATGTCAGTGCTCCCTAATTCCAAGGTTTCAGGTGGGAGTAAGGAGAATAAATCTAGCTAGTGGGCCAACCCCAAACAATCTCATCTGGACAGAGAAAGAACTAATGCATTCCAACAGAATGAACAATATGTAAAAAAAAGAAAAAGAAAAATCCCTCATCAGTTACTCCAAAGGTGCTGGGTCATCTTCCCTCAGCCTATCAAAGAATAAGTTCCACCCAACCTTTGTGGCAGTTCAGCCTGACCAGAGTATTCCATAGTGTCAGACTGCCCCAGAGGTAAGGCAGATTCTCCCATTTTGTGAAGCTAACTCAGTATAGCAGTGTTCCTTATCAGTTACTAAGGTTGTATACGACTGATTCACTCTCCATTTCACTTGAACAATCAAACACAGCTGTGCAATATTTAACCTAACACTTACATTGTTCTAAACGTATTTCTTTATATTTATAAGCATGAATTTAATGAAGCATCTAGTGATCTTCTAAATTCATTATTCTTGCCTGGTACATTGAGCCAAAAAAAAAAAAAGGAAGAAAGGAAAAAAAAAAAAGCATATTCCAGAATATCCTTCAGCTGCATGGAGTGTTGTGGTTATTCATGCTGGTCACTAAATATTTTGGGTTCCCCCTTCCGTGAGCTATGTCTTAGTATTGTGCTTCCTCACTGATATGAAGTTGGACATGGTCATGGGATGTGTTAATAAAATGTGAACAGAAGCATTCTGTATTTTCTTTTTGCAGAAGCTTTTATAAGACAGCACATCCTCTCTTATGTTCTCTTCGCGTTTCTGCAGTGACAGTGGAAGCCTGTGTCCAGGTGGTAACTCTAACTACCTGGGCCAAGAGATGACAATGAGCAGAGAATTTCTGCTTACCCAAGCTGGACTTGTATTAAAGCATTGAGATTTAAGAGCTTTTGCTGTTATCATCATCATCATCATCATCATCATCATCATCATCATCATCGTCATCATTCTAATGTGATTTGGTATGTGATGTAGATGTTTTTGGCAACATTTGGCCATATATTACTAGAAAAGAATGAGTTCTGAAAATAATTGACTAAAAGCAGAAGGGACTAGATTTAAGAAGTTCAGGAATTTGTAGGACTGAGAGAGGTAACTTTTTCAAACCCAGTCTATGAAAAGGTATCATTGAGAATGTTATTGAATTTAACAAAAGCCAAAGAAAAAAAAAACCGTTAGACTTGCAGCAAGAATCAAATGAAAGAAATGGCCATCAAAACCACTGTTAAGTTTCTCAGTCAATTAAGGTGTTTCAGAGAAAAGGTATAATTAAGAGCTTGATATCCAATACATGCATTCAATTGCACAAAATGCTGCCGGGGAAAGACAGACAAAAATCTCGGCTTGCCTATGGAAGCCTTGCAGGTTAAAGTTGCTGTAATTTAGGTTACAAGGGGTGGAGCGAAAGGAAGCAAGCAAACAAAGACACAGCAAATCTAAGAAACAAATCTAGGAAAGAACAGTGAGGGTGGTATTGGCACACAGAAATGACTCGATCCAAAGAGATATGAAGCCTACTAACATGTTGAGTGGCGCTGCAAATAAATCACAAACAGTCTGTGACTATTTGTGATTTAAAATAACACTAGGGCTGTCAAACTCCTAAGCAGAAAAGAGGCTGAAACCAATGCTCAGCCACTCTGAGAGCATATTCTCTAATGCCAACTTTTGATGTGACCAAGGATGCTAATGGAAATGGAAGAACTCCAGAGGACAGGATCATGGGCTCTAGGAAATGAAGAATCAGGAGCTCCAACCAGGGAGCAGAATGGAGCACAGTTATGGGAACATTTCTACTCCCAGGAGGACCTTGTTACATCTCTCCATAGGATTTCAGAATTGCTTATAGACCAATGATTGTATTACCTCTATTTATGGTTGGGAGTGTTCATTGCAGTAAACCTGTGCACGTTTTCCTGGCTTATCATATAACTTCTTGGTTCAATTTTTTTTGTTCAAATCTCTGAACCAAAAGGAACTACCTCTGGAAATGATGAAGAAGCAACAGGAAACCATTCAGGGATCTGGACTTCAAGTTGGTCACCCTGGCTATATGAGCTGTCTCTGAAGTGGTTACTCTTGGCTTGGGAATGAATTTGTTTTACAAGTAGGAAGAAGAAATAAAGAAATATTTGCCACCAGAAAGGCACACTGCCATAGTTTTTAGGACTGTTCAAAACTACTCTCGATTTTCTCCGTTCCTGGCACATGAAAAATATCACATTTTCCTGCCTTCTTCAAGTTAGACATTGTCATGCGACTGGATTTGATCAAAAAATATGAACAGACATGCTGTGTGTCATTTTGATGAGGAAACATTAGAGTGTCAGGGTGAAACACTGTAGCGCTCTGGTGATCCTAGAAATATGTGTAGGGATGTACCCTCTATCAACCAGATTCCCTAATTAACTATAATAAGCAGAGCACTCTGCTGACCTGCAAGGGACACGTATTTTCCAAAAGAAATAAAGTTCTGTTGTTTTCAGCCTCTGAAATTAGGGGGTTGTTAATAATTCAGCATAACCTGCCTATTCTGCATTGATCATGGGTATGAGTTAGTGTTACCTAACTCCAGGTATGCTTTTCCTATAACGATAGAATGGCCTTTACTTTAAGGTATAAGGTAGGGCTCCTCTGGTTGATCAATGTGATCCATCACCTGAAACTGAATTCAAACCCTGGACTGGCAGCTATTCATTGAGATTATAGCCATTTCCATCATGAAGACAAGAAGAATGCAACACTTTCATGCTTCCTTGTTGCTATAGGCAGCTGGCACTGTCCTCCTTCTTGAGTTATTTACGAGTAATAATAATTATATTTTTTAAAAAAGTCAGAAACCAAAAATTCAGCAGAATTGCGTCTTATCTGACTCCTCTGTATCCCATTTCTCCCTCATTACTTCTTTGTAATCTCCCTCATTACTTCTTTGTTCCCTCATCCATTAAGATGGATAATGAGAAAAGACTTGCATACCTCATGGTGCTATTCCAAGCAAAACATAAACCCTAATGTTCTCTAAGTAACTTGGATGAGAAGTCATATGTTCTCATGCTCATTTACATGTAGTCCAAACCTCATTTGCTATCCTAAGACTTCAAAAAAGAAGTTAGCTCCTCCTGCCAGGCGCGGTGGCTCACGCATGTAATCCTAGTACTTTGGGAGGCCAAGGCGGGTGGATCACGAGGTCAAGAGTTCAAGACCAGCCTGATCAATATGGTGAAACCCCATCTCTACTAAAAGCACAAAAATTAGCTGGGCATGGTGGCACACGCCTGTAGTCCCAGCTACTTGGGAGGCTGAGGCAGGAGAATCGCTTGAACTGGGAAGGCGAAAGGTGCAGTGAGCCGAGATCATGCCACTGCACTCCAGCCTGGGCAACAGAGTAAGACTCCATCTCAAAAAAAAAAAAAAAAAAACAACTTAGCTCCTCCTCAAGAAAAGGTGCTGTGTGAACATACCCAATACTAATTATTTCATCAAAACAAGCAAAGATCCTTTTGAATTTAGTCTTAATGTAAAACTTCTTCAAGGGTATTTCTTATGTCTCTCAGTCAAGTAAAGATAATACACGTTGTGGGTGGTATATTTGATAATGGACATTTAATAATTCAGACCTTTGCTATTGAGGATCCACTATATGCTTGGTCTTATGCTGGGAGTATACAGGGAAGGCCTCTCTAGGAAAGTGACATTGAAGTGAGGGAGTTAGCCAAGGGAGGGGAAAAGCATTCTAAGCAGGAAGAGAGCAGCCTGTGCAAAAGCTCTGGTGTATACTACTTCAACTTATTTGTAAACCTCAAACAAGGCTAGAGGGGAGGATATAACAGAAGCAAGTATGAAAGGAGTTGGGGTGAAGACACAGTCAGAAGCCAGTTTATGCCAGGCCTTGTAAGCTTTGCGAAAGTTTTAAAATTGTATCTGAAGAACAACAGAGAGCCATTGGCTAAACTTACAGTGCCAAAGTTCCTTCAGCCAACAGACACATGAAAAAATGCTCATCATCACTGGCCATCAGAGAAATGCAAATCAAAACCACAATGAGATACCATCTCACACCAGTTAGAATGGCGATCATTAAAAAGTCAGGAAACAACAGGTGCTGGAGAGGATGTGGGGAAATAGGAACACTTTTACACTGTTGGTGGGACTGTAAACTAGTTCAACCATTGTGGAAGACAGTGTGGCGATTCCTCAGGGATCTAGAACTAGAAATACCATTTGACCCAGCCATCCCATTACTGTGTATATACCCAAAGGATTATAAATCATGCTGCTATAAAGACACATGCACTACTCACAATAGCAAAGACTTGGAACCAACCCAAATGTCCATCAATGATAGACTGGAGTAAGAAGATGTGGCATATATACACCGTGGAATACTTTGCAGCCATAAAAAATGATGAGTTCATGTCCTTTGTATGGACATGGATGAAGCTGGAAACCATCATTCTCAGCAAACTACCGCAAGGACAAAAAACGAAACACCACGTGTTCTCACTCATAGGTGGGAATCGGACAATGAGAACACTTGGACACAGGGCAGGGAACATCACACACTGGGACCTGTTGTGGGGTGGGGGGAGGGGGGAGGGATAGCATTGGGAGATATACCTAATGTAAATGATGAGTTAATGGGTGCAGCACACCAACATGGCACATGTATACATATGTAACAAACCTGCACGTTGTGCACATGTACCCTAGAACTTAAAGTATAATAAAAATATATATAAAAAAATAAAAATCTAAAAAAAAAAAGAAAATCACTGAATGTTAGAAATGCAAAGGTTCAAAAGTTCATGTCCGTGCCCCATCCTTCCCATCATGCAAATAGCCAATTGGAATTCCCTTGAAATTCTCATAACTATGTTTGATTATTAGATATTTATTGAGGGTCTTTTGGATGTTAAACATTCTGCAAAAGAGCTGGAGGTATGGACATATCTCTTAAGTTACAGTGGTCATGTGGTGTGCAATGAGAATAAGAGTGTTTTTGAAAAATAAAAATGATTCTATTTGTGTTTACCCTTCAAACAATAATTTTACTTTCTCTAAGTAGGAGACAGCAAAATTATGAATTTTAAAATTCACAAGTTAAAAATTGTGTTTAATAAATAATCCATGAGAGTCAAAGGAATAGATATATTAAGCTACTTTGAGAATGATAGAAATGGAGTAGATGACTAAATATAAGGAATAGCCCTCATGAGTCTAGTGACAAAATTCTCTTAAAAAGCCACTGAGCCAAAAGTAGATTGAGAGAGGAACCAAAAGCTTGCTGCAGTTGCAGAATGTTAAGAGATTTATTTAACATTCTCTGGGCAAAGTTCTAAAATATTCATGCATGTTGGACATAATTATGTCATTTTATCCTCCACTGTGTGTCAATTAAATGCCATTTTTTCACTATAGCTTGTATCACTTCTTTCGCAATTGGGAAATGCAAATAATTATAAATAGAGGAGTCTTAAGTGATAGAGAATTTGTTTTATGAATCTTATAGTGAAACTTTTAAATTTGTATGCTGTACTCAGGGAATGAGAAGAAAATAAGCACATTTTCTCTATACAAAACAGAGAACAGTCCCTTTACAACCATCACATTTAAAGGAGCATTGAACTAATGATTTGAAGGATCAAGAAATATTATAGTGAAGACTGAATAGTGCCTAAATTGCTATTTTCAATCTAGAAATGACTATTGTTCTGTGTTGTTTTAGAAGACTCTTTTAATACCAATGAATGGAAGTTGCAAAGCATCTGATTCTCTTCCAGCTCAAGGGGAAACATTCTGTGGAATCCAGCTTTACAGGACAAATTGCTAGCCTTGGTCTTAGTGGTATGTCAGCAGAGGGCTGCTGTGGATAAGCTTCATAAACCATGGAGGACAAGAGACGAGAGAGGCTCGGGGGACACTTCTGCATTGTGGAAACTGCCTGAACTTTGGGGTTAATCAGATTAGGGTTCAAATCTTAACATCACCAAGTTATTGGCTGGCTGACTATTGGAGTTTACTTAACTTTATCTTTCCTCATCTGAAAATAAAAACAGCCTAGTTAGAGTTGTAGTTAAGATTAAATGATATGATTTACTGTTTTTTAAGGATGGATAATATTCCTGCACGTGTGTGTGTGTGTTTGTGTATATGTGTGTGTGTGTGTGTGTAGATACTTAGGTTGTGTACATATTTTGGCCCATTGTGATTACTGCTGCAATGAACATGGGAGAGTAGATAACTCTCCAACACATTGATTTCATCCCTTTGGATATATACCCAATAGTGAGACTGCTGGATCATATGGTATTTTTATTTTTAATTTTTTAAGAAACTTCTATATGGTTTCCTATAATGGTTGGTACTAATTTTAGATCTCAACAATAATATAAAAGGATTCCCTTTTCTCTACATTCTTGCCAACACTTGTTAGCTTTTGACTTTTTGATAATAGCCATCCTAACAGTGTGAAATCATATCTCATTGTAGTTTTGATTTACGTCTTTCTGATGATTAGAGAAATTGATCACCTTTGAATATATCTGTTAGCCATTTGTATACCTTTTTATATCTTTTTAAAAAATGTCTATTCAGGTTCTTTGTCTGTTTTTCTTTTTTAAAAAATTTGTGTTTTTACTATTGAGTTGTATGAGTCCTTGTATATTTTGGATAGTAAGCCTTAGTGAATACACAGTTTGCAAGTATTTTCTCTTATTCCATAGGTTGCCTTTTAATTTTGTTAATTATTTCTTTTGCTATGAACAAACTTTTAATTTGATGTGATCCTAGTTGCTTAATTTTGCTTTTGTTGCCTCTGTTTTTGGTGTCATATCCAAAAAATCATTGCCAAGACAAATGTCATGAAGATTTTCCTCTATCTTTTCTAGAAGTGTTGCAATTTGGAGTATTACATTTAAATCTTTAATCCATTTTGATTTTAATTTTGTGTATGGTATAAGGTAATGATCCAATTTTCTTTTTTTTGCATCTGAATATTCAGTTTACTAAAAACACCATTATCAAAGAAACCATCCTTTCTCCCTTTCCTTGGCATCTTTGTTGAAGATTAGTTGAGGTATATGCATAGACCTATTTCTGGGCTTTCTTTTCTGTTTCATTGATCTATGTGTCTGTTTTTATGCCTGTATCATACTGTTTTCATTACTATAGTTTTGTTATATAATTTGAAATCAGGAAGTGTGATGCCTTCAGCTTTGTTTTTTCTCAAAATTGCTTTAGCTATTTGAGGTCTTTTGTAGTTCCATATAATTTAATTTTTTTCTATTTCTATAAAAATTTTATTAGAATTTTAATAGGGATTAATCTGGAGGACATTATGATAAGTAAAATAAGCCAGACACAGAAAGAAAAATAACACATGATCTCATTTATATGTGGGATCTAAAAATTCAAATTCATAGAAGGGTGGTTACCAGGGGCCAGGAGGAAAGAGAAATGGGAGGTTAATAAAAGGTAAATAATAAGTTCAGGAGACCTATTGCATAGCATGGTGGCTACGGTTAATAAGAATGTGTTATATACTTGAAATTTTCTAAGAGAGTAGATGTTAAGTATTCTTACTACACACACACACACACACACACACACACACACACACAGATTATTTGTGTGAGGCTAGCTAGCTTGATCATAGTAATCATTTCACAGTGTATATGTATATCAAGGGCCAGGTATGGTGGCTTATACCTATAATCCCAGCACTTTGGGAGCTAAGGCAGGAGGATCACTTGAGTCCAGGAGTTCGAGACCAGGCAACATGGTGAAACTCCATCTGTACAAAAAATACAAAAATTAGTCAGGCGTGGTGGTGCACACCTGTAGTCCCAGATACTCTGGAGGCTGAGGCCAGAGGATCACTTGTACCCAGGAGGTCTACTCTGCAGTGAGCAATGATCCTCCTGTCACTGCACTACAGCCTGGATGACAGAATGAGACACTGTCTCAAAGAAAAACATCCAAAAACACAAAGAAAATGCCCCAAAAACAAAATTTAAAAAACAAATTATTTTGTACACCTTAAAAAAATATGTTATTTTTATTTCTCAATTATACATCAATAAAGCTGAAAAAATTAAGTCAGCAGATTGGCAATTTAAAAAATAGATTAAATGAAGCTATGTATGTAAAATTATTGGTAAGTACTCATCAAATAAGTGTTTAATACATGTTCCTGGGGAAATGAGGCTCACAGTAATGTAGTGCAATTACTGTCTCACAGTAGGTGCTCAGTAAATGTTAGACTCCTCTACCTTGCCATGTCACAAATTGTAGATTGACTTTAATTTCTGAAAGCCTCTACTATCTTCTTTACTTTTCACATTGAGTAAATGCATTCTTATGGGAGTTGTTTTATTGCCTTTCTGGTTTTAATGTTCAAATTCTGTCTTTGTTTTCCCAAGCCCACCTGTGTTTCTTTCTATAGGTAATGAATCTCCCTTCATGTCTTAGAGTTCTTTTTTTGTTGTTGTTCCTTCTTTAAAATTGTAGGGTTTTTTTGCCTGAGAACTTCAAAAAACGAATATAAAAATGCAACGTTTTTGACCTTTGTCACAATTTAAATTAAAAACCAAACTAGTGATGTTAAATCCAAAAAGAATTTGGATTAGTCAGCTCCATTTCTTTTATTTGGTGGCAAGAGGGGGCAGCTACATTTTTTGTAGCATTGGTTTTATTTCCCTTTGTTGCAAAGAAATCTAAGCTCAGTTACAGCACTACCTGTGGCTGCCAAGTATGACATATGAAACTGAACACTACCTCATGTAGTTTCCAGACTTAAAATTCCCTAGGTTAATTAATTTTCTTCATCCTATTGTTATTCATTTCCTTTTTCTTATCATTGCCTCTACCAAGAAGTCTAACCAGAATTTTGTATTACAAATAGCAATGGGCAAATTGAGAAGATCCAAACATACAAACCTCAAGTTATCTTAGTCATCTCTATTAACCAAGAATTGGAAATTTGGGAAGTCAATAAGTAACATTTCTTTTTTCCACCCTCTCCAAAACAAACTTTTCTGCAGAGGAGGTTTTGAGTTGTCCAGCTTGCTCTATAACTGGCTAAATTTATTTTTCAGGATGTGATAGGTTATATTGGGCAACAATGACAACAATTCAGTGGGCTAAAGAAAAAGTTTAATTTCTGCTGATATTGCATATCCAACAAGGACTGGAAGAGGGAATCTTCACTTTGGACCCTAAAAGGTCCAGCCTGATTTTGAAATTTGAAGACAAATTGATAGGTGGAAACACGATTCAAGAGAAGGTGAACACACCATTGTTACTACAGACAGAAGATGGATTGAGGTATTGGCTTTCATGTGTATGCACAGTGGTCTTCTTCACGTGTAACCCTGCCTTATCTCAGCTAATGAGATAACCTTTCAGCCAATGGCAAATAACGTTACATCTACAGAGTGTTGACTCAAAATGTTGTATAGTTTTTATAAAGATAAGCCTAGCAGTAACAGCTATAACTTACTAAGGATAAAATTCTAGACACTGTGGAGCAATTTACATGTAACTTCTCATTTAGTTCTTAACATGTAGATGCCATATTCTCCCCATTTTTCAGAAAAGAGAAACTCCTCAAAAGAGGAGCCACTAGTTTAATATTAGAGATTTAGTAACTTGTACAGTGTGGTAGCAAATAAATTCATACATTATTAATAAGAAAACATTAAAATAATACTAATGGTTTAGATATGTGTAGTCATTTAAAATTTATGAGGTTATTGTGTTTGCATGCACCAATCCAAATGGGATTCTGTGTAATTCTGGAAGGTTAACAGGGCAGGGAACACTGTTTTTATTTCACAAAACAGAAAGTCATAACTCATAGTAATATAATACTGTGCAATTGACAAAGCATGTTTTTATATGTCACCTCACTTAATCCTCACAACATGAGGCGAAAGAGGAGAGGATAAGGAATGGTAGAAATGAAGAGGAGTGGGGGGAGTCGTAACACTTCTCACTTGAGATATCTCACATCCCTTGAGTGAGTGCAGGTGAATTACCTCCATGTCAGAAGAATTCCTCTGGAATCATGTGTCTATGATGGAACTCTCACTTGACTAACTCATGACCTTTCTCTTTATTCTTTCAGGGAAGAGTGGCTTATTTAATTGGTGAATTTTAGAGAAGAAATTGAGAATGTCTGCTACTTTTCATCCCTCCTGAAACTACTACTATTTTTAGAGGTGCCTAACATGTTGACCTGCTCTTTGGTAGGTGGTAAACTTGCCTTGCAAACTCTTCTGCAAGAAAGGCTTGGGATCTTTCAGTTTAGTTTATAACTGACTAGATTTATCAGTCCAGATTGGCTAGGTTATGCTGGGTAACAAACAACACCAACATTCTAGTAGATTTTAAATAAAGGTTTAACTTCTGCTTCTGCTTATACTGCTTGTCCAACAAGTGTGAGTAGAGACACAGCCTGATGGAGACTTAATCTTAACATTCTCAACTATGATTACCAAAGCAGAAAAATAAAACACATTAAATCACATGCTGGCTTATGAAAGCCTCCATCTTTAAGTGACATGTGCACTCTCGTTCATAGTTCATTGGCCAAAGAAAGTCACCTGGCATGCCTAATTTCAAAGTGGTAAAAAAATGCAATTCTTCCATGTGCCTAGATGAATGAACTACAGCACATATGTGGTGAATAGCATGGTGAGTGTCACAGTGAATCAGTGTAAAATATACAACTCAGTGGTTTTTAGCATATTTGCAGAGCTGTGCCACCATAATCACAGTCAATTTTAGAATATTTTTATCACCCCCAAAAGAAACCCATACCCATTAATTGTCATTGTCTACACTTTTGATTTAATGAAAACTAATCAGATAAAAAAAGAAAACATTATTTTATTTATAAAACACATTTGATTTTACAAACAATAACATATGCATTAGGAAAGAGGAAACATTTAGTTCCTTTGAGCTATAGAAACGACTTCTAGGTCTTCAAGAAAGAGTTGGGCATGAGGGGATATGTTCTCCTTTGTGCCTGATTTTCCCATGGATTAGAGGTTTGCTGACATTGTGTCTTTTGGCTCTTCCAAGAGCTACTGCTTTCTCCTAAAACAGAATTTTGTATTCAAGTCTTGCTTCTAATCTTCCATGTTCTTATTTTTTTTCTCTTCATCACATTGCAATATTAAAGAATTAGCATGACAGTTTAAATGCATTTACACAATACCTAATGGTAAAATGAATGTTATTATCATTGTCCTATATATGTGCAATTACCTGTATTTATACAAAGTTTCATCACAAAAGTTGGCTTATTTTAACTTCATAGTAAGTTGTAAGATACCTATAATTATCTAAATTTTACAAATGAGAAAATAACACTCAATGCTAGAGGTAGAACCTAAACTCAGATCTACTAATTCCATGCCCGGGGATCTTCCCTGTAATGATTTTAGAATATCACTTCTTATGGAATTACAAAAGAAACAGGCAAGACTTTTATAATCAGTAGTTTCCATCTGTATCCCAAAGATAAATTGACTCAACATATTCAATACTTATTTATTAGTTCCAAAGTGATTGACAGCTGGGGCTCACAGATCCTTTGGCTCTGAAATATGGAGGGAAAACCTGAGTAGAGAAAAAAAAATGTGATCAAAGCAGAACCAGGGATCACCACAAACTTCAGATCGAGGCACATAAATGAGATATCAGTGAGAATGTCAAGGCAGTTGGGTCGGGCACTAGGAAAGCATAGATGCAAAAGAGAAAATGGAGTTAAGGAATCACAATATGTCAGAAATATGGTCAGAATTAAATCCATTTTCCTGAAACCATAGAATAGAACAAGGCAGAAAAGGTGAGGCATAAGACACCAAGGAGAAAACAATTCTGAGACAAACTCCAGAAGCACGGTATCAGTTGGGCAATTAGCATGGGTCTCTAGTTATATACATTTTTTCTTAAAAAAAAAGAAAACATAGCTTTGACACATATTAGCTACTTAGCTTTGGGCAATTTTCTAACTTCTCTGAGTCTCAGTTTCTTTGTTGTTAAAATGGAGATGATAATATTTATCTCAAGTTGTATTGTGTTCCATGACCACATCAGTTACATATCCTAACTATGTGAGTCCGTAACACCCTACAATTCACATTAATAAGAGCCATTACTTTTACCCACCTCCAAAATGCATGATAGCAACAACTGTGTCTTACTGATTATTGCTGCATTCACAATGTTTCCTGGCAAACAGAAGTCATTCAGGACATTTTTATAGAATGGTCTTGATTAAAATTACATGGATGACGTACACGGCATATAGTAGGAAGTTCACAGATGTTAGATTTATTTTGCTCTGGAGCAGAGTTGAACAAACATTTTCTGAAAAGGGCTAGATAGCAAATATTTTAGACTTTGCAGTCTATACAGTCTCTATTGAAACTATTCCACTCTGCTGTTGCAGTGTGTAAGCAGCCATAGACAATATATTAATTAATGAGCATGGCTATATTACAATAAAACCTAATTCATGACAAGATAAAGAGGGCCAAATTTAGCCCTACAGTCATACTTTATCAATCCCTGCTCTAGAGCATACATTTACATATTACCTGCTATAGCAAAGGCTACATTTAAAGCTTCTGATCCAGTGGCTTGGATGTGCTGCTAGGAAAATGGTTTAATGTGGATAAAAAGAGTGAGCAGTAAACTATGACTCAATCTAACAGTTAACTATTTCTCTCTCTGCACCCTCTCTGTACTCCTGTTCCTCTGTATGATGTGCTTCACACTCTTAATTTCACAGCAAAACGTGTTTTTTTTTTTTTTTTTTTTTCATAAATAGCACCAAGGAAGACCTCCACCCAATTCAGTCTGAACTATTCTGAATAAATAAAATACATATGGATTTATAAACTTTAACTTCATAATTCTAACAAGCATGAAAATATATTCCTTTTATTATTTTTATTGAAAGTAAATGAAGGTTGGGCTATACATCCTCAAATTCCTTCCCATATCATCTTTGACACAAATGTCTTTTGTACTGATTGCAAGTAAAACATTTCCATTTTATCATACTAATTATCTCATTATGCTTTTTTTCCTCTTTGAGTCTTCTGAATCTAATTGGAAACCATCTTGGAACACACATGTTGTATAAAATGAGATACCACTATCTGCATCTTGTGCCTTTTGTAACAATATAATAAAATTGTCATATATTGATTGCCGGAATCAATACCAGGACATTTACATACATTTTCTGATTTAACTTTTGTAATATGGGCAGTCATTTTGATTCTATCGGTCAGGAAGTGGTGACTCAAGAAAGGAAGTAATTTGCCTAAAATTACAGGACTGGACCCAGACTTTCAGATCCCAACATCTTTATACTTAAAAAAAAATTCATCTATACTCTGTGTGTTCTATTTTAGTATATGTTATTAGAAAATAACAGTAATTCTCTCTCTCTCTCTCTCTGCCTCTGTGTGTGTGTGTGACACAGAGGAACTAAATAGAATGATAGGAATGCAGCATCTGGCCACATCTCAGGGATGTTAAATGAGAATCTACATTTTAACAAAATGTCTAGTTAATCCCTATTTATATTAAAATGAGAAACACTGAGTTAGATAAGATTACCCTTATGTTACAGATCAAAATCCTCAGAAACAAAAAGTTTTCCAGCTCAGATTGTGAAGATCTTCTCAAGTTTTGTCAAGCAATTGGGACAGTAAGTATAGCAAAGGTAGAGGCGGGTATTAATGATTACTAACTGTCTGCTTCATTGAGCTCATTGCAACAGTAGATGGAGAATACTGGAGAAGAGAATATAATCAGCCCCCCATACCCATGGGTTCCACATTCGTGGATTCAATCAACTTTGGATCAAAAATTTAAAAAAAAACATGACAATAAAAAACAACACAAATCTTAAAAACAATAAAGCTTAACAATTATTTACATAGCATTTATATTAGGTATTGTAAGTAATCTGGATATAATTTAAATGTACAAGATGATGTGCATGGGTCATATGCAAATACTATGTCATTTTATATAAGGGACCTGAGCATCCCCAGATTTTGGTATCCTGGAGTGGGTCTTAGAACTTATCCCCTGTAGCTACCAAGGGACAACTGTATCTGATAAGGCTTTCTTATCAGAAGCCTAACCTAGAACAATGGGAAAACTAAGAACTGGAGTCTACATTTTTTTTTCTCCCTAGAGAAAATCAATTAGTTCCTTCCAGAGAGGGTCTCTGATACCAGGAAAGTGCTGTTACATGTGGATGCAGGCATTCTGTTTTTCAAGATAACCGTTATTTGATATACCAGATGTTAGTCTGGCTAAAAATAGTAAAAACAGAAAGAACCTCTTCACCTGAGAAACGTTCTTACACATTCTCAAAGAATCCTCCTTTGAAGAATATTTTTCTACCACATGATAATAATATAGGTGGAATAAATCGTCTAAAGGAGCAAATCCATTTCCAAAATCTCCTCCCTTTCATTTGACTTTGATATTCCATTGATTCTTTTTTAAATCCTTTCTTGTCTTCTTCTTTTCCATCCTTCCCTACTCTCACTGCTTCTGGCTCTACAGGAAATATTACACAATCCCTACTTTGCCTGTGCTACCCACCCAAACAACAATGTCATTTCCTTATAATAATACTACTTGAAAGTTTAAAAGGTGAAATAGTAAAAGACTTATGAGCAGTTAAAAATTGGTACCTAGTATCTGTGCAGTAATGTTCATGTATATTCTTTAGAAAATATCCTCAGACCCTATTTATTTTCACTTTACTTTTAAGTAAATGGAACATATCTGTGTTACTTGTTTTTTATCGTTATAGAAGACAGGCAGAATCAGCACTATTTAAGATAAGTTTTAGGCAAATACACAATGAAAACAATAAGAGGGACTGCTCCAGGTATGCAACTAATGGGTGAAAGTAAGAATGATACAAAACAAATACAAAACAAATAGAACTAAGGAATAATAGTAGAAGTTACAGCATTCTGAGCCTTCTAGAAAGAGGTTGAAATGATTCAGCATGCACATGAATGTTTGTAATGATGATTCCATTTCATAAAATAATACTTCAATTACATGTAACATGATGCAATTACTAAAAAATAGAAAATTAGTAAAGTAACTCACAGAAGCTTCTATCTAAAATTGTTAAATTAAAATTTAAAAACCATTTTTGGTCTGTAGGGAGTTATATTTGAGTTATCTGGAGAAAAATGAACTTATGAAGGATAGCATCTTCTTGTCCTCAGACATGTTGAATAAAACAAAGATTATCATCTCTTTTCTTGAGTATTCTAAAATATTCAAAGTCTTTCTAAAACATGTGTCTTAATTGATCTCCCGAGAAACTATTTGTGATTGATGGAGAAGGTAGCAGAATATCAATTTTATAAATGAAGAAATTGAGGATAAGAAGGTAAATTGATCAATGCAAAAGCACTAAACATAGGAGCTATTATTACATAATATTTTGCTCCAACTATTACCATATCAACAATATACTTTCACTTTTTCTTTTTGTTTTTTTCCAATAAATCTCTCAAAAATAAGTAAACTTCTGAAAATGAGGCTGGATGACAGTAATTTAATGATTATTATAATGCTATATGCAGACATCAATTGTAATGAAGTAATTTTTTAATTCATTGTCAGTGTTTCTGTAGTTAGCAAAGATTTAGGGAAAAATAACTGTTCATTAAATATTTATATATAACCAACCGTGCATATAAGGTGTAAAGATACATGAACGAGGAAGATAAAACTTCTGGCCTCTAGGAGCTCACAACTGACACCAGTGGTTCTCAACAAGGGGTTATTTTGCTCCCCCCAACCTCCACCAGAGGACATTTGTCAATATCTGGAGATATTTGTTATTGTCATACTGGGATGGTGAGCTGGTGTTGGAGTTATTGGCATCTAGAAAGTACAGACCAGGGATGTTGTTAAACATTATAGAATGCAAAGAATAGCTCCCTTCAATAAAAAATGTTCAGGTCCAAAATGTCAACAGTACCAAAATTGTAAAATCTTGGCTTACTTCAAGAGGGCAAATAATTACAAAACAAGTGCATGGATCAAGACAAATCCCTATTAGAACCCAAAGGAGCAACAAACTCTGGCTGGGCAGGAAAGAAGAAGTTTCATGGGGACAGTGTCCATGGGCTGTGTCTGAAAGAACAGATTCAAATAAAGTCATCAAAGAAAAATGTACATTAAAAAGCTGGGATCTAAAATAGGGACAGCATTTCTTGAAAGTTCTTTCCAGGGAATACCAAGGTATATAGGGGCATAGGATTATAAAGGTATTAAACACACATGCGCGCGCGCGCGCACACACACACACACACACACACACACACTGTTAACCCGTTTTACATTGTTATAGAAGAACACCTGAGGCTGGATAATTTATAAATAAAAGAGGTTTATTTGGCTCACAATTATGCCGTCTGTACAAGAAGCACAGCACCAGCATCTGCTTCTGGTGAGGCCCTCAGGAAGCTTTTGCTCATGGCAGAAGATGAAGGGGGAGCAGGCGTGTCACGCTGGCAAGAGAGAGAGCAAGAGAGATGCCAGATTTCTTTAAACCACCAGCTCTCATGTGAACTAATAAAGAACTCACTCTTTACCTTGGGGATGGCACCAAGCCATTCATAAGGAATCTGCCTCCATGACCCAAACACCTTCCACCAGACCCTACCTCCAACAATGGGAATCAGATTTCAACATTAGATTTAGAGGAGACACATATACAAACTGTCTCTCACAGACACACACACATGTGTGCAGTTATGCATACACACAGATTCCTGAGGTCAGACTTTGAGCAAAGCAAACTTACCAAAATTAAACAAGATTCTTCACTACATGACTTATTATAACTTTAAGATGTAATTTTCCAAGAGGAGAATATAGTATTCAGCGTTTTAAAAATATATTTAACCAGATATATATTGTTTTAGAAATGCATCTCTTGTGATTAGTGTTACATGGATCACAGCTTTGAAAAATGACATTTTAGACAGTAGGAGATCATTTAAGGACGTTAAACAGAGGAAGTGGTCTGAGCATATGTCCGATTTTAGAGGGTAAGTAGTAACTGTGCAGAAATGGACTGGGGACACACCTGCAGTGGGAAAGACAAATGAGTCATGAGGGACCGGTTAGAAGGTTATCACAATAGTTAATGTTAAAATTAATGGAGTCACGTATTAGGGCTATGGTTAGAAGACGGTTGTGAACTAGACGTGAGGGCTGTCATGTTTAGATGAGAGTAACACCCTTTATGCCTCATCGCTTGCCCTTATTTTCTCCTTTAATTTATTTTGTCCATGGAAGAATGTCCATCCATTAGCAGAATCACAGCATAAAAGGCATACTGTATACGTATGCACTAGGCTTGGGATTTCAACCTACTATAGACCTGCAACTAAGACTCTCTCAGGCACAATTCTCATTCACTAAGTACTGGAGTGAAGCCATTATCCCTAAGTAAGGCAGGCTGTCTTTATAAACTGCAGCCTTGCATGTTTGCACAACACACAATCTTCAGCTTCTGAGGCCCTCTGAATGGTGGAAAGTTGGGCAGCTCATGCATCACTGAGCTCCTTGCTATATGAAGAGCTCCAAAGTTACTGAATAGTCCACACTGCACCATAAATTACAGGGTAGTTATTTCTTAGTTATTTAGCAGTTACAGTGCAATTAGTTCCACTTAATGTCAACTTTTGCCAATACATCTTCCATTAGCCTGAAAATTATAGCTTGGTTCTATAACAGCCGTAATATGCAAGCGGTTTCCAGACTCCAGCTTGCATCTGGGAGGGGAAGGCAGAGAGAAAATTGCTTCGAAAAGCAAGTTGATTTGAATGTGCATGTCTGATCCTCATCCCAATTCAGAAGCCATCCACTGACAACCTGGCAGCCCGCTTCTGTATCAGTGACTGAAGGAGAAGTTTGGAGGAATACAATGCCCACAGCTGGAGAGTATGGTATAGCTGATGAAAGATAGGAATAAACTTGTCAGTGCTGAAATCCTGAGGTCTGACAAGGTTAACTCCAAGCTGTGAGTATATAGAAGACTTGGATTAGTTCAGCTTTGGTACTTAGTTCAGAGTTTACCAACATACCGTTTCATTTTTTAGCTCACTTTCCCACTGAATGTACAAAGGGATTACACAAACCAGACTTACTTTGCTTTTATCCAAAATTTACATAGCCCATGTATCTTATACTTTGCAGAGTAAGATTTTAAAGAAACATGGCTTAGCACCTCTCTCTCTCTCTCTCTACACACACACATACACACACACACACACACACACACACAAAATGGAGTAAGGTTTTATATAACAGGCTTTTTTTTTAACCTCTACTGGCTTAATCCTTCAAAAGGTGCTTGGGTCATTTATTAAGGACTCAAACATAGCATATATTTACTGGGCACTTGCTATGTGCCAGCCATGATGCTAATAATGTTGTTTGAGTTATCTTATTTCATAAGGTTGGTATCACACTGTAATTTCCCTTTTTAATAAACAAGGACTCTTAAGTACTGAAGAAGTTAAATAACTTCCTCATGCAGTAGTATTTGATTTCAGATCTTCTGAAATCCAAAATCCATACTATTTGTTAAGATATATTCTTTAATTTTAATTGAATAACCTCTCAATATGAACCAGAGAGTGGAAAAACTAAGTAATCCTAGTATAGAACTGGAAGGGTCAGGAGGTTACCAAATAATGTGTTTATTTGCACATGTGTGTATGCATTCAGTGTAATTTAAACTGATTCTAAAAGTGTTTGCCAAAAGGACATCTGTTTTGAATGATGACAGCTTTGTTATAAGCACATGTGGCTTCCCATATAGGAGGTCAGCAAGAGCTGACATTTCTCTGTTGTGCTTTCCTTTGCTTGCATGTTTCTTGAGACCCTGATGCCGTCTTGCTTTGATTTATAATTCATTGTTTATATTTGCTGCCTCCCACTTATCTCCAAGGTTAGAGGCTGGATCTTCCTCATCTCCATACACCCTTGCCCACCATAACACATGACCTGGTAGAGCAGCACATACAGTAACAAAGGATCTGGACTGTGCATGACCATAATGCACATTTAATGACATTTCTAAGCCTTGGTTTCTTTATTGGAAAAAATGGGTACAATAACACTAACCTACTTTATAGGAGTTTTGTTAAGGCTAAATAAATATATCATGTAAAGACTTTGACTAGTATCTGTAACAGAGTATATTCACAATGAGTGGCTAAAATTATCATTCATAAGATGATCATTTTGATAATAGTAATAATAGCCTGTTTCGATGAAAGAAGAAGAACAAAGGGAATTTTTAAAATATTCAGTTGTCCAAAGAATCAGGATTAAACACAACAAAGAATAAACCAGCCTCTAGTGCATTATGCACTCTCGTCCTGTCTTTTCCTTTATCTAAAGGAAGGTAAAATGCATACCTCAATTGTTTATATACAAGAGCACATGACTTATCAATCAATGCAACCCAATGTGTGTATAGCTCTAATGTCTATCTCTACAAGCATCCAGACGAGTGGTGAATGACTTCCTCAGATTCAATCAGCAGATTTGCAGTAGAGTATAAAAATTTTCCTCCTTGGTCTCTACCTTAGCTCTTGTTACTAATAATACCACAACTGTGGTGGTCACATTACATCCATTATCTCAGTAGCTCCAAAGACAACCCATAAGATCAATAAAACTTTTATTATTTCCCCTTATTCATCTTCATATCCTGAGCTATCCGACTCAGTGGCTTATTGGTAATGACTTTTTGGCAGTTATTGAATATTTGTGGAATAAATGGAAGTTAACTATAAAGTAAGTTTTGTGTTTAAGTGACAGACAACATTTAATCAAGCAGTCAACCAATACTCATGAGAGTCTTACCCTGGAGAGAAAAGTTATTACTGGATAAACCCTGTACTTTTGCAGCACTTTCAAACATTGTATTAAAATTAAATATGACAACAAGCGTTCTGATTAAACTTATATGTGGTATTTAAAGTAGTTCAATTTGTAGAAACAGAAAGTGGGATAGGTCATTGGAGGTTGAGGAAAAGGACAGTTGCTATTTAAAGGGTATAGAGTTTCGGTTTCACAAGATTAAAAAAGTTCTGGAGAGCTATTTCGTAGCAGTGTGAATACACTTAACACTAGAGAACTGTACACTTAAAATGCTTAAGATGGTAAATGTTATAAAACGTGTTTTGTTAACCACAGTAAAGAAAAAAATAAGCATGACCTTTTCAAAAACTTAGAGCACAAGGTTAAATATAAAAGTTTACAAATACATTGATCCTCCACCATTGTTTCTGTCTCCTAAATCCATAGATTTCCTCCACAGAGACAATAGCTGTTAATGATTTCTGTGTTTCCTCTCAGAGAGTCTAAAACATGTATGTGTGTGTGTGTGTGTATATTTGTTTCTTGTCTTTTTACATTGAAGATGTATCAGGATTCAATCAGAGGAGAACCAGTATGAGACACACATACACTTTTATGCACACATACACTAATACATGCATACACACAGACATGCATATGCAGAGATTTATTAGGCAAAACTAGTTTATCCAATTGTGGGGGCTCACTAAACAAGTCAGAAGTCTGTAGGACAGGTAGGAAGGGAAGATCACATGCAAACTGGAATTTCACAAACACAAGATGAAACCCATTGTGCACAGGCAGTGGTCAGGAAGGAAGATCAAGAAAGAACAACTATAGACCCAGCTGTTTGGAGTATCTGCCTCAGGAAGTTCATGAGACTCTTTCTAAAGGCCTTCCAGGTGACTGAATCAGGGCCACACTGGGTAATCTTCCTTTTAGTTAACTAAAAGTCAGCTGCTTAGGGACTAAAATCACACCTGTGAAATCGCTTCACAGTAGCATCTACATTAGTGTTTGATTGAATAGTTGGAAGAAAGTGTGGGTATGCTACAAAAAGTGGCCACAGCTTTCTTTATATTTCCCGACTCTCCTGATAGAATATTCCTTACAGTTGTCCCTAATAAGAAATGTATTATGAAGTACATCCTGGGACCATGGCTTAGCCTAGCCAAGTTGCTACATCAAAAAGCATCCCAGTGATGCCATGCTGTACGTGATGTTAGTACTTGGTCTTGTGTCAGAAAGATTTATCATACTATTAAATAAAAAACTCTTTTTAGCAGCTACACGATATTTCAAGGCATATGTGTAATAACTGCTTTTAGTGATGGACATTTATGTTATTTCCAGTCATTTTCTCACTTCCAACAATGCCTCAATATTTACCTTATATGTGTCTTTCTTAGATGTACCAATATATTTGTAAACAGTATTATTAGAAGTGGGAATGTGAAGTCAAATCATATATGCATTTAAAAATTTTGCCAAATATTGCTAAATTTCTCTTCAGAGAGGATGCAGGAGCTTGTCCTTCCACCAAATCTTAGGCATTCCTTATGCTCAAGATGGTCCTTTTTCCTTCTTTGCTTGGGTTTCACCCAGCTCAGCACTGTCTATTCTTCCGCAGGGAGACAGAATTTCTCCAAAGTGTGGAGCTTCCCATGAATCTACATTTTCACCTCCTTGAATTTAATCCCTTATACCTGAGTTACTAGAGCAAATATTGAATCCAGTATTGTGCATTACAAATAGGGTATGCTAGCCAATATATGGTAAACTTCTAGAGAGTCACAGGAATTTGGGGTGGGAGATATCACAGAGAATAAAGCATACCCTCTCTCATGTATTGTTCAGTTTTCCTAAAAACTTTTTTTGCAAACTTACGTATCAGCTCTCAGAATTTGTAAAGCCACCTGTGCCCTATTTGATATACACCCTTTGAAACTTTCTAAGGTGATTTTATTTGGGGGAATATTCTAATTAGAGACATAATTGCACAGCTAATTGTGAATAACACTTAAATGGTAGAAGTAAGTGTTCAAAAAGGTTTTGACCTTAGAAAGTGGAGGGTGCAACAAACGCATGACAAGAAGAAGGAAGTAGTTAGATATGTACTGGTGCCTTTCTCTTTTATTCTAAAATACGTAGATCTGTTCTTAATTTGACAATTTTACCTTTTCAGTATGAACTCAAGGCCTAACTAATGATATGACCTCCGTTCAGTGAGATACAGGAAAGGTTGTTAAAGACTTTAAAATGCCTGTGCACTTTCAGGAGAGAGAGAGAATGTACTGGCTCAGATGTTTTGAGTTCAGAGATCTGCAGCCGTTTGAAAACCCAGCGAACTGAATAGGAATAAAATTGTCCACATCAAACAAAAGCTGTCCGTAGCTTTTGTGCCTGGTCTTATCCTTTAGAGCATCAAAGAAATCCTTTTCCTCCATGGACAAAATAACCTCACATAAATCAATAAAGGAAGAGGCAGTGAGAAGAGAGTTTGCCAGATTCAAGCAAGTAGAAGGAGCAAGGGCTGGGGAAGGTCTGATGGCAGGAGTGTAGGGGGAGAAAAGGAGATAAAATACTGATGCTATTCAAGGGACAGAGTTGGGCCATGTAAAGCATGGGTGAGGACAGCAGTTAACAGAAGGGAGACAGAGTGAAGAGAGACAGAACAAAAAGAAGACTGATGGGATTGAGAAAATGTAGGGTAAGTGGAGACAGAAAAAAAAAATCCACTAGGCTGTTTGCTACTCTCTATATTTAGTTAGATATTAGAGATGGGGGTCTTACTATGTTGCCCAGGGTGGAGTGCTATGGCTATTCTCAGGTGCCATAATAACACACTATGGCCTCAAACCCCTGGGCTCAAGCAATTCTCCCATTTCAACCTCCCAAGGAGCTGGGACTACAGGCTTTTGATACATTTTTACTGAATACCTATTATAGGTGCAGGACTCTGAGACTGAGCACCTCCTTGAGAGTTATGATCCACTGTAGCCCTGGCCCTAGTATCTAATATGTTCTGGCACTGTCCCAGGCCCTGGTGACATAGTGCTTAACAAGACACAACCCTCGTTCCAAATGGAGAAAACAGAAGGAAGGTCAGTAGGCAATTATAAGCCAGTGTGATACAACCTTTGAGAGGAGGTACTCGGGGTTACAAGAACACACAATAGGGGCACTTAACCTCCTCCAGGAGAAACTAGAGTTGGGATAGAGACTAAGGAAATGGAAAGACAACAAAGCAAGAGCAGACTAACATTTCCTCATGGTTTATGTAGATAAGGAAAATGATGATGATAATTATAACAGCTAATGTCTGTTTTTAAGGCACTGCCTTTAGTGTTCTCTCTCCTGATCTAGGTTCTCACAGATATTATCTCATATTAACACAGCAGTATTGAGTAATAGCTATTATTGACACATTCTGAATGTGAGTAAATTCCATATTTGAGTTAGATAATTTTCTCAAATTCACAGAATGTGAACCCATCCATGTTCATCTTGCATCTAAGACTATGGTCTTTCCATTACACTATGTTGCTAAGAGGAGAAGGGAGGGAAGATCAATAGAAGGTGAGAGGATGGGAAGTGTGCAAGAGAAGAGAGGAAAGAAACATAATGAAGAATGAAGTTGGTTCTTAGGAGAAGGCAGGCCCCAGGTGAGGAATGGAGGCAGTGAGTTAATGAGCAGCGTGGGCAAGGATGATAAGGTCGTGCAGACGTAAGAAAGTTGCAGGTGAACTAAAAGGTCTGAGTGTATGCTATGGAAGAAACGGATACAGTAGATGCAAAGAGACCATGAGAAAGGGAAGGAGAAGCAGCACAGTTGAGAGATCCCAGGATCAAATAGCAACCATGAAGAGCCCCAGTGGATTTTACAAAACTGGCCCACTTAGGCACTTAACTTGGATTTCTCTGACTCTGGCCTCTCCACAGAAGCCAACATCATCTCTGGCCCTTGAAGTCCCCAAGACAGAGAGGTAATACAAGGCCTGAGATGTGAGCTGAGGCGTCACTGTTGGTCTGTCTAGCCAACATCAGCACTGCGAACACAAAGCTCTGCCTTTCCTGAAAAAAAAAAAAAAAAAAAAAAAAAACAAAAACAGTGGAAAGGATTGCATAACACTAAGGAGAAAGAAAAGAAGAAAAGAATGTAGGTCAGAGGGGAGCCACTGGGTCCAGGCTGTAGAATTACAGAGAATTTTCAAGACCAATCTTTTATTTTATAGATGGGAAAACTGAGGCTCAGGAAGAACAGAAGTCCTGCTCTAGGTCTCTCAGCAAATTGAGGCCAAAGCCAAACCCCATTCCATACTTCTCCCAGTGTGCTCTCTGCCACCCTATCTGTGAGAGGAAGGGGAACAAGAGGCCCAGGGAATGCAGGCAGCTGGATAATTGAAAGAATGTTAAGGGCCAGCTTGTTCTTCTGCAGTTCCCCATGGCAGGGGCATTCACCGCAGGCAGAGCCCATTCAGGAAGCTCAGGTTGTAAGAGACTGTGGGTTTAAGCAGGTGCTGCTATTTCTGTTCTGCTCCCTGTCTATTTTCAACCACAGGATGCCGTAGGAAGGACTTGTGAAACAGCAGCTTTGCTGTTCCTTCATTCTTTCCTTCCCCAATTCGGTCTCCCCTTCTGCAAACCACAACTCCAACTCTGGCTTATTCCTGTAGATAAGGGTGCTCCAACCCTTCACAGGCTGATCTGGGATGATGTGCTGCCTGTCTTGGATGAGTCACTCTGGCTTATGTAGGAAAAGGTAAGGAGGCAACCTCATATGAGCTTTCTGTGAAGGCACCCTGGAGATCACTCAAACTAATATCTTTAAGCTTCCCAGCAGCTGGGGCTCAATATATGTTTGCTGAGTCAATGAATGGATGAATGAATAAATGAATGACTAAAGATTGAAGCACTTCTCTTTAATTTATAAGTGAGAACACTTAAGGCCAATAAGTGAAAAGATTTTCCAAATGTTTTGCAAGTGAATGATAGTGCCAAAACTAGAAGCAGGTCTTCTGAAGAAGCTCAGGGAGCAGGGATGGGGTCATGACACAGCTATGCCATAATAAACCATGAAGGTAATGTTTGATCTAAATCCCTCAGGCTCAATCTATGCTAGTGAGTTCAGAAGTAAATCAAGAGGAAAATCCAGGCATGAGAAAGCCCCAGAGGCAGGAAAGTACATGAGTGCATGAACTCCTTGGATCCACCATAAGAGGTCCATGCTCACAAGGTGAGGCAGGGTCAGGTGTGTAGAGGGAGTTGTAGGTTCCACTAAGCAAGAAAGCTCCATGTATGCTGCAAGAAAGTCAACCCTATGAAATTGCCAAGCTGAATTTCCAAAAGAGCCAAAAACAGGAAAGGATATCAAGGACAGGAAAAATGAAGCAGGATAATGAAAGGGAGAGAAAAATGAGAGAAATTGTGGGTTCTTCCAGAATCAATGAATCTCACAAAGAAATTGCCAGTGAGACCAGCAGCATGTGCGCTAGGCAATCACGAGAAATAATATGAAAGAAAGATAATTTAGAAAGAGCAGTTGATATCAGAAGCGCTATTTGAAGAGGAGTTTTCCTTTAAAAGGGTGCAAAGGAAAGGGTGGTCTAGTGGGCTGACCTGCTCTTCTGGCCCAATGAGAACAGAGAACACACAGGTGCTTCTTCCCCTGAATTATCTCTGAGCTTGAGTAAGAGCTCACGGTAGAACTGGGAAGGGCTGGAATTATCTCTGTAGCAAGAGGGATCTTCTTGAAAATCAACCTCAGTGAAAAACGGCAACAGGTAATTCCAGAAGAGCTTTTGTTTGTTTCCCTAAAGTAACTGTAGAAGAATTAAATCCATACTTGAGAGGGCAGCACATCACTGTTTTATAGGAGGTATGATCTGGTGTGGTACAAAGTGCATTAGATGAATATGCTGTGCTTTTAGTTCTATCCGTGGATTTGCGAGAAATCACTTTCTGCCTTGAAGCCTCAGTTTTCCTATCTATAAAATACTAGTGCTTTATAAGATTTTTGAAGTCGTAACCTACTTTATTTTGTCTCTATTTCTCCTTTGTAAATATTTACAACATCTTTCATTCCTTCTTACTGTGGGAAATCACTGGGGGTAGAAAAATCACTTCTTTTTTAATTACTTTTACCTGGGTAATAAGGGCGAGGCTCTTCAAAAAGAGAACCAGGAGCTCTGGGAGGAAACCAGTTTAGACACGTGTTGGTTATTGCTTAATAATTAGTCAGACTCTGAGGTCCTTAAAACAAAAACACGATGATGTTGAGATGATTCTGGATGCTTTTACATTTTAGTTCCTGGCAAGGCCCCTTCCTCGTATGCATAGGCAAAACTGCTTCTTTAACCAAGGTCAGGTTAAATGGACTGGACGTGGACAGCTCTGCATTTGGCTGCAAGCCACTCAGAGCTCAATAACTATTGCATTTCGTCCTGTGAACTTTGTGACTGAGGTCGGTTTCACATTTCTTTATGAGCGCTCTTTCTGCAAATGCCTTTCCTCACAAAGAGCATTTCTAAAGGTTGAATATGGTGATTAGTGACACATACACACTTAATCTTCTCCAGTCTTTCCCTGTCTGTGGCTCCCCTCCGTGCTTTTAGTCCTTCGAGTTTTATGCCTGTATCAAGGAAATGTTTTCATCTGTCTCACTGCTATTTTCTTTTCTGTCTTATAAATCCTTAAAGAAATGTAGTATGAGTGAATTTAGTGAGAGGCTGGATGGATGGCTCCAGAGAATGAATTCTCTTCATCTGAAGAACAGTCTCTATACACAGAGAAGCAAATAGCATCTTCCAATTCTGTCAATGTGATTATTAAGCATGTATAGAGCTTTTCCCTCTTTCACTATAACAGTTACAAGCAGTTTAATTAGTTGGTTTTCACCCCAGTGTTGTAAAGATAGATGATTCAATTTATCCCCTCTTAGATTAAATGCGCATTTGAACCCAAGCACTCTGATAGAGTACCTAGAGTGCTCGGCTTGGTGTCAAATGCCCTGGGTTAATCTTTGGGGCCTGCAGTCTTTAAGCGACATGACCTACTACAAATCAGTTCATGATTCAGGGTCAAAAAAAAAAAAAAAAAAGCACGTTGTGACACCAACAGAGCATGCATTCTCAATGACAGTGAGACAGTCTGCTTCCCCAAGGGGGTGATGATTGGTTCTTATAAAAAGAAAAAAAAATCTTCCTCTTTTTATATACAAAGCATGGACTTGCATAATGCATAGAAACAGATATTCAGCATATCTGTGATATTAAAATTTTATAGAAAGGGGGGGCAATTAGGAAAAAAAAGTCTAAAATTTCTCCTCAGGAGGTATAGTAATGAAAAAAGTTGAGAAACCATGAAACAGAACAGGGATGGAATATTCTTTGAGCACCTACTGTGTTGCAGCCCTGATGCTACCATTAAGCCTCACAACAACGCTGTAAGGGAGCTGTGGATAAGTGTCTTTATTTAATACGAGATTCAGGATAGGAGGCAACTCAGATAATATGTGCCAAATACCTTTTAGCAATAAAGTTCTATACAAATATAAGATGTTATTTCAGGTATTAGTAATTTCTTAATGCCGTATATAGCAGTTAGCAATTGTTGTGAAATAAACTACCCAAAGCTAATGACTTAAAACAATAACCATTAGTTTAGCTCACCATTCTGTTGGTCGGCAAATTGATGTGGGTTCAGCTGAGCAGTTCTGGGATTGGCCAGGCTCCCTCACAGACCTGCGGTAAGCGACTGGTCATTCAGGCAGCTCTGCTCCTGCAGGTTGGCTGGCTATTGGCTGCAGCAATGGGGATGCCTAGGACTAGTGCCTATCTAGATCCAGAAGGACAGCCCCACTTTGTATTCCCAGGGTAGCAGCAGGGTTCCAAGAGACCAGCTGAAGTGGAAAAGACCTCTTGAGGTCTAGGCTTAAAACCAACACAGTCATTTCAACTATAAAACATTTGTCCAGAGCAAATCCCAAGGCCAACACAGTTTTCATGCAGTAGAAGGAATTACATTTCTTGATGGGAGAGGCTACAAAGCCACATTGCACAGGTTGTGAATGAATGAAGGTGAATTGCAAAGGGTATGAATGAATTGCAGGCTTTAGGATAAACAGTCTTTCTTATCACACTAAACAGGTATCATAGTCACTGGCTTGTCTATCTTGGGACCAAAAACATACGTTTAAAACAGTAAATGATGATACGAATATTAATTGTTACCATCCTCTGGCTTTTCATTTTTAAACCATACTTGGAATGTGTGAGCAAAAGAGCGGACACAACATCCCCTTATATGAATGTTATGGGATAGTGGCAAAACAAGCACTTGCTAAATAGCTCCAGAAGAGTTTAAGAGATACAGTCCTTTTCCGAAGCTTGCTTTAAAGACCTTCTTTTTGAGAAAGGCAGTCTAATAGACATGCTAACTAGCCATTCATCTCAAGTTCCCAAGTTTTATTCAAGCATTAAGTTGGGGCATCAAAAAGTCGGTGCTTGGACACCATTATATCAGCTTTGCACAAAATTGCCTGCCTGAGTTATGATTTAATGTCATACCCTCTGCCTTTATGGAGGGTTAGTATGTGAGTCACCCAAGAGAAGAATATTTCTATATCTTTTGTAAAATTCTGGTTGTAGATAAAGTGCACTGAATTATCTTTGTATTTCCTTTACATATAGGTGTACATGCTAAATTTCTGGTTGGGTTAAGATCCAGAAAGAATTGTCTCTGTTGATGAATTTGTATGTTTTCTGTTATTGTGTAATTTCAAATGTTTCTTTTTATAGCTTAGCTGCTAGAAAATAAACTAATTGTCGTTGTACTATAATCTTGTCAACTGAAGTGTCTGAAAGTGCCAATTCTATCTGCTTTTTCTCAAATGCATTTTCAAATAACCTTATATGTTATTTCTCCTTACTTGCCTTAACTGCTAAGTCACCTTAAGCTATTTCAAAAGAAGTCAAAGGATATATTTAAAATATCTTTGTTTTTTAAGTGAACTAGTGTCCTGGGGAGATGTTTGCATAATTATAAGTTTGAGTTTGAAAGATTAGCCCTTCAGATGCTATTGTTAATCACTCTATGTACAAAGACTATGTTAAGCTGCTTCCACATGGATGGGGGTGCCTGGGTTTTGCTCTTTGATCCTGATAATTTTGCTTTCCTGAATTGTGGTTATCTGCATTGAAGAGTCTTTCTACTGAGTTATGCTTTTTTTCTATAACAATATACATCTTTTTTTAGATATAGCAATATTATATTTACTAGAATCACCAACTATATTTAATGATACACGATTGAGCTAAAGATTTAAAGTGCCGTGAAACTTCCCTAGCTTTAAGTTGGTATTCCCTTTGATAATCTTCATGTTGGTCACAACTTCTAAAATGCAACTACATTTCTGATTGTCATTAGTTCAGCAACTCTAGGGAGCTACTCTAAACTTGAATTCAGATCAGTTAAGTGTTAAACCCTATCCCTAGTGTTTGCTGCTGTTTCCTGTGGGTTTTCATCATAGTGGCCAATAAATATTTACTGAGTGACAGAATAAGTGTTCAGTCTACATCTTTGTCACTGTCAGGGAGATTCCTGGCCACTCTGGCCAAACAATCTCAATCATGCTATGGGCTTGAAATTACATGCTTTACAAGTTGGTTGCAAAAACTGGGTAAGATGATGGCCATAAAAAGCTGCAGTGAATTATGAAACATTGTAGATGTGGACGTGCATGAGAAAGAATCCTCTTCCTCTTTGGCTTCCTCTTCTTCCTCATCTCTAACATTGTCTTATCATCATAACTCATGGTTGTATTCTGAAAACAGACTCAAGATATTGTCCTCTAGAGCTGTTTTTGGAGCAATGTGCAAGAATGTTCTGAAAGTTCACTGATTAAAGCACACCTGTACAAGGAGGCCTTCTACATCCAGGTCAGCTCCACCCTAGACTGGTTCAGTGAAAGCCGAAGATGCTTACAAATATGAGTCCTGCTGTTACATTGCTTCAGCTCTACAGCTACATTGAGTCTGTTATGCCCTTTGGTTGAAGGAAGCATGCAACATTTCTCTTTCATTGTCATATGCCATCAATTTCTTCCCATTTGGGGGAGTATGGAAGCAGGGGAGATGGTGACGAGGGAGAAGGCGAGAGAGACACACAAAGACAAAAGCACCCAAGACATGTTTTCTTACATCACTATGCAATCTAATGGGCACTAAACTGACATCGAAACAGAGAAAAAGGTCTAAAATAATAATAATTAATAATAAAGTTATTTATGTATTAAATAAAGCTAGAGTAGGATACAGACAATGAAGTCACAACTGGGGAATTATGGAGGCTTTCAGGGGATATCTGAGACCCATGGGCTGCTCCTCAGTGGTAGGAAGGAAATATCTGAGACTATGAAAAGAGCACTAGATTTTTAGAGTCCTGGATCCTAACCTTGGGTAAGACTTCATAGCTCTTTGAACCTCAGTTTCTTTTATCTGTAAACTCAAAGTTTAATACAAGGTGGGCTCTAAGATTTCATTCAAGCCTCAAAGGCCATGATTCTGTCCATAAATTTGTGACAACAAACACCACATGTTTTTGGTGACCACAACATCTCAAATTCTATCTCGAATTTGAGATAGAATAAGTGGATGCAAAGAGTTGCAGTCCAGTCACTCTAAAGTTAACTCTTTCTTAGTTATTTTTAATGTGACATTCGTATATTTTTCTAGCTTCTGAAAGGGCCTCTGTGTTTATCTCACTTACAGTGATTGTTAAAAGGTATGGGCCAGGAAGAAGGGGCTTGCCTCTTAGGGACCCCGTCAGAGACTTGGGCAGAGCTAGTTGGAAAAATACATTTTAATAAAATTGTCATTAATTTTGTGTTTAGTCACAGCATGTATTTATCAAAAGAAAACACAAACTTCAGTTAAAAATCAGAAACTGAGCACATACGACATCACATTGAAAAATGTTTGTGTCTTTCTCTTGCATAAACCTACAGCCTGCTCCTCACTGGTAGTAAGGAAGCAGGATTATTTTTTAACACTTTATCATCAGCCTGACTGATGATGGATTCCCAATATTGGTGGAAATGAACTGAATCCCTCTTATCTGTTTCCTAAGTGAAAGTCTATTTGAAAAATAAGGCCACTCTGTTTATGTGAAGCAGGGGATGAAGAGAGTAAGCAGGGAAGATCCTTAATCTGCAAAGTTCTTTATCTTGCATTTTTTTTCCTCTCAAATGCCTTTGCAGAGAGATGGATTTTTTGGTAGCTATAAAGTTAGAAAAACACACTGTGAAATATTTAACATATAATCATTTTACACTATACAGTTCATCAATAAAAGCAGTAATGGAGAGTTGTGTAATAAATTAAATATGAATGTAGTTGGAAGTAACAGTGGTTCCAGGCATCAGCTACATGTCCCATTAGAGCCAAGGCAGACAGCGTAATATTTGTTGAATAAACAGTTACTATTGACAAGCAGAAAAGGGGGAGGGCAAACAATCAAGAAATGTCATTTTGATTTTTTAAAAAGTAAAGAAAATATATTCATTTACCCTCTATTACGAATACATCAGAATTATGCTGATTTTCAATAAGACAAACACTTATTAAGGCAAAAATTAGGTTGAATCATCACGAACTACTATTTATATAGGTCAAAAATAGTTGGATATTTTGGAATGTTCACATGCTTTAACCTAAAACTATGTATATAAAGCAGTGCTAGTCACTGCAATTTCAAAGATGAATATAGTCTTTATTATATTATTATATTCTATTTTATTCCCTTGAGAATGTGAACAGGCTTATCAAAATATTCATAATAAAATGAAAAAATACAAATTGATTAAAATAAGAGAATCTAAAACTTGTATGGAAATTCAAGATCAGGCAAGAACCCTATGTTCTTACCAGTTATTAAAATGGATACAAAATATGACTCTGAGCATTCTAGCAGCCAAGACAAGGTAGAAGTAAAAAGAATACTGGTTTTGCACATAAGTAAAAAGCCTACAAAAAGAAGATTTATGGCACAGAGGTCTGAGTAACACATGGAAATGAGGGATAGATTGAATTAAAAAATACTTTTAGTACCAGGACATGAAATCATCTAGTAGCATTTTGTTGTTATTTTGGTTGTGGTGGTGTTTTTCATATTTATTTGTTTGTTCATTTTTAATTTTCAGATGAGATACCAGAGAATGAGGATCAAATGTGAGGGTTTTAGAGGAAAAAATGTGGGGAAAGTATCATTTGATTGTACTCTCAAAAGTGTATTAAAAAGCCTGTGATACCTAAAGAACAACACCTAGAAACAGGAAAGCTAGAAAGTGGTAGGCTATTGTGAGAAAAAAAATTAGAAATGACCCAGAGATTTACACCTGCCCCTCACTAAAAGGACTGGGGAGGAGACACGAGATCAGGCCAACAAGATAAGGAAATCAGCTCTGTGCTGGCCATTTTAAAAAGAAAATTGTATAAGGTAATGGTATTAACAAATATTGTATTTAGTATATGCCAGACACGATTCTGAGTACTTCACATACATTGACTCATTAAATTCTTACAATAACCTTTTGAGGTAGGAAATACATTCACATTTTACAGATGAGGAAACTGAAGCATGAACAGTTACGTAACTTTCCCAAGACCACCCAGCTAGCAAGTGCCAGACCTAGGTTTCAAAGCTGGCAGTTCAAAGCCTATGCTGTCAATGGCTGTGTCAGTGGTGATCTTGGGTAAGTTCTGCCTCTCTTGTATCTGCTATCTTTCATGTCTATAGGCCTTTAGGAGACTTACCAAAAAATTCAACATGTATTCAGTTGCACCCACAATGCACACATGTAGGCAACAAATGGTTTGTCAACTGGAAGAAGAGACATTCATATGACAAGGTGTTGTCAGAGAATGGCACAATAGAATACAACTCAAGGGATTGTGAAATGTGGTGGTAAAAAGCAAGGGCTCTGAAGCTAGAGAGATGGTTTGACTCCTTGTAATTTACTGCCAAGGAAACCTCCAAGATGTTTTCTAATCCCTCCTAGCTTCAATGATCTAAATCATTAAGCAGGGACAATAGTGTCAGTCTCACTGAGTTTGTGCATGGATTAAATGAGATATTGTATAAAAAGCATTTTTTTAGTACATTTTCTGGAAGACAGTAGCTCACAACAAAGGGTACCAGTGGTGGGGTGTTGGTGGTGGGGATGACTAGGATACACAGACAAGAGGCACAAGCCCCCAAGCAAGGATTAATGACTCCCGTTACCTTAGCTGAAGTTCTGCTAATAGAGCAGAGAATACCCAGATTGATCTAAATTGAGAGACTGCCGGGCTCAACTATTCATCAATGGGTAAAGACAGAGCACAGCAATGAGACCTCATTCACTATTTCAAGACAACTCCCTTTTACAGGTTGAGAAAAAAAATCAACATAGCCCCTTTCAGGTTTGTCACTTTAGTTTTATGGATGTCTCCAAACCGTAGGGCATTGTAGCTGAATGAGCCCACAGAATTTAACTAATCTAGCTCCTTCACTCTAGAGTACATGGAAACTGAGGCTTATAAATAAATGAATTGTTCAAAGTTCCAGGGCAACTCAAGGGAGACCTGGTCAGTGCTTCTCACTCTAGAGTTGTTTTTCGTGTTCGTTTGTTTGCTGCCCTAGCCTGTCCCATTGAGACAATCATTCTTTCATTGATAATGATTAGGGGTGGCCTGTGATAAGCACTAGGAAAACAGAGATGAAAATCTGTGTGTGAGTGAGTGTCTGTGTGGTATATGTTTACTCATAGCTGAGAAAGACATATACCCCTCAGCAAACTGGGGAAGTAAAAAAGGATTGAACCAGAGAAGGTATAGAAATATTCACTAATTTTATAAGGATTGCAGTGAAGGGGCACCTAATCTGTATGGCATTAGAAATGGTCAGGAAAGGCCTCGGGAAATAGTTGATGACAAAGCTAAGAAGAAAAGGTGTAACTAGGAGAAGAGGAACAGGACATTGTTTCCAGAGAGGGATGCAAAAAGGAATGAAATCAGTCATTCCTTCATAGAAAGCATGGACCCCACAGTCAGAGAAGTCAGACACACTCAACTGCAAAGGCTGTCCAGATGCATTTTAATATAATACTGTCTGCCTTACTCCCAATCCTCTGCTCAAATAAGACTGCTATTAATTCAACCTTCAAGACAAAGAATACCAGACACGGGGAAGTCGAACAGGGAAGTTGAACAACCTTCCCATGTTGTGTAATAAGTACGAGACCTTAAATTCAAAACCTCGCATCCTGACTCCAGATTCTGTGCACAGTCTTAACTACCTTAATTACCACGCAGCATGCTTCTCTGAAATCAAAACCACTAGAAAGTGAGTCTACCTTACATAGAAACATAATTCCAGCGAAAAGCATGCAAAAAGTTCAGTTTGGCATTTGAAACTAAAATGCATTAATATATTTAACTTATATAGTCAGAATTTATTTAATAATTTTAACTGAAAGCTAATTCATAAAATGATGAGAAAATGAACCAGGCCTTGATTTTTTGACAGTAATTTTTCTGACAAAATTGTATGATCAAATGAAATGAAATCCTTCACTTTGCATTTAACTTTCATATCATAATTAGGAGAAAAGGTAATTTTTGTAAAAATATTTGAGAGATTCATCATTTTTCTTCTGAGCCTTCTCCTAAGCTTTTGATATTCAAATATTTCTCTTTTGAAGCTTCTAATCATCTTCCATGTTGATTTTCTTTTTTTCAATTGTTAATTGGTTTAACTCAGCCAAATCCTTATTTGCGAATGGCTTAGGATGTGATTTTAGCAAATCTTAGCATCACTTTCATCAACTTCATGATATTGTATAGCTTTCACAGGACTACAATTTCACTTTACAAGTGAAATGCATTGTATTCTCATTATGATGCTAGTGCTCAAAATATTTTATAAAATCATGACAGCCTAAACGACAACAAAAAGTTTTTTTATCAGATGGGAAGAAATGGAGTAGACGCCTAGGCAGAGGTTAATTTTTTTTTTTTTTTTTTTTTGGTTTTTGTTTTGAGACGGAGTCTCGCTCTGTCGCCCAGGCTGGAGTGCAATGGCGCGATCTCCGCTCACTACAATCTCTGCCTCCCGGGTTCACGCCATTCTCCTGCCTCAGCCTCCCAAGTAGCTGCGACTACAGGTGCCTGCCACCATGCCCGGCTAATTTTTTATATTTTTAGTAGAGACAGGATTTCACCGTGTTAGCCAGGATGGTCTCGATCTCCTGATCTCACGATCCGCACGCCTCAGCCTCCCAAAGTGCTGGGATTACAGGTGTGAGCCACCGCGCCCGGCCGGCAGAGGTTAATTTTATAACAATAGTTTTATTGAATATTTTTGTGTAATGAAGACATTAGCACAATCATAACTAACTGAACTTAAGTAATAAACACGTATATAACAAGGATTCACATATATGCAAATGCCTTGAAATTCCCAAGGGTCTCAGAGCTGCCAAAGTAAAAAACAGGACCCCATCTGCTCAATTTGGAAAAAGGAACATCTTGGGGGAAAAAAAGCAGAAAAAAGATTTTATAAATAGAGTTGTATTTTTTATGTACATTCACTGTATATAACACAGCTCCTATTAGTGTATATCATCAAGTTTATGTGGAGTACAGATTTTTTCCAGCACTTTGATGACTGAGTACCTGCTGTGAGCTGCCCAGAGACAGTGTTTTTCTTGGGAGTTGAACTACACACAAGCTCAATAACTTGAAGTTCCCTTTGCCTAGAGTGGATAAAGGACTTTTGAAATTCACTACCTTGCAGGCACCATCCTTCTCCCAGTGAAAAATAAATAATTAGCTCTGTCTTCTTGATCTGAAGCTCACATTTAGAGCTAGGGAGCAGACATTTTAATGAAGAAACTGAATGACATCAGTGCTATCCACCGGTAATTCTTGGTTTAGAGGGTATCCCAAAAGTCCAGTTAATTCCTCATCGTCAACGAAGACAAGTAACAGAGACGTATTCTTCAATTCAAGGAGAGTAATGTTGGTGTAGAGATTCTCTCCTCCCTGTTATGCCCAGTGCCTTTCTACAAAGCTGGTTTGTGTGCAAAGAGCTGGCCATCTGTTGTGTCTGGGGATGCAGTGCATATGTCTGAGCATAGAAGAAATTCAGACTCTCAGTTTTACAGAACTGAATTCCAGAATTTTTTATGTCAGGAGCTTCCTGGAGCCAAGAAGTAAAGGAACAAATGTTTTCAGTGGACTGTTCTTTCAGTTTACATGTTAGGCTTGGAATCCATAAACCCCTCTATTCCCAAACTGTGACTCAACTCTGCTCAAGTCCACACATTTTTATTAAGTGTATCATTTGGTTTTTACCCATCACCATAAGAAACAGCACACACATAAACAGGCATGGGTATGCATGTAGACACATACACACTCACACACCCACCTCCCCTGCCCACACACACACAAACTCCAGCTTTCATTTGCTGTACAGGTTGTATATTCTAGGCACTGTGGTAAAATGTTTTTGTTCCTTACCTCTTAATACATACACCAACTCTGGGAGGAAGGTGTTTTTATTCCCACTCTACCATAAAGAAACTGAGGCAAGCAGGGTTAAGAAACATACCCGAAATCACAGCACTAACCAAATCTATGGAATTACAATTTGAAACCAGATTTCCCTGACTTCAAAGCCTATAATCTAAAGTTTTGTCTTTTTATGAAACATGATATGTGTGTGTGTATGTGTATAGTACTATTAATATAAAATATATGAAATATGTAAGAGGTGAGAACATCAGCTTTTTGGGAATATATTGGTGTAGGGATTCATTGAAGTCTGAGCTCATAGACTCTCGGAATTACAAGGGACATCAGATGACCTTAAATTACCCTGCACACAAATATCTGCACTGGACAGTAATCAGAAAGGGTGATTCCAAGAGCCTATTTCAACTGTGGGATGTTATTATCTTAATTATTACATGATATCAGTTGCTCCTTTTCAGATTACAGCATCTATACCTCCAGGGGTGTGCCAAGAATCAATGTTACAGGATAATAAGTATTCCAAAAGCTGTGTTAAAACAAAAAGAGACATATTGCTCAATTTAATGCAAAGTTTGCATGGGATGTTAACATAAAACAGGACTTTAAATCCATTTTGTACCTTTAGAATTCATTTCGAGCTACACTTCCTTAGATTCCTATGCATACATACTTAGGGCCTTGTGTCATAAAATTTTGTGGGAGAGGAGAAGTGATGAGCAAGCTCTCAAATATCATCTGACTAAAATTATTTCACTATCATTTCTAATTCACAGAATGTGTTTCCATATTTTGAGTTGAGATCTGCCTTTCCTTCCATCTCTAAATATTGAAAGTCCCTCTGTTGTAAATGCCCAATCCTTTTACTAAACATAATTTTCAGAATAGGATATAATTCTCTCTTTGTCCAGCCAAAGTCTTGAAGCAGATTTTATCTGGGCAGTCAAGTGGTTCCTCAGTCATATTCAGATCATTTGACCAGTGCAACTCGCTACTCTGAACCATGTAGAATCCAAATTACACAACCTTCCTGGCACAAAGCCAGCATTCCACCAGTTCTGTGACCCAGGGAAGGCCATTCCTTTTATGGTGCCCCAGTCTCCTTTTCTGGACAGCATGAAAAATGCAAACTGGTCATATCTAATGTTGACTGTTCTAGTTGGTGAACAGAAGCCCAGAGCTATGACATTTTAGAGCACTTGACCTTGCCCTGGAAGTCAGTGTCCTACAGCATTCCTGCGCCTCTTTTAAAATAATATAGCATCTGCAATCTCTGAAATGAGCCAGGCCTCCAATTCCATTATATCTCCTGCAGGCTAATATTTTTTCTGTTTAATTGTTGTGAGTAAATTTCAGAATTGAGCAACTATGTACGAGCAGCATCCTGAGTAGGATGAGGCACTGTTCTCTCCAATAAAGGATAAAGATCTAAACAATAAGCTAGGGATGGTTATGCCGTAAAGAGTCACCTTTGACCTCCTAGAGAGTGTCATAATGCAACAAAAAAAGTTTCATAAGTGGGAGAAATCCATGTCCCAGGGCTTTAATACTCTCCACCATCACTAAGTAGCTTATCGACACCAGCCAGTCCTGGCTAAAGAAACTGCAAGGACAAACTCTCTCCTGGCATTCCAGCCTCTCCATTACCCAGTCCATTGCCCTTCCTAGTCTAGTCTCCTCCTGCATTCCAATGCTCCTTCCTGTTTCTTGAACATGCATTCATGCCTCAGCACATTTGCAGGGGCTGTTTTCTCTGCCTCAGATGCTCTCCCTCAGCTTGGCAAATTCCCTATTCATCCTTCCTGATCCAAATTAATTAAGCTTGAGCTTTGGAGACACATTGAGCTGGGTTTGAATTCTTACATTCTAATTGGTGTGTGACTCAGGTAAACTATCTCTGAATTTGTAAATTGAGTACAACAATAATTATGTTATATAATTGCTGTGATTAGCACATTAAATGAAATTTTTGAAATTATTAGTAAAATGCTTATCACATAGTTGACACATGGTTATTTTTGTTATTTTAATAGCATTTTTATTGAATTTGAAACAGTATCTATCTCACTCTTAATTCCTTATTCTTAATTATTATCCAATAATAACACTTCTAGTATTCTAAACCAGAAGTTGGCAAACTATTTTTCTGCAAGGGACAAGATAATAAATATTCTAGGCGTTGTGGGCCATAAGACCTTTGTCATAACTACTCAACTCTGCCAATGTTGCATAAAAACAGCTATGGTCCCGGCTAAAACGGTGAAACCCCGTCTCTACTAAAAATACAAAAAATTAGCCGGGCGTAGTGGCGGGCGCCTGTAGTCCCAGCTACTTGGGAGGCTGAGGCAGGAGAATGGCGTGAACCCGGGAGGCGGAGCTTGCAGTGAGCCGAGATCCCGCCACTGCACTCCAGCCTGGGCGACAGAGCGAGACTCCGTCTCAAAAAAAAAAAAAAAAAAAAAAAAAAAAAAACAGCTATGGATAATACAAAAGTGAATGGGCTAGACAGTTTGAACTCTGTTGTCAAATACCAGATTTTATTCAACATAGAACGCTCAGCATCTAACTTAGGGGTGCAACTATAACACATGGCACAAAACTGGCCCTCTGCCTGTTTTTGAAAATAAAGTTTTATTGGAACACAGTCATTCCCACTGGCTTATGCATTGTCTGTGGCTGCTTTTGCCCTGCAATGGCAGAACTGAGTAGTAGATGCAGAGACCATAGGCCTACAAAACCTAAAACATTTACTATCTGGCCCTTTCCAGAAAAAGTTGGCCAGCCTAGCTCAATGATTATTGGCACATGTTTGTTAAATGAATGAAGAAATAGCCAGCATCAACAATCTGGTCTTAGGACATTGCAAGATTTGGTGAAAGGAGATGAAAGAAGCAGGGGTCTTACATCTAGGGAGATTCATAGAGGATAGAGAACCAGCAACAATGGTCACGGAGTAAAAGATTGTGATCCTTGATCTTAGGGTAAAGAATATTTCCTTCTGGCTTCTGTTTTACGCTCCCTGCTAAATGGTGAGCAACCTGGCCATGGCCAGAAGAGGAAACTAAAGCCCAAAGAAGAGAAAAGTTTGCCCAAGCCCATATACGTGATGAAGCATTGAGTTGTTGACAGTCTGCAATTTTGATCCTTGCAGTCACACATGCACCTGACAGAGAGGAAGCCTGAAATGAAAAAATCACCCCCAAAATTGGATCATCACAACAGAACTTCTAATACCCTGAAATGCTTATCTTTTATTTGCCCACCAGTATTTTTCTGACCTATAGTTTGAGATGATCACCTTAATAGTGTGCTTATTTTTGTAATGACTATTCATAAAAATTTAAAAACACATTACGGCATTTCACAGATGAGCAAGGCTATGACTGATGATGCATAAAATTCCCATTCAACCACATTTGGCCAACATTACTCTCTACCCTGAACCCCTGTATTAGTCTGTTCTCATGCTGCTAATAAAGACATACCTGAGACTGGGTAGTTTATAAAGGAAAGAGGTTTAATTGACTCACTGTTCACAATGCTGGGGAGGTCTCACAATCATGGTGGAAGGCAAAAGAAAAGCAAAGGCACATCTTACCTGGTGGCAGGCAAGAGAGCTTGTGCAGAAGAGCTTCTGTTTATAAAACCATCAGATCTCGTGAGACTTACTCACTACGATGAGAACAATATGGGGGAAACTTCCTCCATGATTCAGTTACCTCCCACCAGTTTTCTCCCACAACACATGGGGATTATGGGAACTACAATATAAGATGAGATTTGGGTGGGGACACAACCAAACCATATCAACCCCCTTTATAAGGCCCATCCCTCTAGACTAAGATATTTGTGATGTTTCTTTTTAGAATGATTTTATTTTATGTCCCATGTTTAGCCTCCAGTATCACCAGAATACTTTGAGGTAGCCACAGATAGAGACTTACATGTTCATGGCTAGTTACTGAATTTGTATGGAACTACTTTTACTCAAAGATGAACTATATTTCACTTTTGCATTGTCCAGCTGCTTCCTTGACTATCCCCTACATCATTCATAAATAACCATCTCTCATAGTCAACCAGAGATTTCATCTCTTAAAGATGCCCCCAAAATGTAAGACATTAGCAGTTGAATTGAAGCTGGAGGAAAAAAAAACATGCGTTTATACAGCAATTTCCATTGCAGGCATGTATGGTCTATGTATCAATTCCAAATTTGTTTCCTGAGACAAATGCAATGTATTCATAGTAAAATGTCCTTCTAAGATCAGATAATTGACTACTGGTCTTGAAGGTCTCTGGTCCACTGCTTCCTAAGCTTTCTTCCTGCCATGTACACTTCCATCTAATGCATTAGGTCCCTCAAATCACCTCAACATGTTTCTTAACCTTGAAAAAAACATTTCCAGCAAGGGAGAATTCAGCCTCTCTGAATTTTTCGTAATCAACTGCTGAAGTCTGATCATAAGGAATTTCTACCTATAGTTGATAATCTTTAACTTTCATCCAGGGGCACTTTTCCTAACTTCTGTGGCCAAATGAAGCAAGTCTTCTACCTTTAGGATATAAAATGCCTTCAAAGAGTTGAGAATGAGAATCATGCCTCTCCCTGGAACGTCTCTCTCTTCAATTTCAACATCCCCAGTCCAACCAATAATTCTAGTAGGTTTGAAGTTCCCAGCCACCTTTTCTGGGCATTATCCTACTCATCAGTACTCACTAAGAAGACAAGTATTTTACTCCATTTATCAGTTGTTATATTTGGCAATAATTGGATTTGTTTGCATAAATGAAAGGAACAATACACATGTATTTATTCTTTTCCTCGAATCATTTGCTTTAGATTCTAGATCGTGGAGTCTAGAATCAGGAGGACTTTAATAAAATTATAACTCTCTTTTTTCACCTTTTGTATCTCCTCTATCTTTATTTTCTCCAACTTTCCTCATTTTTATAAACAACAATAAAATAGTTATGCCTAAAAGAAATAGAATGACTTGCGTGAGTTAATGCTGTGAAGTAACATAGCCTTGAATGAATTTAAAGCAAAGAAAATAACATCAATGTAGAGCCACTATGTGCTAAGTGCTTTGACCATGTTTTCTCATGCAGTCTTTACAGTAGCTCCCTGAGACTAGATGCTTTCATTTCTATTTAACAGATGGTAGAACTGAGGCTAGGAGGAAGAAAGACCTCGCGGATGCTATGTGGAAGTGAGCCCAGATCTTAAAGATTTTCCGGAAGACAATCTTGCTCTTCAACTGAGAATCCTATTTAAATCGTAACCCTTGCAACCTTAGGCCAGTGAGGCTGCTTCTGTCTGAGAGAAGTAATTATTCATCAACTTCCATAATTACAAAATCTTAGAGCAGGCAAAGACCATATGGAGGTTGTTGAGTCCAACTTGATTACTCAGAAGAAAAATAGACACTAATGTTGGGTTTCTGCAAAACCCAGTTTCCTTTCTACTTTAATATCTAGCATTCTATATTTGTGAAGTTAATATCTTAGATTAAGAAAAAATTCATCCTTGCACTCACCGGAACACATAGCCTCACCTTATGACATCATAGTCACCATAGCAACACCCGTGAGTTGGCAGCATATTGCCTTCAGTGAGGGATCATGGCAATGAGTTAACAAAGGATGGCAGCTTCAGATGTTGATGTGAACAGGAAGGGAAGAAGTGGAAAAGGAGGAACAGGTGTGCTGCTTTTTCTGCCAACATTCCTTAGGCCTGAGATGAAGTGGGAGTGAACATGTGAATAATCCTTAAGGAACAGAAATAAGTCTCCTAATCGCCTAGCCAATAAAATGAGAAGAGGGGAAGCAGGACAGAAGAGAAAGTGAAAGCATTCTGGTGTCCTGTTTCCAAATATCAGGGTTGAACGTTCTTTAGTCTTTCTTTGCCCTTTACTCAGAGCAGTGTGCCATTTCTGAAAGAGCATGAAATTAACAAACCCTAGGTGGAATTTTTTTTTTTTTTTTGAGATGGAGTCTCACTTGGTCACCCAGGCTGGAGTGCAGTGGCGCGATCTCGGCTCACTGCAACTTCCACCTCCCGGGTTCAAGCGATTCTTCTGCCTCAGCCTCCCAAGTAGCTGGGATTACAGGCGCCCGCCACCATAGCCGGATAATTTTTGTATTTTCAGTAGAGATGGGGTTTTGCCATGTTGGCCAGGCTGGTCTCGAACTCCTGACCTCAGGTGATCCACCCACTTCACCTTGCCAAAGTGCTGGGATTATAGGCGTGAGCCACCGTGCCCGGGCAGAATTTTATTTACTATACCACTTATACGGTTTCATGCTTGGAAAATTTCTTAACCTTTTGAGTCTCAGTTATCTCATCTGTACAAAGGGTGTGATATTTGCATCTTGAGATTGTGAAGATCAAACAATGCAAGTAAGGTATCTGATAGAAGGCTCTCAGTTTTCCTCTTTCCTTTTTCTAAGTGATTGAAATTTAGAATTATGAAATGTCTTTGTTTGGGCTGCTATAACAAAATATTGGAAGCTGGTAGCTTATAAATGACAAAAAATCATTTTTCATAATCCTGGAGGCTGAGAAGTCCATGCTCAAGCCACCAGCAGATTCAGTATCTGGTGAGAACATGTTTCCTCATACATGAGGCCTTTAAGCTGTGTCCTCATGTAGGTGGCAGGTTAGGCGAGCTCTCTGGGGCCTCTTTTATAAGGGCAGTAATCCTGTTCATGAGGACTCTCTACCTTCATAATCTAATCACCTCGCAAAGACTCCACCTCCTAATTCTTACTCCACCTCCTAATCCTATTGCCTTTGGTGTTGAGATTTCAACATATGAATTTCAGGAGGACGTGAATATACAGATTATAGCCCAAATTATGGCAGTCAGTGATGAATGGCCATTTCAAGTATCATGTTCCATGCATTTCTACATGTTTGAGCTATTCCGCAATTATTTAATTTCTAAACAAAAATGTTTAATTTGCTTAAAATGGATGTAATAGATACATTTCTCAATGAATTTGATCAACCTTCTACTTATCTGAACCTTAAAATTGTATAAAGAGAAAAATAGATTTTATGTTCTGTTATTACTTTCCTTCTTATATTACACTTTAATGGAACTTAGTTGTTGGACATGTCTTTCTACACCCATACATCTATCCATCACTGTAACTGCAACCTCAAAATTATTTATTTATTTCTATTCTTCTGCTTAATCAATGTCTTTCACTTCAGTGAAAACTTCAGTGAGGAGGTTTTGCGTTTGTTTGGCTTATCATTGTATCTCCAGGTTCTAGCACAGTACCTTACATAAAGAAGGTGCTCGATATAAACATTTGTTGAACAAACAGAAGTTTAGCAGACATCTTGATACGACATAAGTATTCAAAATGTCAGCAGAATATTATTGAATACCTCTATGAGTCTACTCACTAAAATAATTAAGTGTGCCATTAATATATATCAGACTTTGTATAGATTTCTACTTTGCCTTTTATCCCTTTATGTTAAGCTACATGTTTCCTTTATGTGTCTCTTTTTCTCTAAATATACACATGTCATTAGCTTTTTACCTCTGCCTTAGAAAAAAGTCTCCCTCCCTCTCTTCTACGCTAGGTCTTCGTTTCACTGCTCCCTGGTCTTAAAAGTTTTTTCCATGGGACTCTCCTGCCAACATAATTCTGTGTGAGTTACGTTCGTTTGCAAAACCTTTCAGCATATGAAGATGTTCTATTTAATTAGTAAAAGCTCAAAATTTTTTTCTGTCCTCAGTGGAGCATCATATATCACCAAGTCTGGAGAGTCATTAGCTGTGATATTAATCAGGATGGGAGCAAAAGCAGAATAAAACCCCAGACCTCAGTAAACCTTGCCGTGTCTCAGGCTCAGCTGCAACTACCCTGCAGGATCAAGCCCTCTGAGGATCCCTTGAATCATTTCCACCCTAAGGGGCACAGTGAAGAAGGCTGTTATTCACCATGGCAGATAGTGTGTTACTGCTGCTCAGGGACACAGCAGGGGGACAGGGGAACTGAGGGCTGAATATCTTGAACACGAAATATCCCACTTGGGAGCTCCCGTGCCTGTGTTGAGGGAAAGTGTTTATTTCCTAGAGCCTCTTTCAGTTTAGGCAGAAGGTGACTGCTTCTACTCTTGGGAGATAAAAAGGAGAGTTTGTTTTCACATGTATGCCCTGCCTAATAATCCTTAGGAAATGCTGATTTCATCTTATGATATGATTAGGAACAAAATAGGGAAGCAAAATGTATGTAAGCTCCCTAGAGATGTTTGATCTCTGTATAAATTATGCTAATTGGTAATTCCCTGGGTCTTCATGCTCTCTGGGACTCAGTTTCCAGTTGAGTAAAATGGGAAAAATGATGTCCATTCTGTTTCCCTTGCTGAGTTGTGAGAGAAAAGTAAAATTAATGTTCAGATGTTAAAATGACCCCTTACGTTTGTTTTATTAAGATTTGCAAAAGTAACTTTGTCAAATACTAAATCGTGTATTGGGATAAAATCAAAACAAAACATGTGACCATGAATCACACACATTGTGTCCACTATGTGGATATGAGTGAGAGGCAGCTGTCATGTAGCAAAAAGAATGCAGCTCGTAGCACATCTCCACCATTCCTGACTTCTGTGACCTCAGGTCTGTCTATGAACTTCAATTACCACATCAGTAAAATGAAGACAGTAAAAGTCACCTATCAGGGTTGATATAAGAACAGAATAATTTTATCAACTTATACCTGCCTTTATTTTGTCTGAAAATATCAGCTTAACATTATTTTCTTGGTTGCCTCAATGTAGCTATATAATCTTTACAGAATGGCTATGGTCTGGCATTCCGCTCTTCTCTTTCATTATTATTTTCTCTCCTGATATCTTTACATTAGTTTCTTCCTCTAGAATCCATCATGCAGGCAGCCTTTAGTAAGCGTCACATGCTACCTAAAGTGGTTTGCGTATGTTACCTTATTTACACACCTAAAGTAGCCTGTCAAAGTTAGGCATTATCTTTATTACATCAAGAGGAGGTGAAGAGTTCCTGGTAGTTACTCAGTTACTGAGCAGGAGACCAGGATCCAAACCTGTACTCTTCTGTCCCTGCAGCTGGAGCTCATTTCTTTTTATCCCATTGCTTCCCAACAAGCTTTCTCTAGGAGCTATAGAAAGCTGCACATCCCCCTGTTGGTATGACATGGGTTCCATGCTCAGGTATAAGGAATATAAGGAATTGGCAAGCTCAAGGTCAGGTTGGATTTCCAGGCAGCGGCTGATATGTGAGCGTTTCTGTCTTGTTCTTTCAGATGTGACACAATGCACAGCCAAGCAGGTGATCTGGCCCTGACAACTGGTAAACTATAATAATCCTAATACTTTGCATCAGTACAGCACCTTTCATCTCAGGCATCTGGGGGCTCAGAAGACATTAATTAAACTTCACAGCATCCTAATTCCTGGAGGTCAGGACTGTACCAATTTTAGAGAGAGATAAACTGATATAATAATGACTCTCATAAAGCAGAAAATCAAGACGGATCATTTGGCAGATGATAGAAGCCTAGCTTCTGGGTCGACTGAAACAATCATTAGATAAAATTGTGTGTCACTGAAAGCACCTGCTGTGAAGTCAGTAGACCTAAGTTTTTGGACTGACCTTTCCATTTTTTGAGTGAATAGAATCAAGTCACTTTTTCTTTCTCGTTCTTCATGCATTCATCAGTAAAACAAAGGAGCTGCTAATCACTGCCTTTACCTAGAAGCATCCACTCTCATGCTGACATGGCCCTTAGGAATCATCTGCCTACAGTTCTCTGAACACTGCTTCATGGGCATGTGTCACTAGGATGTTTCAGAATCATGAGGGATGGGGAATGGAAGAGAATGTTTGTTTAAAAATGTGGATTCCCAGGGGCCCATCCTAGTGATTCTAATTTAGTGGGTCTGAGATGGGACTCTGAAATACAAAGTTTTTAAACACTTCCCAGATCATTCTGATGTAATCAGTTTGGGACCCACAGCGGGTCAAGCTCTGTTCTGATCTTTGCCTTTTTACAGGTTATAGGGAGCTTTTCAACATCTGCCCCTTCTGCCTCTACCCCACTCCTTCCCCCCACCCCAGGTATCGCCCCAGATTTCTCCTTAAAATGTGTGTCATCCACTTGTTCTCCATAGCAGTTGAAAAAATAATTTCTGTGTTAAGTAGATCATGATCAATCCACTTATCTTGATATTGCAAAATGTTTCCAAAAGAAATTTTAATTCTATAATAATAGATCTTCATGAAACACTATATGCCAGGAACTATTAATTAGTTTTACATATATCCATTTATTTAATCCTCACAGCAGTCCAATTAGTAGGTAATTAATATTATTATCATTTTAGGTGTGGAAACTAAGGCACAGAGAAATTATGTAATTTGTCTAAGGAAACATAGCAGAGCTGGATTTGAAGCCAGACAGTTTGGCTCCAGAGTCTTTTCTCTTAAGCTCTATGTATAGTGTCTCAAATAATCCAAAGATGAGCAAAGATTTGAATAACTGCATTCTATGAAGTTCTAGACTATACTGAGGTTTTTGAGAATCTGATGAAAGTTGTGAAAGCCTTTCCCAGAAAATTTCTCACATGTATGTAAACAATCTCAATTTGGCACACAATTTCAGGGGCTGAACAATATTCAAAAGTTTTTTCATGAAATCTCTGTTAAAAAAGAAACTGGAAAGCAGTTGACTAAATGAAAAGCTACAAAAATGAGTGATGGGAAATATGATCACTGTTTTTAGATATAAGAAGTGCTTTCATTTTTTTAAAGGCAACGGACATGTCTTTGGTGAAATTAAAAAGACAGCACATTACGATTAAACACAAAAATATACCTTTTTAATAGAGTCATCAAATAGTGATTTAGGCTTCTTCAAGGAGGTAGTGAGCTCCCCATTGCAAGACATGTTCAAGCAAATGATGGGAGGCAATCTCACAGGGATGCTGATGATGACATTTTCTATAATAAATTAATTGTCCATAAATGGAGGCCGAGAAAATCCAGTCTCAATAATGTAGAATCCATAATGTTCAGCATACTATAGCAATAATAATAATGATACTATACCTAGACATGTAAAGAAGCTCAAAAATGTGGCCACAAATCAGTAAACTGACCCTGAGATAACCCAGATATAGAGATTAGCAAAAAGCTATCTTAAAAAAGTTATTATGAATATTTTCAAGGACTTTAAGGAATGTATGTTCATAATAAGTTAATCTATAGCACAAAAAACTATAAACACCAAAGTTTTAGAAATGAAAAATATAATATCCAAAATGAAAATTTAACTGATTTTACTTAATAGCAGATACAAGTCAGCAGATAAAAGCTATAATAAAAGAAACAATTCAAAATAAAGTACAGAGAAAATAAAAGGGTGAAAAAAATATAGCAAAGCCTCGATGACTTGTGGGACAGTATCAAGCTCTACAATATCCATATAACTGGAGTCCAAAAAACAGAGGAGACAGATAATGAGGACAGAAAAATAATTAAAGAAATAATGATAAAATTCTCCAAAAATTTTGTAGAAAACAAAATTTACACGTCCAAGAACATCAGTAGTGAGCTTCAAGAAAGAGAAAAACAAAGACAACTATACTTAGAGACATCATAGTCAATCAAAAATTAGAAGAAAATGTTGAATAAAGCCAAAGAAAATGATACCTTACATCAATAAAACAATGGTATGTGATGGCTGATTTCTTAAAATCAGTGGATGATAGAAGACAAATAAATGACATTTTTTAAGTACTGTGGGGTGGGCATACAAAAATCTGTCAACCTAGAATTCCATATCCAACAAAAATGTACATAGACAAATAAATACAAATCAAAACATTTTTAGATTTGTAAAAATAAGAAAATTTGTTTCCAAAAGACTGGAATTATAGGAAATACAGAAGGTAATTCTTCATGCTAAAAGGTATTCACAGATCTGCAGAAAGATAATCACAAGCGCCTAGGAATCACCACACTGATTTCCACAATGGCTGAACTAATTTATACTCGCACCAACAGTGTATAAGCGTTCCTTTTTCTCCACAACCTCGCCAGTATCTGTTATTGTTTACCTTTTTAATAATAGCCATTCTCACTGGTGTTAGATGGTATCTCATTGTAGGTTTCATTTGTATTTCTTTGATGATCAGTGATGTTGAACTTTTTTTTATATGATTGTCGGCCACATGTATGTTTTCTTTTGAAAAGTGGCTTTGCCCACTTTATAATGGGGTTGTTTGCTTTTTTCTTGTAAATTTGTTTAAGTTCCTTATAGATGCTGGATATTAGACCTTTGTCAGATACATAGTTGGCAAAAATTTTCTCCCACTCTGTAGGTTGTCTGTTTATTCTCTTGATAGTTTATTTAGCTGTGCAGAAGCTCTTTAATTTAACTAGATCCCATTGGTCAATTTTTGCTTTTGTTGCAATTGCTTTTGGTGTCCTGATCATGAAATCTTTGCCTGTACTTGTGTCCCGAATGGCACTGCCTAGATCATCTTCCAGGATTTTTACAGTTTTGGGTTTTACACTTAAGTCTTTGTGTTCTCACTTGTAAGTGGAAGCTAAATGATGAGAACACATGGAGACATAGAGGGGAATAACACACACTGAAGCCTTTCAGAGGATGGAGAGTGGAAGGAGGGAGAAGTTCAGGAAAAATAACTAATGGGTACTAGGCTTAATACCTGAGTGATTAAATAATCAGTACAACAAACCCCCATGACACAAGTTTATCTATGTAACTAACCTGCATTTGTACCCCCGAACTTAATATAAAAGTTAAAAAAAAAACAAGCACCAGAAGTGGTAAGCATAGGAGTATATATAAAATGTATATTTATATTTTATTATTTTACTTAAAATGCATTTGATTAGAGCAAAAATTACAATATTGCATATATATTGCAGATATAGAAGACATGACACCATAAAAAAGAGGATGATAAATAGAACTGTAAGGTTGCAAAGCTCTTTTACTTTCTAGAAATAGAAATACTGACATTAACACTAAGTAGCCTGTAATAACAAGGATGCATATTGGAATCCCTAAGGCAACCATTAAAAAAATATGAAGTACAGCTGAAAAGCCAATAGAGGAATTAAAATGAAATGCTGGAAAATATTTGATTAACCCAAATGAAGACAGAAAGACAAACTGCAGAATAATAAGAAAATTGTAGACCTAAATCCAACTATGTGAATAATAATATTAAATCTAAATAAACTCAACCCTACAATTAAAAGGTTAAGATAGATTAAGAGAAAAAAAACAGTAAGGTGTAATGTCACTGCATGGTACTTTAAATATGAAGTAACAGTTTGAAAGTGAAAGGATGGAATTAAAAATACCATGTGGGCTGGGCGCAGTGGCTAACGCCTGTAATCCCAACACTTTGGGAGGCTGAGATGGGTGGATCATGAGGTCAGGAGTTCGAGACCAGGCTGACCAACATGGTGAAAACCCGTCTCTAATAAAAATACAAAAAAAAGTTAGCCAGGCATGGTGGTGCCTGCCTGCAATCCCAGCTACTCAGGAGGCTGAGGCATGAGAATCGCTTGAACCTGGGAGGTGGAGGTTGCAGTGAACCGCGATCACACCGCTGCACTCCAGCCTGGGTGAAAGAGCGAGACTCCATCTCAAAAAAAAAAAAAAAAATACCATGTGAACAATAAGATTAACAAAGCTGAATAACTGTATTAATATCAGACAAAATAGACTTTAAGACAAGAGTATTTAATGTTATTTTTAAAATATTCCAAATATACAGAAAAGCTGCAAAAGAGTTGCAATAATTTTCATATGCTGTCTACTCAGGTTCACCAAATATTAACATTTACCACATTTCTCCGCATTTCTCACTGCATATCTCTGCCTCCCTCCAATTCCCTCTCCTTTTCTGTCTTTATCTGTGTAGATCTGTACACATACATACACACATACACACACACACACAAACACACACATATGCCGGCAGATTTTTTTCTGTGCCATTTGAGAATATGCTGCATACATAATTCCTTTTCATGCTTAAATATTTCATTATATGTTTCTGAAAAACCAGGACATTACATAGACACCAATACAAAAATCAAAATCAGGAAATTAACATTGATAACATAGTAGTGTCTAACCTACAGATCCCATTTAATTTTTCCCAATTATATCACTAAGCTTTTTTTATAGTAAAAATAATTCTTCTAGTTCAGAATTTAATCCCAGATTAAATGTTGCTCTTAGTTGTCATGCCCTTTTATTTTCCTTTATTGTGGAATGGTTCCCTCAGCCTGTCTTTCATGGCCTTAAGGTTTGGGGAAATCACAGGCCTTCTTTGGTAGAATATTCCTCAAATTAGGCCTACGCGATGTTTCCTTATGATTAGTCTGAGGTTATGCATTTTTGGCAGGAGTACCTTGGGAGTAATACTGTGTCTTTTTCACTGCAAAACATCCAGAAGAAAATTGTATCAATTTGTCCTATTTCTGGTCATTAACTTTAGTCACTTGATTAAGGTGTTTCCTGCCAAGTTTTTTCTCTAAGGTTACTATTTTTGTTTTGTCAATAAGAAGTATCTTATTGGGAGATACTTTGACAACAGGAAAATATCCTAGTTCTCATTAAACTTTCACCTACCTGTTTTAGCAATCATAGATGATGCTTACTGAAGCAATTATTACTATGGTGGTTGCCAAATGAAAGCCAAGAGGTATAAAGAACCAGGTATAAAGAACAACAATTGAGACTGAAAAATGGCCAATTCATTGGGAAGACATAGTAATCATAAATATATACATGCCTTATTGAAAAAACATGAAGCAAAACCGACAGAATTAAAGGCAAAAAAAGACAAATCCATAATCGTAATTGAATATCATAATGCCCCTCTTCAATGATTAATAGATAACTAAAAAAAATCAGTAATGATATAGACATGAGTAACACTTTTAGATCTATTGATGTAATTGACAATTTTGCCACCTTACACCTAGAAACTACCAAGAATAGAAACTTTTCTAGTGTTTATGGGATGTGCGCCAAGATAGACCATATGCTGGATTATTAAATTAGTCTCAATAAATTTTACAAAATCAATATCTTACAGAGTACAGACTTTAAATAAATTGAATTATATAAGAAATCAGTAATCTAGAAAAGCCCCAATTATATATCGGTTAAACTGCTACTGGAGTAAACAGTGTATTAGCCAAGGAGGTGGCCTTATAGACAAATTCTAAATATAGATTTCTCCACAGTGTGATATACTCAGGGGGTTTTTGGAGAGAAACGTTATTTTAATGCATTTCATTATTATTTGATATCTGCATATTCAGGAGAGAAACTTACAAGTAAAGAATGCCAATTATGATTAAATCTATATAGATGCAGAAGTTTAACCCCATGATTTGCAAAGATTTTTATTGGTGAGTGTGGTTAAGTGTGGGCCAGACCACATTTCAGCTGACCAGCTAGGCAGTATGATCCTTCCACACATGGACAGGCTGGGAAGCCAATGTGTGTTGTGGGACTTGCTCATCCCCATGGTTTCAGCAGCTATCTCATCCAGGGTTTTGGGAGAAGGGGTACTTAGCAACCTGTGTACCCCTACTCCCGGATTCTAGCTTTTAGAGATGGTAACATTATTCTGGCTTCAGAGAACTATAGAAATGAAGCAACAGCAGCAGTTATCTGGTGGCACATTGCTGTGTAAGTACCACTGGATCTCTATTAGAATGAGAATGATGCTGGGCACAGTGACCCACCCCTGTAATCCCAGCACTTTGTGAGGCCAAGGCAGGAGGGATTGCTTGAGGTCAGGAATTTGAGACCAGACTGGCCATTTTGGTGAAAACCCGTCTCTACTAAAATCAAAAAAAAAAAAAATAGCCAGGTGTGGTAGCACGTGACTGTAATCCCAGCTACTCAGGAGGCTAAGACAGGCGAATCACTTGAACCCAGGAGCCAGAGGTTGCAGTGAGTCAAGATCATGCCACCACTGCACTCCAGCCTGGGAGACAGAGCAAGACCCTGTCTAAAAAAACAAACCAACCAACCAACAAAAAAAGTGGGTATGAAATGCCCAGAGCAGCCACCCTCAGGAGGCTATTTCTGCCAGTAGACTGTGGTATAAAATTGCATCTATACCCATATACACATTTATATTATTTATATATTTTATTTTATCTCCGATAACTATTTTTTTCTGATGTGAAAACTATTCTTTAAGTAAGATATATATGTTTATGCCTCTCTCTCTATATATATATGTATTGTGTATATATATACACATACATATAATTTTAAAAGCAAAAGCGAATTCAGTGCTCAAGACAAGAAAGGTTTTTTGTTTTGTTTTATTTTCCCTATTAACCTTGTAGAACATCGCCCTGTCCTCATTATTTTTGGAAACAAACCATTGCTTTAAAATGATCAGGAAACTAAAGGGGAAACATTTGCACTTCATTTTTTTTTTCAGGTAGATAATGAACTCTACACCCAAAAGGGAGAAAGAGAACCTGAGAACAACAATTGTGCAAGTTAGGAATCAGTGTGCTAGTCAAAAAGGGTGTCAAGTAGAGAAAGGTGGGAGCGGGGGCATTACAAATAAGGAAAGCAATTCAGTAAAGAAGTGACTCAAAAGGTCAGGCTGCTAAGTGTCCCTGCAGGGCGAGAACCAGAAATCGCACTATTGCAGCCCACGCAGGCCCACACGAAGGACCAGAATAATTGATGATATAAAAGCCAGGATTTGCGTAATTCACAGGATCTTAAACCGCCCACAGACTTGCAGCCCAACTGTCTCTGTGCAAACATCACGGAGCTCGGGTGATGTTGAGAGCCTTTGGGGCTGTGAGGTGATAGGATAGCTGAAGAGAGGGTTTGGATGAAGAGGGACCTGAAGCCTGCACTAATCCATGCATTATGTTTTGAAGATAAAGGAACAATGATTCCGTGAAAATCAAATGTCCCACTTTGTGTGAATACTTGTGCAAGTGTCTAGGAAAACAATGCTGAGCTCTTTGGTAAAGAGCTTGGTTGGAGCTGATGCTTAGCGTTAAAGCTTAAATGTATATTCTCCTGCTCCTGAAGTCTAACTTGCCCTAGCACACTCAAGCCTGCCCAAGGGAGAAAGACTTTGCTTTTTCCCCATGGGGACGCTGGTTTAGCTTGTGCTTTCTGCCTCTAGAGGAGGTAGAGGACATGCAAGAAAAGTGCTAATATCTGATTTCTGATTTTCCAGGCATAGTAAGCCTGTCGACTCTCCTTCTGTGGCCCAATTAATCATTCAGACTTGACCAGTTAGATAAACAACTTCCTGCCTTTGAAGAGAGCTAGGAAGTGGGCACAGAGTGGCTAGCTGGCATGGAGAGAGGGACACAACTGTCCCCATCTGCCATATGGGGACTGAGCAATCTCCCTCAAGTACACACATTGCAGCGTGGGTGAGCCTCATTTGTCCCTGTGAACTGACTTGAGCCTCTCCTGGTAGCTGTTATTGGTGCTTCCTAAAACCTTAGCTCTGTTACCTGAAATCTGACTTTTATAACCATCTCTTTATGATCTCTACAAATCAGGGCAGGAAAGAGCCAGGCTCTTCTGCTGGTACTGACTCAACTGGAAGCATCACTTAAGCTCTCTGGGCCTGCCATTTTTATTGTTTGGATTCATTCACTTGGTGCTAAGCCTAGTGATAAAAACCTTGGTCACAAAGCTGAGTAAGGGAAAACAGCTGCCCTTGAAGTTCTTACAATCTAGACAAATTTAGAATTCATTGTGAAACAAGGTGATAAGGTTGGGAATAAAGGCATGTCTATGATGTGGGAGAAGAAGAGATTAAGGCTAAACAGGTAATGTAGTGGAGATAGCTAATATTCCCTCAGGATTCATCCAGTCTTCCCTTCTTTTTAACAATGGAAGCTGCCAAGATTTCGCTGGCTGCATGACCCCTGCCCCTTGTCATAGGCATGGGGCTTAGTTCTGATTAACAGATGTGAATGGAAGTGATATATCCAACTGTGGGGTCGTGATCTTTAAAAATACAATTTCTGTCCTCAATGAACTGTCTTCCTCCTACCCCATCATGTCCTAATGAATACAAGATGCTGGTGAGCCAGGCTTAATTGCTTGGGGGAGATAAATACTCCCAGGGAACAGTGGGGCAATAATTTGGAGGTAACCTGGGCCATTGTATGACCTCATAGAACTGAGACTAGACCACTTATCTCTGGACAGGAAAGCAAATGTTTGAACTATTGTCTTGGGTTCTCTCTGTTATTATAGCCCTTATCCTGTACCCTAACTAATACATGGTTTCATGTTAGAGAAGGGATTAACATTTGCACAAAGTCTTGAATAATAGGAAAGAATATCCAGGATGATGAGAAATAGGAAAATAATTCCAGATAAAGAAAATAGCTTATTAAAAGATCCAGAGACATGAAAAAGGATAATTCAGAATGCTCCTGATGTGAATGGGAGTGGAGGCCGCTGATGGTATAGAGAAGTGAGAGAAGAGGAGATGCGAAGAATTAGCAGTCAACCCACAAATAACTTTCTTGCCTGTCTATGGAATTGAGACTTTTTCCCGTTGGAGTTGGGGAGTCTTGCAGAGTTTGAACAAACTAAGGAGAGATATGATCATGTATGTCCTAAAAAAATGATACCTCTTATTATAGAATGCAGGAAATTAAACTGGTAGCAGAGCCTTAATAAATGCAGCCATCCAATGTCCTTTCTGGGGCTCATTTCCTCACTTGTGAAATAGTTAGGTTGCTCTAGATCAGAGGTTGGCACATTATGGTCCATGGGCCAAATCTGACCTCCTTCCTGTTTTTGTTAATGAAGTGTTATTGGAATGTAGTCACTATCACTTTTATATACACTGCTCATGACTGTACCTCTGGTAAATGGTAACATTGAATAGTTATAAAGAAATCCTATGTATTTACTCACTGGCCCTTTATGGGCCCTTTATGGGAAAAGTTAGCTGATCTTGCCTCTAGATCAATCGTAGTTACCCAAGAATGTCCACAAGTCAGCTGAGGAGAGGCCAGGCCTCCTGGTCTATCAACTCTCTCTTCAACCACAGCAGCTCTATTCTTAACCACCTTATATAGTAGCCCTTCATATAAGATTTTGTTTTTCAGAAAGATACTACCGGAACAAAGCAGTTTAATAACTACTGGCCTAAATGACCTTGAAGATCCCTTCTAGCTTCAGGAAATCTCGGTTCATTTGATGACTAAACAAACATACCTTTGAATGCCTGCAATGTGCTAAGTGCTAAACTAGATGTAGCGATGAAAGGAAGAAATACAGTCTCCCTCACAAAGCTTACAATAATATTAGGGCATTTAACTTCTGGAATAGCGAGTGGTTTCACCTATGTACACACACACACACACACACAAACACACACACACACACACTATGGCAGGCTGTATTAGTTTTCCAGGGCTGCCATAACAAAATACCACAGACTGGGTAGTTTAAACAACAGAAATTTATTTTCTCACTGTTCCGGAGGCTAGGAGTCCAATATCAAGCAGGTTTGGTTTCTTTTGAGACCTCTCTTCTTGGCTTGCTGTGTCCTCAGATGTCTTTTCTCTGTGTATGTGCATGTCTGTGTCCTAATCCCACCACCACCTTTTTTTTGTTTTTTGTTTTGTTTTTTTGTTTTTTGGGTTTTTTTTTGAGACAGAGTCTCGCTCTGTCACCCAGGCTAGAGTGCAGTGGTGCAATCTTGGCTCACTGCAACCTCTACCTCCTGGGTTCAAGTGATTCTCCTGCCTCAGCCTCCCAAGTAGCTGGGATTATAGGCACCCACAACCATGCCCAGCTAATATTTTTATATTTTTAGTAGAGATTGGGTTTCACCATGTTGGCCAGGCTGGTCTCAAACTCCCGACTTCAGGCGATCTGCCCAACTTTTCTTACAGGAGCACCAGTAATATTAGATAAGGGCTCACTCATATGACCTCATTTTACCTTAATAACCTCTTTGAATGCCCTATCTCCAAATACAGTCACATTCTGAGATACTGGGGCTAGAACTTCAACTTATGAATTTGGAATCTGGGGGCAGGGAGACACAATTTATTCAGCCCACAATACACTGTGTTGCATATTTTTAAAAAATATGAAAATACGGTCTCTATTTTTGAAATCTTTTCAGGCTAGTGGGAGAGGCAAGACCCTATCTAAATATAAATCATGCAGCATACAGCACTCTAGGAGCTTACATTCAAGCTGAAGAAACAAAACATATTTACAAATAAATATGTAAGTATTTGGAAAGATTTCGTGAAAGAGATAGTAAGAATGTTAGGATTTGAATAAAAGGAGGTACACGCTCCTTTCCTGTCTTTTCTAAATATTGGTCCCAGTTAGGACTTGTGTCTTTTCATCCAGTAGTTAACTCTCAACACAGCAATGCAGCAGTGAGTGGAAAAGGGCACGCAGGGAGGAGTGTGAAATGGGAGCCAGCAGTGCAAACTACTGCAGCATTCCATTTAATAAATACAAACCCTCTCTTGCTCAGCATTCTTTATATTATCAAACATTGTTGTCAATTACTGCCTTTTAGCTAGGCAATGCTAATTCCTTCAAATGTGCATTATATAGACTCACATCATGTAAGAACTAGAAAGAGCCTAAGAATCTTCTCAAATAGGGGGGAGCATGAATGGGATTTAGGGAGAGCAGGGAACCTCTAAAACAATAATTGAATTTGTGATTATGCACATTTAATTATGGAGAGAGTCCATATATATCATTACATAAATATCATGCACTACTTTACAGAAACCCTCAAAAGACTTCCTCACATTGTACTTGAAAGAGAACACATTCTTATGGTGGGTCCTATGTGATCTGACCGCTGGTTATTCTCTGCCCTCATCTTTTCTCCTCTCCCTCTTAGTCACTGAACCACAGCTACTCCAGGCCTATTTGTATTCCAAAAAGACAGCAAACTGACTTCTGCTGCAGGGAATCTGCATTAGCTGTTACCCCTGCTGAAACACCTTGCTTCCAGATCTGTGCCTGGTTGATTCTGTCTGACCATTCAATCCTAAACTTGAACTAACTAGTACCTTCTTCACATCCAAAGTATTAACTTTTCCATTCCTTGTTGGTTACATTACCCTCATTATTCTGTTTTGTTTTCTTGACATCCCCTATCATAGTCTAGAATTATCTTCTCCATATGTTGGTTTATTTGCTTCTTTCATCCCACACAGGCCTGTGTTTATGGATGTATTCTGAGTAGTTGGGATTGTAGCAGGCATATTGTAGGTGCTCAATATATATTTGCTAGGTAGATTCTCAGAGTGATCTGTGATCCATTACTCCACTCCATCCACATTAAACAAACAACAAACGATAAACAGCAAACAAAAAAGTAAAACTGAGAAACACCAATTGCCTCAAATTTGCTCATCTTTAAAATGAGAAAAATGAGCTTCAGAGGAGTTTATCCATCTTACCAAGCCCTATGTGGAAGTATCCCAAGCCTTTTTGCCATCTGGAGACTCTTGTTTGGACCCATTCCAATTATCAATTTTTTCCTAAAATGTGGCACAAGAATCCCTTAAAGTTGGTTGACTGGAGAAGAATAGGTAATTGCCTCCCTAATCCTGCACCCCTACAGAGTTATGGTCATTGGGTCCTCCTCAGCATCCTCCTTCTGCTAGCAGATAGCTCATTTCCTGCAGTTCCTTTGGAAGCAGTTGCCATATTTTTTTGTTACTAGTTATTACCAATCCAAACAAACACTTTAGTTTTCCCAAACTTCAGAGGAAGGTATTTTTTAAAAGGCCATCTTAATTATGCACAAGCAATGGAGAATCACAGAGGATTCATTAACATAATAAACAGAAGTCTGTTTCCAGTATCACACAAGCAAGGTAATGATAACAACAAACATCATTTGCTGCTCAGCAACTTGTGGGTTCTTTTCCCAAGGTCCTCTCCTAGCTTTTTTAGTGTTGGGATTCTACTTGCTGCCCATGCCTTTATCTGAGGGGAAAGGGACATTTTCAAAAAGCAGGTGGCTCTTAATCTCTGCTTTGAGATAGAGGTAGAAATGAGACCAGGAACACTCCAGATAGAGTCTAAAAGCAATAGAAACGACAAAACAAGAACTTGAGTAGAAATGTGGAAAGACCATTAGCACAGGAGGGACAAGAGATCTAATCCTAGCTCTACCACTCACCAGCTCTGTGACCTTGGACCAACAGTATAACCTCTGTGAGTCTGTCTCTTCCTCTGTAAAATGGCATTATCCTGTGAATCTATACATGACATAGATTTGCATGTGTCAGTCTCCCAGAACAGTGTCTGATACATCCTCAGAAATCTTAGTTCCCTTTTCCCAAGATAGTCATTTAGCATTGTGCTACTAAGCCTTTCCCAGCCTCCACCTCTTCACTTTATCCTAACTTGAGATGTTGACCTAACTTGATTCTTCCCGGGGCCTCAGGGCTGGGTCTAGAAGCCGGCAGGCTGTGAGTAGTCACTGCCTGCCAGTTGGCAGGGAAGAATGGTGCGCTGGAGTGGGGATTGAACTGTTGCCATTGGAGATGGCAACAGATGCTTCCTGGTTGAGGCTGAGTTGGCTAAATCAGGGCTCTGTGGTTTGAGACAGAATCCCAATTATTTCCAATTAGGAGATAGCAGCGACAGCTGCTCTTAACCCAACCACTCCTCACTGCTGCTAACCTGGCCTCATTCAGTGGAGAGCTTTAACCTGGACTCTGGATTTGTGAGAGCATCCCCAACACACATCTTATCTGAATTATTTAAGTCTCTCTCTCTGAACCTAAGATCTCATGCACCTTAGCTTAACAGTAGTTCTGGGAGGCAAAAATGGGCAATGAAATAAGAAGAACTGGGCTCAATTTCCAGCTGTACTACTTGCTGACTATTTGACCTTGGGTATCTGTGTTTGACCTTGGGTACCTTGTTTTCTCATATAGGATGAGACCAAAAACCTGAGTCTTGTTGTGATAATAAAAGTAAAATGTCCAATATAGAAGGACTTTGTAAATGAGAAAGGACTACACAGAATCCTTCATGTCATTGGTGGCCCCTTCACAGTGAACCCAAGCCTGCTACAGCTAATGGAAGAAGACCTCAGTGTAAAGTCAGAAGATCTGGATTATGAAAATATGCTACATGGCTGAAACCAGTCATTTTAACCTCTCTGAACATTCTTTGTCTCTTTCAAATTGAAGTAGAATTAATGGCAGAGTGCTTGCCTCATAGGCTTTGCAGTTTTATAAGTGTAATGTGGAGCCCTTGGTAAACTGTAAAGTGATGTGTACACATGAGCAATTATTATTATGTTCTTAGGGCTTTTTTTGGTTTGGCATCAGTTGAGTCAGCTGAATGCTCTAAGCAAGAACAATCTGTTTTCTTTCCTCTTGGCAAAGAACACAAAAGACAGAGCAGCTCATAGAAACTGGGGCAGGAGAGAAAACTTAACTCTCTCTCTCTCTGACACACACACACACACACACACACACACACACACACACACACCCCTCCTCCACAGATTCCCACAACTCCAGCATCCAAAATACCACAGCAGAGCTTGGGAAGTGGCCTCATTTCCTAACCAGTCTCTGTATCCCTAGTTCCGACACTCACTGTTCATTGCCCAGATATAGTTAAGATCTAAATTAAGAACAGGTCCCTGGCTCCAGCAGGCCTTGTCACATTGTGTAGAGCCCTAGACTTGAATCTGAGATGACTGGCTCTGCCATTTCTTAGCCTCTTCTCCACCCCCATGCCAATCAATCTTCAAGCTTTGTTAACTTTATGTCTTAAAAATCTCTCATACCCACTGACTTCTTTCCAGTCCCTTTGACACCACCTAGGTCAGACCACCACGCCCCTCTTCACTCCTGGAAGATCCTCCTTCCAGCACCCTGTCTCTACTCCAGCTCTCATTAATATGTTCTCCACTCTACAACCAAAGGGATTTTTTTAATGCAAAAGTCATTCCTCTGCTTAAAACTTATCTAGGGCTCCTCATTTCTCTACAGTAAAAAAACAAATGTCTTAACACAACTCATAGAACTCTGCATAATCTGGACTTTTTTGTCTAGTCTTTACAATACTCCCTTTTGCCCCTGAGCTCCAAAGATGCTTTCTGTCTTTGGGAAACATTTTCTCCTAACTTCAGTCTATTCATACAATGTCTTCCCTCTGCCAGGAAAGTCTCAAGAAACCCCATTCTTCCCTGCTTACCTTACCCCACTCCCAACTAATTAATTCTATCCCCTTCCTGCAGACAGCAGTTCACAGGACCCTCCACCAGGGGCATCTGCCTCAGTTTCTCAAAGTGGGTTAGTCTCTGTTACTATTACATGTTCATGACACTTCAACTTTTCCTGTGTAGCACTTATCCCAGCTTGCCTCTATATTCTTATTTCTATTATAACATAATTAATATATGAAGGATTCTGTGTTCTGAGAGGGCAACCATTATATGTTTGCTGAACACATAGTCCTGGCTTTTCACGGAGTACATTGCGTGAATAGTTTTGAATGAATGAACGTGAATTTGGGCAGTTTGTATTTATTTTCTCAATCTTTTGTTATCTACAAAATTGAGCTAAGATTATTTTTCTGCCTATTCAAAATATACATGGATGAGACAAATGAGATCACATATCTGATAAGGGCAATGCAGGTAAAGCATGGACTGGCACAATGCTGACTGAGCATAATAGGTGCTCAGAAAAATCTATTATCATTACTGATGCAATTATCACTGTTATTGTAGATATTCAAAAATGTCGGCTTCTACTTTGTCCCGTTTCTCACCCCGTCTAAAGAGAATTTCCTGCAAAAGTTGATTGGTAATCCCCTCTTTTTCCGACAAATCACCTGCATTATGCATGTTGAAGTCAGTACAACAAAATGCATGTATTTTGTTATTCACTAATTAATCCATGTTTGTAAATCTTGTCCCTCCTTAAGGGTAAGGACTGTCATATGGATCCATTTTATCACTGGCTGCACTCACCTGAGTGGACAGGGTGTTGCAGATATTTGATGGATTGATTCAGGAGACAGTAGTAAAGTTAACTCTGTAATTCAGACGTCAGTAGCTTGCAGTTTCTAGTGGAGATATCAGTAGCTCAAGTCTGTTTATAGGAAAGCTAATCATATTCAAAGATAAAGCCAGGGTTTTTAAACCGAGGAGGAAAATAGAATGTTTTAAGAAGAATTTTGGAATCAGTTTATTATTAGTCTTCAGTAGGATGAGAAAAATTCACAAAATAGAGTAAGCTGCAACCTAAACATACTTGACTTGGAGAGAATTCTAGTGATGGTGTGAAGAGGATGATGAGTCCTTTCTGCAATAATAAGTGTACAACTAAACGCATTAAATTTACTCAAATACTAACTTTATAAGAGAGCAAGAAAGAGATTATAAAAATATATTTACTTTAGGAAATTGTCTCAACAGTCCATTCATGTGTGTACACTCCAGAGGGCCTATGCTATGTATGAAAAGTCTGAATCAGCTGTTCTTGAAGCATGGTTTGAGCACCTTGCCATGATGAGGTGTTTCTGATGTTTAAAGAAATAAATAACTGTACACCATGGCTCCTAAATCAAGTCAGCAAAGGAGATAAGGAATGGCATTGTGTTATTACCTATAGCAGGCAATGGAGCATAGTAATGAAGAACATGGCATTTTGGAGCCAAATGGATCAGTTTCAACTCCTGTAACTGCCACTTGTTAACAATAGGACACTAGAGAAGGGACTTAACATTTCAGTGACTCACTTTACTCATCTACAAAATGGGGCTGATCGTTGGACTTCCTCATAAGATTGAATGCATTACTATATAAAGTATTTGGCACATAGTAAGTACTATATATGTAGTGGTTGTAATTGTTATTATTTGAGAAATTTTCAAAGGTAGTTTAGAACATAGACAATTTTTGCTTTACACACTGGCTATGGAACCAACCCCTGAGGCAGATGCAGTGTTTCTGAATCTATATGATAGTTACACATAATTTTAGATAATTATTAAAGCAGGTCCTTCATAGACCTAGTTAAAGTAGCAATTTTTCAACTCAATTCAAATAACTGCCTTTTATTGTTTCTCTACACTCTTTAAAGGGACGTAAGATGTACCCGTATTTGATACAATTCTGTTTTTTTAAAGTACTATAAAACTGACTTGTCATTAATTCCTACTTTCTAGCCACCTCCAATGTGATCTGAAATACTAAGGAAAATTTGTTCCACGTTACTCAGCATAAGCACTAGTTGGAAAGTTTGTGACTCACTGTGCGGCTCGAAGCCTCTGTGCCTATCAGCTGCAGTGACATATGGAGAGGAGGAGGCATTTGGAAGGAAATAAAGCAGAAAAATTCAAAACAAATTGGATTTGGAGACCCTGAGTTCAAATCCAAGATCTGCATTTAACTGTGTAGTTTTGGGTATGGTAATTAATCTTTGAAGCTTAATTTACTTATCTGGAAAATGGGAGTTGATAGTGGCATATGTTTTATGAGATTCATTGAGATAATGGATGGATATCATGTGCACAATGTAACTGACTCATAAGGACTAAGTAAATACCAGCAATTATTACAAAAGCACCTTTACCTACATCCTAATGTGGACATCCGAGTTCTCCTATATTCATTTAGGTGTTGTTTATTGAGTGAAATGATACTCGAAGCTGGGACCCATTCCCTAGACAGTTTGTGAGACTCTTATCCTCCGGGGCAGGTCCTTCCTCCTGACCAGGACCATCCAAAATGATACTTTTCTATAATTTTTGTGCATCTGTCAATCTTCTCTCTTAGAATTGTAAGCGTCCTTGGGTCAAGGGTAGTTTAACTGAGAAACCCTTTTAAGAATGTAACTGAGCATTAGTCTCTGCCAGCCATTCCTTTAGGAAAAGATGCTCACCGGTTAACAGATTCCAAACTTGATGTCAGTTCTTCATTGCCCAAGATAAATAAAGCAGTATATGGAGATGATCTCAGTCAACATTCCACCCATCTCTTAAAACCCAACTCAAAAGCTACCTCTGTGTGAAATTATTTGTGATCCTTTTCAGCCTAAACTAAGCACTTCCTCCTCTGAACTCCTCTGCACATCTTTTGACCATCTTCCATTAACACCTCTTCACATGACTCATTAGAAAAAAAGCTATAGCTATATATTTCTTACCTCAGTTTCAAGGAGGAAATAGATGAGAGTTATTCAAAGTATATGTATATATATATATATACTTTTTCAGACATGTATAAATTAGAACCCCAACTTCTTTACCTGTTTTCTGAGTGATAATGAAAAAGCTAGAGTTTAAACTTCTGGAAAGCAGGCAACAGGATGTGGCCAGAAGTTACCAACATATATCCAATGGATACTAAATGAAGAAGGACCCTCTGTGCATTCATTGGGTCCAGCTTCAATAGGATTGAATATTTGGTAGCGATTCCACGGAAACCTTATCAAATATTCTTTGTTTAACCTCTGGACACTACAAATAAATGAGGCGTGGGCTCTGATCTCTTACCTATTTCCTTAGGCTCCCTTTGGCTTCAAGGCTCTTTAGAGTTGAGTTTCTATGAGAACTGAGTTCCTGTTCCATCTCTCAACTTTGCCATTTACTCTGAGACTTAGATCAAGTAAGTCAGCTCTTTAAGCCTTAGTTTATTATATAAAAAGAAGAATATCTTCCTTATAATTTTTGTGAGGATTCATCTAGACCAGCAGATTCTTAAGAATATTCTGTAAAATGTTTATTACAGAAAATATAATAAGTATTCTGGGGAAAAAAATGTCATGGTCAAATGTATTTGGGAATTGCTGTATTAAACAAAATTAAACAGATTTATTTCAGGTAGAACTTTGTAAAACTTCTATATGTTAATATAAATTATGAATCTCTAGAGAAGATATGTAAGATTTAATGTCTCCCAAAAACATTAATCAAAGAAATATGTGGATCCAATGTCTTCCAAAAATATTGATAATGAAATCATTGGTAGCCAGGTTCTTATTTACAGGCAATAGAGCCAAACTCAGAATAGGGAGGCAGGGTGGAAGCAGGAGAGAGAGAGAGAGAGAGAGAGAGAGAGAGACAGAGAGAGAGAGACAGAGAGAGACAGAGAGAGAGAGAATGAATGAATATATATGTATTTTTTTCTTTTAAAGAAGGGCCTAGATTCAGAAGTTCAAACACAGTCATTAAGACTGAGTCCCTGTTTATTTCTGGGTTCTAATTATTGTCAAGTTTTTATTCTGTTATTACAGTATTGGGTCCTTTACCCATCTCTGAACTAACCAATGATGATTATAGTCAGATTGATACAATGCTCTGATTAAATATATCTATCTCTGGACCTTAAGATAAAATCATTTCCAGGGCCGGGTGCGGTGGCTCATGCCTGTAATCCCAGCACTTTGGGAGGCCGAGGCAGGCAGATCACGAGGTCAGGAGATGGAGACCATCCTGGCTAACACGGTGAAACCCCGTCTCTACTAAAAAAAACACAAAAAATTAGTCGGGCGTGGTGGTGGGCGCCTGTAGTGCCAGCTACTCGGGAGGCTGAGGCAGGAGAATGGCGTGTACCTGGGAGGCAGAGCTTGCAGTGAGCCGAGATGGCACCACTGCACTCCAGCCTGGGCGACAGAGCGAGTTTTTTTGTTTTTTGTTTTTTTTTTTCAAAAAAAAAAAGATAAAATAATTTCCATATTACCTACATCAATTAAGAGTAGGAATTGAATAATTTTGGCATCCTGTTTTCAAAATGGAAACACATAAGTTAGGAATTACAGGATGTATGCTATAGAATCATACCCTCTCCTTTTGGATTGAACTTCAAATGAAACAAAGACACAACACTTTTTGGAAAATGTAAGTTAGATGGTTGTGTACAGGGTCCTGGCCATAAGAGATCCTCATGAAATGTCAACTCCTTTCCTTTGTCACTCCTTCTATGCTATTTTAGTGTCTTAGTGAGCCAATCAAACAATTTGGGAAGCCCTGTTAACACCTAAATATCAATCCAGGTATCAATTCTTAGAATCTAAATCAAATCCCCAAGCACTCAAAAAAGTTCTTTAAGCATGGTCATGAACTCAGTACTATAGGATGCCTAACTATATTCTACTGAGTATTCTTTAATTGAATACATCAAAAATAGCTGTGCTTCCATATACCACACACCATACAGTTCCTCAGAGTTTTACATATTTATTAGTTTAAATGCCATAGGAGAAAGACTTTCAAAAAATTTTCCCCAATCCATTATTAAGATTTTTTTCATTCGCTCTGAAGACATTAATACTTCAAGGTGGCCTTGACCTGTTTCTTCTCTACTCTACCCTAACTGCTTTGAGCCCCCACGTTACCTTTCTCACCTCTTCATACTTCTCTTGATTGACCTTTCATACTTTCCTTGGCCAATCTCTCTATTGCATTAGTGCAGCCTCTGTTTGCTGCCTTCTTTTGGATTTTTATCTATCTATCTTTGCCAACCTGCACATCCTCTTGGACTCCTGTATCTCCCTTCTTAAATGTCTTTCTTTTCTAACCTTAGTCCTTGCTATGGCATTGCATTCATAAATATTGTTTCCACCAGTTGTTAGCCATGTGACCTTTTGTTTGCAGAAATCATATCCATATTCATAAGCTGCTAGGCATATTTTATAAATCAGAATTCATTGTGAAATACATTAACCCCTCCTATTGTCTCAGCTTGCCAGTTAGAGGAAATCATAGTCTCTTGCAGTTTTGTTCCAAAAAATAAGAGTTCACTTCAACTCCTACTAAAGGGAAGAGACCAATAAATCACAACCCTGCTAACCTGCTGGCAATTCTGTCTTACCAGCAGCTCTCTGATTGCAGGGAAACAATAATAATAATGGAATTGCAGATACAAATACACTTTTCATTTGGAGGTTTCCCTCCTTAATACTAAAACACGTTAGCATCTGGAACGATTGTCAAGCATCCAATTCTGTTATCCAAGAACCAGGAAGGTCATTCAGCCAAGAACTAGAGCTAAGTTACTGACTTTTACAATAAAAGTAAAGAGAAGATGAGAAGTAGTGTCTATTGTGACTTCATCACATTAACACTGAGTTAGGTTATTAGACTTATCTGACCTTCAAAATGATTGCGTGTATATACCCACACACATAATTTATGCATACTATTTATAAAATAGTACTAATAATATGGCATCTCAGGCTACCATAACAAAATCCCATAGAATGGGTAGCATTAACAACAGAAATTGATTTCTCACTGTTCAACAGAAATTGATTTCTCACTCATCTATTCTTTTAGCAATTTTGAAATATACGACGCATTATTATTAACTGTCGTCACCATGCAGTGCAATAGATCTGGAAGTAAAGATAATAAGAATTTCTGTTCTGCAGACTTTCCAGAAGGTTTGTTCAATCACATCAGACCATAAGGAACAAAGTGTTTGGGGGCCCATAAAGTGTTATGCAAAGGTTAGTGGAAGGAAGTCCCAGATCACAGTGCTAGAATAGTCTAGTTCTGACAAGGAATCTCTTCCTGGCTTACAGGCAACCATCCTCTCCCTGTGTCTTCACATGATGCAGAGTGAGAGAGTTCTAGTCTCTTCTTCTTCTTATGAGGACACTAATCCTATGGTGGGGCCCCATCCTTGTGACCTCATCTAAACCTAATTGTCTCCTAAAGGCCCCGCCTCATCATACCACCATATTGGGGCTTAAAGTTTCAACATATGAATTTGGGGTAAGACACAAACATTCAGTCCATAACAATATGCAATCCTGATTCTTACAGAAGAGGATACTAAGGCTCTGACATAGCCCAAGGTTACACAGTGAGTGAGTAGAGTGAGTTATAGACCCCAGTCTTTCTGGCTTAGAAGTCCAGATACATTTCAAGACTGATTTTTAAAAAATAAAAAATTATATAATAAAATAATTCAAGCTCTCTGTAAACTCTTATAATCATGAGAAGCCCACTTCCTCTTAATACATCTTGGTGTTTTCATAGTGTAGGAGGCAAAGCTTGGGTTGAGAAATATAGTTTCCCAAGATTTAGACTTGTCTCTCTCTCCAGTAAACAACTTTCTTTCTCTGAGACTCCTCATCTTCTAAACAGTGAAGTTAGAAAGTGTTAGGGGGTGTTAGGAGGTCTTTGTTCTGAATTATTAAAGCTCTCATTGGTAGAATAGTCTCAATGTGCCAGAAATTCCAGTAAGTGTTAATTTAACTTTCTCATTTGCAACAGACACTTTTACGGATGAGGTAAATGAGGGCTCAAGAGGTTAAGTAACTAGGCCAAGTTAATCCAACTAGCAAGGAGTAGGAATTTAAACCCAGATCTGACCCCAAGCCTACGTCTCAACCACAATTCCTTACAACAGTTTAAATATTCTTTTCAAGAGAGTACTCATTCTTCTTAAAAGATAAAAGACATCTCCAAGTGTGATCTTATAAATGAAAATGACCATGAAACTATTATCCCATTGATCTGTCTTCTACAAACACAGTCCGTCAAAATGAAAGACATAGGCAGTCAGACTCCAAGGTCAAATCCAAGCTACCACTAAGTTCCATCATTAGTTCATTCATCTGACTATAATCAGAAGATGAAGAGACTAGAGTTTAGCTTCTGGGATTTAAACTTGTGGTTCCCAGGAATCTCACAGGATGTTACATGCGCTCCACTGATTAGGTCCTCCCACTGACTCTCTCTGCCTCACTGACTATGTGACATTTGTGTTAGTTCTATACATGCTACAGTTATACTATGAATATTGTGCACTCTGGTAAAATCTTTCAGTTTCATATATCAGGCTGCTGTACCAACAGTAATTAATTAGGCCTTACAACCCCTGATGAGATTATTAAGTATAAACACAGCCTTGTGCGTGGCCCAGGGAATTTTGTCATCAGAAGTTGTAAGTTCAATTCACACCTTCACAATGGACCTCAGGCTACTGGTACAAAGGCTATCAGAAAGATAAAAAAGGATGATATTATGATTCAGATCATGAATTTTCTCCTATGGAGCAAAAAGGGAAATATTCTTGACATACAGAATTCAGTTTGTAGAGTGATGGTCACCCAAGGAGTGCTGGAGTTGAGGACAGAAGATAAAGGTCTTCGACCTGCCATTGACACCAAGTTACAGCAGTGCTGTTGTCCGTGTGGCCTTGGGCAAGCATGTTAAACTCCCTAAACATCAACTTCTTATCAATTTATTTTTAACTGAAAAATAATAATTGTGTATATGTATGGGGTACAATGTGATGTCTTGATCTATGCCTACATTGTAGAAAGATTCAAGGAAGCTAATTAACATATTCCTCACCTCACCAACTTCTTTGTGGCAAGAACATTAAAAATCTATTCTTTTAGCAATTTTGAAAAATACAATACATTATTATTAAGTGTCGTCACCATGCAGTGCAATAGATCTGGAAGTAAAGATAATAAGAATTTCTGTTCTGCAGACTTTCCAGAAGGTTTGTACAATCACATCAGACCATAAGGAACAAAGGGGGCCCATAAAGTGTTATGCAAAGGTTAGTATTTGCATGCCACTATGACTTGAGCTCATGATGACCTGCTGGATATAAAAATCAGTTTAATTTCATATGCTATGCTCCTACTGAGTATTGAGCACCTAGGTCTCCTGAATATGGAAGATGCAAAGGTGAATACAATCATTCTCTGAGGGCTTTCTGCCTCTTTGGGTCTATGCAAGAAAACTATGACGGCAAATATTAAAATGTTAATTAGCACTGGTTGCATTTCTATAATCATTCTCTATTTTTTTTTTTTTTTGCGTTTCATGGACAGTGCAAACACAACTACAATATGTGATATAGCCAGCCCCCATGAGAGGGGGTATGATTTTCTGTAACAGAGAATAAGATCCTACTAACACATCACAGAGGACAAAAGCGGTATATATCCAAAGTTGGTTATTTGCAGTTGAAATATAAACAGCTTCTCTTGCTTAATAATATACTACCTGTATTGCTCACTCTGAATCTTTTTTGTCAAACTGATATGCTAAACTGTCTATATATAGCATTATGCCAAAATCAATGTTTAAAGCATGCATAACATCTGAGGACTTCTTATTTCTAAAAACAGTTTGGTTATTATTGTGGACCAAATGTTTTTGTCCCCCCAAAATTCATATGTTGAAATTCTAACTCCCAATGTGACGGTAGTAGAACACAGGGCCTTTGGGAGGTAATTAAGTCTTGAGTGTAGAGCCCTCGTGAATGGGATTAATGCCTTACAAAAAGGACCCCAGAGTGCTCTCTCTCATCCTCTTTCCACCATATGAGGATACAACTAGAAGATGGCAGTCTGTACCCAGAAGAGGGCCCTCTTAGAACAGACCATGCTAGCACCCTGATCTGGGGCTCCCAGCCTTCAGCACTGGGATAAATAAATTCTATTGTTTATCTACCACCTGGTCTATGGTACTTTTCTGGAATAGCCCTAACTGGTGCAGGTATAAATTTGATATGTATGGTGATTCTTGTTACACTATTAAGAAAAAGGAAACAATTTCTCACAGAGATGCTGGGTGGAAAATTGAAGTCCTCTGATTCCTTTCCTCATTATTAATAAAGTATTTAATTAAGAAATAATGTATTAATTTAACAAATCTTTATTGAGCATTGCTGGTAGAAGTATCAAATGGTATAAGTACTTTGAAAAGCAGTGGGGCAAGCCCTTATAAAGATTCTCATAGAGGTGTGTACAAATATACACCTATGCCATGACTCAACAATCTCCTCAATAGAAATGAAAATGTCTCTTTGCCCCAAAGAAATGAAAATATGTATGCACAAAAAAGACTTATATAGGAATGTTCATGCACCTTTATCTTAAATCACTAAAGACTGGAAACATGTCCATCAACAGTAGAATGAAGGAACAAAATATGATATATCCCTACTACGCAGTACTACTCAGCAATACTAATAAACTATTAGTATCTGCAGTGTCAGTGCATCTCAGAGACATTACACTGAACAAGAGTTACTAGACTTAGGAGGAGATGCTGTATGACTCTACTTACACGTAGTTTTAGAATAGGTAAATTAATCTAGAGTAATAGAAATCAGATTACTGATTGCCTGGAGTCAGGGGTGGGGAATTCAGTGGCAAAGGACACAATGGATCTTTCGGGGATGATGGATGTAGTCTCTATTTTAACCAAGGTGGTGATCATAGGTATGTACACATAATTAAAACTCATTGAATTGTATAGAGTACTTAAAATGAACACATTTATCTTACTGTGTGTAAATTATGCCTCAATAAAACTGATTTTAAAGCATATACAAAGATTTTATCACATTAAATGTTGTCAACAACATCCCCTTTCTTCCCTCATAGTCTTAGCTATCTCATTGTTTACTTACTCATTAGAAGGGGCTAGAAAAAGCCTCCCGCGATTGTGAGTTTAATAATCTACGTGAAATTATGAAACTGTCCAAATCCATGTGGAAATGCTAAGTTTTTGGTTTTTTTAATGGACAAAAGGATGACCAAGCATTTGCTCTGATTTGTCAAATCAAAATTGCCCCCTGATGTGGCATTTCATATGACTGGGAATTCAACCAAGCCTTTTATTTTTTTATTATTTTGTTTTTATTATACTTTAAGTTTTAGGGTACATGTGCACAATGTGCAGGTTTGTTACATATGTATACATGTGCCATGTTGGTGTGCTGCACCCAGTAACTCGTCATTTAACATTAGGTATATCTCCCAATGCTATTCCTCCCCCTTCCCCCTACCCCATAACAGGCCCTGGTGTGTGATGTTCCCCTTCCTGTGTCTGTGTGTTCTCATTGTTCAATTCCCACCTATGAGTGAGAACATGCGGTGTTTGGTTTTTTGTCCTTGTGATAGTTTGCTGAGAATGATGGTTTCCAGCTTCATCCATGTCCCTACAAAGGACATGAACTCATCCTTTTTTATGGCTGCATAGTATTCCATGGTGTATATGTGCCACATTTTCTTAATCCAGTCTATCATTGTTGGACATTTGGCTTGGTTCCAAGTCTTTGCTATTGTGAATAGTGCTGCAATAAACATATGTGTGCATGTGTCTTTATAGCAGCATGATTTATAGTCCTTTGGGTATATGCCCAGTAATGGGATGGCTGGGTCAAATGGTATTTCTAGTTCTAGATCCCTGAGGAATTGCCACACTGCCTTCCACAATGGTTGAACAAGTTTACAGTCCCACCAACAGTGTAAAAGTGTTCCTATTTCTCCACATCCTCTCCAGCACCTGTTGTTTCCTGACTTTTTAATGATCGCCATTCTAACTGGTGTGAGATGGTATCTCATTATGGTTTTGATTTGCATTTCTCTGATGTCCAGTGATGATGAGCATTTTTTCATGTGTCTTTTGGCTGCATAAATGTCTTCTTTTGAGAAGTGTCTGTTCATATCATTTGCCCACTTTTTGATGGGGTTGTTTGTTTTTTTCTTGTAAATTTGTTTGTAAATGAAATTGTAAAATTTCATTGTAGATTCTGGATATTAGTCCTTTGTCAGATGAGTAGATTGCAAAAATTTTCTCCCATTCTGTAGGTTGCCTGTTCACTCTGATGGTAGTTTCTTTTGCTGTGCAGAAGCTCTTTAGTTTAATTAGATCCCATTTGTCACTTTTGGCTTTTGTTGCCATTGCTTTTGGTGTTTTAGACATGAAGACCTTGCCCATGCCTATGTCCTGAATGGTATTGCCTAGGTTTTCTTCTAGGGTTTTTATGGTTTTAGGTCTAACATGTAAGTCTTTAATCCATCTTGAATTAATTTTTGTGTAAGGTGTAAGGAAGGGATCCAGTTTCAGCTTTCTACATATGGCTAGTCAGTTTTCTCAGCACCATTTATTAAATAGGGAATCCTTTCCCCATTTCTTGTTTTTGTCAGGTTTCTCAAAGATCAGATAGTTGTAGATATGTGGCATTATTTCTGAGGGCTCTGTTCTGTTCCATTGGTCTATATCTCTGTTTTGGTACCAGTACCATGCTGTTTTGGTTACTGTAGCCTTGTAGTATAGTTTGAAGTCAGGTAGTGTGATGCCTCCAGCTTTGTTCTTTTGGCGTAGGATTGACTTGGCAATGCGGGCTCTTTTTTGGTTCCATACGAACTTTAAAGTCATTTTTTCCAATTCTGTGAAGAAAGTCATTGGTAGCTTGATTGGGATGGCATTGAATCTATAATTTACCTTGGGCAGTATGGCCTTTTTGACGATATTGATTCTTCCTACCCATGAGCATGGAATGTTCTTCCATTCATTTGTATCCTCTTTTATTTCATTGAGCAGTGGTTTGTAGTTCTCCTTGAAGAGGTCCTTCACGTCCCTTGTAAGTTGGATTCCTAGGTATTTTATTCTCTTTGAAGCAATTGTTCAAAAGTACCTGAAAGCATTCAAAACATATTTCTGAAGGAAAAAAGTTTGTGTGTGTGTGCATGTGTGTGAGTGTGTGTGCATGTGTGTGTGTGTGTGTGTATGTATATATGTTCTAACAGGTATATATACACATATATATGTGTATATATATATGTGTTTGTGTGTGTATATATATACATTATATATGTTCTAACAGGTATATATGTGTGTGTGTATATATATGCACATATGTATGTATGTATACCTGTTAGAACCTGCTGTTCATCTGTGTTTAACTTATGGGAACATTGAAATATCTGGTTATCTGGTTCTTAAACTTTCCTAGCAGCATGCCAACCACCACTGTCCCCTCCTTCATGTGACATCTGAAGCACAGTGTTATTCCTTTCATGCTTGCAGTGCTGTATAAGCTTCAGCTCTGGATAAAAAGTCACATTTGCTGAGTGGTCACTCTGTGTCAGGCACTATGCTAAGAGCTCCTCTACAGTCATTATCTGCTTTGCTCCTCAGAACTAGTCTGTGAGAAGGTAATCTTATCCCTTTTGTATGAATAAAGTGGCAAATTAAATGTCACTCAGGTAACACAGTTATGATATACCTGGGATGTCAACACAAAGACAATGGTGAGAAGCATAGGTGTTAACCATGGAGCAGTATTGCCTCCTGATGACACAGTGGCTGCCAAAACTTACTGCCAACTTCTGGCTTTTGAGACAGCTAAGATAATATAACTTCTAGCCATGGGTTAAGTCATATCATCAGAATAAAGTTATGCAAACATGTGATTTCAGGGCACTGGCGGAAGTGTCATTTCTGTAATTCTCCCCTCTTTTGTGCCCTCTGATTTGTGGTAGGCCAAGCCTAGGAGTCGACCTTTGAACCATATTCACGTTTTTGTTTTTGTTTTTTTCATAAAATAATGATGGAAGTAGGAAGAGCTCTGCAATTTGTAGGAACCAGTGCAACAAAGTTCTATTAGGTCTTGATGAGGGGTGAGAATACCAAGTTCACACAGGTTCACTATCCTAACCCACTGCAGACAGGCAACACCCCAGGTATTACAACCTCTGAATACAACAGCACACTTTCAGTATCTAGATAAGACGTAGGCAAGAGGCTGCTGCTGAGTTACCCACTAAATGCATCACAGTGATGCCAGGTGGAGGCAAAGATGCCCACCACCTCACCCCACCCCAAGGTGCCCAGGGAATATGCCAGAGCTCCACTGAGAAAGAGGCTGATGGTGGAACTCAGTCTCCATCCTACCAGTGTGATCTGGTTGCCACTCTGGATTGAAAATGGCAGTAGCCATGGTGTGGAGGTAGGGAGATGGAGGCTGGGCAGGGCCCAGGTCGCCAGGAATGGAGACTAGGAGCTGAGTACATCCCAAGGAAGCAGAGCCACATGTGAGCAGTGGCTCTCAGAGCTCAGCATGTGCTCTACTGTCCCATCACACTTCACTTCCAAAAAGCAATTTCAAAGACAAAATTAACAATTTGAGGACAGCAACAGCAGAGCATGAAACCCCATGTATGCAAACCTTGTGAGTGCAGAGCCCTGTGCTGCACACCCGTGAAGCTAGCCATAGCTGAAGGCTGTGTGTGCAACCTTAGGAGCATGGATATTGGAATATGACTGCCTGTATTCAAATCCCAGGCCATTATTTAATAGCTATGCGACTTCTAGCCAGTTTCTCAACCACACTGTGTCTTAGTTTTCTTATCTGTAAAATAGCATCTTTGGGAAAATTCAGAGTGTAAAATGAATTAAGCACTCAGACTAGTGCCTGGCACAGAGTAAAAATTATATGTGTTAGCTATTTGCTTATTATTTATTCATATTTCCACGCAAATGTCCCAAAGCCCTTGTATGTGTCTCTCTAAGCAAATCTGTTTTTACCATTAATTCGCTGATGTGAGTTAAAACAAGTATGCCTCTCTATTTAGTCATCTCCTGCTGCATGTTTTTATTATTGAATAGATGATTTCCAAACAATATTAAAAAACAATCTGTAAAGAGAAAAAAAATTTAAGTGTACACACATACATAATTATTTCAATTTTTGCTTGTAAGATGCCAGTATTTGCCCATATGTATGCATATTTTTACAAAGCTACAATTGTATGATATATGTCATTTTTTCACTTACCATTAAATTATAAGCATTTGCTCGTGACACTACATTGTCATCATAATTATCATCGTAATGGTCACATAATATCCTATAATGTTGATATATCATAATTTACTATAAATTATTCCCTTATTGATGGACATTTAAGTTGTTTCATTTTGGGAGGCAATTATGCTAATGGTATAGTGATCGTCACTCAGCACTTTATCTTTGTGTTGTATTATTTTCTTGGGATTTATTTCCAGGAAGGGGATTCCTGGGGCGAAGTGAATAAATACATGAAGGGCTTTTTCTACATATTGAGCCATTGCTTTCCAAAAGGGTAATAATAATAAATAAATAATAATATCAAGAAGGGACACTTAATCTGCACAGATGTTGTACTAAACTCTCAGCATTTCATTCTTTCTATGGCACTAAGTATTATGAGTCCCATTTTATATTTGAGGAAACTGAGGCACAGGGAAGTTGAATAACTGGTCCAAGTCCCTGCATTTAGTAAATAGAAAAACTGGGAAAGGAACCACAGTCTAGTCTGATATTGAAGGTGGTTAATTAAGCCAGGCCCTGAAACACTCCCCTTTACTTCCTGCTGTTGACGTGGCCATAATCTTACAGATTTTCAAGTAATTTTCCTTTGGACTCTCTTTAGCGGTTTCTCCTAGCACCAATTCACAATGAATATTTTCTCCTTTGCTTTTTCAATCCAAATAAGGAAGTCAAGGCAATTATTTACTTTCATCTACTTGTTCTGCACTCTTGTCTTTCTTTCCCTTCCCAATCCTTCATTCTCTCCCTTTCTTCATTTTATGCCTTTTCTTCTTTACTCCTTTCTGTCCTTCTTCTTTCCCTCCTCACCACAAATTTAGAGCATCCATGATGAGCTAAGTTTTGCTAGAAGCTGAAATAGGGTCTTCATTCTCACTATATTTTGCTTAAGTTGCCATTGCATTTTTCCCCTTTCAAGTCTTTAAGCCATTGTGCCAGAATTAAGAAATGTTTTCTTCTACCTTGCATTTATATTTTGTAACTGATTTTGTGTCGTTAAAATCAAATTGATAAATTAATATTTTTCTTTATATTATAACCTACTTAAGAAGGTTTACAGAAGTAACTGTAATTTTCATCCACCTCTGACCTCTTATTTTCCCGAAAGAACATTTTCATAATATATGAGAGACTCTGACTAAGTAAATGAAGACTTTCTTCATATACCTTTTAAAAATAATCATTTGGGATAAATTAAAGCATATTTTGTTCCACAGGGATTACACGTTGTCTGAAGTATTTTTAGTATAATGGAAATCTAGTCTTATTGTTTTAAATAATTTCTATTACACAGCACTTTGGGAGGCCAAGGCGGGCGGATCACGAGGTCAGGAGATCGAGACCACGGTGAAACCCCGTCTCTACTAAAAATACAAAAAATTAGCCGGGCTCAGTGGTGGGCGCCTGTAGTCCCAGCTACTCGGGAGGCTGAGGCAGGAGAATGGCGTGAACCCGGAAGGCGGAGCTTGCAGGGAGCGGAGATCGCGCCACAGCACTCCCGCCTGGGCGACAGAACGAGACTCGTCTCAAAAAAAAAAAAATAATAATAATAATAATAATAATAATTTCTATTACAGAAAGGGGATGTTCAAATGTTTGTAAGAAAACATTTTCTAAGCCTCTATGCTATAACTTAAAAATAACTATAATGATAAAAAAAGAGACGGGAAATTAAATAAGAGTTACAAAAAAAGAAACAAAACCCACAGAAGGAAACTGAACAAGTTGCAATATGTCCTGAAGTGGAAGAATCATTCCACACCCAGAATATTCTATTACAGGTGTTGCAAGTACACCAGGGATAAGTCTCCAAACATCCAACACATAATTCAGTGGTGAACTTTAGAACTAAGCACAGCTGAGAAATAACTTTCTAGATTGCAATGCCCATCTCTTGGGGCTTTTGCATCTCTCTGTCTTTCTCATTCTTTCCCCCTGTCACCTCTTTCCCCCTTAAGCCCCTTTCAATCTACAGCAAAATGAAACATTCAAATGCATTATTCAGTCTCAAAGAAAATGTCAGCTCTTCCCTTTCCTCTCCCTAGTTATTGTTTTCTCTGGTTTTCCTTCCAGTCACTGCTACAGACCCAAGTCTCAGAGGTTTTGCCTGCGGTATTTTGAAATAGAAAAGTTTGAAGGAAATATTTCCCTAAGCACAGCAGAGTTTAGCTGCTGAGAAGTAGAAAATCAGAGGTCTCTAATAGCGCCCTTTGGTTGTGGTTGTAATGGGGACCAAGGAAACAGGACAAAGACAAGAATTAGATAAACCCAGCCAGACTCTTCTGAGACCCAGGTCATCCTCAGGCCCCAGGGATCCTGAGGCCAAATTATCCTTTTCAAAGAACCTCAAGAGTAGCCAAAAATCTGGGAGATAGTTATAGAACAATCATAATGTAAATTCTGACCATTTTCTATCAGAATTGGGAGATAACTTCAAGTTTGTTTTTGCTGTTTAATTTCTCAGTGTCTCTATAGTATCTCATCTCATTCCTCCATCAGACTGTGAGTCTCCACACCCAGAACTGTTCTGGGTTTGTCTTCAAATACATGGGATGTCCTGATAAATGTTTGCTGAATGAGTTGTCTTGGGAGGCCCAGTCAGGGAAAGTCCAAGCAAAAGAACTGTGGAAATCTTTTCCCCTTTCAAAAGGGATTATGCAACCCAGCAGGCCTCATACAACAACCAGACCAATTAAGTGATAGAATTGAGTAGTTTTCAGATGCTTGAGTTAGCACGTTTTCTGCAACATTGCTTACAAAAGAAAACCAAGTTACAAAGCATATCTTCTCCATTACTGTCATTGAGGAACTGAGTAGGTATAGCTACAAAATGAACTAAATATTTTTTAAAATGAGACCTGTCTACAGACATCGGGAGAGGCCATGTAATATTTTAGGAGGAAAAAGCATTCATTGCATACAATACTTAAAATTAGCCTATTGCTCACATGCATTTGCATATCTGGAGGGATTCACTGGAGTAGCTAACATGTGAGAGTTTCCACCATTTGTCAGCCATTGTGCTAACGTGTCTTATTGTACTTAATCTTCACAAGTAATCCTGAGAGGCAGGTTATGAGGTTGAGTCCCAATTTTTTCACCTAAGGAAACTGAGTCTCAAGAAGTTAAGTGACTTTCCCAAAGTCACACGGGGAAAGTGGTAAAGTTGAGAAATAGACCCAGGTGGAAGGAAGGCAGAGCAGTGGGGTTCACCACTGAGTGCTGCTTCTATACAGCCTGTAAACATCATTGAAGAGCGTTCACTTTCTGTGGTATAGGCCTTCATTTTGTTTAGTTTATTTTCACATTAAGCAAGTATTGTCTTTATCAGAAAAGTAATTTGTATTTAGAAAAAATAAAATGCAGAGGTGAAATGCTTTGGTAGGCATTTTAAGCTATCGAGCTAAGTCTTCCACGTAGGGGAAATATAATATATACATATTTATAATTTTAATGACCAGGTAAGTGAAAAAAAGGAAGGCAAGGCTAAGGTTAAAGAGGATATAGAGGCAGAGAAAGAAGTGGAAGAAAGAGGAAGAGGAGGAGGAGCAGAAAAAGCCTCCTTTGCTTTTTTATGGCTATAGAGTTCCAGGAAAGCTTAAGAGGAGCCTAAAATAATAACAACAGGAACAACACTAGTTTACACTAGCAAACTACAACTATAATGATCATAGCATTTATTTTTAAATCCCACAAAATCTCTATTTTCTCTACTTCTTTCCTTCCCTCTTCCCATGTGCCCTTCCCCACGCCAGGTGGCATCTCTCAACCTGCTTAAAAACATACTGTGATAATGAGTTGCATTCAAGGCATAAACTAGACTTTTAGTTTTTTATATAGTTCACCAATACAAGACTTAATTGTACAATAACTGGTTTCTATTCTTTTAAAATTAAATTAGGCAGGCCAGGTACGGTGGCTCACACCTGTAATCCCAGCACTTTGGGAGGCCAAGGTGGGCGGATCACCTGAGGTCAGGAGTTCTAGACCAGCCTGGCCAACATGGTGAAACCCATCCATACTAAAAATACAAAAAAATTAGCTGAGCATGGTTGCGGGCACCTGTAATCCAAGCTACTCCAAAGGCTGAGGCCGGAGTATCGCTTGAAGCCAGGAGGCGGAGGTTGCAGTGAGCTGAGGTCACGCCATTGCACTCCAGCCTGGGCAACAAGAACAAAACTCCGTCTCAAGAAATAAATAAAATAAAGTAAAATTTAATTTAATTAGGCCACCCATCCAGCACTTTCCCTGTCCTCTTACTTTTTTCCTGTTTTTGGACAGTTTGGAAATTTTAATGCAGGACAAGAATTGACCTGTCCTACAGTTGTATCCAAGGGAAAGAAGGAAAGGAGACAATGCTAAAGATTTGTGCCAGGCAGAGAAAACAGAACTCCTAACTGGGTTCTGTGAGACCTCAAGAAAGCCCTTCCCCTCTGACCTTCAGCCTTGCCTCCTGTGCAGTGAGGCGGCAGTGCAGGTGATTGCCCTGTCACTCTAGGGCACTGAGAAGCCAAGGTCAAGGCTTAGGTTGAAATGTAAAGCAGGAACTCTGTCCTTGGACTCGACAGTCAAGAATGAGCCTGGCACCTCAGGTGACAGGAATCAGTGATGCCAGTTTAATTATCAATCCATGAGCGTATGACTTAACTTCTCTGAGCCTTCATGAATAAAATGAGTGTCTTCATAAATGAATCTAATTGCCCTCCTTTCCAAGGGTGTTTTGAATATCAAATTGGATATTATATGAAATACTTTCATCAGATTGTAGGTACGAAATATCGTTGATGTTCCGCTTCTCTTTCTTCTTAATTCTTATGCCCACACCTTTTCAGTTGTTTTCTCCCTGACCCGCAGAGCTTTCCGGTTTTCATTAGAGAAAAATACCTATTACCCCCTTTAAGATTTGACATGCAGGTCAGATTTAAGAAGACTTTCACCACGAAATTCTGACCTAGGATGAATTGCATAACCTTCCCAAGACTCAGTTTCAACAGCTGCAAAGGAATATGATTGAAGAATATAAAACTGAGTCTTTTTCAATATTAAAATTATTTGATTCCACATATTTTTGTCCCCCACTCTCTGTTTCCTCTCTCCCTGCCTTTTTTCCCCTATCTGCATCACACTTTGCTGGCAAATCAAATTCAAATCATCAGTCAGATTCAGGTGTTTACTTGCATTGCTCACAAATATAAGACTTAATTGTGCAAGAATAGGTTCTCCATATTCTGATTGAATTAGTTCTGTGTCCTCCTCTCCCTCCCCATGGCTTTCCTTCTATTTTTAGATAGACAGTCTAAAATGTCTTAATATATCAATGACATTTATAACACATGTTAATATCTAAACCGTCAATGCTCTATTTGTAGAAATGACTGCTGATGTGATGAGATGCTTTTATTATATCAGTGACTTTTATTATAAATAGGATAAAACTCTGCACTCTCTTTTTGGAAAATTAAAGCATAATAATAAACTATTCTCTGCCCTAGTTTGTCCAAGTGTCAGCTTCCAGTACTAGGTTTTACTTTTTTTGGTGCACATTTTATAAATTGCTCTTTACAAGTTCAGGGTGAATATGTGTCTCTTGTAATAGACGACAGCAGACTCTTCTGGGATAATGCATTGGGGAGGTAAGTGCTGACACCTGGGGATCCATTTCATAATCTTTGTAATTTCTCAGGCTCCCTGTGGGGCCCAGTACCTCAGAACTCTGGAGGTGGCCAATGCTGTAGTCTTTATATAAAATGTATAATCCCCATCTCTGCCTCCCACATCTTGCCCGTCATTAAAATGCATTTCACAGTTACAGGAGCTGAAGGTTAGGATCATATGTTTTAGGAGCAGACAGGCATGGGCTGGAGTTGCTGCCGTGTGATTTGGGCAAGTCATATAACCTCTCTGAGCTGTGTTTTCTTCTATTAAAAAGTGGAAAACAAATATATCTATTGCAAAGAGATAGTGAGGATATAATGAGATGGTATATATAAAATATTTAGCACATATTAAAGATGCAAGAGTCGTGGCTTTGTCTATTTTTGTTATTATTCATAAACAATATGAATAATACTGTCTCACTCATAAACAATTTCTTTTTTACTCTACAACCTCATGCCAACCTTCTACTGCACTTATCTGATCTTGTTCATAGACTTTCTGAACATCATTTGCCACTTTCTAACTGTCCAGCTTGTTATACCCTCTTCCAGACCAAAACCCCAACATATACGTATACAACCTACAATCTAATCATACAGAATTTTACATTCATTCTTCAAACATGCCAGGATTTTGCAAGCTACTATGGTCTCCATATTTGTTACCCACCCCCCGACACACACACAGACACACAAAATCAATTGTTGAAAACTAATCCCTAATGCAATAGTATTAAGAAGTGGAACCTTAGGAATTCATGCCATAGCAGCCTGAACGGACTAAGACACAAGCCTTCTTGGTTTGTCTGCTTACCTGTCTTCCTTTCTTATTTTAATTAACTCTCTAAAACCAGCTTAGATTTCACCTCCTCATCTTCAAAAACAAAGTCCTCACTTGTGTGATGTGAAGTTCATCTATCTCTCTGTCATCCCATAGATTCCTCTATTAGCTCTATCATGGCTTTTGCCAGAGTTATCAATGTAATTATGTTCTTCCCCAGACCATGAATTTATTGAGGGCAGACATTCAATCTCATTTGCTTTTGTATTCCCAAATTTTAGCACAGAGAACATAACAGATGTGTGTTGACCAACTGATATTGGAGCATTTCTAATCTTTCCTCATAGATTATCAGTTCTTTCAGTTTGTGAATTGTTATTTACTTTTTGCTGGACTCCACTGTCTCTAGCACAACTCTTCATTTGTTCAACAAATACACTTGTGTGGCTACAATCTACTTGGACCTAACATCAATGATGAGGTATAGTGATTCACAGCATAGGAGAGGCAAAGCTTCAGTCCCTTATCTTTATGTCAATCCTGCCTGGGACACTCAGCAAAGAAAGAAGAGTCATCTGATTGATGGGAGCAGAGGCCACATTCTCTAAGGTGTGAGATTACTATGCCTTAAATACAGCATTTCATGCTTCTCATGTACATACTTAGACAAAAAGTAGCATCCTTAGGGCAATCAAGTCTAATCTTTTGTGCTTTGCTTTCTACACCCCATGGTAGAGTAGGTAAACTGAGTCACACTCTACTCCTCAAGCCTAGCCACGTTGTTACCCACCCTCCATTATACTTCTTTCAAGCAGCTCTCAGAAAATCAGCAGATGTCAAGATTTATAATGGAGAGAGTGTGTGCAATAAGAGAAGTAAATTCCCTGTTTAGACCTTAAACGAAAGTCATGTGCACCAGCCCAGTCTTTACCTAGAGTGCTGTGCTGCAGTATCAGGTGCTTAGGTAATTATTAATCCTGTTGTGTTATGACTTGTTTATTTACTAGCTCCTTGGGATCCCATAGAAGCAGCAGTGATTAGCACAACAGAGATCAGGGATTCTGAGATTTCTGACCCTAACATCATCTGATACTACCAAGATTTTAACCTTTATTTCAAAGAAATAAGTCTAAGCCCTTACCTAGTTGACTTGCTAGTCATGGAGACAGCCTTGAACACAAAAATTACATCACAGTGAACAAAGTACATAAAGAGTGATAAGAATTAGCAATGGTGTATTCAACCAGATTATTACATGAATGATCTTAAAGAACACGTGAGTTTTCCATGCTGCTTCCTCTATAGGCTGCACTATTATGTTCCTTATATTCCATATTTGGAAATCCCATAGGATAACAGCTATTTGTCCCATGGCCTTTAAAAGAGTTTCCATGCTCTCTAAAGGAGAAGGTGTTCAAAACTTCTCCCAGTCTCTACTTTCCACATCCCTCCAAATTTTTACAAGTTTATAAAAGCACATTGGATAATACTCATCTTCTTTCAAAAGTTTCAAAATTCTGGAAGCTCTAGCAAGTAAACTGATATCAAGAGAATGTGCAATGGTTATAAAATGGTGTAGTGTTTAGGCACAGATGGCAAAGATGAATCATACTGCATTAGTTAGCTATTGCCATAATAATGATGTAATAATGAACCACCCCAAATCTCAGTGGCTGATGACAACAAGAATTTCTTTTTCTTGCCTGTGGGTTTGTGGGTGGCTCTGGAAGCTTTGTTTTAGTGTCCAGGTCCAGTGGATTCATTCCCAGGATTCAGGTTCCATTTTGGTCTACTCCATGTACCTCTGTCCTCTCCTTGAATCAGAATTGTGAGGCATGTGTTTCTCAGGGTAAATCAAAGGAGTGCAAGTGAACAAGTCAGCATACAGAAGCACATTTTTACCTTTTCTCAAAGCATGTCTGCTAACACTCCATTGACCAAAACAGATTACATAACCAAGCTCACTATCTATAGCATAGGACAGTACTCTTGTACACAGTAGGAGAGCACCATAAACTTGTATGATGAAAGGTGTGATGAAAGGTACAAATGTATAATTCTGTAACAGAGAAGTGAAGATTTGGGACCAAATATCCAATGTAGCATATGTGCCTTCTGCCATTCATTCCTCTCTACCCCTGGCATGCATCACTCCTCCTGTCATGGCACTCTTTCCTTGCTTATTTTCAATGTGCAACTGATGGAAATGCTACCCCTGGAATTAATTATTGTTCTGGGAAATAAAAAATCTCTTTCTAGTTGTGTCACTATGAAGAAATCATTTCTTCTCACTAGGGCTCGGTTTCCTCATCTGTAAAATGAAGAAATTGGACTAGGTATTTTCTAATGTTATTTTGACTCTGACATTCTATGTTTTTGGTGATTTTTGTTCTTCAGAAGACAGTGTGGCACAATGATTAAGAATTTAGGCTCTGAATCAGACTATGTGGGTTTAAAGTATCACACCTGTATTTAACTTCAGGTGAGTCACTTCCCTCTCTGGCCCTCAATGTCCCCATTTGTAAAATGAGGATATTAATAGTACCTATTCATAAAATGTTTGTAAGGATTCAATGAATTAATGCATGTAAAGTCCCTAGAGCAATGCCTATCACTTTGATATCTTGATAACTAGAATATAATAAAAGTTTACTATTATTTCATCTCTCCCCGTCTCTCTCTCTCTCTCTAAATATATATGTATTATATCAGATACCTGTGTGTATATGATATCTACATGTGTACATATGTACATATAATTTATATTTACATATAAACTATGCATAATATAATCTCTGGGTCTAAAGTGACTTTTCAGCTCTCATCCCTTTCTGGCCATCAAGGAAGTGTTAAAAGTCAAGGTGGTATGCAACTATTTATTTTATATGATATGCATTATTTCTACTTACATTCTAATGACTACTATTTAATCATTTGACAGTAACAAGCTACAAGAGTAGCTAGAATATATAGTCTGTAATTGGGTGACCATATACACTGCTAAAATTTAGGATGTCCATATACACTGCTAAATAAGGGGAGAATAGATATTGGTGAACAATTAGCATTCTTTGCCATAAGAACTATACTCAACAGACAACAGTGTAAAGGATAGACATGGCCCCTGCCCTCATGAACATGTATGATGGACTTGGGAGATAGACCATGGACAATTATTCTTGCTGTGAATAGGGGTCAATGAAAAAGCAAGGCCCATAATAAGACCTGAAGAACAGGTGGAGTGGGCCACATAAAAGCTGTGGACGGAGGGAGTACAGGGCATTACCAGCAAATGAGACTGCACAAGTATCTGAAAAGAATAAATAATATGATACATTTCAAGAACTGCAAGACATTCTAAATGAAAAGACGAGGACAGAAGGTGAGGCTAGAAAAGTAAATAAAGAAAGTAGGAAACAGGGCTTACCATATTAAATTGTGTGGGCTTTAGTCTATAGTCCATGAGCCAACATCACAGTATTTTAAGCAAGGAAATGGGGTAAATCACAGGAGGTCCACATGACATTGAGAAAAGAAGTATTAGATGATGCATAAAGTTGGACAGTGAAGGAGGGCACTTTAAAACTGTCTTTTAGTGGGGGAATAAAATTGGAGCAGGGGAGGGAAGGGTGAACTCATAGAGAAGTTATGATGATCTAAGTTTAGCTGCTTGAGGGCGATTTGCCAGAGGCCCAGAACCCAGTTTACGGAAGCCTCGGGGCACCTGGCAGCACCTCAATTCTGCGTACTGCTGTTTCTCAAACCTGGCTGCATTCCAAAGAGCCAGGAAGGGTGAGAAAGCGGGACAGGGAGGGGAAAAAATGGCTAGGTGAACTTTTCTATCTTCCAACTAACCTCCGCCATTTGAAAAGTGAACTACTAGAGGAGCAGGGACAAGCAGAGACAGAACCCTGCTTGCATCCTGCGCAGCGGAGGAAGGAGCAGCAGCAATGCAGAGGAATTATTATGCTGCCTTGCTGGAGTCTTTAGAATAACCCCCCTAGGAGTTTAGATTGAAGTAGGGCAGTCGTAAGGCAGGCTAACCCATCCTCCACTTGAAGTGAGCTACAGCAGCCCTTCACCTAAGACAGCAAGTGGGGCAACTCTTGAAATCACTATGGCTCTTGCTTCCTTACATCTTATGCTAGGTTGGGGGACACTGTTCATGCTTCCATAAATCGCCCAAAGAATGTGTGCATCCCTGTCTTTCACTATATTTCTGCTACTGTTTAAGAAAGAAAAATCACTCAATGGTCACCTGTGTGAGTGTGTGTCTGTCTGTGTGTTTGTATACCAGCCCTAACTTTGCAGAAGTTAGTCTTGCTTTTTCCCACCTTTCCTCTTCCTGCAGCCCCACAGGACTAGAGAGAGCCTCTTGCTCCATTCCTGAGAGGATGTGTCAACCACCAGCAGCTAAGTCCCTTTGAAGGAGTTTAGTAATATTTTACTTGCCTGGGGTTTGCTGGCCAGAAGTTTGTTTACAAGTTTTGGTGAATTGCAAAGGGGAAGTTGAGAAAAATATTCTTTACTGGAAATCTTGTGTCCTAAGTGTAAGAGCCACTAGGACTAGCCTTTAGCGGTCATGGCATGGACTCAAGGGATAGTTCAGGTGTTAAAATGATGTGAATCAGCCCATTCATTCGTTCATTTATTTATTCTTTCCCTCAGCAACATTGAGAATCTAGCTCATACTGGACATAGGAGCAGCTGCTTGAAGACAATAAGGGAAATGACCATGTGGTTGTTGTCTCACAGAGCTTAGAATGCAGTAAAAGTGGTCAATTTTTTAAATCATAAATAATTATTTAATTTCAATGTGGATCATGCTAAGAAAAAGGGCAAGATGCTTAATGGTTAGGAATTAGGATGAAGAAATAATATACCAAAGGGTCTCTCAGAGAAAGAGAACTGAAAGACAGTGAAAATGAGTCAAACCAGTTGGATTGGGGTGAGCACCCTGGGTCCTAAGCTATAAATAAGGCTGACAAGTTTTAGGAAGATAAAGACAGCCACTATACATAGAGCAAGGGAGCTGATGGGGCAAGTGAGCAGGACCAGACAAGCCATGTGTTTCATCTTAGAAATGGGTAAACTGAGGCCCAGAACAGGCAAGCAGGTAGCCCAATCTCACACAGGAAATTTGACACAGACCTGATCCAACAACTCAAGCCATCCTTTTCTCTGTGTTTAAGTGGAATATAGCTTCTAATGTCCCAAACAGGAAAAAACCTAGACTTCTGGGGAACTGAAAAAAAAACACCTCAAAAAAGAGGTTCTTTAATATATTCAGCAAACTTTTTGAATGAGCAAATTCTTTATAACCAGAAAGCCATTTTTGATAACTAAATTCCATATCCACTTTTCTTTCTTCTCCAATTTTAGCATTTTGGCAGAATATTTTATAGCCTTCTCCTATATAAGAGCCCACTGTAGATTTCAAAATTATTACTCTGTTTCAAGTCACCCTTTTTTATCTTCTCATACAATATTGTAAGAATTTTTTTCTTCTGTTATGAATATAAAAAAGGTAAATTTTCTACTTGCATGTTTATTGTTCTCTGAGGCTTCTCATGGTATATAACACAGCCCTAAGAGTTGTAAAGGACAGAAACAATTTATAAGAGATGACAACAAGCAAATGAAACAAAACATTTTTTAAATGTCATATATGTTAGTTAGGTGGATAAAGAAAAGTTCCTGGAAGGTAAGTTGGAAATACATGTCAAAATCTTAGAAAATGCACAGACTCTTTGACCTAGCGATTCTACTTCTGAGAATTTACCTTGAAGAAATAATCACAAACGTATCAAGGATCACTAGAAGCAGCACAGTAGTACAGTTACCGGAAAGGGGTCCCGATCCAGACCCCAAGAAAGGGTTCTTAGATCTCATTCAAGCAAGAATTTGGGGCAAGTCTATAGAGTAAAGTGAAAGCAAGTTTATTAGTGAAGTAAAGAAACAAAAGAATGGCTACTCCAGAGGCACAGCAGTGGTGCAGGCTGCTCAACTGATTAGACTTATAGCTATTTCTTGATTATATGCTAAACAAGGGGTGGATTATTTATGAGTTTCCTGGGAAGGGGGTGGGCAATTCCCAGAACTGAGGGTCCCCCCCACCTTTTTAGACCATATAGAGTAACTTCCTGATGTTGCCATGCCATTTGTAAATGGTCATGGCACTGGTGGGAGTGTCTTTTGGAAGCTAATGTATTATAATTAGCATACAGTGAGAAGTGAGGATGACAAGAGATCACTTTCATCATCTTGGTTTTGGTGGGTTTTGGCTAGTTTCTTTACCACAACCTGCTTTATCAGCAAGGTCTTGTGACCTGTATCTTGTGCCGACCTCCTATCTCATCCTATGACTGAGAATGCCTAACCTTCTGGGAATGTGGCCCAGTGGTTCTCAGCCTCATTTTAACCAGACTGTATCGAAGATGGAGTGGCTCTGGTTCAAATGCCTCTGACTATACTAGCATTATTTAAAATAAAATAAAATACAATTTGGGAGGCCGAGGAAGGCAGATCACTTGAGGTCAGGAGTTTGAGACCAGCCTGGCCAACAGGGTGAAACCACGTCTCTACTAAAAATACAAAAATTAGCTGGGTGTGGTGGAGTGTGCCTGTAATCCCAGCTACTCGAGAGGCTGAGGCAGCAAAATCTCTTGAATCTGGGAGGCGGAGGTTGCAGTGAGCCAAGATCGCACTACTGCACTGCAGCCTGGACAACACAGTGAGACTTTGCTCAAAAATAAATAAATTAATTAAATAAACCAAAAAAAAAGGAGGAACCGAATGATCCACAGTAGGGAATGGATTACATCTATTATAGTGCATCTTATATCTACAACGGAAATGCACACCCACACAAGCTAAGAAAATGAAACACTAGAATTATAACAGTAAGAAATATCAGGTTAGGAACATGGTGGGTGCTGAAGAAACCTTTCTAATGTGTAATAAAACACCTGCAGTTATATTCATTTGTTCATCAAATCTGTACTGAGTTCCTACTCTGTGCCAGGCATTATTCTAGATGCTGGCAATACATCACTTAGTAGATACAGGTGTGGACGATGCCTTCAGGGAACTTACAGTCTCACCTAGGTAAGAGCTGTTGTATTTGACTAATAGTATTGAACACGATTTCATCTCTTCCTTTCTACTTTTTTATGTGCATTGGGAAATAGTTTTACTTCTGCAATCTAAAAAGTTCTGTAGGTAAGTAAGTATATATGTGTATTAGTTCCTTTTCACACTGCTGATAAAGACATATCTTAGACTGGGTAATTTATGAAGCAAAAGAGGTTTAATTAACTCACAGCTCTCCATGACTGGGGAGACTTCACAATCATGGCAGAAGATGAAAGGCATGTTTCACCTGGTGGAAGGGAAGAAAGAATTTGAGCAGGGAAGCTCCCCTTTATAAAACCACAGATCTCATGAGACTTACTCATTATCATGAGAACAGCACAGGAAATACCCACCCCCATGATTCAATTACATCCCACCAGCTCCCTCCCATGAGACACGTGAGAACTGTGGGAGCTACAATTCAAGATGAGATTTGGGTGGGGACACAGCAAAATCGTATCAATATTGATATATCACTTTTATAATCATTATTTATTTGATTCTCACAGGTACTCCTGTGAAGGAGGGATGAAGGGGAAAAGAGAATGCAGGAGGAAGGAAGCATTGGCCATAAATCTACAAGAGGCTAGGCGTTTCATTTACTTTACCTTATTGAGATTTGGGGATACTTCAGAGCATCATAATTTAATTATTAATCCTGTTTTGCAGTTCAGGAAGGTTTCAGGTCAAAAGGCTAGTGTTCAGGGAAATACTAGAGCTGATGCACGTTTACCAGTTCACACTTCCTTCAACTATGTGTAATTGAACATGCACAAGTGCTTTAGGGAACTCCAGCTGGGTATCCTACCACTCCCTGGAACTCAAACACAAAACTAGACTCTTGATTACTCTCTTTTTAATCTTCTGCCCCAGGCAGGTGGCTTCGTCTCCCCTATGTCAATTTCTGCAAGTGTAAAATGAGAATGCTAATAATTTTCTTAAAGAGTTAGTATAAGATTCAAATTAGTTAATACATTAAAGTTCTTAAAATAAGACCTCATATGTAGTAAGCTCTCAATAAATGTCACCTGTCTATCGATCATCACCATTATTATTAATTATGCTGTTTGTCCCTGTCTTGTGTAAAACAAACCATACACAGTCACCTTAGGTTCTTGTGTTTCCTTCAGTGTCTTCCTTACCCTCTTATCAAGCACCAAGTCCTGTTGATTCTAACCTAAAACCTGTCTTCCATCTTGATCGCCCACTGTTATGATGACTTAGTGAAAAACCAAATAATAGTAGAGATTTTATTGATATGGCAGCTAGCTTTCAAAACTGAAGCTAAAGGATCAATGAATATGAGGCTCAGGAGGTCAAGATGTCCCTCAGAGAGGAGAGATACAAAAAATGAAGGCTGATTAACAGAAGATATAAATGATCATTTCAGCAACCTAAACATGTCCTACTTTCCCTGGTTTAACAGGCTGAGGGAGAAAAGAGCATCCTCCGTCTACAGAAGTCTTTTCAAAATCTAAGTCAATGTCTGTTCTGCTAGTTTAGTCAGCTTAATGGAGAACAATTGAGCTACTTATCCTTGACCTGTGAATTCAGGAGCCATGTGGAATATATTTCTAAATAGGTGGTAAAACAATCACAACATTAAAAGCAGAGAGACCATTGTTAGAATTATTGGATGTGTGATTTTAGAGTATGTATCTTCAGTTCTCTGAGACTAGTTTCCCTCTTTGGTAGTTAAAGATCATAATATTTATCTCATGGGGCTTTTATGAAGATGAAATGTATGTCATCAATCTTGCACATAGGAGGAAATCAATAAATGGTAGCTATTATCTTATTATTGTGAATGATAAAATGAGTAAAACATGGCCATTTTGTCTTGGTAAAAAGGAAGAAGCAAACAAACATTTATGAATTAATATTTAATGAGTGACAACTCTATGCCATATAATATGTATTTTTATATGTATATACACACATTTAATCCGTCTTTGTTAATAGTTAATAATTTTTATTAAAGTTAATGATTATTAATAGGTAATGGCTGTTAATCATATCATAGCTTTAACAACAATATCTCAAATTAGGTTGATAAAAAATAGATTGTAACAGTTGTAACTTAGAATAACCAAATCATTTTATCCACTTGTAATAGAGAACAAAATTTAATAAATGCCTTAATAAAAACATAAGCCACAAATTTGGCAAATCTGGGTATTTTGTAAAGTATTGTGTAAAGAAAATGATTTTGTAGTCAATTAAGTTTGGCAAACAATGGATATAGAAATAAAATAGAGTTTATTCAGCCAGAATACTATAAATACAGTTTGGAAAAAAATAAAGTGCTAATGGAAGGTCTTGCTTCAATAAGTTTGTAAGATGTTAGTTCAAACAAGGTTGGCTTGAAAAAAATATACAATTAATAGGAGATCTTCCTTCAATAAGTTTTGGTAATGTTAGTTCAATGTTAATGAGATCTCTGGCCCAGTGCGGTGGCTTACGCCTGTAATCTCAGCTTTGTGAGGCCAAGGTGGGCAGATCACCTGAGGTCAGGAGTTCGAGACCGGCATGGTGAAACCCCATCTCTACTAAAAATACAAAAAAGTCAGCCAGGCATGGTGGTGCATGCCTGTAGTCCCAGCTACTTGGGAAGCTGAGGCAGGAGAATCACCTGAACCCAGGTGGCGGGGGTTGCAGTGAGCTGTGATCACACCACTGCACTCCAGCCTGGGTGACAGAGTGAGACTCCATCTCAAAAACAAAATGAAACAAAACAAAACAAAAACATAGTTAATGAAATCTCTTAATTTCAGTTTCTCAAAGACCATATATACTAATGACATATATGAGCAAACAAAAGTATTATATGATGTGACTCAGTCAATGTTTAACTATATAATTACAATTTTGCTTTGTCGTGATTGTTTTTGTTTGGTTGGTTTGGGGGAGAAATCTATGAAGCTAGTGTTTTAGCTGTTGTTTTTCTGTTTGCTTTCTGTTTGTTTGTTTGTTTGAAACAAACAAGCTTTTAGAAATAGCTTCTATAAGATTCAAGAGAGAAGATCTTTACGATACTTTGTGTAACAAAGACTACTAGTTTTCTCTAGTATCCATTCTCTTTTCTATCATAAAACCTGTAAATTTTAGCCCAACACAAACCATTTAGAACAGATATTATCTTTACCAGGCTTCCTGATATGATCAATTTCTGGTGAATAGAATAAAAAAGTGCTATTTGCAAGTTCCAGGAAATGTTCTATAAGAGAATGTATTCCACAAATGTTTTTCTGTAAAGAGCCAGATAGCAAATAGTTTCTGCTTTGCAAACAATACAGTCTCTCTCTCAACTACTCAACTCTGCCATTGTAGTTTGAAAGTAATCATAGATAATGTAGACACAAATGTAAACAAATGTTCATAGCTGTGTTCCTATAAAACTTTATTCATAAAAATAAGCAGCACAATGCACCTAAATACAGTGGGCATTACATGTAAAACAAATATAAGACTGATAGGTTTTAAGAGGAAGAAGACTCTTCAGAGACCTTGGGCGGTAATGGATGGCATGGTAGTGAGTTCCTTGAGTTCTCATTTATAGATCCCAGAGTTGAAGAAGCTGACCACCCACAGACACCTGTGGACAGAGACAGAGAAAGCCCCAACAAAACCCCAATCTCTAGTCAAAAGACAAGGAAAGGATCTTTTTAGCAAGAAGGAAAATTTGTACAGAATAACTGTTCTACTCCAGGCCGGAAGAAAAAGTGTTCCTCATGCTCACCCATATCAGCAATGACCAAGTGGAGAACCTAGACATTCACTCTCATGAAGCTAGAAAGAGACACCCAACATCCCCGTTGAGGTGGTGTCAGAGAAGGCAAAGTAGGAAGCTGGGATCCCTATGGTGCCTTGGAGACCACATAGGAAGCCTGGGCTTCCACACCCACTCTACAGTTACAAACTATTTCTATTTCTTCTCAGAGGTGGCCTATGGAGAATCAGCCCTACACCATCACCAAGTGGTAACTAGGCCACCTTCAGCACAGTATCGGTGGAGACCATTCAGGAAGCTGACAGTAATAAGGAGTGATGAGAAGCAGAATGAGAAATGTTTCCTGCTTAGTGACAATGAAGGTCAAGTAGGAAACCTGGACTTCCTGACAATGTAATGAGGCAGTAGCCCCTTTTTCTGAAGTAGTGTCAGAGAAAGTTAGCTGAAAAGAGATTTAAATAAGATAGAGAATCTCATAACATAATGTGAAAAAATATAGGTTTTCACAGAATATGACTTCACACAAAGAACCAAGAAGGTCTTAAACCAAATGGAAAAAAAAGACAATCAATATATGTCACACTAAGATAACCAAGAACATAGAATTATCTGACAAAGATTTTAAAGTAGCCATGACAGAAAAAAATGATTCAATAAGCAATTACAAACAGGCTTAAAACAAATTATAAAAATAAAAAGTCTCAGCAAAGAAACTGAAAATATAAAGAAGAACTAAATGAAAATTATAAAGCAGAAAAATACAATAACCAAAATAAAAATGTTCAATGGATAGGGTCATCAGCAGATGGAGGACACCAAGGAAAGTACCAGTAAACTGGAAGAGAGAACAATAGAAATCACTTAATCTGAACAACAAATATAAAATAGGTTGAAAAATATGAGTAAATCTCAGAGAGCAGTGGGGCTATAACAAAAGGTTTAGCATTTCTGTCATCAACTTCCCAGAAAGAAAGGAGAAAAATGGCACAGCTAAAATGAGACTCAAAGATGTGAAGGCTGAAAACTTCTTAAGTTTGTCAAGCCATAAACCTAGCCATAAACACCCGGGTGGGCCTGTAGTCCCAGCTAGTTGGGAGGATCACTTGGCTCCAGAAGTTTGAGGTTGCAATGTACTAGGATTGATTTCCCCTGTGAATAACCACCACACTCCAACCCAGACAATATAGCAAGACTCTATCTCTTAATTTTTTCAGTAATCAAAAAAGGCATAAGTCTACAGATTCAATAAGCTAAGCAAATTCCAAATAGGATAAACTGAAAGATGAAAACACACACCAAGACACATTATAACTTCTGAAAGTAGGAGCCAAACACAAAATCTTGACAGTGGCAAGAAAAAAAAAATGACATCTCATTAACAAGAGAAAAGCACTTAAAATGACTGCATATTTTTTATCATGATGGCCAAAAAGGAATTGCACAATATTTTTCAAATGTTGAAAATAAAGGGCTGGCAAACCAGAATCCTACACCCAGCCAAAATATGCTTTAGAAATGAAGAGGAAATAAAGACATTCTAAGATCAAGGAAAACTGAGAAGATTCGTTGTTAGCCAATATGCCCTAAATGAATTTAATAAAGTTCCCAAAACAGAAATAAAAGAATAATTTTAAGAATCCTTAGAATACACAAAAATATGGGGAAATGTAACAGGCATTCCTTTCCTTTTTCTAAATTGAATTTGATAGATGAAGCAAAGGCATATTGTTGTCTGATTTCTACCTGTTTGTATATGAAATTATATTTTAAGTAGAGGAAGGTAAAAAGACAGTAAGGGAGCTAAGATTTCTGTACTTCATTCAAATTGGTAAAATGATGGCACCAGTAGACCATATATATGCATATATGATGTAATACCTAGAGCAAACATTAAAAAGTTTGTAACACAGCAAACATTAAAAAGTTATTCAAAGACATAAACTTAAGAAACTAATGATAAATCAAGATGGAATTCAAGAAAAATGTTTAAGTAAGTAATTTATGGGAAGACAGAAAAAAGTAAACAGACAACAATGAAAGAAAACAAACAGGAAAAATATAGAATAGCAGACTTAAGTCCTAATATATTAAAATATATTAAATATAAAATGTCTAAATATACCAACTGAATAGACAGGGATTGGCAGATTGGATTAAAAATATGGCTGAACTAAAGATTTTCTATAAGAAATACACCTTAATATAACAATACAGTCAGATTAAAGGTGAAAATATCATAGTACATGTATCATGAAATTATTAATCAAAGGAAACCAGGAGGAATATATTAATATCAAATAAATTAGACTTCAAAGCAAATAAAATTACCACGAAAGGTATTATATATTGATAAAAGTGTCAGTCCTCCAAGAAAACATAGCAACTCAAGGTATGCATCACCAAACAAGAACTTCAAAATATGTAGATAATATGGAATATGTGAATCAACCATAATGGAATCAAACTAGAAATCAATAACAAAAGGTAACAAACAATTTCCCCCACAGTTGTAAACTATACAACACACTTTTAAATAACTCATGAAATAAAGAGGTAGTTTTTTTTATCTTTTATTTTAGGTTCCGGGGTACATGTGAAGGTTTTTTATATAGGTAAACTCATGTCATGGGGGTTTATACAGATTATTTTATTACCGAGATATTAAGCCTCTTACCCAACAGTTTTTTTTTCTCCTCTCCCTCCTCCCAACCTTCACCCTTAAGTAGACTTCAGTGTCTGTTTTCCCTTCTTTGTGTTCATGAGTTCTCATCATTTAGCTTCCACTTATAAGTGAGAACATGCAATATTTGGTTTTCTGTTCCTGTGTTAGTTTACTAAGGATAATAGCCTCCAGCTCCATCCATGTTCCCATGAAAGACATGATCCTGTTCTTTTTTATGGCTACCTAGTAATCCCCGATGTATATGTACCATTTTTTTTTTATTAAATCTGTCATTGATAAGCATTTAGATTGATAGGCATTTAGGTCTTTGCTGTTGTGAATAGTGCTGCAATGAACATTCACATGCATGTGTCTTTATGGCAGAATGATTTATGTTCCTCTGAGTATATACCCAGTAATGAGATTGCTGGATCAAATAGTAGTTCTGCTATTAGCTCTTTGAGGAATCACCTTTCTGAGTTCCACAATGATTGAACTAATTTACACTCTCACAAAAGGTGTATAAGTGTTCCTTTTTCTCCACAACCTTGCCAACATCTGTTATTTTTTTTTTTTTTACCTTTTAATAATGGCCATTCTGACTGATGTGAAATGGTATCTCATTGTGGGTTTGATTTGCATTTCTCTAATGATCGGTGATGTTGAGCTTTTTTCATATGTTTGTTGGCTGCGTGTATATCTTCTTCGGAAAAGTGTCTGTTTATGTCCTTTGCCCACTTTTTCATGGGGTTGTTTGTTTTTCTCTTGTAAATTTGCCTAAGTTCCTTATAGATGCTAAATATTAGACCGTTGTCAAATGTATCATTTGAAAATATTTTCTCCCATTTTCTGAGTGGTCTGTTTATTCTGTTGATCTGTTGATAGTTTTTCTTTTACTCTGCAGAAGCTCATTAGTTTAGTTAGATCCCATTTGCTCATTTTTGCTTTGTTGCGATTGCTTTTAGTGTCTGTGTCAAATCCTGCCCATTTCTATGTCCAGGATAGTATTGCCTAAATTACTTTCCAGGGTTTTTTTTTTTTAATATACTTTAAGTTTTAGGGTACATGTGCACAATGTGCAGTTTAGTTACATATGTATACATGTGCCATGTTGGTGTGCTGTACCCAGTAACTCATCATTTCACATGAGGTATATCTCCTAATGCTATCCCTCCCCACTCCGCCCACCCCACAATAGGCCCCGGTGTGTGATGTTCCCCTTCCTGTGTCCATGTGTTCTCATTGTTCAATTCCCACCTATGAGTGAGAACGTGGTGTTTGGTTTTTTGTCCTTGTGATAGTTTGCTGAGAATGATGGTTTCCAGCTTCATCCATGTCCCTACAAATCATCATTTGTAGGGATGAACTCATCAAGGACATGAACTCATCATTTTTTATGGCTGCACAGTATTCCATGGTGTATATGTGCCACATTTTCTTAATCCAGTCTATCATTGTTGGACATTTGGGTTGGTTCCAAGTCTTTGCTATTGTGAATAGTGCCACAATAAACATACGTGTGCATGTCTTTATAGAAGCATGATTTATAATCCTTTGGGTATATACCCAGTAATGGGATAGCTGGGTCAAATGGTATTTCTAGTTCTAGATCCCTGAGGAATTGCCACACTGACTTCCACAATGGTTGAACTAGTTTACAGTCCCACCAACAGTGTAAAAGTGTTCCTATTTCTCCACATCCTCTCCAGCACCTGTTTCCTGATTTTTTAATGATTGCCATTTTAACTGGTGTGAGATGGTATCTCATTGTGGTTTTGATTTGCATTTCTCTGATGGCCAGTGATGATGAGCAATTTTTCATGTGTCTGTTGGCTGCATAAATGTCTTCTTTTGAGAAGTGTCTGTTCATATCCTTCGCCCACTTGTTGATGGGGTTGTTTTTTTCTTGTAAATTTGTTTGAGTTCGTTGTAGATTCTGGATATTAGTCCTTTGTCAGATGAGTAGATTGCAAAAATTTTCTCCCATTCTGTGGGTTGCCTGTTCACTCTGATGGTGGTTTCTTTTGCTGTGCAGAAGCTCTTTAGTTTAATTAGATCCCATTTGTCAATTTTGGCTTTTGTTGCCATTGCTTTTGGTGTTTTAGACATGAAGACCTTGCCCATGCCTATGTCCTGAATGGTATTGCCTAGGTTTTCTTCGAGAGTTTTTATGGTTTTAGGTCTAACCTGTAAGTCTTTAATCCATCTTGAATTAATTTTTGTATAAGGTGTAAGGAAGGGATCCAGTTTCAGCTTTCTACATATGGCTAGCCAGTTTTCCCAGCACCATTTATTAAATAGGGAATCCTTTCCCCATTTCTTGTTTTTGTCAGGTTTGTCACAGATCAGATAGTTGTAGATATGCGGCATTATTTCTGAGGGCTCTGTTCTGTTCCATTGGTCTATATCTCTGTTTTGGTACCAGTACCATGCTGTTTTGGTTACTGTAGCCTTGTAGTATAGTTTGAAGTCAGGTAGTGTGATGCCTCCAGCTTTGTTCTTTTGGCTTAGGATTGACTTAGCAATGTGGGCTCTTTTTTGGTTCCATATGAACTTTAAAGTAGTTTTTTCCAATTCTGTGAAGAAAGTCATTGGTAGCTTGATTGGGATGGCATTGAATCTATAAATTACCTTGGGCAGTATGGCCATTTTCATGATATTGATTCTTCCTGTCCATGAGCATGGAATGTTCTTCCATTTGTTTGTATCCTCTTTTATTTCATTGAGCAGTGGTTTGTAGTTCTCCTTGAAAGGGTCCTTCACATCCCTAGTAAGTTGGATTCCTAGGTATTTTATTCTCTTTGAAGCAATTGTGAATGGGAGTTCACTCATGATTTGGCTCTCTGTCTGTTATTGGTGCATAAGAATGCTTGTGACTTTTCAACATTGATTTTGTATCCTGAGACTTTGCTGAAGTTGCCTCTCAGCTTAAGGAGATTTTGGGCTGAGACAATGGGGTTTTCTAGATATACAATCATGTCATCTGCAAACAGGGACAATTTGACTTCCTCTTTTCTTAATTGAATACCCTTTATTTCCTTCTCCTGCCTGATTGCCCTGGCCAGAACTTCCAACACTATGTTGAATAGGAGTGGTGAGAGAGGGCATCCCTGTCTTGTGCCAGTTTTCAAAGGGAATGCTTCCAGTTTTTGCCCATTCAGTATGATATTGGCTGTGGGTTTGTCATAAATAGCTCTTATTATTTTGAGATACGTCCCATCAATACCTAATTTATTGAGAGTTTTTAGCATGAAGCGTTGTTGAATTTTGTCAAAGGCCTTTTCTGTATCTATTGAGATAATCATGTGGTTTTTGTCATTGGTTCCCTTTATATGCTGGATTATGTTTATTGATTTGCATATGTTGAACCAGCCTTGCATCCCAGGGACGAAGCCCACTTGATCATGGTGGATAAGCTTTTTGATGTGCTGCTGGATTCAGTTTGCCAGTATTTTATGGAGGATTTTTGCATCAATGTTCATCAGGGATATTGGTCTAAAATTCTCTTTTTTTGTTGTGTCTCTGCCAGGCTTTGGTATCAGGATGATGCTGGCCTCATAAAATGAGTTAGGGAGTATTCCCTCTTTTTCTATTGATTGGAATAGTTTCAGAAGGAATGGTACCAGCTCCTCCTTGTACCTCTGGTAGAATTCGGCTGTGAATCCATCTAGTCCTCGACTTTTTTTGGTTGGTAAGCTGTTCATTATTGCCTCAATTTCAGATCCTGTTATTGGTCTATTCAGAGATTCAGCTTCTTCCTGGTTTAGTCTTGGGAGGGTGTATGTGTCCAGGAATTTATCCATTTCTTCTAGACTTTCTAGTTTATTTGCATAGAGGTGTTTATAGTATTCTCTGATGGTAGTTTGTATTTCTGTGGGATCCGTGGTGATATCCCCTTTATCATTTTTTATTGCATCTATTTGATTCTTCTCTTTTTTCTTCTTTATTAGTCTTGCTAGTGGTCTATTGATTTTGTTGATCTTTTCAAAAAACGAGCTCCTGGATTTATTGATTTTTTGAAGGGATTTTTGTATCTCTATTTCATTCAGTTCTGCTCTGACCTTAGTTATTTCTTGCCTTCTGCTAGCTTTTGAATGTGTTTGCTCTTGCTTCTCTAGTTCTTTTAATTGTGATGTTAGGGTGTCAATTTTAGATCTTTCCTGCTTTCTCTTGTGGGCATTTAGTGCTATAAATTTCCCTCTACCCACTCCTTTGAATGTGTCCCAGAGATTCTGGTATGTTGTGTCTTTGTTCTCGTTGGTTTCAAAGAACCTCTTTATTTCTGCCTTCATTTCGTTATGTACCCAGTAGTCATTCAGGAGCAAGTTGTTCAGTTTCATGTAGTTGAGTGGTTTTGAGTGAGTTTCTTAATCCTGAGTTCTAGTTTGATAGCACTGTGGTCTGAGAGACAGTTTGCTATAATTTCTGTTCTTTTACATTTGCTGAGGAGTGCTTTACTTCCAACTATGTGGTCAATTTTGGAATAAGTGCGGTGTGGTGCTGAGAAGAATGTATATTCTGTTGATTTGGGGTGGAGAGTTCTGTAGATGTCTATTAGGTCTGCTTGGTGCAGAGCTGAGTTCAATTCCTGGATATCCTTGTTAACTTTCTGTCTCGTTGATCTGTCTAATGTTGACAGTGGGGTGTTAAAGTCTCCCATTATTATTGTGTGGAAGTCTAAGTCTCTTTGTAGGTCTCTAAGGACTTGCATTATAAAACTGGGTGCTCCTGTATTGGGTGCATATATATTTAGGATAGTTAGTTCTTCTTGTTGAATTGATCCCTTTAGCATTATGTAATGGCCTTCTTTGTCTCTTTTGATCTTTGTTGGTTTAAAGTCTGTTTTAACAGAGACCAGGACTGCAACCCCTGCCTTTTTTTGTTTTCCATTTGCTTGGTAGATCTTCCTCCATCCCTTTATTTTGAGCCTATGTACGTCTCTGCAAGTGAGATGGGTTTCCTGAATATAGCACACTGATGGGTCTTGAGTCTTTATCCAATTTGCCAGTCTGTGTCTTTTAATTGGAGCATTTAGCCCATTTACATTTAAGGTTAATGTTATTATGTGTGAATTTGATCCTGTCTTTATGATGTTAGCTGGTTATTTTGCTCGTTAGTTGATGCAGTTTCTTCCTAGCCTCGATAGTCTTTACAATTTGGCATGTTTTTGCAGTAGCTGGTACCGTTCGTTCCTTTGCATGTTTAGTGCTTCCTTCAGGAGCTCTTGTAGGGCAGGCCTGGTAGTGACAAAATCTCTCAGTGTTTGCTTGTCTGTAAAGTATTTTATTTCTCCTTCCCTTATGAAGCTTAGTTTGGCTGGATATGAAATTCTGGGTTGAAAATTCTTTTCTTTAAGAATGTTGAATATTGGCCCCCATTCTCTTCTGGCTTGTAGAGTTTCTGCCAAGAGATCAGCTGTTAGTCTGATGGGCTTCCCTTTGTGGGTAACCCGACCTTTCTCTCTGGCTGCCCTTAACATTTTTTCCTTCATTTCAGCTTTGGTGAATCTGACAATTATGTGTCTTGGAGTTGCTCTTCTCAAGGAGTATCTTTGTGGCGTTCTCTGAATTTCCTGAATTTGAATGTTGGCCTGCCTTGCTAGATTGGGGAAGTTCTCCTGTATAATATCCTGCAGAGTGTTTTCCAACTTGGTTCCATTCGCCTTGTCATTTTCAGGTACACCAATCAGACGTAGATTTGGTCTTTTCACATAGTCCCATATTTCTTGGAGGCTTTGTTCGTTTCTTTCTATTCTTTTTTCTCTAAACTTCTCTTCTCGCTTCATTTCATTCATTTGATCTTCCAGGGTTTTTATAGCTTTGTGTTTTACATTTAAATCTTCAATCCATTTTGAGTTCATTTTTGTATATGGTGTAAGGAATGGGTTCAATTTCAATCTTCTGTATATTGCTAGCCAGTTATCCCAGCACCGATTATTGAATAAGGATTATTTTGCCCATTGCTTGCTTTTGTCAGCTTTGTTAAAAATCAGATGGTCGTAGGTGTGCAGCCTTGTTTCTGGGCCCTCTAATCTGTTCCATCGATCTATGTGCCTGTTTTTGTGCCAGTACCACACTGTTTTGGCTACTGTACTGTGCAGTATAGTTTGAAGTCAGGTAACGTGGTGCCTCCAGCTTTGTTTTTTGTGCTGGAATTGACTTGGCTATTCAGGCTCATAAGAGGTAGTTTCAATAAAACTGAAAAATACATTGAACTGGATGAAAATGAAAACACAACATACCAAAATGTGTGGGTCACAGCTAAAACAATAATTTAAGCTGCCACATCAGGATTCTATAAAAAAGAAGGATACTAAACCCAAAGCAAGCAGAGTAAATAATAAAGATGAGATCAGAAGTCAATTAAATTAGAAATCTAAAATCAATTGGGAAAAATAGTAAAGAAATTACAAGTTACCAATATCAGGAATAAAACCAAGGATATTATTAAGATCCAACATATATCAATTAATAAATAAATACTACAAACAGTGCTACACATATAAATTTTACAAGTTAGAAAAATGGACAAATTCCAAGAAAAATAGAAATGGTACAACTTACCCAACATGAAATCAGTAATTATTTGAATATTCTTATAACCATTTTAATAAACAAATTTATAACTTAAAAATTTCCTCCAGACGCTGATGGTTTTACCAAAAAAAAAAAAAAAAAAAACTACTCAATAATTTTTTTTTTTTTTTTGAGACAGAGTCTCGCTCTGTTGCCCAGGCTAGGGTGCAGTGGCACAATCTCAGCTCACTGCAACCTCCACCTCCCAGGTTCAAGCGATTCTTGTGTCTCAGCTTCCAAGCAGCTGTGATTACAAGCATGCACCACCATGCCCAGCTAATTTTTGTATTTTTAGTAGAGACAGGGTTTCACCATGTTGTCCAGGCTAGTCTTGACCTCCTGACCTCAGGTGATCCACCTGCCTCAGCCTCCCAAAATGCTGGGATTACAGTTGTGAGCAACTGCGCCTGGCGTTAATTTTTCTTAATAACACAAATTCTACACAATTTCTTAAAGAAAATAAAAGTAAACCTTCCAATGCATTCATGAACCAATATTTTCGTCGTGCAAAAGTCACTTAAATCCAGTATTAAAGGAAAAAACAAAATAGTAGATCAATATTTATTGTGAATATAGACACAAAAATCATTAGCAAAATACTAGCAAATAAAATTAAGCAATATATAAAAATAATTTCGTATCATAACCAAGTGGAGTTTATTCCAGGGATGCCAGGCTGGTTTATATTTGAAAATCAATCAATATTATTGTTGTATAATAAGTTTTCTGGTCTTTGTACTTAATTCCTTCCTATGCACTTGGAATTTTCTGAGTGATTTAAGTGTGTTTTTTATTCCTGAGTCCTTTGGATTGCCATAACCAACTGGAGTTTATTCCAGCGATGCAAGGCTGGTTTAATATTTGAAAAATCTATCAATATTATTATTGTATATTAATAATATTTGGTCTTTGTACTTAATTCCTTCTAATGCACCTGGAATTTTCTGAGAGATACAAGTGTCTTTTATTTATTCCTGAGCCCTTTGGATTACTATGCTATCCCTCTCATTTTGCTAATGAAGTGACTCATGGTGGGCCCCTAGGTAGCCTCAGGATGGGAACTGGTCACCAAGATGACCACCTGCATGATTAGAGTGCTGGGACTTTGAGCCAGTCTGACCTCTTTGAGGAAGAGGTGGAGGCTTGAGGTTAAGCCCAGTCACACTGCTAATGATTTAATCAATCATGCCTACATCATGAAACTCCAATAAAATCTCTGGCCTCTGAAGTTCAGAGGAGTTTCCCTGTTGGTAAATACATCAATGTGCTTTGGAGGATGATGTGATGTGATATTTCAGGGAGAGGGCACTGAAGATCTGCATTTAGCACTCTTCCAAATCTAACCCTATATGTTTTTTTCACTTAGCTCTTCCTGAGTTAGATCCTTTATAATAAAATGTGAATTGTAACTATAGTGTTTTCCTGAGTTCTGTGAGTCATTCCACCAAATTATGAACCAGAAGGAGTCATGGTAACCCTGAGATTTGTAGCCAGCCCATCAGAAGTGTGGATGACCTGGGACCTACTGAACTTTTTGCTGGCATTTAAAGTGAGGGCAGTCTTGTTGTGTATTTTGCCCTTCATTTTGTGAGGTCTACACTAACTCCAGGTGTGAGTGTCTTAACTGAATTGTACTATATCTGTTGGTGTTAGAACAGATAGGGTTGAAACAGAGCAGCTGGTCTTAGAGTAGTGATCCACTATTCATCAAGGTAAAGAAAGAAATACATAATTATATCTATTGCATAAAAAAAACTTCACAAAATTTAACACCCATTCATGGTACAATCTCCCAGAAAGTTGAAACAGAGAATAACTTTCTCAACTTGAAAAGGAGTATCTATTAAAAAATAACAACAGCTAACAGTTTACTAAATGATGAAAAACTGAATACCATTGCTCTAACTCCTCTGAACTTCACAGGGCGGAGATTTTATTGGAGTTTCATGATGTAGGCATGATTTATTAAATCATTAGCAGTGTGATTGGGCTTAACCCTAAGCTTCCACCTCTTCCTCAGAGGTCAGACTGGCTCAAAGTCCCAGGCAAGGGTGTCCAGTATCACCACTCTTATTCAACGTAGTGCTGGAAGTTCTAGCCAGTATAGTAAAGTAAGAAAATGAACTAAAAGGCATACAAATCAGAAAAGAATAAATAAAAAAATTGTGTTTACAGAGGATAAACATAGAAAATGCCAAGGAGCCTAAAAATAAAACAAAACACTCCTAGAACTAGTAAGTGTGTTGAGCAAGGTCACTGCATACAAAGTAACCATGAAAATCAATTGTATTTCCTTATATTAACAATAAATACGTGGACACCAAAATTAATAACACAATACCACTTACAATAACTTAAAGAACAAAATATGCATAAATCTAAAGAAAGATGTTTAGGATTTATTTGCTGAAAATTACCCAGCGCTGAATAAAGAAATCAAAGGGCTAAATAAGTGGAGATGGTGCACATGAATTGGAAGACTCAACCTAATAAAGATTTCAATTCTTTCAAATTGATACACAGTTTTAACTCAATTCTTATCAAAGTCACTGCAAGGTAGTTTTGTAGATATGGACAATTATTTTAAACTTCTGATAAAGAAGAAAAAAGTGAAAGTAATCAGTCAACCTGATCTTAAGGCTTATTATAATAAGCAACATTAATTAAGATGGTGCAGGGATGGACACATAGATCAATAGAATAGAATAGAGAACCTAAAAATAGATCTACACAAATGTGCCACTGACTTGTGGCAATGTTGTTGTTTTAAGACACTAAGTCTATGGTAATTTATTATAGCAGAAATAGAAAAGTAATACAGTTGTCCTCACCAGTTTTTAGGAATGTAAACACATCATGATACAAAAATTTGAGAACTGCTCTCCAGGGATCTTGGGCAAATATTTGTTTGCCCACTAACACTAATCTTTGTTTTTATATTTCTAAAATGCCATACCAGTCTTCCCAAATTAATGACTGTTTTGAGTATCAAACAAAATCATTCATTTAAAATAAGTAGAAAATTGCCTGACATATTCATGCAAATATGTGACAGCTATTACTGTATTATTGGCAGAACTATAGCTGGCTACATCAAAGTCACAAAGGAAAGAGAAAGGTAAATAAAAGTTAAAAATGAATAAACACGGCTGGGCGCAATGGTGCATGTCTGTAATCCCAGTAGTTTGGGAGGCCCACACAGGTGGATCACCTGGGCTCAGGAGTTCGCAACCAGCCTGACTAACATGTTGAAACCCCATCTCTACTAAACACAAAAAAATTAGCTGGGCATGGTGGTGCATGCCTGTAATCTGAGCTACTTGGGAAGCTGAGACAGGAGAATCCCTTGTACCTGGAAGGCAGAGGTTGCAGTGAGCCAAGATCACATCATTGTACTCCAGTCTGGGCAACAACAGCGAAGCTCTAAAAAAAAAAAAAAAAAGAAAGAAAGAAAGAATAAACACAATAAATAAAAGTTCTAAATGTATCTTTTTCTTTAATGAGCCTGATTTGACTGCAGTAAAAATATAGTCTGATGGGTGTCCCTTCTCCTGAATCACCTTTTACTGTTTTGGAAATATTGATCTGTTGAGGCAAGTTCTTCCCATGGTTTTATAAAACACTGTACTTCTTAAAACAACAGTGCACTTGCACGTGTGCACACACACACACACACCACATTAGCTCTTATTCATTTTAAATACAATGGCTATAGAAGTTACATTTCTAATTTTATTTCATTTCTGTATATCTTGGCAAATTGCTCATGTAAGGAAGGCCTGGCATTTTCAAAAATTATCTCGGCACTAAGAGCACATTTTTCTGAGCCTGTTCTTCTATTCATATGTCTTAGGAAGGATGAGCATAAAAATATCTTTTTTCTCGGCACCAGTGGGTAGATCCGTCTGCAGTGGTACAGTGCCTATTGAGATCATGTCCTTGCTTAAGGAATCCAGATCCCACAATCCTAAAAACAAACAAAAATTGAGTTAACATTTTCAGCCTTCCGCTATATGTTTCATTGCAAACCCAAGGTTCATGAGGGGTTTCTATTTCTTTATTCACTTGTCCAACCATCAATATATATTGAGTAGGTATTATGAGTGAGATCTGTCTAGTCCCTGAGGATACGTTTCCTGCTTCCTTGGAGATGATAGTCTAATATTCACTATAGTCTAGTGTTTCTTTATGCACCAGAAATGTAGTTAAATATTTAATATAGCAACTCATTCTACCTAGGTCCTAAGATGGTACATGGTTCGTTGTTCAACAATGAAAAGGTAAGGGAATGAACTTTTACCATTCAGTCTTTTGTTCTGAGGTTCTGCTTCATAACTTGTTCTAATCCAGCCCTCTCCTCTCCCTGGGTTACCCTCTATTATATCAACCTTTTTTTTCCTTTGATATCCTTTACTATAGCCTGAAATTATTTTGTCCATTTATTCCTCTCCTTCTTTATTGCCTGTCACTCCTAATTGACTATAAATTCCAGGAAAGTCAGATGACTTTTATCTCTGTAGCTTAGTGCCCAGAAATATGTCTATTCTTTAGTCAGTGCTTAGTATGTGTGTGAATGAATGGGTGAAGTAATCAATCAGCCAAATTATCTCTTTTCATTTCTGAAACTTTGCGGTACAATATGGTAGCCATGCATGTTATTAATTACTCAAAAGGTGACTAATTAAAATTAATGTATACTATAAGTATAAAATATATCTCAGATTTCAATGACCTAGTCCCAAAATAAAAAGAAACCAAAATTTTATAAATATTTGTTATTGATTCTATGTTGCAATGATAATATTTTGAATCTATTGAGTTAAAATATACTATTAAATGTTTTAAAGAGTTAATTTCACTTGTTTCTTCTTGCTTTCTTAAATGGCGCTACAAGAATATTTAACATTTAATATATAATTCACCTTTGTGACTCACATTATGTTCCTATTGGACAGCATTAGTCTATAATAATGGCCATGAAAAACAAAGTCCAAGAAATACACAGATGTAGATAGGTGAATTAATGCTAGGGCTCAGGCAGAAGCAAATAATACTTGGAATATATTCAGATTCTGCCTCCAGGAAGTTTGGGGAGTAAATATTCAAAATTAAAAGAAGTAAAGCCAGCATTTACCTCCAGACACCTCCAGAGAGGTGTCTAATAGAAACTAGATGCCACACCCACCACTGAAAATGAAGGAAGATGTGGTTTAGGGTTAAGGTGGCCACATCACACACCAGAACCCTTCAGAAACCACTTCCGTCCCCTTGATGTGTGACCAAATGCTATCAGGACGGTGGGCAGTGATTAATGGTGACAGCTTTAAGAGCACAGCAGTGCATAGGGAAACAGACAAGGAGCTCCACAGCCGCTCAGGAGGGACTTTTAAAGGCCATTAAATCAACTCTGTGATATTTTGTATTTCACTCCGACAGTCCTGACTTCAGATGGGCCAGTTCAGAGAGTCATCTACATAGGCGTGCATGAACCTTGCTAGAATTACAATGGAAGAGCAAGATAACAGGCCAACTCTGCTTTGCTTTCCTTGTGGGTCCTGACAAGTGCACAGGTGGTATTGGCTGATCTTCCATGCGTTTCCCTATGGGGAGGAGATGCTTTTTTTCTGAGGCTCCTGATCTCTATTTTTATTTTTTCTGTGGACATCTTGCTTCAAATACTTAAATGTAAAGGAAGCTAAGGATGCTAGAGTTGGTATAGCTTGGAGATTATTCTCAACAACCGCTTAAACACTCAGGAGCATAAAATTTCCCATTGGGGAAACTACTGACGAGAATATTCCCTTCCTATTCTAAGTCTGGGTGAGGCTCAGGAATCTGTCTTTAAACCTGAGTAATTCTGATGCTGATGATCTATATGGTTGACACTGACCCTAGATATTTGCCTCAGAGCACAGATGAGGAAATAGAGGTCCTTTTAAGGAAAATAACTTGTCCAGGTTTCCGCTGAACCCTGACTTCTAGGGTTGTTGCCATGTTTTTAATGGTTTCCTGATCTAATCCATGACAAAACTTTCAGAAAATTGTCAAGCAAAAACATTTGGCGTGCGGTGGTGTGGCACCATATGATCTTCAATGCGTTCCTTGACTTGCCTGTCAATCCCTCTCCTACCCTAAGCTTAGTCATTTTGCCAAAACAGAAGTTCTTTGCATAACCTTGAATTCCTCAAAGCATATGAAATGGGACATGAAGTGGCACCGCCGGGAGACTGAATTCAAGGGTAAAGTCAGATGTTAAAACTACTAGGTTGAAAAGCTAAACAAGAATTTTGTTTCTTTATATTTACTCTGTGTTTATTTACATCAGGTATCATCAGGGCCATTCTTATATTAATGTCATGTATTTTACTTAACCATAGAAATCTCACAGAACTCTAGTTGGGGAAACAGTAGGAATGCTGGTATATTATATTGTATAATACTTTCATATCAGTTGGTTCCAATAATTACAACCTAGTGAAAAAATTGCTGTTATTATGACCCTCTCCCCCATTTAATGGATGAGAAAACTGAGGACCAGAAGGCAAGCAAATTACCCAGAAGCACAGCATTAGAAACAATAAAGCTTTCTCAAGCACAGCTCCTCAGCCATAGAAACTGGGCCTCTTTTCCACTATTCTGTGAGTTAGGTGAATGGGAAATTAACTAAAGAGCCTTGTTCAGGAAAGGGACACTTTCCGTTTTGTGCCTTTCCTCAAATTTCTTTGCACTTTCTTTTTCTAGATTCTACTTGAAGCTTGCAAAGAAAAGCAGGCAGTTTTAACACCTCAGATGGAGAATCTGTTAATAAATTGGTTTCCCACCTCCTGCTCTTTTTTTTTTTTTTTGAGACAGAATTTTGCTCTTGTCGCCCAGGCTGGAGAGCAGTGGCATGATCTTGCCTCACTGCAACCTCTGCCTCCGGGGTTCAAGCAATTCTTGTGCCTCAGTCTCTAGAAGAGCTGGGATTACAGGCTCATGTCACCATGCCCAGGTCATTTTTGTATTTCAGTAGAGACGGGGGTTCACCATGTTGGCCAGGCTGGTCTCAAACTCCTGATGTCAGGTGATCCACCTGCCTTGGCCTTCCAAAGTGCTGGCATTACAGGTGTGAGCCACCGTGCTCGGCCGCCACCTACCTGATCTTAAACTTTAATCACTGACTGTAGATCCTGTGTTCTCCCTATTGCTGATTAATATTCAACTTAAACAAACAAGAATGTGGCGTATGCATGGGTGACTTTAATGCTCACATGCTGGTGACCACTGAGGCCAGGGTAAAATGAGGAATGAAGAAGGGGCTCTTCTCAATGACCAGTGTTGAGCCCCAGGTCTCTCCATGCCTATGAGGCTGGCAGGCTCGTTTGCTTCCAGATCCTGTCCTACTAGAGCCAGTTATGACAGGTAAAATCAGTAGAAGCTTATCATTAGTAGCTCCCAGAATCAAGCACAAGCTACTGCAAGTAGGTTGACAAGCATCAGCTACTTTGTAATAATATGTGATGATCAAAGATCTCCTCCCTTAGTCTCTAATCATGGTGGCCTCCACACTTCCGGAAGTCATGCCACACAGTAGAGTTCCTAGTCTGCTATTTTTTCTGTTTGTCTTAGATCGATTGTTCTAACTGTGCCATAACTTGGTAGTCTCTCTGGGAAATGATTCTGCACTTTCTTTTCATAGCTTTCTATTTTTTTTATCCTTGTATTTGCTCCAAAATGACTATGTTTCTCAAGCACATTTTAATAAATAGGACAAATGAATGGCATCCTTGAATATGTGTGTGTGTGTGCATATGCATGTTTATGTGTGTGTGTGTGTGTTGTGTATCCCCATAGGTGCATTGACAGGGAGTAAAGGCATTTGCTATGTCCTTAGCATGGCATGGTAAACTTGTGTTCTCTCTCTATAAACATGCAGCCACAAATGACCAACACAATCACTAATTATTCAAGACCACATCCATCCTGGCATCTGCCACTGAGAAAGCCCTTGTAGAAGAAAGCGGCAGGACTTACACCTGTCAAGTAGTACCCAGGAATATTGCCAAACCTGCTCCCCAATTATATCATCTATCTCCACATCAATGTAAAATAATCAGTGCCTGAAAGTGCATAGTAGTGATTAATGGTACCAGAAAGAGAACACACCCTGTGATGGAGAGCTCACTACCTCCAGAGATTTCCCCTCCACTATTTCCCTCCCATGGGAATGTTTCCCTCCCATAGCTGGTCCTAAGTGGTTCTTCAGGGCTTCAAAGAGCCAAACTTTTCCTTCTTTCTAAGGCATGTTTCATCTTTCCTCAGGCATCTGCAATAAAAAAAAAAGTTTAGAAGACTAATGAGTAACACTGCCTCTTTCTCTACAATATTCAGAACTTATTGGTAATAAGATTCAAGAAGCACACAAATAAAGATCAAACATTTCAGGTTTACTACCAACAAAAGCTTTTGGGATGGGAAAACAGGTGAGCAGTCATTCGGGGCTTCCTTTACCTCACCCTTGAATTAAATTTACCTGCCCGTCGTAGATAGCCCTGCACCCCTGTGCCCCGAGACCCCCACCTCGATCTGAGCAGAGACTGCCTCTAAAAGCTTATCAATAGAATAATGGAGATATGCAGGTCCTATGGACAGGTTAGCTCTAAAAAAGGCAGCCTGGAAATGCCTGATGAGCACACCTAGATCCTTCTCTCAACCTCAGCAAGCGATTGCCCATCCTCTGAAACAGAGAAAGAATGAAAGCAAAGAGAAATGGAAAGTAAATTAGCAGTAGAATAGGAATTTCCTTCACTTAACAAATACTTGATTTGTGGGGAAAACATCATCCATGTTCTCTTCCTAACAGTTGATGTTTCTAGTTTGGCTGTCCTCATTAACATGTAATCCTGGTGGACCTTCCCTAAAGTTCATGTGCAGTTTAAATTTCCCTGTTACTTGTAAGCCTGGGAACAGATAAAACTATGACTATGTCTGAGCAAAGAAGAGTTCAGTTGAGGAAACTGAGATGCAGGGTGGTTAAGTGGCTCCCTCAAGATCACACAGCTGGACATCAAACCCATGCCCCCTGCCTGCCCGGGGTACTTGGCCACAGCACTCATCACTGCCATGCTGACTCCCCAGGTAAAGACTATTAGCAGGGCAAGCTGTTTTTACAATATCATCTGTCAAGTGAAATAATGATTCTGAAATCCTGGAAACCTGAGCCAGATCAAAACTGGCAGCCCCAGGAGAAGAAGGCATTTGACTCAGCACAGTCAGTCAATCCATCCTGCCACCTACACCCCCCTTGCATGGAGAGAGTTGTAATGTGTCTCTATTGTCCTAGCAAGTGAGCAGGTGTTGAATGCAAATAGAGAACAGCCCATCAGAAAAGCAAACTGGAGTATTCTGTTTTTCCCTTTTTTTTTTAAGGAAGCTTTTAATCAAAAGGGAGGAAAAAAGAGAACAAAGGGATAAAAATGAGACAAAATGGATAAGGGGGAAAAAAAGATTTTGTGATGCTAGAGCCGATAATGAGAAAAAAGGGAAGGGAGAGGTAGCCAGATTTCATGAACAGAATCCCACGCCTTGTACATCCTTGGTGGGTGACATCCACAGGGATCTTGTACAACTGGCCTGGTTTTGCAGCCAATTGCGAGTGTAGCCCTAAATGTGATCTGTTTTAAATGTATTGCAGTTGAATTATTTAATTCGAAATTTAGCTGGTGCCACAGGCTCTGGAGCAGAAGCAAGAAGAATGAACAAAATTATTTCATTGGAAAACGGTTTAATTTTTAATTATGAGATGAGGCACTTTGGGAGAATGAGACAATTGGCCCATGAGAGCTTTGTCTCCTGGGTTCACATGGAGTCATGATGGGCACTTACGAGTGTTTAATTTGCTTGTCCTGGTGACTGTCCGTTGACTCTAAGAGCAGACAGAGATCAGAGGCATAAGCAGCATAACTATGACAATAACAATGATAATTGTAACTTGTGTTTACGTAGAGGAAATTTCCACTGATTTTCTTCATTGTCATAGATACCATAAGCAACCTTGTCTAACCCACAGTCTGCAGGTCCCATGCAGCCCAGGATGGTTTTGAGTATGGCCCAATACAAATTCATAAACTTTCTTAAAACATTAGGAGATTTTTTTTTGAAATTTTTTTGGCTCATCAGCTGTTGTTAGTGTGAGTGTATTTTATGTGCAGCCCAAGATAATTCTTCTTCTTTCAGTGTGGCCCAGGGAAGCCAAAAGGCTGGGCCCCCCTGCAAGGTAACCTGGAATTTGTTTTGTCTTTTTGCATAACAGGAGGAAATGATGCAAAGTCTCAGGTATAGTAGAAAAGAGGCTTGGACTGGGAATTAAGAACAGAAGATACTAGTGTTATTGTTACTACATAACTACAATTGTATCACTTTGAGTGAGTCACTTTACCTCCTTAGGCTTCAAATTCCTTAATATATAAAAAAGTCATTGGGTCTGATGAGCTTTGTGATCACTTTTACTTTTAAAATGTGTCTTTCTGGATTTGATCCTAAACGAGCTTCTCCCATTAACTAAACTATTCTCTGTAAATGAGGTTCTTTGTGAAGAGCCTCCCATAAGCATTTCATTCTACTAAATATTATTCTATTACTGTACTATTCAATAACTCTTTACTGAGCAGTATCTCACGGTGATCCATTAAGGTCACTCAGAGACAGACAGGCATAGATTTGGATTCAAGGTATGTTAATTCCTAGCCTGCTAGCACTGTGCAGGTTAATTGATTTCTCTGAGCCATGTCTTTCTAAAATGGGGAAAATGCTACTACTTACTTGAAGGTTTGTTGTGAAAATTAAATGAAGTGATCCATGTAAAGTGCTTGAAAGTGCTGTTACAACATGGAACTCAATAAATATTAGCTCCCATTGTCACCATCATGATCATCTTCATCACCACCACCATCATGGTATGCTAGACTCTCTTATAGACATTGGAGCTGAATAGTTCCTATTATCAAAGGGACATTAATATTTTAAGAAAAAGAGGTAAACACAAACTCTAAGTATTGTCACATAGGTTTGAACAAAGAGCTCTGAGACTATAGAAAAAAAAAAACTGAGAGTCATGGAGATGGCCCGATTTGCCCAAGACCATTCAATGTATTATCCATAGTGCTAGTACCAGACGTCTAGTGTTCTCTCCTGTGTTATCAAAAACTATCTTTACAAAAAGACATTTCAAGAAACTAAATGAAATTAACATCATGAGTCTAACCTCTGCAAACCATCCAGTTTCTTCTATTTCCCAACACTTCAAGGACTACTATATAAAGATTATTGTTTTCTACTCACAACTCAACCTGCAATTGAATTGTGAGTATGATGTAAAAAAGAGCTACATCTGGCCAGGCGCGGTGGCTCATGCCTGTAATCCCAGCACTTTGGGAGGCTGAGGCGGGCAGATCACGAGGTCAGGAGATCAAGACCATCCTGGCTAATACAGTGAAAACCCGTCTCTACTAAAAATACAAAAATATTAGCCAGGCGTGGTGGCAGGCACCTATAGTCCCAGCTACTCGGGAGGCTGAGGCAGGAGAATGGTGTGAACCCAGGAGGCGGAAGTTGCAGTGAGCCGAGATAGCGCCACTGCACTCCAGCACTCCAGCCTGGGTGACAGAGCAAGACTCCGTTTCAAAAAAAAAAAAAAAAAAAAATCTACATACATATGTGTATTCTTATGTGAAAGTACAAGTGCAGATGTGTAAAAATATCTGCCTCTATAAACACAGATAGCTACATATAGAGATATACAGTAAGTCCCTATGTGCACACATTAGTATATGCCTAAGCACATAGGCATACACATGTCCACGTGTACATCCATATGTGGTCATGCATATATTTATACACAGGCATGCATGTGTCCAAACACACATCCACACTGACACATATGCACAGAGGGTATTTTGACAACACCGAACAGCTCCAGCAGCAGATACTGTGGAGGTTCTTATAATTTAAGCCAACAATTGTCACTAAACTTAAGTTCTGGTTTAGAAGGCGCTGGAATCTCCAGCTGCATTAGGGCCTTATCTGTTAATCTTCTTAAATCAATTAAAACAAAGCTTTAAAACATCAAATTGCTATATTATCTGTACAATGTAAAATCTACCGTGTGAATTCAATTCCAAGTGAATCAAAGAATGCTAAAACAAGAATAGAACTTAACGATGGTTCTCAAACTTCAGTGCTATAACAACTCCAGGAGCATGTTTATTTTGCCAATCATTAGTCTTCAGCCCAAGAGACTCTGACTTAGTCTCAGGTGGGGACCAGGAATCTGCATTTAACAAGCTTCATCAGTGATTTAGATGGTGGTGGTTTGTGAAATATCTTTTGAGAAGCACTAAATTAAAGATGATCAAAACCTCACTTTGCAAAAGAGTTAATAAAGGTCCAAATGATGAAGTGACATTCCAGAATTATGCTACTGTTAATAGCATAATAGGATTTGGAACACAGATCTTGTCCCTGTATCCCAACAAGATGAGATATGAAGTTATTATTTTATGGTATCTGTGTCTCATCTTCCAACAGAACTTTAAGCTTCTCAGGATAATTGCAATCTCTCTCTCTCTCTCTCTCTCTCTCTCTCTGTCTCATATTAGAATACACATAATAAACCAAATAAAGAGAAGAAACAGTAGAGAAATATATAAGAAAAAGACATTTACTGATGAAAAGCAGGTGACTGAATTGGGAAGAGCATGAATATTTATTAAGTTTATATTACGTGACTGGTGCTATATTTGAGCTTTGTACCAGTTGGGGCTGTGATTGGCTGCAAATAACAAAAACATCTAACTAAAGTGGCTAAAACCAGTAGGAGTTTATTTTATCTTGTAAAATAAGGGTTCAGAGTGAAGAATTGCTTTAACAGCTCGAGAATATTGGGATTGATGTCTATAGATTACTAGTTCCTTTTGCCATTTTTTTAATGTTTGTCCACTCATGATCACAAGACAGTTGTTGCAGCTCCAGTCATTGCATCTGAATTCAAGGTAAAAAGGCTGAGGAGATATACCAATTTCATTTGCCACTTTTATTGAGGAACAAGAGCCTTTCTGGAAAATCTCAGAAGGCTTCAGCCTATATATCACTGGGGGAACATGGAGCTGAGAATTTGCTCTCAGAAATAGATTGTGTCAGCAAAGATGAAGAGGGGGTGGCTTTGGCACGTTTTGCATCTTCACACTTATAACGGAGAAAAGAAGGAATGATCCATGTGATATAAGGATGAAACAGTAGGCATTTCTCTGCCAGTATTTTGTGGATGACGTTGGAATAACTGTCTTTTCATGCAGCAGGCATTGTTCAAGTGTTCCTCACGTACCAAAAGCTGAGCTAGGTGCCATGAACATAAAGTAGAAATAGACATGATTTCAGTCCTCATTTCACAGTTAAGGATCCCACCATGAAAGCAACACTGCAATTCAATATAATATGTTCTACAATGGAGACAAACAAGATGTTTTAGTTTTGCATATCATTTCCATGTCCCTTAAAGTGTTTTTTGTTATTGTTGTTGTTCTCTATATGGCTTAGTATAAAGAACTGCAACCCACAATGTCCAGTATAATATAAACTGGGACCACCTAAGTAGACTCATCTCATGCTCTTCTTGCTCCTTCTTATAATGGACCAAGCTTCCTCCTACTTCAGGATTCTTGCATGTGACATTTCCTCTGTCTAGAATATGCTTTTACCCAACTCCTCAACCTACATCATCTGTCAATCCCTTTATCATTTAGATCCCAGCTCACATGTAATATTGAGCCCCCTAGACTAGATTACATTCCTTGTTGTCATCCTCATAACACTCTTAGTGTCTACCACGTCTTGCTATTATATCAATATGTGCCATTTGTTTCATATATGCCTCTCCGTCTATACTTCAAACTCCATAAGGGAAGGGGATATGTGTTCTTGAATAACAATTTTATCTCCAATACCTAGCACATAGTAGGTACTCATCATTAAACATCAATCAAATAGATTACTGCATAAATAGGTGGAATGAAGCTACAGGTTCTGCTTAGCGGTACCAGGCTTCGCAAAGTATATAACATTTAAACTTGTCCTCTCTGATCCTCAGTTTTCTACATATTTTTAATGAGTAGGACAAGGTGATTGCTAAAGGCCTGCTCAGCTTTTCATTGACATTTACTCTTGAGTCCTGACTCCATCTCTACCTTTCTGTGTGAATTTGAGCAACTTGCTTAACCTCCCTCAGCCTCAATCTCCTCTGTCAAACAAGTAGAGATGATCTCTGAGGCCCCTTTCAAGCCTGAAGCATCAGTACATTTTTGAAACTCCAGAAGCAACATGAAAACTGCAGGGTGAGAGCTGGAGGGATTCTGCCGAGTTGTGGGTTTTGCAGGTGTTTCCCAGCAGGTTCCCAAGGAGCCATTCTCGAAGGAACTCAGCGTGTTACCTGGACTAATTTATAAAGGAAATGAAAAGGAAATGGACTCGTTATAATGAACACCATTAATTCACCACTCCAGACTTCACTGTGTAAACAGCAAGTATCAAGCGATTCAGTTGTCATTTGTCGATTGAATTCTGCTATTTTGCCTGTTGGAAATGACCAGCCAACACAACAGCGTGCAGATGATGGCAAGACTACTAATTAGCATATATATTGTTTGTCCTGGTATAAATTTATGGCAAATAGCAATATTTTACACTCCAGTAAAGTTAATAAATGAAGCTTTGGGCTATAAAAATTTCATGTTCCTTTGTGCAAAGGTCAATTATAAATAGTTAAGCACATATTCATTCAAAAGCTTGAGGCCTCACAGCCAGGAGAATGAAATATATTCTGGTAAATTTGCACTCTGGCTGGACTTGCCTTTCATTTTATAGCCTTGGTGACATCCCTCTTTGCTCGTCGGCACAGTCTGCATTCTCAAAGAACTCCCCTGGCTGGAGAGACTAAATGAAATGAGTATGTAAACATTCCTAGCCCTGTGGTTTGACACTCAGAATGTGTTTAATAATGCCAGTTTAATCTGAACGGGAAAGCCCATGTGAGAGAAGAGGCAACTGGGATTCACAGCAACACCTAAAGTTCTTTGTCCACAAGAAGAAGCCTAGACAAGAAACAGGAGATGTGTTTTCTTATTCCAGTTCTACCATGAACTAAGAGATCATGGAACAGGATCAGTCTCCTCTCTAGGCCTTTGTTTCCCCATTTGAAAAAAATGAAGAGAGAGAATTTCATCAGTGTTCCGATTATCTGTTGGCTGCATAACAAAACTCCCAAGAGACAGACTTGTTTAAGTTGTTTTGAAAACTGCAATCATTTTATTTCGTCTTCTGATTTTGTGGGTCAGGAAGTTGGGCGGGGTTCAGTGGGAGATTCTCTGTTCCATCTGATGTCAACAGAGGTCACTTAATTTCTTTCTTTCCTTTCTTTCTTTCTTTCTTTCTTTCTCTTTCTTTCTTTCTTTCTTTCTTTCTTTCTTTCCTTTCTTTCTTTCTTTCTTTCTTTCTTTCTTTCTTTCTTTCTTTCTTTCTTTCTCTTCCTTCCTTCCTTCCTTCCTTCCTTCCTTCCTTCCTTCCTTCCTTCCTTCCTTCCTTCTTTCTTTCTTTATTTCTCTCTTTCTCTCATTCTGTTGCCCAGGCTGGAGTACAGTGGCGCAATCTCAGCTCACAGCAACCTCCGCCTCCCGGGTTCAAGCGATTCTCCTGCCTCAGCCTCCCGAGTAGCTGGGATTACAGGCGCCCACCACCACACCTGGCTGATTTTTGTGTTTTTAGTAGAGACGGAGTTTCACCGTGTTGGCCAGGCTGGTCTGGAACTCCTTACCTCAGGTGATCTGCCCCCCTCAGCCTCCCAAAGTGCTGGGATTACAGGCATGACTCCATTTATTTAGCTGGTGGATTGAGTGGTGGAGAATCTAGAGAACCCTCTCTCATGTATCCAGTGCCTTGGGGAGATGGTGAGAAGGCTGGGTTCTGCTGAGACTGTGCACTGGAATGTCTATGAATGGCCTCTTCTGCATGACATTGCCAGGGTAATGAGACTTCTTCTGTGGCAGCTCAGGGCTCCAATATGAAAGGCAAATGCTGCCAAGGCTGTGTCAGTAAACTGGTACAGCACCATTTCCACCACACTTTATTATACAAAGCAGTCACAGAGGCTTCATGGATTCAGGTAGAGGGAACATAGATCCTATCTCTTGATCAGAGAAGAATCAAGGTTTTGCAGCCATCTTTAATGTGCCCTACCAGTGCTTTCCGATTGGGTTCCAAATTAAGAGATGTTGCATGGAAAAGGATTTGGTGGTCAGTAAGTTTGGGAAATAGTGGGTTAAAAAAGTTGAGCAATTATTTTGTGTGTGCTGCAAGACTTCTTAATATCTTTGACTTATTCCCTCCTTCTCTTAGTACTTATTGTTTATACCAGGACCTGTCAGGCTACAAAAATGCAGCAGTGAACAAAATGGCACATTCGAGTGTTTGTATGTGTGGGGGAATTAGACAATAATAAAATAAACCCATAGTGTCAGGTCCTGTTATGTGTTATGAAAGCAAACTGCAATGATAGAGAATGCCAAGACTTACTCTTTCAGATGGGACAATCAGATGGAAAGAGGAAGAGATATATCAGCAGGTAGCTACACAGTGAGAACAGAAACCATACAGAAGTTCGATGCAGTAGCAACAGCAAGGTGCACAGCTCCCCGGAGTGGGAGCATTGTTGGTCAAATGGCTGGGATGGAATGAATAAGAACATGAGTGATGAAAGACGAGATCAGAGAAGCAAGGTAGGATATTTGGAGCAATGACAGACTTTGGAGTTTATTGAAAGTGTGATAGAAAGCCACAGGAGGCTTCTGGGGTGGAGGAGAGTGCATTATTACTTTTAAAAGATTCCTTCCTCACTTTGGGAGGCCAAGGCGGATGGATCACCTGAGGTCAGGAGTTCGAGACCAGCCTGGCCAACATGTTGAAAACTCGTCTCTACTAAAAAAAATACAAAAAAAACCCCACAAAAATTAGCTGGGTGTGGTGGTGGGCACCTGTAATCCCAACTACTCAGGTGGCTGAGGCAGGGAGAATCACTTGAACCTGGGGAGGCGGAGGTTGCAGTGAGCTGAGATCGAACCACTGCACTCCAGCCTGGGCGAGAGACCGAGACTCTGTCTCAAAAAAAAAGATTCCTTCCTACTCTATGGAGATAAACCATAAAAAGGACAAACAAGCAGGAATCAGTTAGGAAGCCACTGCAATATTCCAAGTGGGAGGTGATAATGATGGTATGGCCAGTGGTTAAGGTAAAAGTGAAGAGGTCTAGATCTCGGATATCTTATGGAAGTAGAGACAATAGGATTTGCTGATGGAAGGTGAAATGGGAGGAAAAAGTGAAAAAATGCTTCTTAGGTTTTGGGTCTATGCAGCTGTGGAACTATGGGGATATAGCCTTAAATAATTTGGTGTGTGTTATGATTGTTAAGATGAACACTTGCAGACTTATACTGAGGACCAGAGTTCCAAGGAAGACATTTTGAGAAATGTTAGACTACACTTGTCAAAGAAAGATTGCACCAGATTGAGTTACACAGGCAGGGAAGCCTTTATTCAAGACTATTGCAATAGAGGTTAAGACTTGCAATAGGGGAGATGAAACTTCACTGAAACAAAAGGCGGAGTATTTTTAAGAGCCAATTTAAGCTAGTGGAAAGGTACTGGATGATGTTAGTGGGGAGGTTGGCCATCTGTGCTTGCTAATTGATGCTTATAAAGTTAGGCTCCTCCCTACCCACAGCCATTGGGAGATAGAGGCATTATCTCCTTTGACAGTATTTTAAAGAATGACTCCCAGGTCCTTGAGAAAGTCCTTTCTAGATTGCAAATCTTGCAAGAGGCTGGGAGAAGATTTACATCCCAAAGGGGTAGAGAAAGAATAACAATTGAAAGTTTCCTAAAGTAAATGCTATAAGAAAAGGGAGGTCAGGGACTTATAATCAGAAAATCTTGTGTAAAGTTGAGTTGCCCTAAGGGGAATATTATGGTCTTCTTGGTTTTGCTCTATCATCTGATGCTTTCAGGTTTGAAAACTTAGACACACTACATGGAATCCTAGCAATCTAGGTCCTAAAACTATTTTGTCAAGACCTTCTATCTATGTGACTTTGCACAATTATCTTAAATTATGTTTGTCTTCACATTCTAATTCTTCTACCTCAAAGCCTTTGCATTCTGTATTCCTCCTTCCTGGATGGATCTTCCCTACATTTATGCATGGCTATATCCTTTTAGTCTTTTGTTCTCAGCGAGAATATCTCCTTTCAGTCTTTGTTTTTAGCGAGGCCTACCCTGACCACTATTTTAAAATGACCATTGGCCCATTGTTACTTCCTATCTCCTTAATTCCTAATGTAATATGCCATGTATTTATTTATTTATTTATTTACTTATTTATTTATTTTATGTTTCCTATTTGTAATCTGTTGCCTCCTGCTGGAATGGAAGCTTTATTGGCAAAGTGGCCAATCACAGAATTACTTGTTATAATAAGAAATTGAAAAACAAACCTAGAGATGTAAAAATTAAGGGAATACTTAAGGAAGTTGATACCTCTCATCAGGGGAATAATATGCAGCCATTTCAGTTATGTTTATGAAGATAGTGTAATAAGGAGAGCTGGTACATGGAAAGGATAAATTAAAAGAATCAGAATATAAAATTACAAATAAGTATTATCATATTATTATAAAAGCCAAACTTGAAAGAATCTATTCTACTTGTAACGAATATGTGATGACATTCAAAGTGGTTACCTTTAGGTGCCATTATTATGTATATTATGTTTTCTTCCTTTTCTTATTTTCAGGATTTTTTTTCAATTTTTAAATAATGATTAGATTCGTTTTTAGAGCGGAAAAGTAAAACTTTAAAAAACAAAAAAAAGACTATGAGACTACCAAGATTATAAACTTCTTTGTTCCCAATTTGTGACACATCCATAGAGCTCAAACTGCTTTGGCCTTCATAATGGGGCATGGCTTGACATGTTTTGAGTATCAAGAACAGAAAAAGCTGGAGCCTATCTTTTGAAACATTTGCATGACATTTTTAAGGGAGTGGAGAAATAGAAGCCTGGAAAGAGGAAACTAGAGGAAGAGAAACCACAGAGAGCAGTTTGAAGGCAGAAGCACGCCCACAGGGTGCTTTGGAGACCCTCCAGGCTGCAGAGAAGAGCAAGGTAAATAGGCGTGGAGCAGGTATTATCAATATTACGCAGTAACTAGGCAACTAAAAGATTTGTAAAGAAGGCACAGCATCATGCGAAATGCAGCAATGTGTTTTAAGGAGACAGGGTGAGGATTAACAGCCCTGTGATTCATGGAAACAGCAATTTGTCATAGGCGCTATCTGCCATGTGTAGGTGACAAAAAGTATAGAGACAATGCAGGAGAAGTGTGACAATGAACTGAGTGATAAACACAGATGGGAGAAGCACCAGAATGACTTCACTTTAATTATTTTGAGCTTGGCTTCCTCTACACAAAGCCTGGAGGAATTGTTCTCCCATTTTTGTTTGTTTTACTTGTGGTTGTTTATTAAGTGTTGAAATCGATTTCTCTCAGACATTTTCTTTTTCAGACCACAAGGAAGGTTTGTTTTTATTGAACACCTGCTAAGTGTTAGCCATTACCTTTGGTGGTATCTGTTAAACCTCTCAATGACCAATAGCGTGTACATGATTCTTCTTCTCATTTCAGAGACAGGTATGCTAAGACTTAGGAGAAGTGTTGCAATTTCATTATAAGATTATGTATTAGCATCTGTTAAATCCTTGTGTAGAATCCATGCCTGTCTAGCTTTACTTACTTATTTACTTTACCAATCAAATTATACATACAAAGAATTTTTTCTCTTGCACTGGGTTCAGAGTCCTCAAAACCTGTTTCTCAGAGTTTGAGGTATTACAGGTGATTGCCAATGAAGCCACAGCCTTCAGTTGTGTGTCTGTTGCTTTTCTGGTAGGTATACTGATGTGACAAGTTCCAATGCTCCTCAGCTTTCAATTTTCTAGCAAAATGGAAAATGCAATTACCGTATTAAGCAAAATATTGTTGTTGGTTCAAAAATAATTAAGCATAGTATTAAGTTGTTATTTTACCAAGTGGGATGCAGTGACTCTCTTCAAAGCTACAGCAAAAGGAAAAGAATTTTAGAAGCTCTATTTAGAAAGAGGGTATGTGAGGAGCAAGGAGGAGAAGACTGGGTGCATCTTTGGGGGAAATAGTTAATAAGCTGAGGTTTTAAGAGAAACGGCTGCAGGCCGACTCCTCTATGGAGCAGGCTCTCTTAGTAAGAGTTCAATGCAAAAGTTGACTAGAGCTAACTCTTTTATTGTAATGACTTTGCAGTTGATTTCCCCAGGATCCATTTTTGTTGCTTGATATTAGAGGAGTTGGCTGCAGTAAGAAAATTCAGAAGGTGAAAGACCAGTTTGGTAGATATATAGCCTGTTAAAGGGGACTAAAGAAGTCTCTACTAGGAAAAGAACAAAAAGGTGAGCATTTATTGTGTACCTGCTATGCTCCAGGAACAGGATAAGGATATTCTCTATCTAGACAGAAAGAATGAGGTATTCATATCAATGATAAATTATCTATTTACTGAATGTCTATTATGTGGCAGGCATTGTACAAAAACATTTAACATGCAGTTTTTCTTTGATTGTCATAGCAGCCTGCATAAGCATTTAGCAGATAAGAAACTATAAGCACAAAGATATTAATAAATAGCCTAAAGCACATAGCAAGTAAATAGGAGAGATGCTGTTGATATCTAGAAACTTCACCTTTGACCACAATAGTATACTGTTTCTGACAGCTAAGAAAACTAAAGCTTAGGCACTGCAGAATTTTTTCTATTTGAGAAACAACCTCATGCAACATTAAACGTTTAAGGGATGAGAAACCTCACTTCCAAACCTGGCTCTGTTCTGGGAATGTGGGCAATTTACTCTGCCTCAGTGAGGTTCACTTTCTTCACCAATGTTACTGAAACCACAATAGTGATCAGAATCACTCCAAGGGCTTGTTAAGATCCAGATTGCTGGGTTCCACCTCCAGAGTTTCTCATTCAGTATGTCTGGGGTGGGCTCCAGGATTTATATTTCTAACAAGTTCCCAGGTGATGATGGTGTTGCAGATCGGGGACCCCACTCGGGCAGACTGCACTGTACTGTCCTCTGAACTGAAAGCCTGGTTCTCCCTGGCCTGAAAGAGAGTGCTTCTTTAAGTAGACAGAGCATTGGCTTTGGAGACTTGGCCTAATCTTTCCTTCTTCATTTCCTGTGTGATTTTAGGCAGCTGATTTATCCTTCTGAGTCTCCATATCGTCATGTGTAAAATGGAGCTCTTGCTTTCTTTGTCATCATCTTGTTGGTATGGATTATGTGAAGCGATTTATAGAAAGCATCTAGGCTGTTGCCTGGACAAAATGCTCAATAGATGTTGATTCTTAACATTGGGAAGTTATCAAGATTATACAATATATTGTTGTGTATATATATGTTATATGTACAACATATATAACTTTTTATCTTTTTTATTGACTAAATATGCCAAGCATTATAACATTTCCTTTGTAGTATTTTTGTTTCCTAAGTCTCTGCCATCCTTATACAGATATGCATCTGTATGGCATCTGTAAAACATGCAGATTAGAACAAAGTGCTACTCAAGTGACATGTCATTGTTGGAGAAATATTACATGTATAGTTTTAATTCAGAAGTCATAATTCATGGAAGTCTCTTGAAGAGAGGATTCTGGATATTTTTGGATTGCAGGCCTCTGTAAACTTCATGGACCAGAAATCATCAGAGAAGAAACCCAAAGAGATAAAGGTCAAGTTGAGGAATGGTAAACTCTTTGATGATGTCAAAGGCTCTGTCTCTCATAGTGAGAAATTCTTTATCTCTGCCTATCAAAAAGACATTGCTAGTGATTCTACTTTAACAATGGTTAATCAAACTAGTTAGAAATGCCAATAGATTTTTTTATTATTTTTAATAAAAGTGTAAGTCCAGTACCCCACCCCCCTACCTCAATCCAAGCAGAAGTTTCTGAATTCTATTTTCCCTCCCTCTCATCTTTGTCCAGGTTGAAAATCAATGCATCTGGTTCACCTGGAATCTTGAGCTGCATATTTTTAGCATCAGAAAAGCCTGTATTGCCAGCATTACTGGAGAAAAAGCAGATAACCCCACAACGTCCTCCAGCCAAGGAGGAGGGCAGAGGGCTCAGAGGAGCAGAGTGCCTGCAGCTTAGATGATTCACCAGCCTTGATTCTTACAGCATGCAGGCTGGTGACTATGACCCAGGGACCATGAACCATGAGTTAGAATTTTCTGACAGAGTCCCTGATCTCAGGCTGCCATTTTCATTAATAATTGAGATAAGCATGGGAAGGAGGCTTAAAGTAATATTATTATTATTAATCCTAAGAAGTCTGTATTAAGGAATGGAAGCAACATGTAGTAACAATTATAATATTTAACACTCGTCTGTGCTTATTACGTGCCACTCACTGTTCTAAGTGTTTTACCTTTGTTGACTCATTTTATTTTAATAACATTTCATAGATGAGAAAAAAATAATTTCAGCAGCAGCAACAACAACAAAATGGAGCTGAGAAGTTAATGAACTTGCCGAAGTTCCCCTAGCTGGCAAGTAGTGGAAACGGGATTCAAACTCCCACATTCTGGCTCCAGAGCCCCTAGTCTTTATGCTTTTAGAGTTCAGCATAAAGGTACAGTTTATAAAGCATAAAGCTAATAGTTTTCCAAGCAATGTCTTTCACATGCATACGTCATGTGAACCTCACCATATCCTTTCACAGAAGCAAATAAATGGGTTTTATTATCTTCATTGAAATATTTAAAGTTCAGATTCAATAAGCATTTGTTGAGTAACTATGCCGAACTTTGTGCTATGTGCTATGTTATTGATTAAAATAGAGTTTCAAGAGATGAAAAATAAAAATAACTTCCGTGATATCACGCAGTTTGCTTGAGACACAGACTCTGAGCTCACAGGGCAGTAGAAACCTTTGCTAAATGAATCTGAAGTCTTCTTGGAAGTGGTGAGACTTGATCTGAGCTTCAAAGGATGAAACAAACCACACTGAAGAGTGAAGCCTGTTAAGGTGCAGGAAGCTGAAGTTCTCACTTTGCCTCTCCTGAAGATTTTCAGGGTGGAACGCAACCTCTGTCCTATTTATATTCCCAGGGTTATTGGAAAGGTCAAATGTTAAAATAAATATTGGAGTACGTGGTGAACTACAACATGTTCCAGTTTCTTTCCCTCTGCCCAGAATACTCATTCTCTGATGCAGCCAGATGACAAATTCTGACGCATCCATTCAATGGTCAGATCAAGGGTTGTCACTTTAAGAGGTCATCATTTCCTCTCCCTCTCTCTTCTGGGTGAGATTGCCTCTCTTTATCATTTGCACCCACACTTTTTTTTTTTTTTTTTTTTTTTACTTACACTGCGCTTGAGATCCTTTGCGAGAAGGCCTGTGTTCCTTATGAAAATGAGAATGGAGTCTTGCCTTGTTCATATCCTCATGTTTGTTAATTAGCACATGAACAGTCACATAGCAAACACTCAATAAGTGTTTAATTAACTATATGTGTGGCCTGTCTTCCATTCCAATGTTCTCTTCTCCTTACATATTAACATATAGTAAATGATGGCTAGATCATTAATCCCACAAACACTTACCAGAGTACTCTTAGTAGGGCACTGTGGAAAATGCAATGGATACATTTGTAAACAAGAAAGAATATATATAATTTTATAAGGAATGCAGCTAATGAATTGGAACGTGTGTGGGGTGTGTGTGTATGTGTGTGTGTGTGTGTGTGTGTGTGTGTGTGTGAGAGAGAGATGAAGAGAGAAACTTGTTCTGTGTATCAATAGATCCATCCAGTCATTCATCAAAACTCATAAGCATTTACTATGTGTCATGGACTGTGTTAGGCACTGAGATATAATTTTGAATGAGACCTACTCCCTGCTCTTAAAATACTTATAATCCAACCAAATCTTCCTGCAAAATCAGTAAACATAGACCTGGGATGTTAGCTCCAAGTATAGAATTAGGAATTAAAGCAAATGATCTTTCCTGTTAAGGGTGCAGCCTGGCCTGCAAGATTTCCCCACAGCTCCTTGTTTCCTCCCCAGGAAAGGGGGACAGTGTTCCCTGGAGCCCCACTCAGTAATGAACACATTTCCTCTGGCTATTAATCAGCACCTTTACTGATGAATCTGCAGCAGCACTGTGGGGATGGAAGGATGGAGGATACCTAAGATTCTATTTACTATCTCTTCCAGAGAAAGTCTCTGACCTCAATTTCATTTCTTGTTTTTATTGACCCATTTCATGCTAGTGGAGTAAATTTTCAAGGCCCTTTAGGAACAAATCAGCTTCTTTTGTCCTTGTTAAATGGACATTCTCCATTCAGTCATGGATCGACACAATCTTATCATCGAGAAGATAAGGTCTGAAGTGCATGATTTGCTTGCAGTGACCCAGACTGCACCTAAGTCTTCAGAAACCAGGCTTTAGTGGGTGAATTTCATAAGCAGGACCTAGAATTGACTCCACATTCTGATCATAATCTGAAACAGAGCAGAGGGTAGATAAAGTGACTCTGCCCCTAAATTCATTTATACTTAGGTTACCCCATAGAGACACCCCAAGGTGAGCAGGACTGCAGAAAGGAGTTTTATAGGACAGAAAGACAAAATTGAAGGTAGGAAAGTAACAGAAAGAGAAAGAAGACTTCAGGGGTTGAGAGTATGATCAAACTTGGAAGGCTCCTAGGAAGAAGAAGGTTAAAGTTAATAGGATGAATGCGTTAGTCGGCGGGTGAGAGGGGATGGAAATGACCAAGTTATGTTGTAGTAACAGACAAACCCAAAATGTCAATGGCTTAAATCAACACTACTTCTCATTTAAGCTGCGTGTCTATTGTGAATCAGAGGGACTGTTCTGGTCATTGCAGTCACTCAGGAACCCAGGCAATGCAGGCAGCCTCACAACCATTGCTGGTCACCATGTCAAAGGAAGGGAAGCTAAGCTCAGAAGAGTCTACCAGCAATTAAGTGCTCTGAATCCAAGAGCAATACATATAATTTATATCCATACCTTATTGACTAGAACTAGTGACATGTCCCAACTTCCCCACAAGGGAGCCAAAGCTATGTGCTCAGGAGTGAGACAGCACTAGTGTCTACCACAAGGAATGTGGGCATAGAAAGAAAATCCTAAGAGGTGCTTATGCCAGCATAATGTTCTCAGAGTTGGGCAGGTCTCCAAATACTCCCTGATAAGATTCTAGTCCTTGTAGAAATGTGTTCACTCTTTCTCAGGGTTTAAGAAGAAACCCACAACAAAGCCTGGGCAGGAATAATAAAGTCAGATAATACAATGTATAATGAACAAATATCTTTTATTTTTCATCTCTGCTTTTCTGCTCAAGTTTGAGTCCTGGCTCCATCTTTTACTAACTCCCTGACAAGGAGTAAGTGACTTTCCCATCTATGCCAGAGATTCTTTATTTTTTTTAAAAAACAAGGATAACGATATTACTTAATCTCTAGGACTTTCATACATATTAAACAAGTAAAAGCAGAAAAAGGGCTTAGAATAGTCCCTGACACATACTAATAAGTATTCCATGAGTGTTAACCATTTTTCTTTTTCTTAACAACCCAAAGAGTTGGGTTCTACCTCATTAATAATAGGTTACCTCATTAATAAATAGGTTTTACCTGATTTAATGGTGTGAAAAGGGATGTCTGGAGAGATTGAGTATATTCCAGATCAGCTGTGTGATCAATGGTGGAGCCAGGATTCACATTTAGGTCCTTTAATTTCAGAGGTTGAAATTTATATTTTGCATACAAATTATCCTTGCGTTTGATCACCTCAACAGCCCTGAAGATGGAGCCAATAATATTCTTCCAATCACCAACCCTTCTGCTACTATTACTGCCATCACTGCAACTTCCAGGTATCATTTATAGAGCACCTACTTTACATAAATCATATCTAAATCTCACAAAAATTCCCTTTTTATACTACAAACTGAGGTTCAGAGAAGTAAAGTATTAGTTTGCCAGGGCTGCCATACAAAGTACCACAGATCAGGTGGCTTAACAAAAATTTATTTTCTTACAGTTCTGGAGGGTAAAAGTCTGAGACGAAGGTGTTGACAGGGTTGGTTTCATTCTGAGTGTTCTCTTCTTGGTTTGCAGATGATTAGTTTCTCCCTATGTCTTCACGTGGTCTCTCTCTGTATGTGTCTTAATCTTTTCTTATTAGGGGAACAGTCTTATGGGATGAAAGCCCACCCATATGACCTCATTTTAACCTAATTACCCCTTTAAAGGCTATATTTCCAAATACGGTCACATTCTGAGGTACTGTGTGTTGAACTTTGGGTGTGTGTTGGGGTTGGGGGGGTCAACTAGTAGCCTGTACCCTAATGAAACCAGAAGTTAAATATAGGATATTCTCATTGTAAGCACACATCATCCTTCCATCTTTGGTCCATTAATGAAGGTCTCCTATGTGCTAGGCATAGTTTATGGTGCTTTTTCACTCCTTTTTTCAAACCTAGTTCTCAAAGGAAATGCTGACTCCTTTGTATAGCTAAGGAAATTGGTGTTCCCAATGTGGTCACTGTCCGTCACCTTGTGATGTGTTCAAATCTTCTGCTCCACTAAGAAGAAACTTTCCTTTTCTCCCATCTTGCTCCTTTGGAGATGAGACAGCCCTTTTAAAATGATGCCATACCTGTTATGTTATCAAGAATTAGCCTTTATTAAGTGCTAACTCTGTACAAACATGAAGATAGGCACTTAACACGCAGAAACCTAAGAAACAATGCCAACTTTCCAAGAAATCACAACCTAGATGAAAAGGCGAGAAATGAAAAAATGAAAAGTACAATATAAATACCAGTTGTTTTTCCCTGGGAAGTGCCATCAGTGAATAGCTTCAGAGGAAGCTGTAACCACTATAGAATAGTTATTCAGAAAAAAACTTCTTGGCAGGTTTTGAGGGATGCATTTGGAAGTCGGAGTAGTTAGCATGTCAGCAACAACAAGAAACAGAAACATGTTTGTAGGATAATTTCCGGTCACATTCTTGCTTAGATATTAATGGCTCACCACTGTCTGCAAGGTAAAGTCGAAGATTCTTAGTTTGCATTTTGCATTTGAACAAGCTTCTGCTTCTGCTTTATTACCCACCATTCCCCTAGGTGACAAACCTGAACTCTGAGACAGTCATTTCTCACCTTTGGCCCTTCACCTGTGAACAGAAACTGCATAGAGAAAAGAGCAGGGATCTCAGAATCCAGCAGGTCTGAATTCTGGCTCTGCTACTTACTAACCACTGGGACATTTCACATGTTATTTAACCTTTCAGTTTATTCACCTACAAAATAAAAATAGTAACAAGTACCTGTCAAGGAATATGTGAAGATTTAATGAAATAAACTTTTTTTTTTTTTTTTTTTTTTTTTTTTTTTTGAGACGGAGTCTTGCTCTGTTGCCAGGCTGGAGTGCAATGGCGTGATCTTGGCTCACTGCAACCTCCGCCTCCTGGGTTCAAGCGATTCCCCTGCCTCAGCCTCCCGAGTAGCTGGGACCACAGGTGCCCACCACCACGCCCGGCTACATTTTCTTTTAGTAAAGACAGGGTTTCACCATGTTGGCCAGAATGGTCTCAATCTCCTGACCTCACGATCTACCCACTTTGGCCTCCCAAAATGTTGGGATTACAGGCATGAGCCACCGCACCCGGCTGAAATAACTTTTTAAAGCACCCAACATATTGCCTACTGTATTATGTGGACTCAGGATATGGTAGTTATCATTATAATAATGATGCTTTTTGTTTGGTGCCAGCAATTCACTTCCACTGCTTCTTAGCCTAAACAAGTCCCTTAGCATTTTTTATATTTATAATGTAGCTTTATATTACTGCATCATATTACTTTATAAGTAGGGGCAATGTAATGTGGTGGTTAGGAGCACAGTCCTGGAATCAGTCAGCTTACCATTGATGAACTCTACCTCTCATTACTCTGTGAAGTTAAGCAAGTTATTTGGCCACTCTTGTTTCTCAGCTTTTTTGTGTATAAAATGACATTAGGGAATTATCTGCTTCGTAGAGACAGTTTTGAAGAGAAAATGAGTTTATGTCATAGTTTCTGGAATACAGCATACATTCAATAAATGGAAGCTATTGTTATATTCATTTTATACAGGAAGAAAGAAGTCATGTAACTTGACCAAAGTTGAAAGACTAGTGGGACAAAAACTTTTAGAATTAGAATTTTGAGTTGTGTGAGTTCCTTACAAATTTTCAACACCAACTCCCATCAGATATGTAATTTGCAAATATTTTCTCCTATTCCATAAGTTGTCTTTTTATTTTACTATTTCCTTTGCTGAGATGAAACTTTTTAGTTTGATATAGTCTCACTTGTTTATTTTTCGCTTTGTTGCCTATGCTTTTGGTGTCATATCCAAAAAAATCTTGCCAAGACCAATGTCAAGTTTTTCCTTATGTTTTCTTCTAAGATTTTTGTGGTTTTCAGACCTTAAGTTTAAGTTTTTAGCCCATTTTGAGTTGACTTTTTGTGTATGGTGTAACATAAAGATCTAATTTTATTCTTTTGCTTGTGGAAGTTCAGTTTTCCCAGTATCATTTATTGAAGACACTATTCCTTCCCCCATTGCACACCCTTGGTGCCCTCGTGGAATATAAGTAGACCACGTATGCATGGGTTTATCTCTATTCTGTTCTGCTGGACTATGTGCCTGTTTTAAGCCAATACTATACTGTTTTGATTACTACAGCTTTATACTATACTTTGAAATTGGGTAGTGTGATGCCTCCAGCTTTATTTTTTCTCAAGATTGTTTGGGCTATTCAGGGTCTTTTGTGATTCCATACACATTTTAGGATTGCCTTTTCTATTTTTGTTTGAAAAAAAAATGGTGCATATCCAAAGGAATTGAAATCAGTATTTCAAAGAGATATTGGTACTCCCATGTTCAATGCAGTGTTATTCACTGTAGTCATAATATGGAAACAAAGTAAGTGTTCTTTGATGAATTAACAGATCAGGAAATTGTGGTATGTAATACATATAGAATGAAATATCATTAAGCCTTTAAAAAGAAGGAAATTCTGCCATTTGTAACAACATAGATGAGTCTAGAGGTTATTATACTAAATGAAATAAGCCACACACAGAAAGATAAATCCTGCAGGATCTTCTTTTATATGTGGACTCTAAACAAATCAAACTTATGGAAACAGTGAGTAGAACATTGGTTGCCAGGGCTTGGGAGTGGAGAAAATGTGATTTTGGTTAAAGTCTGAAAACTTTAAGTTACAAGATGAGTAAGTTCTGGAGATCTAACGTGCGCCATTGTGACTCCAGTTAATAATGCTGCATTATATACTTAAAATTAGCTAAGAAAGTAGATCTTTTCCTCTTCTTTATTTTAATTGGCAAATAATAATAGTACATATTCATGGGGTGCATAGCGAATAGAATAGATATTAAGTGCTCTCACCCTAAACACAAGGTAACTACATGAGGTAATAGCCATGTTAATTAACTTGATTGTGGGGATTACTTCATAATGTATACATGTATCAAAACATCACATTTTTAATTGTCATTGTACCTGAGTAAAGCTGGAGGCTGGGAAAAAATTGAGTTAGGTGATTCCACAATCTGTGCTCTTAATCACCAGGCATTTGGATAACCACATGAACAAGAAACACTTCTGCCTCCAAGTCCTTCCCCACTGTCATTATCTGAAACACACACTTGACAGCTTCTGCTGCCCAGACAACTTTCAGACTGCAGATAGGATGAGCTGCCTCTCACTTTTCATTCACTTTATAAAAATGTCTGCATTGATACTGGCCCCACTTCTTTTATCATCCCTCAGCACATACAACTTTTGCAGTGAAAACAGAAGACTCAGTCAAGCAACATGTGCAGGGGCACATCGTTAAAAGGCAAATAATCAGGACCAACATCCAGGTCAACACAGTTGGCTGCTGAGTATGGAGCCCCTGCTAACTCCATGTTTTAGCCAATGCTAAACACAGCCTGTTTTAGCCAATGGTGGAGGAAACTGGGCAATGTGTGTGCTCCATTATGTCAGGAACTTGACCATGTTTACCTCTGGCACAGAAAGGCCCCTCACTAAACATTTGCTTAATGAATGACTCACCAACCTATCTATTCCTCTATCTATCTGTCATCTATCCATCCATCTGTCCATCTGTCCATCTGTCTACCTAGGAAAGCCCTTGCCTCATCTTGCATTATGCACCCTCAAATGGGAGAGACAGAAATGTAAGCAACAGCTCATTGTATGCTGTGTAAAGAGCCATGATGGGAGTGGGTGCTACAGACACCAGGAAAAGCTCTTATGACTAGCAAATCTGTACATTCTGCTCCACCCAAGGTGCCTTCCTGCCCACACTTAATTCTTCCACAAAAGCACAAAAAGTCATGATTACAGCAAACACTTATATAATGCTATAGTTATGCTCTTAGCAAGCAGTAACAATTGTGAAAAACTTTAAATAAAAATGAAACAAAAAATGGAAGAAATCAAGTTGCGTTATCTAATATGAAAAATGCATTCGGGTTTTGTTTTTTTCAGAAAAAAAGTGGTTCTACATGAAGACCAGAATCTATAGCACACAAGCAAACATTGTCTGTGCTTTCTTAATCCTCTCATTCATAGATCCACTCACAAGCGCTTCTGTGGCCAAAAAGTTTTACTTGGTACCTATATAAGCTTGGCTTGGCCTGGTTCCTATTTTCTTTGTAAGTTTTGTTTCTTTCTTGTCATTTCTCACTCCCCTATTTACCTTAATTATTTTTATTTGTTTTGTTTTGGTTTGGGTAAGTTTAAAGACATATTTAAAAAAATTTTTTTAACTTTCATTTTTAATTCAGGGGTACATGTGCAGGATGTGCAGGTTTCTTACATAGGTAAGTGTGTCATGGGGGTTTGTTGTCCAGATTATTTCATTACCTAGGTATTAAGGCTAGTATCCAGTAGTTATTTTTTCTGCTCTTCTCCCTCTTCCCACCTTCCACCCTCTGATAGGCCCCAGTGTGTATCGTTCCCTTCTATGTGTCCATGTGTTCTCATTATTTAGCTTCCACTTATAAGTGAGAACATGCTGTATTTGGTTTTCTGTTACTGTGTTAGTTTGCTAAGGATAATGGCCTCCAGCTCCATCTATTTCCCTGCAAAGGACTGACCTCGTTTTTTTTTTTTTTAATGACTGCATAGTGTTCTGTGGTGTATATGAATCACATTTTCTTTATCCAGTTTATCATTGATGGGCATTTAGATTTATTCCATGTCTTTGCTACTGTGAATAGTGCTGCAATTAACGTGTATGCATGTGTCTCTATAGTAGAATGATTTATATTCCTTGGGGTATATAACCAGTAGTGGGGTTGCTGAGACAAATAGGGTATTTCTGTCTTTAGGTCTTTGAGGAATCACCACAATGTCTTTAATTAATTGTGTGTATATATTGTGTGTATAATTTAATTAATTGTGTGTATATATTAATTGTGTGTATATACATATATATGGATAGGCATCTATCTATCTATCCATATATACTTGGTACCTGTATAAGCTTGGCTTTGCCTAGTTCCTATTTATCTATCTATCCATATAAATCTGGTAAATAGAGAGCATATAGGCAATATTAACATTATCTATACCTCATACTTCAAAATAGCATATTGGAGATTCCTTGATGTTTTTCTCACTTCCACTTTCTTCATTCTAATAATCACCAATTTCCATTCATTCTACACCCTAAATTTCTCTCAAACTCACATTTCCCTTAGCTCCCATAATAACTGCCTTATTACAAGTCTTCACTGATGCATGGACCATTGCAATGACATCTTAAGTAAGTGATATCCATTTGCTCACCAGCAATACCATTCATCCCCAACGATGCTACCAGGACTTTTAAAAACTCAGATGTGGTCATGATCTCTGCTAACTCAATTATTTTCCGGTTTTTGAAGGATTAAGTTTGAATTCCTTAGCATGACATGATCGGCTGACCTAGCAGAATGTGACTTCTGCTTTTATCTCCCACTTCACCTCTAACCCAGATTAACTAAGAGGCAGAGATTCAGCAACTATAGGCACGTAATTGCTGTCCATTGTCTGCCAAATGGTTTACAACTCCTTGACCTTTTTAGATAATGTTCCTTTGCCTGTTGTAAGGCTCTCCACAATTTCTGCATGCCTATTGTCTTTTTTTTTGACTACCAAACTCTGGTTTTGAAAAGATAGCATTTGTCCTTGCAGAGAGCATATATATTACTCCCTTATTTTTACCACCAATGCATCAAATGGTGCTACCTTTACATAAATTGCACTGAAATATTGTAACTTTCTTTTTATTGTAAAGTAATATATGTACCTTATAAAATCTTGAGAAAATATAGATAAGCAGAATGAAAAAAATTAAATCATCCATAATTTTGTCATTCAGATGCAACTACTTTTAATATTCTGTGGGACTCTGCCACTAGTCTTTTCTCCAAACATATGTGTTTATTTTGCAAAAATAGAATAATACTATCCATATTGTTTTGTAATGGGCTTTTTTGAAATGGAAGAATATATTGTAAAAATTATTTCCTGTGTTTAAAATTATTTCTTAATATCATTGTCAGTGCTAAAAAGTATTTCCTTGGATGAATGGAATAATTTTCTATTATCTGAACTACAGTTATAACCAAAGTTTCACATTACAAATGAGAAGGCAGTTATTCTCTTTATATCTAAACCCTTAAGTATGATCACAATTACTTCTCTTTGATAAATTTTAACAAAACTAATTTCTGGATCAATGAAGATGCACAAGTTTAAGCTTTTTGGTACATATTTCCAAATTATCTTCCAAAAAGATTCTACCAGTTTTCACTTTCAAACGCAAAGTACGTCTGCTTCCTCACAAAGGTAACATGAATATATGATCTTTGATAAGCCATCGAATAAGCAAAAAGGATATAGCTTGTTGATTTGACATAACTCGTCTGTGATGGGGTTATAACAATGGGGTATATACGAATATGCTTTATTTTGCATATTAAATTTATGTATATAGTATTTAAATAAATTTTTTTCTTTTGTGATTTTCCTAATTGGGTCCTTGATTCACTTTACACTGAGTTGTTTATCTTTTTTTCTCATTGATTCATGAGTTTTTTATATCATCCTTTGTCTGTCATGTAAGCCACATGAAAATTTTATCACCTTTTGCTGTCTGCTTTTGAGTCTGAAAATGACTTATGATTCAATTCATCTAATCCCCATTGCTTGAAATGCTACCAGTATTATATATTGATTCCTATCTATACTCAGACCAGTTTATGAACATTTAAGAATAACCCATCAGCCTGTTCCCCTATCGCTACTCTATTTTAAAATTATTTTGGTTCATATCAATATTATTCTTATTCTCATACACACTGTTATTATTTTAATAGCTACCATTTATTGATCATGGCCAATATATATAACATATTTCAATATACAATGCTTACTACTTTTACAAAATATGTCGGATTTATTCTTCCAAACAATCCTCTGAAGTCAGTGCAATGATTATATAAATGTTTCACCTAAGGAAACTGAGATGAATATTATTTATTATCTGGTAAAACTGAGATTAAAACTCAGGTCAGCCTGACACCACAACTACAAACTCCCAAATCCATATACTTTACTCAGCTCCAAAAATGTTTTGTACCTATTTTCAGAAGTTTCATTCTTGGAGATAAACTTTAACATTATCAACTTTATAAAAAAACAGCTTTTGATTTTTTTAGTAAGCTTTTTATTGAGCTGTAACATTCATATATGCATAAACCACAAACGAACATGTGTGCAATTTATATCCAGACCGAGAAACTTACCAGCACGCAGAGGCCCCATTGTGCCCTCTTCTACTCATCACTACTTCCCACACATCAAACCTGTCCTGACTTCTACACCATTAATTAATTTTATGTGGTTTTGAATTTTGAAAAAACATACAGATTTAAATTTAGGTTGTTGAATGTCTTTTCATGTGCTTTTTAGATATTTGTTTATCTTATATTTTAAAACATCTGTTCAAACCTTTGACTACCTTTAAATTTGGTTGTTTTCTTATTGAGTTGAAAAGGTCTTTATGTACTCTGAATACCAGTCCTTTGTCAGATTATACACACATACACATATATAATTATATAAACTATATACATATATATACACACTCTCTTGTGTATGTTTGTATAAAATATTTTCTTTGTGTTTGCTTTTTTCAACCTTATTTTTTGAAAGAAAAAATATTTTAATTGTGGTGAAGTCTAATTCCCTATTATAATAAATGCCTACCCTAAGTCTGTAGATAATTCTTTATGTTTATTCTCCTAAAACTTTTATACTACTAGCTTTTATATTTAGGCATATATGATCCATTCTCATCACATAATGGTATGACTGCTATGATTTATGGGTTGGTGTTTATTTTTCCATAATGATACAGTTGTTTAAGCATCATTTATTGAAAATACTCTAATTTCTCCATTGGATTACGTAGGACACTCTCTCTAAAATCAATTAAACCTATAAGTGTGGGTCTGTTTCTTGATCTATAGGTCTGTTATTTTTCAGTAGCACACGGCCTTGATTACTTGCAGCTATATAGTAAGTCTTAAAGTCAGATAGTGTAAAAGTTTGTAATTTTATTCTTTATTTTAAAAATAGTTTTAGCTATTCTAGGTTTTTGGCATTTCTACATAAACTGTAGAACTAGCTTATCAGTTTGTGTCAAAAACTTACAGCTGTGATTTTCATTGAGATTGCAATGAACCTAAAACTTAATACAGGGAAAGTATTGGATGTTACAATCCATGAAAATGGTATGTGTCTTTCTTTTTTCTTATTTAGCTTTTCTAAACAATTTTTTATAATTGTAGTGTGTAATTCACACATTTTGTCAAATTTATTTGTATATACTTCATGCTTTACAATGTTAGTGATAATGTAATATTCTATATTTAACTTTAATTTTCTATTTTTTGCAACTTTCAGAAATATGATGTGACTTTGCTGAAATCATTTATTACTTGCAATAATTTTAGATTTATTAGAATTGTATGTTACAACCTTTATATAAATATACAGTTGAACCATGAACAATGTGTGGGCTAAGGGCACCAATCCCCCCAAACACACAGTCAAAAATCTGCATATAAGTTTTGACTCCCAAAAAATTTAATTACTAAAGCCTACTATTGACTGGAAGCATTGCTGACAACATAGATAGCTGATTAACACATATTTTATAAGTTATATGTATTATATATTGCATTCTTACAATAAAGTAAGCTACAGGAAAGAAAATGCCATTAAAAAAATCATAAGGCCAGTCAGAGAAATGCAAATCAAAACCACAATGAGATACCATCTCACACCAGTTAAAATGGCAGTCATTAAAAAGTCAGGCAACAACAGGTGCTGGAGAGGATGTGGAGAAATAGGAACACTTTTACACTGTTGGTGGGACTGTAAACTAGTTCAACCATTGTGGAAGTCAGTGTGGCGATTCCTCAAGGATCTAGAACTAGAAATACAATTTGACCCAGCCATCCCATTACTGGGTATATACCCAAAGGATTATAAATCATGCTGCTATAAAGACACATGCACACGTATGTTTATTGTGGCACTATTCACAATAGCAAAGACTTGGAACCAACCCCAATGTCCAACAACGATAGACTGGATTAAGAAAATGTGGCACATATACACCATGGAATACTATGCAGCCATAAAAAATGATGAGTTCATGTCCTTTGTAGGGACATGGATGAAGCTGGAAACCATCATCCTCAGTAAACTATCACAAGGACAGAAAACCAAACAGCACATGTTCTCACTCATGGGTGGGAGTTGAACAATGAGAACACATGGACACAGGAAGGGGAACATCACACTCCGGGGACTGTTGTGGGGTGGGAGGAGGGGGGAGGGATAGCATTAGGAGATATACCCAATGCTAAATTACGAGTTAATGGGTGCGGCACACCAACATGGCATATGTATACATATGTAACAAACCTGCACGTTGTGCACATGTACCCTAAAACTTAAAGTATAATAATAATAAAAAATAAAATTAAAAAAATCATAAGAAAGAGAAAATATATTTTCTGTTCCTTACATGGAGGTGAATCATCATAAAAGTCTTCATCCTTGTTGCCTTCACAATGAGTAGGCTGAGGAGGAGGAGGAAAAGGAGGTGTTGGTCTTGCTGTCTCAGGAGTGGCAGAGGCAGAAGAAAATCTGTATATAAGCAGACCTGAGCAGTACAGACATTTGTGGTTCAAGGGTCACCTGTATGCATATATATCATCTGCAAAGAGAAACAGTTGCTTGACACAGTGGCTTACACCTGTAATCTCAGCACTTTGAGAGGCCAAGGTTGGCAGATCACTTAAGCCCAGGCATTGAAGACCAGCCTGTGCAACAGGGGAAGGCCCCGTCTCTATAAAAAAAAAAAAAATACAAAAATTAACGAGACATGGTGGTGCACACCTGTAGTCCCAGGTACTTGGGAGGCTGATGTAGTAGAATCATCTGAGCCTGGGAAGTGGAGGCTGCAGTGAACTGTGACTGGGCCACTACTGCACTCCAGCCTGGGTGACAGAGCGAGACCCTGTCTCAAAAAAAAAAAAAGGATATTTACATTTTACTTTTTTTCCTAATTAATATGCCCTTTATTTCTTTTACTTGTGCAGTAAAATACCTTCAAGAATGTGACTTCGAGAAATTTCTTTCAACTCTCCTAACCTCTTCTAAGCATTCAGTAGGCCACCGGCTTGTACTTTTGTAAGACACAACGTACCAAAGAAGGGATGTCTCTCAGCAATCCTACCCTGTCTTGCTCACTTACTTGGTAAAGGCCAATGGGAAAGAATTGGTGAGTGGGTGCAGGCCTACTCTGTAGCTGGGCTGTCTTGAGATTCTAATCCATCAGAATAATCCATACATAGATATTAAAAGTTTGGTAAAATGTCTGGCTACTTTCACTTTACCCACATGTATGGCAGATTCTTCTGCCTCTTTCTGTTCTGAACAAGACGACAGCAGTTGCAAGCTACTGCTTTCCTAAGAATATCTCATTTTAAAAAATTAATTTATATAGGTTTCTTTGGGTCTACAGCCATCCAAAGGGTTAGCTTATCTGGCTTTTTTATGTTGTTAGGGCAGGAAGGGCATACATCTTAACTAGAAGTTAATAACGTATACATTTCCTTAATATATTAATGTCTAACATTTGGATTTGTTGGTTTTCTCTATTAAATTGTTGTTTTCTATTAACCTCTGCTTTTGCTATTTGTTTCTTTATTCTTTAGAGTCACAACAAGATTTGCTTTTCTTTTTCTAATATCAAGAGGTAAAAGTTTAGATCATTGATTTTCAGTCTTACTCCTTATCTACTGTATTTAAAGATTTTAAGTGTAAGCATGGCTTCAGATGCATGTGACAAAATTTCAGGTCACATTTTGAATATTAATCAGTTCAAATATTTTAACATTTTTATTGCAATTTCTTTCTTGGCCCAAAATTATTTAATTTCTTGGCAATGTAGATTTTTCAAATTATATTTTGTTATTGATTTTCAGTTTTAAACCCATTATGGTCAGGATTTTACTCTCCATGATCTCAAATCTTCATAATTTGTTAAGGTTTGCTTTATGTACTATCATATGATCACTTTAGGTAACTACTTTATATGCCTCAGCTAAGAATATTGAATGCAGTGTTTATATATGTCAATGGTTGTCTTTGTGCAGTAAAGTGTGAGAACATAAAAATTGTTCATATATTTATATATTTTTGATCTTTTATGTACTCTCATTATAATTCAAGAGAGAAGTGCCTTAAAACCCCCTACCACAATTGTGGATTTATTTATTTCTCTTTTTGAGTTATTTCATTGCTTTATATATTTGGGGAAACAGTTATTAAGTGTATACAAACATAGAATTACTATGTCTCCAGGTCCATCAATTTTATGATTTCTTTTCCAAATGTCCCATTTTGTTTTTTTGTTGTTGTTGTTCATCCTTGTTTTAAACAAAAATTTTAGTATATGAATTTTTGAATACATTTTCATGAATTGTTACTTTTGTTTGATCTAGCAAACACAATATGTGTATTTAATTAGTCACAATGTACTTAAAATAATACTGAATGTCTTCTGTCTACTAAAATAAGGATAGACAATTCTGGCTACAGTAAATTTCCAATTATCCACCCTCCATCCTTTTTTGGTACTGTGTTGCCATATATTACACACAGACACACACACACACACATATATGTATATATACACATATATACACACACGTGTATATATACACATATATACACACACGTGTATATATATATATACACACACTATATATAGCATATGAGTCCATACCTATATTTATATTTCACAGATATGTGTTATAAACCCAAAATGATTGTCATAATTTTTGCTTTAAATTGCCTTTAATGTAATAAAGTGTGATCACTATGGAGAGGAATTTCTTGGATCACCTTCAAGAGAACATGCTAAAAATTGAAGAGGAAAAATCCTTCCAAACTCATTCTATAAGGTCAGCATTACCCTGATACCAAAATTAGACAAGGACTCAGCATAAAAAGAAAACTACAGGTCACTATTCCTTGTGAACATAAATGCAAAAGTCCTCAACAAAAGGCTAACAAACCAAACACTGAGGCACCTTAGAAAGCATTCACTGTGATCAAGTGAGATTTATCCCCAGGATGCAAGGATGGTTCAACATACTCAAATCAATAAATGTGATACATCACATCAAAGAATTAAGGATGAAAATCATGATCATTTCAATAGATACAGAAAAAGCATTTGATAAAATTCAATATTCCTTCATGATAAAAAGACACACAACCAACTAGATATGGAAGAAAGGTACCTCAACACAATAGAGGCCGTATGTGACTAACTCACAGCTAACATCATACTGAATGAGGAAAAGCTGAAAATTTCTTCTCTGATAACTGAAAGAAGACAAGGATGCCCACCTCACCATTCTTATTAAACATAGTACTGAAAATCTTTGCCAGAGTAATTAGGCAAAGGAAATAAAGGACATCCAAATTGGAAAGGAGAAAGTCCAATTGTCCTTGTTTGCGGACCACATACTCTTATATATAGAAACCCTAAAAAGTCCACCAAAACTTTTAGAACTGATAAATAAATTCAGTAAGATTGCAGGATACAAAATCAATATGGAAAAATCAGTAGCATTTTTATATACCAACAATAAAAGAGCAGGAAAACAAATCTAATTTACAATCACTACAAACAATTAAAATACTTAGGAATAAATTTACCAAGGAGATGAAAGTTCTGTACAAGAAAAACTACAAAACACTGATTTATATATATATATCCACCATTTTTAGTATTCTTTATCATTTCTTATATACACAAGTACGAAAGTCATTATCTGATACTGTTTTTTTCTTTCTGGAAATGTTTCCTTTATCATTTCCTAAATTGTGTTTCATAGCAATAAATTCTGTCAGTTTTGTTTAACTGAAAATGACTTCATTATGCCATACATTTTTTCTTTCAGCATTTTGAATATCTCAATCCAATATCTTCTGCCTTTCATTGTTTCCAATGATCATTTAGCATTAATCATATCGTGTCCCTGCATGTAACGTGTTGTTTTTTATCTTGCTGCTTTTTTTGTATTATTTTTGGCTGTTGGCAATTTTACTATGATGTGCTTGTGTGTTTATGCATGTGTATGTGTGTGTGCATGTGTGTACTCATCTGTATACTCCTTGACAGTTTTTGAACTCCTTGGATCAATAAATTAATGTTTTATTTCAACAAATTTAGGGAAAATTTGATCATTACATCTTCAAGTATTTTTCTGCCCTATACTATCTTTTTATTCTGGGATTCTAATTGTTGGGCTGCTCAATATTCACCATAGGTCTCTGAGGCTTCTTACATTTTTTTTCAATCTTTCTCCTCTCTTTTATTTTGATTAGAAAATGTCTATTGATCTACATTTAAGTTCGGATATTCTTTCTTCTGCCATCTCAAATCCGTTGTTGAACCCACCTAATGATTTGTTTTCACTTCAGTTGTTATACTTTTCTTCTGATCTCAAGTGTTTTAAGTTACTCTTTATAGTTTCTATTTCTCTCAGTTTTTAAATCTGTTAATTCATTAATATCATATAGTCTTAATTCTTCAAGTTTATTTGCCTTTAAATCTTTGACTACACTTGCAATAGTTTATTTGATGTTTTTGCCTACTAAATCCAACAGGTGGACACACTCAGAGTCAATTTCTATTGACTGGGTTTTGTTTGTTTCTTTGTTTGCTTTTCTACATATATATTGATGATGCTTCTTTGCGTGTTTGATATCTTTTGATTAAAAATGGAACATTGCAGATAATATGTTTTTTTTTTTTTTTTTTTTTGAGATGGAGTCTGGCTCTTTCACCCAGGCTGGATTGCAGTGGCGCTATCTCAGCTCACTGCAAGCTCCATCTCTCGGGTTCATGCCATTCTCCTGCCTCAGCCTCCCTAGTAGCTGGGACTACAGGCGCCCACCACCACGCCCAGCTAATTTTTTGTATTTTTAGTGGAGACGGGGTTTCACCATGTTAGCCAGGATGGTCTCAATCTCCTGACCTCGTGATCCGCCTGTCTCGGCCTCCCAAAGTGTTGGGATTACAGGCGTGAGCCACTGCACCCAGCCTGCAGATAATACATTATAGATATTCTGGAATTTGTTGGGTTCCTCTGAATACTGTCAATTGATTGTTCTAACAGGCAGTTAACATGCCTTTACTGAAACTATGAAATCTGTCTCCCTGTGGTGTGCAGCAGCTGATATATTTGCTCATTTATCTTGGCTTCCAAGCTATTGCTTTTTAAGGCACATCTTCCAGGTATTTCCCATATCTGCATATCTTTAGTGGCCAGCCAAAAGTTAGGGTAGACTCTGTCCTCAGATTTGGGGGCGCTTAGCCTCTCTGTGATTTTCATGATCCCAGGATTTCTCACTTAATTTTCTGATTCCTTTATCAGCTCTTGTTGCTACTTGAACACTGTAAGCCAAGACGGTTTCACTGAAATTCTGTATGGGTTGAAAAATAACTCAGTCAAAGGTGAAGAAAACACACAAATCATATTAGGAGTAGTTCTTTTATTTCAACTGTAGACCTTTTCAGTTTTTGCTTATTCTTTTGATGAGCTCTCTGAGGTCCTCCGTGTGAGTAGTTTATTGACCAGCTAGGGATTAGAGCAGCCTTATTACTCAAATTTTAGATATAAGTCTTTCAGTGGCTTTCTGACTTCAAAAACTCTCTTTTAAATTTCCAGTATTTCCTTTGCTCTGTCATCTTTACCCTCAAACCAACAAGGCTGTTGTTTCCCATCATCCAATCTGTGAGGATTCGGCAAGACACTGGGATAAGAAAGCCACAATCTCCTGGTTCTTCTTTGGTGCATGACAGTCTCTGAAGCATAAGCTTTCCTCCAGTTTTAACCTGCTCTTTATTATTTTGCTCATCTTTAAATTTTTTTAAACTAATGTCCAGTTTTTAAACTATATTTAAATGTATAATTAATACAGTAATTGTACATAATATACAAGCATTGTAACATCACACTGTATCTTGATGTTCTCCAGTTTTTATCATTATTTTCTGTGAAAGAAATCACCTGTCCTCATCATGCAGTCATTATTAGAAGTCATGCCCTGATTTAATAGTCTTTCTTGTGCTATGTTTCATTTATATGTATAGATAAAATTATATAATATATTGGCTGGGCACAGTGGTTCACATCTGTAATCCCAGCACTTTGGGAGGCCAAGACAGGCAGATCACTTGAGGTCAGGAGTTTGAGACCAGCCTGGCCAACATGGTGAAACCCTGTCTCTACTAAAAAATACAAAAAAATTAGCCTGGCATGGTGTAGGTGCCTGTAATCTCAGCCACTCGGGAGGCTGAGGCTTGAGAATTGCTTGAATCCGGGAGGCAGAGGTTGCAATGAGCCAAGATTGCACCACTACACTCCAGCCTGGGTGACAGGGTGAGACTCCGTTTCAAAAAAAAAAAAAAAAAAAAAGATTATATACTATATTTATCACATTTTAGAATCAGTATGATGTTTATTCCAAATTAGTGAAATAAATTTTAAAGAATTCCTTCCTTTTGTTTTAAATAACTAAGCTACATAGAAACTGCATTTTAAAAAATTTAAAGACCTTTCTATTAAACACTCTGGGCGTTGCTGTCTCTGTATTACTTGAATAGTTTTCACATTACATCCGTGGGTACTTTCAACATATGCTTACATCAGTCTTGATAATTTATATTTATTTCAGAAGTAATTTTCTATATATTTTAAAGTTTATTAGCAAAGCATTGCACATTACATTCTTTCATCCATCATTCTTTCATCTTTTCATCCATATATAGTTTCTCTGTATCCACGGTTATAAGTTATTTCTGTTTCCTATCATGGTTTATTTGAGTTTTCTCCTATTTTCGATTACTCTCGTTTAATTTGGTTGTTTATATATGAGTCCTGTTCTTTAGGCTGTGAACACCCTGAAGTCAGGCATTATGCTTTGCCTACTTCTATCACTAAAACACCAGTACAGTGCCTTTCACATTGTACGTCTTTACTTACTGTGTGTTCAACTGAACTGCAAACGCCTGGAGTTATTTATGGAGAAACTCTCCATTAAGCCAATCCAAAATGATTCATTAAACGTTAGCATTTACATGGGACAACATAGTTTCATTTTACAAATTATGAAACTGAGAGAAGAGTTGGTTTGCCCAAGGTTAGTTACACAGCAAGTTTGTGGTAGAACAGACTTCTTCCCAGCAAACCATGCTGTCTTCCTAAATTGAGTTAAATCTAAGACAGTCTCGATTACCATCTCTTCCATACATATATATTCAAGTAAAATCAGTAATGATTCCAACACAATTTCCAGCTCTAAAATTACAAAAGTCTTTCTGTTAGTATTCTGCTTTGTGAAATTACTTTTTGTTATTAATGACACCTACACTGGGGCTCCGGGTTCTCAGTATTGTGTCATCCCAGGAACATGTCAGTGTGTGGTGGATGTGGCTAATTTACAGATTCTTTGCAACTTTGTAGAGAATTGCCCTGCCAGTTTTGGCAAGAAGGCTTGGTGTATTAAAATTGGAGCCCACCGTCGAAGGTAAATAATGTCTATGGGTGTCCCATTAAGAAAATGTGTATCAATTGGGGGAAATAAATAAGCTATTTCTTTTCTTTTGGCCATATTAATATCTATTTGTATCTATATGACAATAAACATAGACTATTAAAGATAGGACTAAACTGGAAGTTGGGAAACTGGGCACTAGACCAAATTTTGCCACTAACTTGCTAGCGACTTATTTCCTTTCTAGAAATCACAAATTCCTCATCTTTAATTTGAACCACTTAAAAATAGGTACACAGAGTTTGAACATACCTTAGAGGTATTTTAGGGGGCTCTATTTAATAGATAAGCCCAGAAAAGTTTTCAGAAGTCATGTCTTTGCCTAACCCTAAAAAAATAAGAAGGAAGAGCAGTTTTTAAGAGAAGTTTTCCTATAAACTCTGCCATTAATTTGGGATCCAAAAAGTAATGCTACTATTCCAATAGAAGCCATCCTCCAAGTTGCACAAGAAAGAATAGAAAATATGTTCTAAATATTCAAATGACTAAGAAATCACTTTTGGCATTTTTGTTTTAAGGTGATGAGAGGAAACATGTGAAAAGGTTTTATAAGAGTAGTGACATTAGAGATAGTCCTTGAGAAATGAATACGATTTTCACATTTACGTATTAATTCATTCACTTCTCTAGTTCTTTGTTTATTTAGTACATAATTGTTGAAACTATATGTTGTACCCACACTATGCTAGCCATTGAGGATAGGATGGTGAGCATAATGGAACTTGCAGTCTAGGTGAGGACATAGACACTAATCCAATGATCACATACATGTGTCATTACCAATGATTGTAACTATTACATAATAAGAAATGTTTAATATTTGTGGAAAGCAGTGTGGCAATTTCTCAAATAACTTAAAACAGAATTACCTTTGAACCCAGCAATCCCATTATTGGGTATATAGCCAAAGGAATATAATTTGTTCTACCATAAAGATATATACACATGCATGTTTTTTGCAGCACCATTCACAACAGCAGAGACATGGAAACACCCTAAATGCCCATTATTGGTAGACTGAATAAACAAAATTTGGTACATATACACAATGGAGTACTATGCAGCCATAAAAAAGAACAAGATTATATCCTTTGCAGCAAAATGGAAGGAGATGGAAACCATTATCCTAAGTAAACTAACAAAGGAACAGAAAACTAAATACTGTATTTTCTCACTTATAAATCGGAGCTAAACAGCAAGAATGCATGGACACAAAGAGGGGAAAACAGATACTAGGTCTGCTTGAGGGTAGAGAGTGGGGGGAGGGACAGGATAAAAAAAAATACCTCTTGGATATTGTAGTTTTTACCCAGGTGACAATAATATGTATACCAAACCCCTGTGACACGTAGTTTACCTATATGACAATCCTCCACATGTACTGCCAAACCTAAAATAAAAGCTAAGAAACAAAAAAGGAAATGTTCAGTGTAACTTGATGTGATCCAATGAGAGTGGGGAAGGGTGTCCAATGCATGAAGAAGTAACACATGCATTGATGTCTACAGTGACTGAGTTAAATGGAAGTCAGAGAGTTTGGTAGAAGGACTGTCATGTGCAAAAGCCCTGAAGAGAGGGAGCATGATGTCTGTGGAATAGAAACAAGGTCAGTTAAATAGAGTCAATAATCAAGAAGGGACAATAGGAAGGGATATTCTGGGCTACGGAATAGATATGGGGGAAAAAAAGGCATAAACTTTCCTTAGAAATACAGGTAATTGCATTTGGTAAGGGCTTTGAATACCGGAGGAAGTAAATTGGGAGTTGGTGAGGGAAAAGTGAGTTGAGTTTGTATTGTAGAGAGGTTTAGTTGACAGGTTAAATAATTCCAGCATAGACACCATGTGTTAAAGAGAGATTCAGAAAACTTATTGACCTTAGAGTGTGCTTTTACAAACTTACACTTATTGCCAGGTGAAGAGATTACAAAGAAAGGAAAAAAAAAATAACTTCACTGTAAGAAATGGGCTCTGTGAGAGCCACAATGTATACAGACAGCTGGATGAGTATCTGCACTGATATTACTGCACATCTTGTGCGTTCTTTTATGTGGCTAGTTGCAAAAATGTGTGAGGAATGGAAGCTTAGCCTCTTCCTTTTCATCACGGATGCTGTTTGTTGTTGCTTTCTGCCCTTTTTTCTTCCTTGAGGTGTCACCCAAGCAGTACAAAGTGACATGAGAAAAATAAAAGCATCTCTTTTTCATAGTTGGGTTGTAGTAACAGATGGTCATGTTCACTCAGCAAAGACAAATAGCTCGAATGATAAACACAACAGGGTTGAGAGGTGCAGGAGGGAGATTTTTGCCAGCATCCTCACTCATAGCTGGCTCTGGAAAGAGAACAATCATCTTTTACATTTTAGTTCTTGCAAAGGAGGGGAATTTGAATACCTGTGCTGGAAAGAATGTGAGCTCACTAGAGAGAGGAGGAGTCTGTTAAGGTACATGTTTCATCACACCATGGGAAGTAAGCTCCACCCACACCCCCTCAGCTTCTACATTCAATCTCGTACCAAGGCCCGACAAGTTTGTTTCTTAAATTTCTGTCTGCCTCTCCTCAACAAAATCCAAGTATTCAGGCCTCCATAATCTTTTCTATGTTATTTCAAAAGCCTCCCGAATAATTCCCTCTTCTCTGCAACTGCTTCCTTGCTTCCTAGTATCTATGCTGCTATTTGTCATCTTTCTAAGATGGAAATTTGATCATGTTGCTCTCCCATTTAAAATCTTACACAGGTTCCCTGTTGCATTCAGTCTATAACTCAAATTTCTGAATCTGGCATAAAGGAATCAGCCCCTTCCTACCTTGGAGCCTCATCCCTGCCCAACACTGCTCCAACACAGACATGCACACACTTCTGCTCAGTGACTGATGGTCTATTTTCAGTTCCATGAAGGTTCTTCATGATCTGAGCCCCGTGGTTTCCCATTCTGATTTGATTTTACTAGAGTAGCTTTCCTTGCTCCTGCTCACCCATTAAGACCCCATTCAACATCTCCTCTCTATGAGGTCCACTTTGAGCTTGCCTTTAAGAACATTGAATAATTAATTACTCCCTTTTAACAATCACATGTCTTTTACATTTATCTGTCATCTCAACAATAATAATTGTATTATAAGTATTTGTTAATGTGGCAATATCCCCATTATTTGGGGCTCCCTGGAGAAAATGGCAAAACTTTGTTAGTCACCATTTATCTCTATAGTGTATTATGGGCTCTCACAATAACAATATTATAGCTAATATTTATGAAGAGTTACTGTGAGACAGGAATTGTCCTCAGGCCCTCTTTCAATGGCATGGCATTAGGACCTCAATATTGTCTTTTTAAATTCAAGTTGCTCATCACATAAGGTATGATCCATTTGCTGATTCACAAATTATGAGGATAAATTATGTCCTTGAAGTATAAACTCAGCTAAGGACTTGAGATTAAAGGAACAATTTAAAGACAGATGGAAGAGTTGTGTGTCTGCCATACAAGACATTCAGTCTAATTTGAGAAGTATTGATTAAATACCTGCTGTGTACCCAATCATGTACTAAGCAATTAACCAAGTGTTTGCTTCAACAGAGATGTTCCACGTTATTCAAAGTCAATTTTTTCAGTCTGTAAATGAAAATAAACTAGTATTTTTACAATAATGTTTTAATCGTATGCACATAAAAGATCATAGCAAGGACTCAATACAGTACTGAGGTCTGAGTTCAATGCTTGGCATACGATGTAAGAGAAAGAGAATTGGCTTAGGAATCAGCAGAATTCCAGTCCCTATTCTGCTACTTTCTAACTAGCAGAAGTTTGGGCCAGATTCCCTGTCTCTCTGTCTATCAGTTTCACCACCTAGAAATGGAGAAAAGTGGGTTATTTTGCCTCTTCCATCTTTGATACATTCCATGGCTCTACAGCTCCCTCCTCAAAAGATTCTCTAAAAATGCTGCTTTCATTACCTTGTATTAAAGTAATTCCCCTTCTAATCTTTCAGATCTACACACCAAGAGAAGCTGCTAGTGCTATCAGGGGTTTCTGTTCTAAGGTTAATCATAAGACATTTTTGGAGAGGAAGATATATCCATGAGACCAAAACAGAGACCAGTGAAGAACCCATTTCTGACCCTGTGTTATTCTCATGTCATGTATTGTTAGATAATATGATTTGGCTGTTTTTCCTCTCCAGATCTCACGTTGAAATGTAATTCCAAATGTTGAAAGTGGAGCCTGGTGGGAGGTGATTCGATCACGGGGGTGGATCCCTCACAAATGGCTTAGCACCATCCCTTTGGTGATAAGGGAATTCTTGCTCAGTTAGTAGTTTGCTTAAAAGCCTAGCATCTCCACTTATTTCTCTCTCTCTCTTTCTCTCTCTCCGTCTCTCTATCCCTCTCAGTCTCTAAGAAGTTCCCCCCACCGTCTCTGTCTCTCCCAGTCTCTAAGAAGTTCCAAACTTTGGAGACTGAAAGAGAGACAGAGAGAAGTTTGGTATTTCTTAGAGACCGGTAAAATGGTTGCAACCAAAATGTTGATAGAAATATGGGCAGTGAAAGCCAGACTGACAAGATATTAGAAAAAAATGAGGATGTTACTGGGAACTGGAGTAATGGTCACCTGTGTTAAGCCCTAGCAAAGAACTTGGCTTCATTGTGCCCTTGTTATCTGTGGAAGGTTGAACTTAAGAGTGATGACAGGGTATCTGGCGGAAGAAATTTCTAAGCAGTGCTTCTAACAGCCTATAATCAGATATGAGAGCCAAGAAATGATTTGAAGTTGGAATTTATATTTGAAAGGAAAGCAGAGGATAAAAGTTTAGAAAATCTGTAACCTGGACAAGTAGTAGAGAAAGAATCTAAGCAGGCTACAAAACAACCACTGGCTAAAGAGATTACCATAACTAAAAGGAAGCCAGGTGCTAATATCCGAGACGATGAGGAGAAGGCCTGGAAGGCATTTCAGAAGTCTTTGGGGCTGGGCTTGGTTGCTTACCCTTTTGGGAGGCTGAGATGGGAGCATTGCTTGAACCCAGGAATTTGAGACCAGCCTGGGCAACATAGAGAGACCCCATCTCTACAAAAAAATAAAATATAAGCAGGCACAGTGGCCTGAACCTACAGTCCCAGCTACTTGAAAGGCTAAGGTGGGAGGATAACTTGAGCCCAGAACATTGAGAGTGCAGTGAATCATGATCATTCCACTGCACTCCAGCCTGGGTGACAAAGCAAGACACTGTCTCAAATAAAAATAAAAATAAAAAAAGTCTTTGAGACAGCCCCTCCCATCACACACCCTGAAAGCTGGGAGAAGAGAATTATTTCAGGGGCCAGGCCCAGGGTCTTGCTTCCCTCCTCAGCTTCAGGACATTGCTCCCTGCACCCCAGCCACTCCAGGTCCAGCCTTGGCTCAATGGGGCCCAGGTACAGCTTGGGGCACTGCTTTGAGGTCACAAGCCATAAGCCTTGGCAGCTTCCATGTGGTATTAAGCCTGCGAGTACACAAAAAGTAAGAGTGAAGGAAGCTTAGTGGCTTCCACCTAGATTTCAGAGGATATCTGGGAAAGCCTGGGTGCCAGGCAGAAGCCTACTGCAGGGGTGGAGTTTTCACAGAGAGCCTCTACTAGAGGTTAGAGCCCCCACACAGAGTTCCCACCAGGGAACTGCCTACTGGAGCTCTGAGAAGGGGGTTGCCACCCTCCAGACCCAAGAATGGTAGAGCCAGTGCAGCTTGGATCCTCAGCCTAGAAAAAGGTGCAGGCACTGAACTCCAACCCATCAAACCAGCCATATGGGCTGCATCCAGCAAAGCCACAGGGTAGAACTGCCCAAGGCCTTGGGAGCCTATCCCTCATACCAGTGTGCCCTGGATGTGGGTCAGAGTCCAAGGAGATTATTTTGGAGCTTTAAGATTTAATGACTCTCCTGCTGAGTTTCAGACTTGCATGGTACCTGTAGCTCTTTTCTTTGGTCTAATTTCTTCCTTTTGGAATGGGAATGTCTACCTAATACCTGTACCGCCATTGTATCTCAGGAGTAAATACTCATTTTTTAAATCTCACACATTTATAGGTTGAAAAGAACTCATCTCCAGATAAAACTTTGTGCATCAGACTTCGGACTTGGGACTTTTGAGTTAGTGCTGGAATGAGTTAAGACTTTGGGAGACTATTGCAAAGGCATGATTGTATTTTGAAATTTCAGAAGAACATAAAATCTGGGGGGCCAGTGGTGGAATGATATGGCTTAGATGTTTGTTGCCTCCAAATATCATGTTGAAATGCGACTCCCAGTGTCGGAGTTGGGGCTTAGTGGGAGGTATTGGATCATGGGGGTAGATTTTTCACGAATGGCTTAGCACCATCCTCTTGGTGATAAGTGAGTTCTCACTTGGTTAGCTCACATAATATCTGGTTGTTGAAAAGAATCTGGGACTTCTCCTCTCTCTCTCTCTCGCTCCTGCTCTCACTATGTGATACACTGGTTCCACCTTCACCTTCCGCCATGATTGTAAACTTCCTGAGGCTTCACTAGGAGCAGATGCCAATGCCATGCTTCCTACACATTTTGCAGAACTGTGAGCAATTAAAACTCTTTTCTTTATAAATTGTCTAGTCTCAGGCATTCTTTTACAGTAACACATAAATGGATTAACACATTAGACAAGGTACTAAAGAGGTTAGATAGGTGGCCCTGAAGTTAAAATGTCTAAAATAATATCCCAGTTCTGCAAACTGTGTGCCTTGAGGTAAGAAACTCAGCCTCTTTGTGCCTCATTTTTCTCAAATTCAAAAGATGGATAATAATGTTACCTATAGCATAAGCTTATTTTTTAGTAAATTCATTTACAGGCATTACTTGTTTTATTGTGCTTTGCTTTAGTGCACTTTGAATATACTGTGTTTTTCTTGAATTGCAAGTTTATGGCAACCTCACGTGAAGCAAGTGTATCTAGTGTCACCACTTTCCCCATAGCATGTGCTCCCTTTGAGGCTCTGTGTCACAGTTTTGTAATTCTCATGATATTTTGAACCTTTTCATTATTATTATATCTGTTTTGGTGATCCGTGATCTTCGATGTTACTATTGTAATTGTTTTGGGGCCCAACAAACCATGCCCATATAAGACAGCAAACTTAATTGATAAATGAATATGTTTTGACTGCTCCCCTGATCACCCCTTCCCCCATCTCTTTCCCTCTCCTTGGGCCTCCTTATTCATTGAGACAAAACAATATTGAAATTAGGCCAATCGACAATCTTACAATGGCTCTTTATTGTTCAAGTGAAAGGAAGAGTCGCATGTCCCTCACTTTAAATCAAAACTAGAAATGATTAAGCTTAGTGAGGAAGGCATGTTGAAAGTGAAGAGAGGCCAACAGCTATGCCTTTTGCATCAAATGGTTGGCCAAGTTGCAAATGCAAAGAAAAAGTTATTGAAGTACACTAAACCTGCTACTCCAGAGAACATATGAATGATAAGAAAGCAAAACAGAATTATTGTTGATATGGAGAAAGTTTTAGTGGTCTCGATAGAAGATCAAACAGCTACAACATTCCCTTAAGCCAAAGCCTAATCCAGAGCAAGGCCCTAATTCTCTTCAAGTCTGTGAAGGATGAGAGAGTTGAGGAAGCTGCAGAAGAAAAGTTTGATCAGTCAGCATGCATCAACATCAAGGCAAGACTTCCAATAGTAAAAAGATAACTTGCTAAAGGTTCAGATGATTGTTAGCATTTTTGGCAATAAAGTATCTTTATTTAAGGTATGTACTTTGGTTTTTTTAGACACAATGCTATTGTACACTTACTGAACTAGAGTGTAAACACAACATTTATATGTACTGAGAAATAAGACTTTGTGTGACATGCTTTATTGTGGTGTTTGGTTTATTGCAATAGTCTGGTGCAAAATCTCCAACATTCCCAAAGTAGCCTGTATAGTGAGCCTGTATCATGTTTAGAATAATTTTTGCGCATATTGAGAGCTCCTTAAATATCATTACTATTATTGTTTATGTTATTAATCAAGGTGCTACTTATCATATAAGAAAATTAACATCCAGGGAAGTGATACGACATTTCCACAGTCAGAAAGCAATTCCTTCATCAGAAAATAACACTAAAAATTTAAAAAATAATAATTGTAACAGCAACAAAGATTTGTATAACCTTTTAGGTTTGCAAGTGCCATCAGATAGGAACACTTATTCCACTTACAAGAGAAGAACCAGAGAGGTTAAGAGATCTCTTCAAGGTTGCCAAGTAATTCGTAATAAAGCTAGGATATAAACCTGGATAATCAATGTCACAGCTCTCTCTGTTTCTTTAAAATCACAAGGTTGAGAGTAGATATAAGCCCCCACTCACATTCCCTTGTGCCTCCCTAAGTCCTTGACACCTGTATCAGTTCCATAAGAAAGGTTTGGGAAGTTAGGAGATGAGAGTATAACAAGGTCAACATATCTATCAGAGTGTCTGTTCATCTGCCTATCAATCATTTGTCTTCCAGTTACTGTCTGTGGATCTGGGGGATATTAAGCCCTGATTGAACTTAGCAGAATGTGCTTCCTCTCTCTCCAGAGTACTGCTACAGTCTGTCTGCCTCCCCCAGTGCTCCTTTGAGCCCACCGGGAAACCTTGAATTCTCCTCTGAAACTCTGAGCCCATGCCCCCAAGCAGATATCCAAGGACATTTGCTCACTTAATGGTCTGCTCAAGACGTTTGAGGATGCACACTATCTCCCTATCAGCCTTCTGAAACATGCATTATCCATCCGTCCTTGAAGCAGGTCCCCTGGTGCAGTGATTAAAACAGTCCTGTGTTGGATAAACCCAGTGCAATTTTCCAAAAGTCATCATCTCTGCATTTCCCCTGCTACAGCAGAGCACCTTGCCTCCAATCTCTGGGCTTGCTCGTTTGTTTTCCTTCAGACAATCTTAGAGACACTCTTTCAGTGACCTCTGCTAAGGGAAGAGAACAGTACGCACATATCCAACATTATGCAGACACAGTGACAAATTGGTCTATATTTTATGCTTGACAGAAATGGGAGGGGTGGGAAACAGAAGACACATATCAACTCACGATATCTTTGACCACTGGTAGACAGAGTTTGGAAAAAACTTGTTTTTATTCTTTCTTTTTTTCTTAAGTTTCCTTCCTTATATCTGTTCCCAGCCTCTTCCTTTAATTAGTCCTGGAATGTGACAACAGTAGGCTGCAATCCTAGTAGATATGAAGCAATATGACCAAGATAAATTATTTAGTACTCTCCTAAACCATCTTCTCTTCCTAACCTCTCCCCCAAGCCTGTCCTTAGTGAGTAAAACAATCATTGTCCAGTTAATCTGGTATTCAAATGCTGGATGCATTTCCACTCCACTCTCTACTTTTTTCCTCATGTCATTAAGTCCTATTGATTCTTCCTTAGAAACATATTTTTTTGTTCACCTCTCTTCGCATTTCTACATTGTGTCCCTAGTACGGGTTTATGAAGGGATGATTCCCCTACATCTGCATTTGTGTAAGTTTTGTTATTTCAACAACTTTTTGTTGCACTGCATAATCACTTATTGTTTTGAATCATATTGTAATGAATGTAAAGCACTCTTGGACTGATTATCCCTCCTTGCCTGTATGGTGTTGTATGCATGTTCTTCCCTGAAAGGCACAGTCATTCAGGGTTTCATTGTGTATAGTGTCTCTCAAACCAGAAAGCAACCAAAAGGATGAATGGTAGATGGGTGGAGAATTTATCTTTAGTGATCTTCATCATAAAGGGATCATGGTGGCTGGGAGATAATTCTATGCAGTTAATTGTAACATTGAATTGTTCACTTTGAAATAGATTAGGAGATGCAAAGAAAGAAATCAGAAAAGTGATCAGCTACATCACTCCTTCCTCTGGGTGGCTATCTTCCTTATTCCCTGTGCTCTTACTGAGCCCGTCCCACCATACTCTCATAACTCCTTATTGATGTACTCCCATACACACAAGATACTGGACTCCTTGTGGAAAAAAAAAATTCTGCCTTTTCTGACCAATATATCCTCAGCCTCTACAGAATTTCTCAGTGTTTCTGAATAGATGCTTGATGCTTTTTGAATTGAGTTGAATTGTGATAGTCATTGGGGCTAGAGACTTTGTAACTTAACTTTCATTTTAAAACTTCCCTTTTTCCTCTCTTGAGTTTATTTTTATTTTGCTTCTTTCTTTTGAAGTATTTTTCTCTTCTTTCTTTTTTTTAAGAATCCTGGCCGGGCGCGGTGGCTCATGCCTGTAATCCCAGCATTTTGGGAGGTCGAGGCGGGCGGATCACAAGGTCAGGAGATGGAGAGCATCCTGGCTAACACGGTGAAACCCCGTCTCTACTCAAAAATACAAAAAATTAGCCAGGCGTGGTGACGGGCGCCTGTAGTCCCAGCTACTCAAGAGGTTGAGGCAGGAGAATGGTGTTAACCCAGGAGGTGGAGCCTGCAGTGAGCTGAGATCGTGCCACTGCACTCTAGCCTGGGTGACAGAGTGAGATTCCATCTCAAAAATAATAATAATAATAATATTAATAATAATAATAGAATCCTATCTGGTCTCAGCTCTATTAATGAGAAATAGAAAGAAGGAGAATTGTGTACCAACTGGTGGGCCAAAGCATCGTACTGGAGGAGTATATTGCTTGGAAATTATTGCACTCCAAGCAGGAAACCATAGAAGGAGACAAAACTCCTCGAAAAGTATGAGATCACCTGTGCAGAGTGTTAGTTACTATAGTTATGTTTGCAAGTAAAAAAGAAAAGCTCCAATGTAAACTAACTTATTCAATGATAGTATTTATTATTCACATTATGAAATTTCTGAATGTAGGGTAGACTTCCTTGCAAATAGATTCAGTGTCTTCAAGAACTGGAATCTTTTCTGTCCCTCCTCTTTATTACTTTTGAAATATGAACTTTAATATCAGACTCACTTCCTAAAGTTCAGAACATGGGGAAAATGCGATGTTGTTTTTCTCTGTGTACCTTGACCAGGGAACAAAATTCCCAATCTTGAAATGTGCTTCTTCCTTTAGCCTATTTTGGATGTGTGCCTACCTTTCGATGAATAAGAGGCACCAACACAATGAGATACACTCATTGGCTTGTTGGATTCCTGAACCCATCAATGGTAAAGAGAGAAGAGTCAGCATGATTTACTAAAAACAAGATTTCTCAACCACGGCACTATTGACATTTAGGAACCAGTCAATTCTTGGTCCTGGGGGTGCTATTCTGAACATTGAAGAAGCATTATCCCTAGCTTGCTAGATGACAATAGCACTCCTCACCAGTTATGACAAATAAAAAAATTCTCCAAACATTGCCATATGTTCTCTTGGGGGTAAAGTTGTCCCTGGGTTGAGAACCACTGGATAGGACCAATAAACTTGAACATTTGAGAATCAATCATGATGTCCACCATAATTAACAATCCCTCTCTTGACTAATTTTCTCCTTTAAAAAATAAACTTTTTAAGTTGTAAGTTTTATTTTAAAATGTCCATTTTACTTACAAGGTCTTTATCATAGTATGCCAAGACTATTGCACAGTAACAGGTCTTGTTGATGTTTGCTTCAAAAATGTCAGAATGTGGAGTGTGCACTGGCTGCATGTCCTCTAAATATCATCCTGTTTTTGCTTCACACTAACCATGCTAGTCTCCAATATGGTGCCTTTTCAGTATCCCAAAAGGTGCTCTTTGAGGAGAGCAACCTGTTTGGGGATATTCACTGGCATTGAGAGAAAGAGAGGAAAATGGAGAGAGAAAAGAAAATGAGAGGGGGAAATGTGACATTCGTAGCAAGCAATGTTATTCCTACTCATTAGAATAGTTACCTTTTTTTTCGGCTGGGCGCAGTGGCTCATGCCTGTAATCCCAGCACTTTGGGAAGCTGAGGCGGGTGGATCACAAGGTCAGGAGATCAAGACCATCCTGGCCAACAAGGTGAAACCCCGTCTGTACTAAAAATACAAAAATTAGCTTGGCGTGCTGGTGCATGCCTGTAGTCCCAGCTACTCAGGAGGGTGAGGCAGGAGAATTGCTTGAACCCAACAGGCGGAGATTGCAGTGAGCTGAGATCATACCACTGCACTCCAGCCTGGGTGACAGCCTGAGACTCCGTCTCAAAAAAAAAAAAAAAAAAAAAAAGAATAGTTACCTTTTTTTCTTGGCTTTCATTCCATAAACACTGTGTTCATAGGGCACTGTGTTCAATGTTTTACATGCATTATCTCATTTAATCTACAATAATACATGTAATTTAAGCATTTGTATATCCACTTTACAAGTGAGGAAACAGAGGCTAAGAGATGATTTATCTTTGCCTAAGCTCACAAACTAATGCATTTATGCATTATAGTACATGTACACTATATGTTATATGTATGCACATATATAACATATATAATGTATGGTACATATACATTATAGTACAGCAAACTATGGGGATGCCATAGAAACACAATTTGAACCTAACATCCTGCCCCTTCAAATTCACTATCTTATAGTCCAACACCTGCCAATATGTATGTCACTCTTCTTTTATGAGTGCATCCCTCAGAGCTCTAACCATCTAGGATTCTATCATTATGAAGACAGGGATCCTGGGCACATGGAGTGAGAGGAGGTTGGGAGAGCTCTGAAAGAAAAGGGAGGTCAGGGGAGCAAACGCCTGCTCTTCCTTATAGACTCATGTCTACAAGGCTGCCTTCTGACTTGTGTGATAAATCCTGCTCCCTCAAGTCACTTTCTTCAGCCTCAGCTGCACACAACACAGTCATCATCATCAGAGGGGTCATCTCCTAATGGCGAAGGACAGCCCAGCGGAGGAAGTTATAACGGATATCACATCCTGCCTGTATAGATCTGTCATGCAGAAAGGGCTGCGTACAGAATTCTAACTCTGTTCCTTGCAACTCTCCACTGCCTTCCATTCCTTTTCCAATTGCCCTGATTTGAACCAAATTTTTCAAAAGTCTCTTAACTGACCTCCCTGCCTTTTTTCTTCCTCTACCAATCCATTTTACTTAATTGGATTAATTTGTTTTTTCCTGAAAGACTTAACATTTCACTTCCTTGCTAAAAAATAAACATACAAGCCAACCAAGAACTATAAGGAAAAGCAACCAAGCCACGGCTTCTTGGCTCATTGTGCACAATTCCTGGCACAATGTCCCCACTCTTCCATGATCTGGTCTCATCTTAGATCCCACTGCTCTATCAGATGCCATTACACTGAGCCTCTTGCATCAGATACATAGAGACTGTTCCCCTCTGTGTCTTTGCTCATTCTGCTTAGAATGCTCTCATAACTCTGCTTATCTAGGTTGCCCTGTTTCGACAAGACCACTTTTTACATGCTGACATGCTAGAGTCACTATACCCATTCTACAGAAGACAAAAATGTAAGAAACAGGATTTGAGTCATGAAGTGTATAGGTTGCAGAGCAGGGCACCAGAATCCGTGTCTTCAGATTTTCTAATTCTTCATCTGATGTAATACCATTTCCACCTCTTAATCAAAGCATAAACATGTACATTCAAAACCACACCCAGCCCCATTTCTCACAGCTACTTTATCTTCAGAGTTCAGCTGGTAATACCAATGCAGCCCATTTAAGGGCATTATCAACAAACCTTCTCTCATGCTCTCTTTGTTCTAAACTCAGAGGAATTATTTCCGTGAGATTAATTCTGAAGCCGTTGTAGCATTTGTATAGGAGATGGCATCTCCCCTTATCTTAATTGCATATTTGGAAAACCTGCCTTGTGCTTGCTTCATATGGCATGCCATTTGGTGTTTATGACCATCATACTGGAGTTAACAGCATATGGGGAGCTCACCCACTCTGAATACTAAGCTTATCCAATCTCTCTCCCAGAGCTGACATGAGAAATAACTAATAAAAATGATTACAATATTAGAGGGTCATATAAATGCCAAATGCAATAGGGATTCTTTATTCTAAAGTTTCTTGATCTCTTCACCAACATCATAAAAGTGTGGAAGGGAGAAGGTAAGACATCCTATATAAAAAATGAGCACAATTTTCTCAAGCTTTATTTCAAATTTTTCTATTGAGGATTAGGATTCAATTTTAAGGTCAATCTGAAGATGAGGTGAAGTTTCAGGGATGACTGAACTAGAAATAGTGTGACCTTTCCAAAGACCTCTCTTTGTATGTATGCATTTTTCCCCAACCAGCAATAATAATAATATAAAAAGCTATAGGAATAATGCTTAACTAAATCAGATACAGATGGCTGTTTTATCAAGCAGAGGCAATTTTTATCATTTTAAAAGCTTTTGTTTTTGTAAAGGGAAGAAAATGGGACATGTTCCCTCACTTTTTTTTTTAAAGAGGAAAAAGCATATGTTTTTTAATTTGAAATGGAGTATTAATGGTGTTATCTCCCGAGAATTGCTGTGCTAGAGTGAATTGTGGAAAATGCATTTACTTGCAAGCTTTCTGGTAAATTCTTCTCTGACTTAGAGAGTTAGTGGCATATTATATCAACCTCCCTTTCCAAGAGAATACTGTGCATACAATCTGAGAGTCAATTTCCTGAGCCTCTTTTACTAGATCATCTTGTTTTCTTTGTTTATATTATTGATTTAGGTAAAATCATTTGGTGAATATTGAGTGTTCACCTAAGTGAGAAGGTGGTAATATGTAGCAAGTAGACAGAGGGTTATAATGTAACTGGGATAATAAAACCTTGTATCGCTGCTGAAATTTACAGTTTGCATTATCCTATTTGAACCTCACCATGCACCTGAGAGTTATGAGGATAGAGACTATTGTTTCAATTTTATAGTTGGGAAGTCAAAGCACAGAGAACTTAATTGGTTTTCCTGTGGCCCCCTCATCCTGTACAGCCAGTAATTGAGCCAGAATTGGAGCCTTCGCCAGTCAATCTCATGTTCCTTCTGCACAGAGCTGCTTCCAGATTAAACTTCAACCAATCCATCCAGAGGCATTTATAGAGTGCCTACTGTTTAGCTGTCACTGGAGTCAAAACAGTGACAGACATAGCAACCTTTTAGATGCTGTTTCTGCACACAAGGTGCTTTTCACTGACTCTAAAAGACAGGACAGAAATATATGAACTGTTTAGTGAATAAGTTATGAGTATGAACAATTGCAGGATCCATATATGCTGGTAACATGGGAGGTCTTACTGAGAAGGAGGCCTTTTATAAAGACCCTAGAAATGAGTAGAAAATTAATGATGAGATTGGCTGACATTATATAAGCCATTACTATGTTCCAGTCACTTGAGTTATAACTTCATTCACTCATTCAACAAACATTATCTGCCTTTTGAGCCAAAGAAGGTATTATGGAGACGTGCAGGAAAAAAATAAATAAATTCTGGTTCTGGCATTTTAATGACCAGGAGCATGTGACTTCATTTCTTAGGTCCTTATTTTATTCATCTGAAAAAATAATGGTTTAGAAAAAGTATTCAAAAGTTTCTGTGAATTGTGAATGAAGTAAAATGTTTGCAAACAAGAATTACCTCATGATAATGTGTTTTTGTTGGATTTATTATTATTATTTTTATAATTACTACTCTTTGGTAAGGACTAGAGATACAAAGATGAACAGGAAAATTACCCTAGTCTTAAGAAACTCCATCTAGTAAAAAAGATCATCCATATAATTTCCTTAACCCATTCCTTCATCCTTTTCTCCTCCCTATCTTCCTTCCTTCGTTTTTTCATCATTTTCTTCCTTTTTCCCTTCATTTCTTCCCTCTTTCCTTCCCTTTTTCCTTCCTTCCTTCCTTCTTTTCAAACTTTTGTTTTCCACTTGCCATTTCTTCCTTTCTACCCTCCATTATTATTGATTCAGTGCCTCCTCTCTGCCAGGCAAAAAGCAAGGTGTTTAACTTTCAGGAATATATTAGGTACTGACCCAGCCCGAAGGAGATCTCAATATAGAGGAGAAAATAATTCACAACCCACTAGTCAGACTTAACGTGACTTAAAGAGTGGCCACCAGACCATGTGTCCCTGGAATGCAATAGGAAGTCCCCATTACTATCTACTAACCTGAATCTAATCAATCCTCTAGACATAGCTTTCAGATTTTATAATAACACTATAAAGATGCAATCAGATAAGATACATAACATGGGAAATTCTGCATGACAGATAACCCAGTTTTTCTCTAAAGTAAAAATAATGTTAATTCTGTAAGAGAAAAGAAATTCCTTTTATGCCTAGTTCAAAAACAGGCACAAGTAAGTTATACTATAAATAATAGAATGGTGGTTCTTTACAGGGGGCATATAGGCTCAAAGGAGCATATGGCTAGACATCATCTGGCTCATAATTTGTGTGGTCTAAGGAGCATGCATGTACTTCTACAGACATGGCTATGTAAAATGTACTGATATATAGACTTAGGATGTGTTTTAGTAAGCTCTAAACCAAAAACATTTGAATTAACTAATATAAAGAGGGAGTGAGAACTGTTACTGATTAAAGTAGACTTAATAAGCATATTAAATACATTAAATGTGTAGATCTTGTTCAGATTCTGATTTGGGAATAAAAACTATACAATGTGGAAATATTGAACACAGATTGAATATTACATGATAATAATTGTATAATTCTGTTGTGCAATAATAGTAATATGGTAATAAGAATGAGGAGGAGGAGGGGAAAATGAGGGAAACTGGGAAGAGTCAGGAGGGAGAGGAGAGAGTTCTGATCTGTTAGAGATACTTACTGAATTAATTATTGAAATATAGGATAAGATGTGTGGTATTTACCTCATAGGACCCTGGGGCAGGGGTCAATTAACTATGGTCAATGGGCCAAATTCAGCTACCACCTGTTCTTATAAATAAAGTTATATTAGAACTCACCCACTCTCATTCATTTACATACTGTCTATGAGTGCTTTGGCATCGCAATGCAGAATTGAGTAATTGTGACAGTAATTTCTGCCTTAAAAGTTGAAACTATTTACTATCTGGCCCTTTACAGGAACAGTTTGCCAACCCCTGCTGGGGAAAGGGAGTGGGAGAGAAAATGAGAAATAAAGGGAAGGAAGGAAGGAAGAAAAGAGGGAAGGAAGGGAGGGAAGGGAAGGGAAGGGAAGGATATATAACAGTAGACAGGACCTAAGGCTTATCTTAAATACAAACACAGCCCATTATTTCTCTTGCTGCCCCTATTTCAAGCCATAACCATGATCTGGAAGTTTCTAGTGGTTTCTAACTGGTCTAGCATCTCTCGTCGTCCTACCTTCTTTTCTCTACACTGAAGCCAAAGTGATCCACTTATAATGTAAATTGGATCGTGTCACTGTCCACAACCCAAGAGTCATTGGAAAAAATGTATACTTTAGTCTATAATATGACCATAAATCAACTGACATCGCTCAGTCTCATGGGCTGAGTTTTCTCACACTCTCTCTTCTTGTTATTCGTGGTAAGCTCCAAGCCTATTCCAGAGTCAAGACCTTTTACTTTATGTACCTTACCTGGAAACACCTTTATTTGGCTTTTTGATTCATCTCATCTATCACTGAAGTCTCATCAGAGAAACCATTCAACCTACTAAAATAGCTCGCCCATCCCCAATTAATCTATATTGTCTATTATCGTACACTGATTTTTTTCAGAGTATGTATATTTACTTGTTATCTGTATATCATTTTCTCATCCACTAGAAAGTAAGCTACATGTAAATAGAAAATAACTTATCTTGTTTCTTACTTCATTTTCAGCCCTTAGGAAAAAATAAAACAAACAAACAAGCAAACAAACAAAACAGGGGAAGTGAAAAAAAGAAAAGAAAAGAAATTGAGAAACTAGATTTAGAGTGAGCAGATAGATATATTTTAAAACAAAGAATATGGAAATTTGCATGAAGTAAAAAGCAAAAAGCTGACAGATATAAGAGGCTCTGCAGAGTAGAAGTTCAAGAAAGATGGAAGAAATAGCAGTTCACCATGATTCAGCTCACCAGACATTTATGAAACACTTACTGTGTCAAAGACATGATGCTAGGCACAGGGGGTATAGAAATATCTAAACCAAATTCCTTTATACACAGTCTAATGGTAATAATGGTAAGGATAGTTAATAATAGCAAAGTTGTTAACTAATATTGATAATTTCCTGTTCCGGTCCCTGTTTTAAAGATTTTACGAGAATTATCTCATTGGCACTTATTTCTCACAACAACATGATGAGACATGTACTATTAGAACATACATGTCAAGAAAAGGGAATTGAGGTGCAAGAAATAGTGACTTATTAAGAGCCAGTAGGTGAAATACTTTGAACCAGCTACCAATGTAAAGGACAGTATTAGTGAAGTATTTGCCGAATCCTTCTGTACAAATGAAGGGATAGGATGATCTATCAGGACATGTCACAGAAGGCTTCATAGATGAAGAAGGGTGAAATTAGTCTGTGCCTAATGAAATAAGAAAGGTATTGCCACCTGGAGATTGGAGTGAGGGGTTCTCTAGGGTGATAGAAGGCCATGAGTAACACTACAGAGATGTCAAAACACAGCTAAGTACTTAACTGCTGGACTTTAGTATCTGATAGTACTTACAGTTGAAATCTCACTCTCATATGTAGTAGCTCTGTGACCCTCATTAAGGTCATAGCCCTGATTTCTGACTCTAGAAAATGTCATCTATCTCATTGGATTGTACTGAAAATTAAAGCAACCCTTGCATTTCAAGCACAGTGCCTGGCACATAACAATCACTGAAATTTTATTCAGCTCTTACTCCTTGCATTCAGGAACAATAAGTATAAGAAGCATCAAGAAATTTGTGCAAGTCTGTAAAAGGTAATCTGAGACGGCACTGATAAGCCATCAATGTGAAAAGTTTGGACTTGGTTCCATAAACCTAGGGTTTCCAATGCACAAAAAGGAGGCTAAATGAACTAAGAAGGAAATTCCAGGCAGTTGCAGTTAAGAGGTGAACTCAGCAGGGCACCTGAAGGAATTATGTTTTATGACTCTTATTATACACAGTTCATGGCTAAATAAAAGAAAACTCCAAAAGCAGCCTCTAATTTGAGACCTATAATTTGAGAGCACTGCAGAGGCAGTGGTACTCTTTTGAGTAAGGACATGCCCCAACTTTGTTTGAAGTACTACTCAAGCAACAGTGTGGAGAATCGATGGCGGGGGATGAGATTTAAGTCAGAGGGTCAATTTGAAGGGTATTGAAATCAAGTAAGCAGTGAGTATCTGAACAAGAAAAATGCCTTGGCCTTCACTCCTCCATCAAAATACTACCATTCCTAGCCTCTACCCACTAGATGCCAGTAGCACTCTTCTCTAGTCATGTCAATCAAAAACGTCTTCAGACATTTCCATATGTCCTTTGGGTCGGGGGAGAGTTCCATTATGCACGTTAAACACTTTTGCAGAGAATTTAAGAAGACAAGGGTGATTAGACAAGCATGGATTCAAAGGGGGAAAAATGTAGACACAAAATAGAAAACTTAAAAAACAGAAAATGCGGACATCAGGTTTAATTATTTTTAAATCCAGAATGTCTAAAAGTTTTAAAAGTGATTTTGAGCAACCTTCAGAACCACAGAATTAGCTCTGGAAGACCCAGACATGGTTCAGGGACTAAAGTTGGTGATGTTGCTCACAAGTCTAAGAATGTTAAAGCCTGCTGCCCCAGGGTGATGTTGGTGACTTCATTGCAATGAGTCTCTTGTAGCTGAGACAGAAAGATAGGCATTAAAATGTCAAAGTCAAATATCAGAGACTGGCATTCAGAAAGGTGATGGGGGGTAACCAATTAAAACTTTCTTCTGTAGTGAAATAGCTCTTTCTATAACACAACAGAAAAGCCTGTCTTAGAGGCTTCATAAACCTGTGTCTCCCATGGAAGTATGTATTGAAACAATTCTTCCTAACAGATCGCATTGAGCTCTACTGTAAAAATATTTGTGCTCTGGGCAATGCAGATAATTTTTAAAATGATAAAGTCCTTGAACCTACATGTTCTCTAGTCCTATACCATCCAATATGATAGCTACAAGGCACATGGGAGATGAATGAGCACTTAAAAAAGGTGACTAGTCCAAATTGAGGTGTGACAGAAGTGTGAAATATAACACAGAATTCAAGTATTACAAATGAAAAAAGTAAAATATTTTATTAATATTTTTGTATTTGCTATATGCTGAAAAATAATATTTTGATATATTGAGTTAAAATTAACTGTTTAAATTATTTTTACCTGTACTTTATTTTTCTGATGTGGCTACTTGAAAAATGAAAATTCTCATCTGGTTTTCATTTGTGACTGACATTTTTATTGGACATTACTGCTCTAAACTAAACAATAACGCTTTCTGCTGCCCCCTAGTATAATTGACACCTTACTGCCTCATCAAAATATTAGCAACAAAATTCTACCATCAAAATACTACCATCAAAATACTATCATCAAAATACTACCATCAAAATTCTACCTTCACAATAGTACCATCAAAAAATACTACCATCAAAATTCTACCATCAAACTTCTACCATCAAAATACTATCATCAAAGGCCTTTTCTGCATCTGTTGAGATAATCATGTGGTTTTTGTCTTTGGTTCTGTTTATATGCTGGATTACATTTATTGATTTGCGTATATTGAACCAGCCTTGCATCCCAGGGATGAAGCCCACTTGATCATGGTGGATAAGCTTTTTGATGTGCTGCTGGATTCGGTTTGCCAGTATTTTATTGAGGATTTTTGCATCAATGTTCATCAAGGATATTGGTCTAAAATTCTCTCTTTTGGTTGTGTCTCTGTCCGGCTTTGGTATCAGCATGATGCTGGCCTCATAAAATGAGTTAGGGAGGATTCCCTCTTTTTCTATTGATTGGAATAGTTTCAGAAGGAATGTTACCAGTTCCTCCTTGTACCTGTGGTAGAATTCGGCTATGAATCCATCTGGTCCTGGACTCTTTTTGGTTGGTAAGCTATTGATTATTTCCACAATTTCAGATCCTGTTATTGGTCTATTCAGAGATTCAACTTCTTCCTGGTTTGGTCTTGGGAGGGTGTATGTGTCAAGGAATTTATCCATTTCTTCTAGATTTTCTAGTTTATTTGCGTAGAGGTGTTTGTAGTATTCTCTGATGGTAGTTTGTATTTCTGTGGGATTAGTGGTGATATCCCCTTTATCATTTTTTATTGCATCTATTTGACAAAATTCAACAACCCTTCATGCTAAAAACTCTCAACAAATTAGGTATTGATCGGACGTATCTCAAAATAATAAGAGCTATCTATGACAAACCCACAGCCAATATCATACTGAATGGGCAAAAACTGGAAGCATTCCCTTTGAAAACTGGCACAAGACAGGGATGCCCTCTCTCACCACTCCTATTCAACATAGTGTTGGAAGTTCTGGCCAGGGCAATTAGGCAGGAGAAGGAAATAAAGGGTATTCAATTAGGAAAAGAGGAAGTCAGATTGTCCCTGTTTGCAGATGACATGATTGTATATCTAGAAAACCCCATTGTCTCAGCCCAAAATCTCCTTAAGCTGATAAGCAACTTCAGCAAAGTCTCAGGATACAAAATCAATGTACAAAAATCACAAGCATTCTTATACACCAATAACAGACAAACAGAGAGCCAAATCATGAGTGAACTCCCATTCACAATTGCTTCAAAGAGAATAAAATACCTAGGAATCCAACTTACAAGGGACGTGAAGGACCTCTTCAAGGAGAACTACAAACCACTGCTCAATGAAATAAAAGAGGATACAAACAAATGGAAGAACATTCCATGCTCATGGGTAGGAAAAATCAATGTCATGAAAATGGCCATACTGCCCAAGGTAATTTATAGATTCAATGCCATCCCCATCAAGCTACCAATGACTTTCTTCACAGAATTGGAAAAAACTACTTTAAAGTTCATATGGAACCAAAAAAGAGCCCGCATCGCCAAGTCAATCCTAAGCCAAAAGAACAAAGCTGGAGGCATCACACTACCTGACTTCAAACTATACTACAAGGCTACAGTAACCAAAACAGCATGGTACTGGTACCAAAACAGAGATATAGACCAATGGAACAGAACAGAGCCCTCAGAAATAACACTGCGTATCTACAACTATCTGATCTTTGACAAACCTGAGAAAAACAAGCAATGGGGAAAGGATTCCCTGTTTAATAAATGGTGCTGGGAAAACTGGCTAGCCATATGTAGAAAGCTGAAACTGGATCCCTTCCTTACACCTTATACAAAAATTAATTCAAGATGGATTAAAGATTTAAACATTAGACCTAAAACCATAAAAACCCTAGAAGAAAACCTAGGCATTACCATTCAGGACATAGGCATGGGCAAGAACTTCATGTCTAAAACACCAAAAGCAATGGCAACAAAAGCCAAAATTGACAAATGGGATTAATTAAACTAAAGAGCTTCTGCACAGCACAAGAAACTACCATCAGAGTGAACAGGCAACCTACAGAATGGGAGAAAATTTTTGCAACCTACTCATCTGACAAAGGGCTAATATCCAGAATCTACAATGAACTCAAACAAATTTACAAGAAAAAAACAACCCCATCAAAAAGTGGGCGAAGGACATGAACAGACACTTCTCAAAGGAAGACATTTATGCAGCCAAAAAACACATGAAAAAATGCTCACCATCACTGGCCATCAGAGAAATGCAAAGCAAAACCACAGTGAGATACCATCTCACACCAGTTAGAATGGCAATCATTAAAAAGTCAGGAAACAATAGGTGCTGGAGAGGATGTGGAGAAATAGGAACACTTTTACACTGTTGGTGGGACTGTAAACTAGTTCAACCCTTGTGCAAGTCAGTGTGGCGATTCCTCAGGGCTCTAGAACTAGAAATACCATTTGACCCAGCCGTCCCATTACTGGGTATATACCCAAAGGATTATAAATCATGCTGCTATAAAGACACATGCACACGTATGTTTATTGTGGCACTATTCACAATAGCAAAGACTTGGAACCAAGCCAAATGTCCAACAATGATAGACTGGATTAAGAAAATGTGGCACATATACACCATGGAATACTATGCAGCCATAAAAAATGATGAGTTCATGTCCTTTGTAGGGCCATGGATGAAGCTGGAAACCATCATTCTCAGCAAACTATCACAAAGACAGAAAACCAAACACCGCATATTCTCACTCATAGGTGGGAATTGAACAACGAGAACACATGGACACAGGAAGGGGAACATCACAATCTGGGGACTGTTGTGGGGTGGGGGGAGGGATAGCTTTAGGAGATATACCTAATGCTAAATGACTAGTTAATGGGTGCAACACACCAGCATGGCACATGTATACATATGTAACTAACATGCACATAGTGCACATGTACCCTAAAACTTAAAGTATAATAACAATAAAATAAAAAAAATACTATCATCAAAATACTACCATCAAAATTCTACCATCACAATACTACCATCAAAAAATACTACCATCAAAATTCTACGATCAAAATACTACCATCAAAACACTACCATCAAAATACTACCATCAAAAAAATACTACCATCAAAATACTACCATCAAAATTCTACCCATTTCCGAACCATAAAGGACAGTGCTTAACTTCATCATTTTATGAAATTTCTAACCACATATGATATTCTGTGAAGTCTTCTGGGACATTCTTACATTCTTATAATGTATTTATCTTAGCGTTCCTTGCATTTTTATGTTTATTTTACCAGAATATAAATTCCTTGAAGACAATGATCATATAAAACACATTTATATCACCCATAGAGCCTAGTATAGTACTTTACATTTTTAAAAATAAAATCATACAAGGTGCCTGTAATCTGTTGTGAAGTCAAGATGCCTCAGGGATCTCGGAAATCCTGATATAAAAAATGGGGGGGGGGGCGGTACTTATCCCCTTGTTCCTGCTTGTGAGACATTGTAGCTACTAAGGCAGATTGTCAACCTGCTTGGAAAGAAAGAAAAAAAAAGATGCACAATGAGTTCCTAAGAATGGGGAAGTTTACACTGATAATAAAGAGCATAAAAGGGAAGTTAACAAAACTTGCATCTACGTACAAGACAGTTGAAAGAGAGAAATAGAAACAAACCAACTGATTGACCTAGGCTGGAAAAAATGCTGATCTACTGATCCTGCTAGGGAATAACTTTCAGTCCATGCTGTGGTTTGATTGCATGTGTCCCTCCAAAATTTATATGTTGGAACTTAAACCCTAAGGTGATGGAATTAAGAGGTGGACCCTTTGAGGGGCAATTAGGCCATGAGGGTCCAACCTCATGGATGGGATTCATGTCCTTGTAAAAAAAAAAACGTAAGGGTGTGAGTTTGCCCTTCTGCTCTTCCACCATGTGAAGACATAGCAGCAGAGAGCCATCTTGGAAGCCAAGAGCAGCTCTCACCAGACACCAAATCCACTAATGTCTTCCCAGTGGACTTCCTGGACTCTAGAGTTATAGGAAATAAATTTGTCTTCTTTATAAATTACCTAATCTAAGGTATTTTGTTTTAGCAGCCTGAATGGACTAAGACAGTCCAATTGGTCAGATTTTTAATTGTTCACTCAAGTAGCCAAATTCCTGTCATATATCACCATTACCTTTCAAGGGTTTGATGAAATAAAAGTTTAAAGTTTATATTTCCTGCACGACACAATCCAATGTGAGGAATTAAGGGTTGAGGGGATGCTCTTCTCTGCATAGTAATTCAAGGCCCACACTCCGTTCATTTTGTGGCTTTTCTTGCTCTAGGTGAGCGAGTCCTCTCCATTCAGCTATTGCAAGAAGAAAAAGAGATATTGGAAAGTTTATTAAAGGGTCAGTCCCAGAAGTGTCATATGTAACTTTCATTCCCATCCCATTGAACCAAACTCTATCATATGGTCATAGCTGACTTTAAAGAATGGATGGAAAACATGGTCCAGATGTGGGTTAAAGAAGAAGAGGAGTTCAAGCATGTGGATGAACACTGGAGTCCCTGGCACAGTAGACTACATGCAGAATAGGGATTTAAATTATTTATTTTTGATTTATTCTTTTAATACAGAAATTCTCAACCTTGACACTATTGAATTTGAGGCTGGATAATTATTCATGCAGGACTGTCCTGTGCATTGTAGAATGTTCAGTAGCATTCCTGGCCTCCACCCACTAGATGCCAGTAGTACTCCTCTCTGGTCATGTCAATCAAAAATGTCTTGGGACATTTCCATATGTCTTTCAGGTAAGGGGAGGGTTCCGTAATACACAGCTAAACCTCAAGCATCATGCCAGGGAGAACCAACTGCACACAACATGCCTTATCTCAACTGTCAGCCCATTTATATGCCTGTGCGTATTTCTCTCCACTTTCATCTCCCTGATTTTCTTATTTCATGATCAATAACTTGTCTCTGGATTCTATTTTAATACCTGTTTTGTCATCATTTTCTGGAATATTGAATTCCTCTTCCAACAACTCTTGAATCCACATGCTTAGTCAAGGTATATAGCCTTTCTCCTCTTTTCTAATGGTAGCAGGAATCACATAGGAACTAAAAGTACCATATTCCAAGAATATAAAAAAATTGGCATTTATGCTGCTGCTACCACATCTTGCACTTTTGGTAGACACCTCTAATCAATCATGATATCCTCCCCTCCTGAGGCTGGAGTCTACTTCAGAATCCAGGCAACACTTGAGGCAGTCACTATTGAATGATCAAAATTGGTCCAAGAGATTAAAACTATGTATCCTCAAAGCACTGGTCCAACACCCTCATTTTAGAGCTAAATAAACTGAGACCCAGGTGATGAAATAGATCACCAAGGCCACACAGAGTTTTGGTTTCTTGGCCTTCTGTTTTTTCTTCTGCCCATGCAGTATAAAATAAGAAGACTTGTCTAAGTCCTGTAAGACTTTGCTGGAAACAGCACCTTGAAAAAGGTTGCTAAAAGCAGAAGTATTGCTTGGAGGGGCAGTTGGGGTGAACTTGACTTTAACCAGCTTCTCTTCTCATTGCCTTTTGAATAACAACTAATCTAGTATATTGAGCAGAGATTGAAGGGGTATGATTAACCCCACCACTATGATTTTTTTGTTTGTTTGTTTTTTGTTTTTTGAGACGGAGTTTCGCTCTTGTTGCCCAGGCTGGCATGCAATGATGCGATCTCACCACAACCTCCACCTCCCAGGTTCAAGAAATTCTCCTGCCTCAGCCTCCCAAGTAGCTGGGATTACAGGCATGCACCACCATGCCTGGCTAATTTTGTATTTTTAGGAGAGATGGGGTTGCTCCATGTTGGTCAGGCTTGTCTCAAACTCCCAACCTCAGGTGATCCACCCACCTCAGCCTCCCAAAGTGCTGGGATTACAGGTGTGAGCCACTGCTCCCAGAGAAGATTTTAAATGTTAACTAAATACCTGAATTTAAAATTCAAGTACAATAAGCGGCATGAAAATAGGGTTAACTTCAGCAGAATGCATGGAGCTTGAATGTGGCGTGTATATTGGAATGATAGGATTTGAGAGTTAATGTTAGCACACAGCTGTTTTAGAAAAAAAATCAGTCTGGTGGGAAATCAGAAGCTGTTTATGCTTTATCGTTTGTATACAATAAAATACATTGGGAAGAAAAATTGATCCTGGTTCATTTTCTCAGATCTGAGTTTTATTTCTCTGCCCTCAGCTTTCCCGGCTGAGGCTCACACTGCCCATGTTTATGTGAAATGGGCTGATGCTCTCATCTTGCCTTTCAATAATTATAGGTCTCCCCAGGAAAGTGGCTTTACTGAGAGATTTTATAAAGGTTTTAAAGATTTTTATTATGAAGGATTCAGCCTTTCCACGATTACTATTTTTAAAAGGTGCTTTGTAGCCATTGCTAGCAGAACAGCTATTGATTCTTTTACAAAGGAAAGACTGACTCTTGTACACCAACCTGAGGGCAGTATCTTGCTATCTCCTAAAATGATGTAATGATGTTGTGAAGTAAAATGATCATTTTTCTTATTGGAGAGTATCTTATCCCCACTAATGGTGACAGAGGTCTATGGGTAATAGTAACCACAAATTTCACTTTAGTTTTAACAGTTACATTAGAGGCTGAAATGAACTTCATATTGTTGCAAAGTTTGCTTAAGAGGCAATTGTCAGAGGTGTTAAATGGACAACCTTCCAAATATTTTTTTTCAATTCAGTCCACTCCTCTTCATCACCTATGCTTTAGCCACCATCAGGAGTCCCAATAGTTATCTCTTCTGTTTGTGTATCCTCTGCTAAAGTTAGTGTTTTCTCTTTGCCTGCAGGAGAGAGTCCAAACTGCATCATATGGCATGCAAAGTCCCTGGTGATCTGATTCTTACACACGTTGTCTCTTAACTTGCTCCTGTATGAACCTCATGAACCAGCCTAACAAATTAGTTATTACATCATATCTCATTCAGTGGAATAAAATAGTTTGTGGCATGTCTTTTAAGGCAGTGATGGAGTCTAATCTAGGGCACTGGAGTTTTAAAGCCAGACAGATAGGAGTTTTAATTTTTTTTTTATTGGTGAATGGCCTTGAGAAAATCATTTAACCTCTGGAATCTCATGTCCTACAAAAGGGCATAATGATAAGAAGAGACAGATGTAATGGGCCAAACACAGAAGCTGGCATGTCATTGTTATGCCATGAAAAAGGAACTGTATTTCTATAGGTTATGTAATGTAATAGGAAAATGTATAATGCCAGAGGCAAGTAGGCTAGGTTTTCATCTCTGAATCTCAGTTATCTCATCTGTAAAACAGGGATAATGAAATGGGTCTAGTTGGGATGTTAGAATGAAATGTGACCAAAATATAAAATAACTACTACAGTGCCCAGCATAAAATTGATGTCTTTTTCGAGATGGCCCATGTGCATAAAATGAAAAAAAAAAAAAAAAAAAGTATATATATATATATGTATATATGTACACACACACATGCACACATATATGTATATACATATACACAAATACATATTATTTATATATATGCATATGTTAATTTTTCAAAAATTAGTGTGTCAAAAAATGTAGGCATTATTGCTGTTAAGCCTTCCATACAATGGTACAGCACTGAAGTCATTATTCAACTGAACTTCAACCACACAATGTTGGTAGTGAGGTAGAGGTAAAGTTATGCTCCTGAGCCATTTATTCACTCACTTAATTTAATGAGTGTTCTTTTACATTATCATAGTGTTATACTCTGGTTTCTCTTCAAATCATATAAATCTTTCACCTTTTAAATTATCGTAGTGTTCCAACTATGGTTCCAGATGATGGAAGTAGAAAGATGAATGTTACCTCCCTTGTTCATAGGGAACTCCTAATCTACCGGAGGTTTAAAAAAGATTTATAATGTAAACATATAATATATACATGTGAGAATCATCCCAACAATGTGGTGCCAATATGAAGAAGTGAAACCCATTTGCGTCCAAGAAAGCTTCATGGAAGTGTTGGCAATATGGGCAAAAAGGTGGAGTAATACCCCCAAAGGCAGTGGTTAGGGTAGAACATTCTGGAAACAGGAACAATTTGAGCACAGACACAGAGATGGGAAAGATCTGGAGAATGCTGGAGCACAGACAAAGGTAGGGGACTGGGATACCATGGGCTGGAAGAGCATATTGATTGTTAGGAGGTAGGAATTTAGTCTGGGGTCATGGGAAATCATTGAAGATTTTTAAACAGCAGAAAGACATGATCAGAGAAATGTTTACAAAGATGAATCTGAAAGAAAGGATAGGAGGAGGGACCAAATCGAGATTTGGAGACCAGTTTACAAAGCTGTTGTCATAATCCAAGTAAGAACGACTAAGGGAACTAAGGTACTGATAGTGGAAATTAAAGAAAAGTCCAGTTATTAGAAAGCCTGCCTCTGTTGTAAGGAGAAAAAAAGCCAGTTATTACTATCTGGGAAACACTGTACTTTTTGCAAGTTATTGCTGTATTCTGGTTTGTAAGCCCAACAATTATTTAGATGTTTAAACAAGAAAAGTTTTTTTCATCAAAAGCAAATTTTCTTAGCAAATAAGATCAAATGAATTTCCTATGGCAACACATCACACATCACACTTGGTGTTGGAACCAAGATTAGAAACACAAGTTGGTCTGGATCCAAAGTCCGTGTGCTTTCCATGCCCAAGTTCCACTGTTTTGACTCCTAGAAAGGCAAGTGCTAGAGTCTTTTGCTCTGCTAAGTAAGGTGTGACAAGAGCCTAAAGTTCATGGAGGAATGTGATGAAATAAAAAGCTCTGCAAATAAACAAATATTATATCATCCAGTGCCTCCTATGCCATATAATAGAGCTTGGGCCCTGTGGGCAGTGGGGAATGCTGACAAGTTTGAAGAATTTGAGTAACATGACCGTGAACAAGAAATAGAATAGAGGCAAGGAGACAGGTTAGGAGCTGTTGCAAAGATTCAGGCAAGAAAATATGGTGGCTTGAATCAAGTCATGGCAGCAGAGACAGAAGTGTGCTTACTGAAATGGAAAGATATTGGCAATACATTGCTAATGAGTAAAATCAGGCTTTCAAACTATATGAATGCCACTTTGTTTAGAAGACAAATAAGATAAATGGCATGTCTGTTTTACATAGGTGTCTCTCATAGATCTCTCTCTCTCTCCCTCGCTCCCTCTTTCTCTCTCTCCCTCCTTCTCTCTCTCTCTCACCTTATATCTTAATAGGTAATCCTAAAGTGAGAGGGTGACTGGCTGGCATATTTTTTCTACTCTTTTTGATTATAGCTAATATACTTTAAGTAATTACTGTGTCAGAAATTGTGCTAAAAGCTTTATGGTCATTTGCTTATTTAATCCTCATAATAGTTTTATGAGATAGGTATTAATCTAATTATCTCTATTATTATTACCATTATTATCCCCATCTTAATGTGAAATTGAGGTTCATAGAAAATAAGAAAACTGCCTAGAGCATAGTTGCTTGCTGAATAGAAGACTAGAGATTACACATGTTTTAGTGACAGGATGATGACTCCAGCTAAGCCTGCATGCCTCCATAGACTAATATTTTAACCACTATGTTACAATTTATCAATCATCTATTAGTTCCTTTTATTCAAGATAAAATAAATTTTATTTTATTTATTTGTAAATTAATTGATAAAAACTATGAAATAGCCTTTACAAATTATATAACTCTCACTTATTCAATGGAAAGTATGGCCATTTTGCCTCCTTTAGACAAAATACCTCCTTTAGGTATTTTACTATAAAGAAATGCATGCATATGGTAAATATTTGGTTTAAATGGTCAAATAATGCAAAAATCAGTCTCTCTGAAAAGTCCACACCCCAAAGAACACTACTGTGAACTCTCCTAATAGCCTACACCGTATTTTCTTTGCATTGTTCTTGACTTTAATAAAAATGCCTCTACTGTCTCAAAATTCACAACTTTTTGTTTTACACGGGGTTAAAGAAGTTCTATTCTGGCCGGGCATGGTGGCTCACACTTGTAATCCCAGCACTTTGGGAGGCTGAGGCGGGCGGATCACGAGTTCAAGAGATCGAGACCATCCTGGTCAACATGGTGAAACCCCGTCTCTACTAAAAATACAAAAATTAGCTGGGCGTGGTGGCACGCGCTTGTAGTCCCAGCTACTCGGGAGGCTGAGGCAGGAGAATCACTTGAACCAGGGAGGCAGAGGTTGCAGTGAGCCGAGATTGGGCCACTGCACTCCAGCCTGGTGACAGAGTGAGACTGTCTCAAAAAAAGAAAAAAAAAAAAGAAGTTCTATTCCATTATTTTATTAAGCATATACAAATTAAATTAGGTACACTTTATAGTTGATTTGTTTGACTATGTATTGAGATAACCACATGCTGAGTCTTTTTTCCTTTGCTTTATTAAGATATTGAATAATATTGAATAATATTAATGTAATACTTAATCTTGAATAGTTCTTTCCTTCGTAGAAAAAAGAAAACTACTGGATTATAATGTGTTTACCTACTTATTCATATAGAGATGGAGTCTATTTGCTAAGACTTTAGAGTTTTATAACAATATCCAGAGATGTGATATATTGCATTTTTCTATTTTGTTCCAGTTATCTGGTTTTGGCATCGATGTTGTCATTTTCTAGTCACATATGCCACCCTTAACACATACAAACATGCATACACTTTGTAGAAAATTAGATAGTTAAGGAATATTTTTTCCAAAGCTACAACCTTTGACTATGGTCATTGTATTTTTTAATTCTACTATTTCTGTTTTCAAAATAATTAATTTTGGTTTTTGCTCATTAATTCCCACCTTTTGTCTTGCCTCTGTTTACTTTGATCTTCTTTTTCGAAACTTTTTAGATGAATGAGTAACTTATTTTCATGCTTTTTTATGTATAAATACTTTAATAACTATGAATTCTCTAAGCATAATTATAACTCTATGACATATAGCCTGATCTATGGTATTTTTGTTATCATTATTTTCTAGATATTCAATAACTTTGGTTGTAATTTTCTTTTTGTTCTAAGAATCATTTGGAGTGTGGGATAAATGGAGTTTCTGATCTTGCCTTGGCAATCCCATTTTGATTTCATTGTGAGCAGAAATTTAGTTATACAATTTCTTTTTTTTAACTTTGAAGTTTTCAAGTTTGAAGTAAATCAACACAAGATTGGGATATGTAAATGTTCCATGGGCATTTGTAAAGAATATGCTGTTCTCTGGTATAAAATTAATAATATGTGCCTTATTAGTTATGCTATTTACATAATATCTTTGCATCTAATTTTTTTCTTCTACTTGATTTATTTTTCTTCAGCTGAGAGTTTTATTGGAAAGCCTCACCAATGTCGTTTGTATGTGCTAATTTTGACATTTTTTACTTTTTTTTTTTTTCTTGAGACAGAGTCTCACTCTGTTGCCCAGATTGGGGTCAGTGATGTGATCTCGGCTCACTGCAAGCTTCGCCTCCCAGGTTCCAGTGATTCTCCTGCCTCAGCCTCCCGACTAGCTGGGACTACAGGCACCTGCCACCATGCCCAGCTAATTTTTTTTTTTTTTGTATTTTTAGTAGAAATGGGGTTTCACCATGTTGGCCAGGCTAGTCAGGGAACTCCTGGCCTCAAGTGATCTGCCCACCTTGGCCTCCCAAAGTGCTAGGACTATAGGCATGAGCCACCTCACCCAGCCTACATTTTTAAAAATATCAATGCTGTGATATTAGAAACATGAAACTTCATGACAATGAGACCTCCATTGTTTTATCATTCAAAAGTGCTCTTCTTTTAATTATTTTAACTCTGATTTTAATTTTCTCTTATGCTTGTAACTTAATTTCTGATTTACTTTTGTTAGACTAGTATGCCTCTATTTAGTATTTTACAATTGTTTGGAGATATCTGTTTTAACTTCTCCTAACTCCATATTGTTTTCTGAATCAATATGATGGGTTTTAAAAAATAATATGTGAGTCCATCTCATTGTAATTGAACCTGTCTGGTTTTGATTTCATTCTATCATTTTATTTTATGTTTACCTCTGATTTTTGTGCCATTATATTTTCTATGTTTTGCTTTTGGGCATGTGTTTTGTTGTTTCCTTTTATATTTCTGATTTCCTTCTGTTAAGTTAGAAGTTTCTTTAACAATAAAAGTAAAACCCTATTTGCTACATTCATTTTTATTAATGATATCTATAAGTTTTTGCTTTCTCAGATATAAGTAATATTTATAAAATTATCCAACCACAATGAAAACTTTTAAAAATTAGCACATGTGCACGTACAAACAAATACACATGCATACACAAACTTCCATCCACCTCTCTGTTTCTCACTTCTAATTTGTCTTAGTTTCATTTTCATATGTATTTTCATGGTTTATAATACTCAACATTTTGCATATTAACCAAAATTCCAACCATTCTTCAAAGTTAGTTCAAATTAAAATAAATTCAGTATGTAGAACTTTGTTACCATAGTTCCTCCATTTCTATGCATTTTATTTTGCTTCATTTCTTGGTTGACTGGACTTTAAGACCACATCTTTTTTCAAGAAAGGCTCATGGGTGACGTTTACTCTGAGTTCTACCATGTATAAAAATGGCTTTTGATTGCCTTTATTCTTGAACACCAATTTGGCATGGCACGAAGTCTTTGGGTCACACTTCCCTTCCCCTAGAGCAGGGTACACCTTGCCTGTCTACATTGCTTCACTGTCTACTAGCATTAACTGTTGCCTAGAAAAAAAAAAAAAAAACAGCAGAAACTAGTCTATTCCTCATTCCCCTCTCCAAAGGGGAGTGTGTGTGTGTGTGTGTGTGTGTGTGTGTGTGTGTGTGTGTGTGTTTGAATGCCTTTAGGAGTCATTTTTTATCTTAGAAACAATAACTTATACAGCTATGTCTCACATTTGATATGTTTCTCTTTAGATGTTTTTCTGCTAAATCAAATTTTTGAAGACTTTGTACACACTTTCACTTTGTGTATGTATTTTTTTAATTCAGTGTTTTTCTGTTACATTATAAATATTGTTTTCTACCCAATTTGTTCTCTTTTTCAGAAACATTAATCATTTATATGGCTGTTTTCTTCTATAATCCTAGCTAAATTTTCTGGATCACTTTTACTGCTTTCCTATTTCTTGTTATTTTATCTTATTTTTCTAAACTTGTCCTTCACAAATTTTGATGTTTGGTAAAGTTTTAACTCTACTTTTTTTTTTCTTCTAATGATGATTCAATTTCTCTAATGGTTTTATTATTCTCCTCTAAATTTTTTAAAAATTAATTTAGTTCACTTTTTATGTCTATACCCTATCATCTTGTTTTCTTCTTTTATAATGCTTTATGGACTTCTTTCTTTACTGAAGTTAACTTTTTTCTTTCCAGACAATGAGATATTTTTTTCTGAATACTTTTAAATAATTTTGGTTTCACTTATTCTTCTGATTGTACATTTTATATTCTTTTTTGCCTGGTTTCAGTAATGTATTTCCCTCTGAGTATGGGGTGAAGGTTTGTTCATATACGTACTCCCACATGTTTTTGCACCTATGTATTATACATAGGTAAAATACTGAATCTTATGATGTTATCAATTATCTTTGAATGGAGGCCATTCTTTCACACAAGCTATTTGCTTTGTGTAAACAGAAGAGAAAGTTGAATAGCTGGAAGCTTAGTTTCTGAGGTATTAACTCAAGATTCTTTCTTATCATATCTGCTATGTCCTCTTCCCTGGGGGCATTCTTTTCCTTAGAAATCAATTTCTTGGTTTCTATAAGAACGAGTCTCTGTGTTTCCCTTAAACCTTAGAGTCAGGATTTTCTATATAATTTAAGTGATGATTTAAATCTGTCTATCTCTCAGCTAATTCTGCCATGGAAAATAGATTACAGAGCGGCTCTAGCAACAAACTTATGTTCCAAGAAGGTGTGAAGGAGATGGATTTAGAGAACACCACTGTCTCTGTGGTGGGCACTGTCACTGTGCCCAAGAGACGGGTCAAATCAGAGATTTTACCAGCTGATCATTCAGCCCTCTAATGAATGAGTATTTTATACAGCTTAACCCTGTGCAATTGCTTATCCAATCTGCATGGGGAAAATTATATCTTCCCTTACATCATCACCTATCCAGTCACCCACTCAGAGTGAATAATGTCAATGTCAAGAGGATTTGCTAGGCCACTGTCTGGCTGTGTTTATAGTGGTCCCAGAATATTTGAAGCTTTAAAAGGCCTAAAACTTAATAAAATAAAAGAAAAAAAAAGAAAAAGGATTTCTAACAACTACACTCCTGCTAGAATGACAAATTTTTAAAAAGTTGACAGTACCAATTGCTGGTGACAACATGGAGCAACAGGAACTCTCATTCGTTGCTGCTGGGAATGCAAAACGGTACGTTTTGCACGCTTTGGCAGTCTCTTACAAAATCAAACATTGTCTTGCCATGCAATCCAACACTTGTGCTCCTAGGTATCTACCCAACTGATTTGAAACTTTATATATACATAAAATCTGCACATAAATATATATAGCAGCTGTATTATAAATGCCAAGAGCTGGAAGCAACCAAGTCCTTCAGTATGTGAATGGATAGACAAACTGTGGTACACCAATTCAACAAAGCGATTAAAAAACAAGTTATCAAGCTATCAAAAACATGGATGAACCTTAAATGCATACTGCTACGTGAAAACCTCGATCGGAAAGGCTACATATTCTATGACTCCAATTACAAGACATATGGGATGGTAATTTGTGGCAATAAAATTACACTCTCTTCATAAAATAAAGTAAAATGGAAGGGAATGGAATAAAATGAAATGAAACAAAACATAAACCTATTTCAACACTGCCCTTAATCACTATAACAAGCAATTTCAGCCAGCATAATACTGAACAACTGGAACAGCAAAGACACCAGCCAGTAAGAACAGACTCTCAGCATACTGAAGCACTGTGGCTGCGTTTCAGCCCCATGTCCCGAAAAGAAACCACCGTATTCACAGATTCCATCTCCACTTCCTAGACACACAGTAAGACTTGCAGTAGGCTGAAATCATATGACTCATTCTGGACAATATAATGTGGCCTAAAGGAATACACAACATATTCAGGTCTGATTTCTAAAATCTTCAGTAAGAACCTCTCTCTCTTCTGTAATAATCCGTGGAGGCCACATATTTAACATGCTGACATTGCAAGGAAAAAGGCATCTGGATCTTCAGGTTTCTACTTACAGAGGAGACACCAAGAGGAGACACCCAACTGACATTGGACTATGATACGGAGAGAGAGAATTTTATAATGTTATGACACTGAGATTTTGGGATTATTACAGTAAGAACAACCTTCCTAACTGGTTATTTATCAAGCCATTTGACATCTATTTCTATCAATAATAAAATATCTGAGTTCATGATTTGAGTTTTAGAAGGTTAGGGCAGGCAAGAAAAATAGAAATTACTAATACCTGCCTGATTGCAGACTGGACTCACATTCTTGTTTAAAATGGCACTATTTACTTCCAGAAAGACCTACTGAAGTCTATGTTAAACAAAAGCCTATGTGCACTATCTAGTTCAGAGAATTCTGAATTGCATGCTTAGATCATTGAGGACAGTTGATTGTGAAGCTGAAGATGTCATTAATTAAAATTATATTAATAAAAAGAAAGTTTAAAGTCATTATAAAATACTTTATCTCATTTTTTCTCCTCATTGGTGTATATGCTGATCGATTTTAAAATGTTGAGGTTTACAGGGGTGAAACACAAAGTCAAGATCATATATTCAATTAGGAGAAGAAGCAGAGGTTAAAACTCAAAACTGTTAGACCCCTAATCTAGTGCTCTTTCTTTACACTGTGCTTTCTCTGAGCCTATAAATATGTTCCAGTCTCAAGGGAGGTATCTGGTCAATTCAACCTCATGTTTATCTCAAGAATCAAACATCAAAATTCAAGAATGACCAGCAAACACTAAGGCCCTTTGAAGTTCCCAGTGCACTGCCTGGATGGATATTTGCAACAGCCGGAATGCGGTCTGGCTATTAGGCTGTGGCACTCAGTGCTGTATGGTGTTGAGGGTAGGGGCTTTCTTTTGGCTGACTGTGGCTTTGAATATCGCCTCCGTAGTGCACCAGCTGTGGAAACCTGGACAATTTCTTCCCTATCCCTGAGCATCAATCTGTGATTATTTGTGGTGAAAAAGTAAATTCTATCTTCAAAGTGCATGGAAAATTACCTGGAACAAATAAGATATTCAATTCACCTGCAGTCATTGTAATGTAATCATTGTAATGGTAACCAATAGGATTTGGAGAAGTTTAATGGGAGGTGTTTAGCACTTCTAATGGCTTATAAGGTATTCAGTTACCACAGAGTCTACTGTGCTGGGTGTCAGCTGCCTCAGTTTGACCAAGACACCTCTGAACTTCTGTGGAACACATACAAAGGCAGAATCAACATCCTCCTCGACTTCTCCCACAATCCTGCCATGATCATAACAGGTGGTTGCTGATGCAAAGTAAGAGATATTCAAGGCTCCCTTCATATTCTAAATTGAATGGATTGCCTGATTGTTTGCTTCCAACAATGGTGGCCTAAAGATAAATTTTGGAATTGTGGTACAACAGCTTCTCACACTACTTACCAAGTCTTTTCATTCATAAATGCTGAATATGACTCAGCTTTACTTAATATATACTATTTGGAGGGAAGAAAGACCTGTTAGGTATTCAAAAACTTTAGTGATTTTTTACATGTTTATGTTGATGATAAAAATAAGAATTCTTTACAGAAAATACTTAAAAATATAAAGTAGAAAATAAAAATCACCTTTTCTCCTACCCACCATAAATATGCCACTTCATTTTAAGAGGTTTCCATTGTATTTTTAATGTGTGCTCACATGTATTTATGTGTAGATACAATATGTCTCTAATATATTTAGCATTATGGAGAGGATTAGGTTTGGTGACTATTTTAAAAGATGTGTAGCCTTATTTTTTTCCAACTCTACAAAATAACAAACTAAAGGAAAGGTTTGCCAAACAGGAAATTTGTATTTGATGAATAAGTCTTTAGCCTTAATAAACAAACACAAAGGAAATTGTATGTTGATGGCCCTTGTGAAATCCCTACAGTGTCTGGAAGCACTGCCTTTTAAACAGGTGAAACATTCTCTTCCCCCTGAGGTCTTATTTCCATCATTAATTTATTTAGAAAATCTTTTTTACTTCTGGATAACACAAAGTTATGTTTGAGTACAGCCTGAATTAGTGGAGCCTGAATTAATGAGATTTATCTTTATTTAATTCAACTTCTTCAAGCATGTATTCTTCCAATAAAATCACCTCAGGATGCAAGAATGAAACAGTAATGATTAAAATATGCAAGAGCAGAGTGCCAGTTCTGAGCATACCTTAAGAAATCGATGAGACACCATTAAGGCTTTAAATCATGCCCCCAAACCAGGAGGTGAGTGGATTGTGTTTCAGCTTGGATAAGCAATTCCAGGCCATACGCTTGCCATAGAAAGTACAACACAACCTCTAGGTCTCTGGAGGTGCAATTTGAGCTCTGCCGGCAAAAGCCTTGCAGAAGTTGCCAAGGCAGGCTGCAAGGCCCAAATCTGAATGGCAATTGAACTGGTACAGACTGAGCACTAGGCTCAGTAGAGCATCTGGTCCAAACCATCATGGTTGGTGAGGGATATAGGTACTGAGGGCACTTAGTCAAATCATGAGTGGGTGTTGGGAATAACTGAAGAATGGGGCAAAAAGAGGTAATTGGAAGTTGGGGAGAAAATGGGGAGCTGATGTGAATGACAGGGCAGAAGTAGGTGTTTTTAGAGTGCAAATAAGATGTACCACTCTCTCATCTATATCTTGACTGTATCCTGCAAATAAGTCTGTCTTTGTTTTGGGAGTCCATGTTTCTATGTTTCATCAGCATGCTCTACTTCTTAAAACTGAGGGTAAACCCTTTGAGGCAAGGACTTCATTGTTCTTGCAGCCTCAAAATATAGATTAACATTTAATACATAGCTAATGCTTAATGAGTGCTCAATAAATGAACAAATGAATGAATGAAGCTGAGACACAGAAGCCTAATGTTTCACAACAGCTTTTTTTAGTCTATAAAAGGGGAGAGAGTTGAGACAGGACTAAGAAGTGGCTGATGGGGCCAGGTCTGAATATCTGGCCACATTCTGATAGAGGCAAAATAGCTTGAGAAGAACTAAAGATTTATGCTTATCTTATATTTCAGGCACAGTCTTTTAGAAATAGTCCTGGGTCTTTAGGGAGGGAGGTTGTTTTCCTCAACTATATGGTGCTAATTGAGTTCAATGAAGGTTGTTTATTGCTTTTTTGTATTTTAAACATTGGCAGTATCTTATGTCATGGAGACCCTCAGAGTCAGAAGTCAACAATAAAAAGCACAGTGTTTGCCATGAGGTCAATGTAGAATGTTGTCGGAGGACATGTCCTGGCCTCCAGGAACACTGGGAGTTCTAGTTCTGGCAGCACTGCTGACTTTCTGAAATATCCAAGCAATTTTCTTTCCTCTCTGTCACTGAGTCTGCATAGAAGGGCACCTATTAATCAGAAGCATGTTCCATGAATCTCTCTACTTCCTCACTTATTCCTCATGTAAGAATGCAGTGACTGTTCTGACAGTTGTGTTTGAGAGATCAAGTGACTTTCTGGCTCTGTCTCCTTGCAAAGTCGTGCATCAGTCTTCTCCCTAACATGCCATAAGCTTGGGAGGGAAACTCATTCCTCACAGAGGACTGTAGTCATCCAGGGCCATTTGTGACTGGGTGGGTGTACCCATAATTCTGGGATGTAGTCATAGAGAGCCCTTTATCATGTGCACCTAAGCCACATCCACAGTCCTCTCCTTTTTCAGTGAGACAGGCAAAACATAGATCTCCAACTGTTTAACCATTCTCAAGGTCAGCTGGTTTAGACTGCAGGTGACTTTGGACCCCCTAAAACACCATCAAAGAAGGCACTTTACCTTAGTGAGCCCAGGAGTCCTTATTCACAGAATGGATATGCCAGCTCAGTTGCTCTCAGGAGTGTGAAGAGGAATAAAGAAGATGATGAGTGGGGAAGCAGATAGTTATATAGGGGTGCCCATGACTACCCTGAAGCTTGATGATTTACTGGAAGAACTCACAGAAGTTGTTATATTAACTGTTAAAGAGCATTACAGCAAAAGACACAAACTAAAATCAGCAAAGGGAAAAGTTGTATAGGGTGAAGTCCAAGCGAAACTGCTCATGCAAGCTTCCAGGTGTCCAGTCCTTGTGGAGTTGCATGGACACTTTAATTCTCCAAGCAACATTGTGTGATAATACATGTGAAGTGTTGCCTCACAGGGAAGCTCACCTGAATCTTGATGTCCAGGATTTTTAGCAGGGACTGGTTACATAGACATGCAACATCTGTATAACTGATCTCAACTATTTTGATTCCAGATCTCCAGAGCAAAAACAGGGATTCACCATAAACAACACTTATTAGCAGAAGCTATCTGGTCAAAATGGTACAGCATGGCCCATGGCCCTAAGCATACAAAAATACTCTCATCAAGCAGAATAAAGCAAGGCTCAGAACCCCTCTCCTAAGAGTTGGCCAAAGACCAGCCCTGAAGACAAATCTTGCTTGGGAATGTGCACGGTTTAAGTAACCCAGCTCTGCTAAATTAACTTTTGTTTTCTGCCCAATATTTAATTATAAAATGCTCATCTATGAGATTAGGTTTCCTACTATAATAGAAAAGTGCTGATAATAATGAGATCTGTATTTCAACTAGAAGTTTGGTACACTCAAGCACACTGTAAAAACTTTCTGAATTGAGGAAGATTTCTAGTACATTTTCCTTTGCTTTGAGGTAGCAAGCCATTTAACTGCAGTACCAAGCACATAGTAGGTGCTCACATTTGCTTGATTTGAAAGAAGGAAAGAATGGCTTAATAATATGAGCGTGAGTGTCAGACAGAGCTTGTGTGACTCCTGCTACTCCAAAGTTTCAAGACCAAAGACACTTGCTGAGAATCAGTTTCCTATTTAGTAAAATGAGGGTGGCCATGTGTATCTTGCCTTCAGAGTCTTTTAGAGAATTAGAGATATAGATGCACACGTCAGTGTCAGGCACATAAGTGATAAAATGGTCCTGTTTCATAGCCATAGTCAGAAGTCAATTCATCCTAAGAAGGCCCACTGCTTACCTATGACTTTATTCTGCATGTACTGAACTGTCAATAAGACAAACCACCAAGAAACGTTTAAACAAGGATATGGTCATGCCAGACCTTTGCTCTGATAACTGTGAGAAAGTGCCTCAACCCAAGGATGTGCATCTTCTCATACAACAGGATCCCTGCTTTTTTTACACTCAGCTTGAGGTTTCCATTCACTTTCCTTCTTATCAGATGTCTGAAAAGTACATATTAAGGCTTCAAACATTTTATTTTTTAATCAGCTTATTAGAGAGTTCCACATACCATAAAGCTGTTATATGGCAGCAAATCCCAGCTGCTGTGAAGAGTTTCTTGCAATGTGACAGATTTAGGTCAGTGTCATTAACAAACTTCCAGATTGATGTTGCCAGCTTGATGATCACAGAAGATGGCAATTCCCTTTGCACGGGGACGGAGGAAAAGAGGATTTGTCACACTAGATAATTCTGCACATTCTGGCCCAGGCAGAAAAGATGTTAAATATCTACATGGGCTTTCAGCAGAGCATTGGAATTGGAGTCAAAATGTTTTCAATCTTGCCTTGTCTCTGCAATTGATTCACTGCATGATCTCGGTGAGGTCTCTTTACTGCTTGGGCCTCTGCCTGTGCGTCTCTGAAATGAAGGAAATAACATATGAATGCTTCTTTTTTTTTATTCAACAAATGCTTACTGAGCACATACCTGGTGCCAGACATTATGCTTGCAGTAGGAATGCAACAGAGATCAAAATAAGTATTCCTCTTGCCTTAATATACATTGTGACTTTCTAGTTGCTCTATTTATATATGATGGATATTAGTTTATTCCACAACATACAGATGCTAGAAATGTTACATGTCTTTCTTTTTAAAATATATTATTTCTGGTTCTGAATTGCCTCCCACCTGATTAGCAGGATGACCACTGCACTCATTAATGAAGCTCCCTGCAACCTCCTTCTGGAGACTGCATCAATTCTGCACATATGGCCCCAGGAAAATGAGGCAGAGGTCCGGTTAGTGGTCAAACCACTGCCTTGCAAACAGTCTCTGGAAATGTTGTGAAGGCATCCTTTGAGGGTGCTGCTTCCATGGAGAGTCACACTGAGGCCACTTGTGGTGTCCTCTTAATGGTCTTACAGTCTTCACAAGAGGACCTAGATACTGGCCTCAAGGACACACACCAGGCATCCATTTTCCAAGGCACCTAGGGCAGCAGTTGCATTGATCCAGTTCTCCGTAGGAAAGCAAAATGCAGGTCTCTATCCACCCATTCTCAGGACATCTGAGCCGGGATTGCCCAAACAACCATTCTCTCTTTTGATTCAAACACATATCTCTCTCCACCTGGCCTCTACCTACCTCTACAATGATTGCCTAATTTTTAATGGGCCACTGTATTCGTTTGCTAGGGCTTCCATAACAAAATACCATTGGGTTATTTAAACAACATACATGTATTTTCTCAAAGTTTGGGAGGCCAGCAGTTCTAAAATCAAAGTGTCAGCAGTTTCGGAATCTTCTGAGGCCACTTTCCTTGGTCTGTTGATGACTGTCTTCTTGCTATGTACTCACAAAGCCTTTTCTCTGTGGACTTACAACCCTGGTGTTTCTTTGTGTGTCCAAATTGTCTCTTCTGTAAGGACACTAGTCAGATTGAATGAGAACTCACCCCAAAGCCTCATTTTAACATAATCATCTCTTTAAAGGCCCTATCTCCAAATATAGTCATATTTAGAAGTACTAAGGGTTCAGACTTAAAACGTATGAATTTTAGGGGTACCCAATTCAGCCCATAATATTAATCATCACTACTGCTGCATGGGATGCCATTTTTCTAAACTCGGATAACAATGGCAGCTATGAAGATTTGCAATTCAGCTATTCTGTTAATCTCCCAGAGGGAGTTGTTTTTGTGTGTGTGTGTTGTTGTTGCTGTTGTTTTCAGGACAGCCTCTGAAACGAAAAGGAAGGTGTGTTGTTGTTGTTGTTGTTGTTGTTGTTGTTTCAGGACAGCCTCTGAAACTAACAGGAAGGTTTTAGAGGCTGCTGGTCCTTCTCAAAGATAGAAAAGAGAACTTAGAAGACAAATACTGCAGTATGTGCATGGTACATATGAATATACAGAAAGGAATTATCATATGGATGGTTACCTCTTGTTCATTAATCATGAGCCTATATTCAAGAAAATAAGACACAGTTAATCTCTCAATTGGGGTATGCTGCTTCATTTATAATAATAATGAATAATATTAGCTATATTTATTTTGTTTATACTATATATCTGTGCTTTATATGCAGAATCTCCTTTGATTCTCCAATTTTAGAAAGATATCGTAAGGATCAAAACCAGAAATTTGTGCAGATAATGTGCTTTCAGAGGAAGGGTGAAGAGGAACCAGTATTTATTTTGTTCCTTCTAGTGCAAGGTGCTATTCCAGATATTTTCTCTTCATAGTCTCTTTTAATCCTCACAACAACCCCATAAGGTGGGCAACAATATCTTCATGTAAGAATAATAAAATTAGTCTCAGAGAGATTAACTAACTTGCCAAAGTTCACCCAGCTAAGTCATAGTGCAAGCCAAGATTCACTCACAAGGGAAATTGACTCCAGAAGCAGTGTGCTTAGCCACTATTCTAAAAAGGTGAATGGTTAGGATGAATATTTTGGGTCATCTCTGTTCTGGACAGAACTCAAAATGAGACAGGTCTTTTGGAGCGGATCAGTTCCTGGGCAAGTAGTTGGTTCACACACAGCTGCTACAGTGTGTGGGAAGATAACTACTTCAATGGGTGTTACCTGGTATAGGGAGGATGAAGATAATAGAGAGTAATGGAGAGGTAGTCTAATCAAACAGCATCGGGGGCAGCCATAATAGTACATGGAAATGGGTGACAGGGATAAGCCCTATGACTGATAGTCTTGTAACAGGCAAAGACAGAAGAAATGACAGGTAAATGGATGCTACAAGCTCATGTGCAAGAGCAGGACTCTATACATCAAAGAAGGAGTGCGGATGTGGCAAAAAAAAAACAAAAAAAAAAACTAGCAAGGTTCCCTTTCTTCAGGGACAGGGAATCTAAGAAGGAAATCAAGGAGTTCAAGAGACTGGAGCAGGGATCCAAATACTGTGGTACAACAATAGAGTAGGATGGGATAGCAGAAAGGCTGAATGGATGCTGGGTACTTTTGATTATATTTCGTCATGCTGGAAATTTTGCAATGGCTGCCAGTAGCTCTTAGGATAAAGTCCAAAATCCTCATATGACTTGCAAGACTTCGTCATATGACTGCCTAATACCCTTATCTTCTGCTACTACTACTCTGTGTCCCCATCCCCAGTTCATCCACTTCTCTCATTTCCAGCTGAACTGGACCACTGCCTAAACTGTGTACTCCCCATGGAAAAATGTTTCCTTTGCTCTCTTCATTCAATTTGACTTATCATTCAAGACTCCTATTAAACATCAGATCCTCAGGTGCTTTCTGCAACCTTCCCCTCCCGGTCCAATCTAGGTTAAGAGTCCATGTCGTGCACTCCAATAGCATCTTAAACTTCCCTCTCCTTAACATGTATCACACTTAAAAACTAATGCTCAACTGCCTATCTGAACTGCAAGCCTCAAAAAATATGCGTTGAATGAATTAACATAGAGTTGAACTTTAACACCTTCAGTCTCTACTGACTAAGGATAATATTTTCTCCATATCTTACTTTGAGATTGAACTTGTAGGTGGTAACCAAGAGGCTGCAGCTATTGGGAGTGATTGCCTACAGGAGCTGGCAACTGGGTGATATGGTTTGGCTGTGTCCCCACCCAAATCTCAACTTGAATTGTATCTCCCAAAATTCCCACATGTATGGGAGGGACCCAGGGGGAGGTAATTGAAACATGGGGGCCAGTCTGTCCTGTGCTATTCTCGTGATAGTGAATAAGTCTCATGAGATCTGATGGGTTTATCAGGGGTTTCCACTTTTGCTCCTTCCTCATTTTTCTCTTGCCACTGCCATGTAAGAAGTGCCTTTAACCTCCCATCATGATTCTGAGGACTCCCAGCCATGTGGAACTGCAAGTCCAATTAAACGTCTTTTTCTTCCCAGTCTTGGGTATGTCTTTATCAGCAGCGTGAAAATTGACTAATACACTGGGCATGTCCTGCTGGCCTCAATTGCCACATCAAAATTCAGTGAAGCAGACTCACCAAGTTCTTGGCTTGGCAAATCTCTCTTAACCCACCAAGTGTTTGCAGTGCTTGAAGAAAATAAGAATAATATTTTTCTCTATATTTTTCCACTAACTTAGATGGATTATTTTCCCCTTTACCTGCCTTCTGTTCATCCTTACCCCTCAGAGGACTCTCTTCCCAGTTGCCTCCAATTTGCTGGTGTCCCTTGTGTTGGAGGAGGGGTTTTAAAGGAAAGTTTGGTCCTTTTCAGGACTGCAGTAGCAACCCTTAATGCTACTAGGACAGAACTCACTCCACTGTTCCTGGTGGGGTTGCTAAGCAACATCCCTGATTGCCTTGAAATGGGGTGAGGCTATAGGAAGCTTTGTCAGGGGAGAGGACACTGGGAACAGTCGCTGGGAGCTCCTTCCCTTACAAATTTAGTCTTTCATTCTCTTGTTTCCAGATTCCCTTTTTTTTTTTTTTTTTTTTTTTTTTTTTTTGGAGACAGAGTCTCTCTCTGTCTGCCAGCCTGGAGAGCAGTGGCATGATCTCAGCTCACTGCAACCCCCTGTCTCCTGGGCTTAAGCAATTCTTCTGCCTCAGCCTTCTGAATAGCTGGGATTACACGTGTGTGCCACCATGCCCGGCTAATTTTTCTATTTTTAGTAGAGACGGGGTTTCACCATGTTGGCCTCAGGTAATCCACCCACCTTGGCCTCCCGAGGTGCTGGGATTACGGGCATGAGCCACCACGCCCAGCCTAGATTCCATTTTAATTATTTAAAAATGATGTCTCCTCTGATGGTACCCTGCTGCCATTTTGAGTTTAAAGTACATTTGTTGTCATTGGTCACTTGTGAACTCCTGGAAGGCAGAGATTTATCTCTAACTCTTCCACTCAGTTCCTGTGCTGGAGAGGATTTCAGAGGAGACACATACACAATAGGGAAGGCCAAGGAGCATAAAGGGACAATGATTCCAAGTCTTGGTCTTGAGCCATGCCTGGCTCAAGGGAATAATGAAAGCTAACTTCAGTTGAATGCTTACTAGGTGCCAGGAAGTTATAGACAGGGCCTTAACTGCACTAACTCATGTAAGCGATGACACCCTGGCAAAAGATGTGTCCTCATGCCAACAAGATGAAGTAGGAGTTATTCTACCTACATGACAGATGAAGAGACTGAGGTTACAGAGATTTAGTAACTTTCCACGGCCACACAGTTTGTGAAGACCAGAACCAAGAAGTAAACCCCTTCAGGCCTTTGGCCCCCTGCTCCTAACCACTCCATATCATCCTCATGTCTTAACACTTGTGCTAAATCAGTAATTGCAAAACTGAAGTTACCAGCCCTTTCTCGTGCCTTGGTTTCCTCACCTGTATGATGGAAATAATAACTCTGTCTTAGAGATTTGTAAGAATTAAATAAGATACATTTTAAATACCTGGGACATCACAGAGGCTCAGTAAAAATTATATGCCTTCTTTTCCTCTTCTATCAATGTGTGCTGAATCCTAAGACTTGACTGAACCTAGAAGAGCAGAAAATGGCATTTATAGTTCCCTTTTCCGGAGACATCACTTATAGAAGTAATGCTTTCGTAAACATTTAAACTTTCTTATTATGATAAGGTGTCTTCATTCTGCCTGTCAAAAATTTCAGTGTCACCATAAGAGACGGGAAATTGGTTCACTTCTTATGGTCAAGGATAAAAATTCTTGGAATTTTGGGATCAGAGAGACACAAATAATATGAGAAAGTAGAAAGACAGAGGATGCTGAACAAGGACAATGATGCCTTCACAGGGCCCCACTTACTGTCTACAGAAGTCATTCCTCCTCCTCATTCATGCTAAAAATCCCCTCAAGCTATATTGGTCTACATTTATTGGACCTCAGATAGGTTTTCACGGGGCTTGGACCAGACTGTTTCCCCGCTCTACCCACTATGATGAAATATGGGAACTGGCTGAGCTGGAGATCAACGGCCTTCATTATGTGCCTTAGTGCTGGGGAACAGACTACAGTTTTCATCTCCTGATCTAAAATACCCATGCCACTGCTCAGTGTCTGCCCATTTCACTCCCTTAGTACCACTCCTTCCCAGACAAGAGTGATGCACAGTCAATACTGCTTTGCCAGAGAGAGCTGGCAGCCCTACCTGGAGCCAGCAGGCTTCCCTGAGGTGTTTGAGAAGGAGTAAGAAATGCATCTGTGCTCTGAGTCAGACTACATTCTTCCAGATGGAAAATCTGCCCTCCAGAACAGGCGGAAGCTCTATGATTCCAGGTGTCAGTACATTTAGCACTATCCAGATACACTTGACTCTGGCTCACGGAGGGATTTCATGGTTCTGTATTAAAGGAGAGGTACCAGATGCCTTTAGAGTCTGAGCTATCCTTACAGATAACTTTCTTAGAGCATTTATTTGTATCTTTTGGGGAAATTGCATTTGGCAAAGTTAGAAGACCTGTTTATGGAGACTGACAAATCATAATTCCATCATGGCCACCTGTCAGATTACTTGGCTGCATGGCCATAGTCAAATTACTTCACTTTTCTAAGTCTCAGTTACTTTGTGTGTAAACTGAAGTGTTAATTAGACCCACCTCACTGGGTTGCCATGAAGTTAAATAAGATGTTATGATCTGAATGTTGGTTATTCTCCTCCAAAAGTAATGTGTTGGAACCTAATACCCAAGTTTTAGGGTATTATAGTTTTAAGAAGTGGGGCCTTTGGGAAGTTATTAAGCCATGACCCTACAGTCGCATTAATTGGGTTAGTGACCTTGTAACAGAAGCTCAAGCTCCCTTGCCCCTTCCACCATGTGAGGAGAACAAAGCAATAAGGCCATCTATGAGGAACAGGCCCTCATCAGACACTGAATCTGCTGATGCCTTAATCTTAGATTTTCCAGCATCTAGGACTGTGAAAAATACATTTTTGTTGCCTATAAATTACTCAGTCTCAGTATTTTGTCATAGCACTCCTAACAGACTAAGACATAAAATAACTTGCATCAAATTCGTACTATAGTACTTGGCTCTCCCTAGTGCCATGAGCTCAACTAATTTTAGTTTATTATTAAGATGAATTTGTCTATCTATCTGTTTATCAAAATTATATTTTTTATTTGTGCCATTTATTTAACAAATAGATAGGCTCCTTACATGCCAGACACTGTTCTAGGTTTTTTAAAAGTACTTAATTCTTATAACACCCATTTTAGGGAGGACCTACTAAGAATCTCCATTTTACAGAAGAAACATTTGAAGCAAGAGAGGTTAAATATCTCAGTCAAGTCACACAGCTGGTATATAGCCAAGCTCTATGTCCCATTTCCTGTCTTGAAATCTGTGCTCTTAGCCACAGCTGTATGCTCCCTGTTATTTTCTCATGTCAGGAATAAGCTTGAGTGTAATGGTGAAATCACTAATCTGGGAATTAGAAAATTTGAGTTCTAATTCTGGTTCTGTAGGTGCCTGAAAATTCAGGAAAAACCCAGAACCTGGGTCTAGTCTCTAAGCTCAGAATACTTTTGTGCACTCACAAAATGTTAGGTGACATTATTATTAATTTATAATTATCTTTTACACCATTAACACCATATAATTAACAAACCCTTGGCAGTGTTTATAATCATCCCTAATTTATAAAGGCATTACAATCTCCTTATGCATTCAGGCCTGTGGCAAAGTCAGTACAATCTCTGCTCCCTGGTTAAAGCTTGAGGGGAATCACTAGACAGGGAAAGCACAGTCATCTCTGGTGACATCAGCACAAAATTCAGACTTTCAGTGTGGGTATCCCTTATTTCTCCCCATCATCAGCTCTGCAGCTTTTTGTTTAAAATTTTTATCCAGGCCATTTTCTTCCTGGACTGGGATAAATACCTCCATCTGGAAGTTTCATGAAGACTATGAAGCCTGAACTGTGGAAAAGGCTCATTGTCCACTCTTAGGGAGAGATTGGCCCTTGAGTAGAATCAACACAGTTTCAGGGGACACCTACCAAGTGAGGGATGTTGGGAGTGGAGGTCAAATATTCAATCAGAGAGCAATTCAACTTGTGATTCATGAAACCTATTTGTTTATTCCAAGCTACTTGGCAGATATTTTTCTTTTACTGATTTAACAATGTCTCCTTCAAACCTCATGCCCACCATTATCCCAGGTTCAGTGATCTAGATGCTTTCTGTCTACTGATTATGCCATATATACCAAGGCATTCTTTTTCATCCTTTAGCCTAACTCTTTACTTGCCAGTTTAGAAGCCTCTTTCTTTCAGTTAATACTCACAAATAATGTATCTACTAAATAAATGTGTTTCTATGATATATTTCAAGGTTTTGTTAAAGTGACCATAACTACCATTCCTATCAAGATGTTTATCTTTATATAAAGACTGCCTTCTCTGATGGGCAGGAGGGTGCTATGCAAGTTATATTAACTTGGTAAGTGATCCTAGTTCAAACTATGCATGAAATAGTGAAAAGGAAACTAAACTCATGGTTTAGACTAGATCAGAGGTACTCACCCAAGGCTGGTAGCATTCCAGAATGTTCAAGAAAAGTTGTTAAGGCATCTGTGAAATATTTTTCAAAAGTGTATATGAAGGTACATTTTTATTGGGAAGGAACCTAGATAGAGCTTTTGATATCGCAAAGAAATCTGTAACTTTCCTCAAATTAATTAAAATTAAAGAGATTTGTAATTTCCCCCAAGTTGACTAGGTGACAAGTTTATTTAGTAAACGTGATGTTATTTCCCACTCATTGGTTCAAATCTATCCCATTGCATTCTTTGCATCCATGTCAATTTGTGAGTTTGCTGAGAAGGGAGGAGGGTTCCAAGACAAAGTAGTGAGAGAATATACTATGTTCCTTGACTGCAAATGCTGACAGTTAGATCCAATACTGAAAAGTAAGGAATGGCATCACATGTGTAACTGCAGGTCCTGGTAACAATTTAGAGAGAGAAGGAATATTGATAAGAGTTTACTCAGGCAGCCTCCTCCTTTTAGGTTTTTAGAGTTGCTAAGGCTGGAGTCACTGATAAGCAATTCTCAAGAAGAGATCGACCTCCACTCAGCCTAAGATTATTATGAACATCCAAGGATTTAGTTGATCCTTAGTTGGAAAAATGTCTATGTATAAAATTTTGGTAACAAGAAATTATATGTTTATATATATGTGGTCTGGCAGCATATATATTTGTGTGTGTGTGTGTGTATGTGTGTATATATCTATATAGATATGAAGAGAGAGAGAGTGTTTGGTAACCCATTAGTATAAATATCATGGGGTTGATCCTTGATTCTTATACTGACTAGAAGATTAGACTAGAAAACCTTTTACTTCCAGACAGTAAAAAGAGGACTAAACTCACGGTCAGTGTTCAAACTTTTGGTATAATCCTCTCTTTATACAAATTCTTTATATAAATTATATAATTATATAATTCAAAAAGTTGAAGTTTTAAAGATCTGTAACATCTTCTTTAGCCCTAAAAGTCTATAATTCCACCTGTGCAGTCTTCTCTCCATTTGTCCTGGTAAATTAATCCTCTGTAACTCTAATAAAGTAGTTTTCCTAAAAATCTATCTTGACTGCCACGAACAGTGCTACATTAGCTTTCTTTTAGTCAATATGTGTCTAACATATTTTTGTCAATTCTTTTATTTTCAACCTTTATCTACTTTTAAATTAATAACTTGTAGTCTCTGGTTTTTTACTGACCAGTTTTATCCAATTATGTTTATTGTGATTATCTGTATAGTAAGTTTCGTTATTGTACATGTTTGTATGTGTCCAGCTATTTTAATGATTCTTTTGTTGTCTTTTTTGCCTTCTTTTCAATTGTTTTTTTCTCTATTAACTTAAAAGTTATAGGATCTGCATCTATTATATTAGGGGTTAATCACCCTTAGTCTTGGACTCTATGGTCTCTACCCCTGATCATTTATCACCGTCTAGTGGATGGATCCGTATCATTATTATCATTTTCTTTCTACATAACAGAGTATAGGATAACATATTTGTCATTTGGATCATTTTATCAATACAGACAACCCAACAAGATACTCCACATTCCAAATTATATTCTTGGACTTGAATAATCCCAAAGCCTCATTCCTATTGTGTTCACCCGTTTTGCTCCCCCATCTTTCTTCCACTTTGCAACATGTAGTCTCTGGACTACATGTAACTTTGATTTTAATCACTGAAGGGAGCTTTGCTGTTAGTGTGACCTCTTCTTGCCCTTCTCTTTGAAGGGGGCAGATGTGCCAGGGTCCAGAATTTTCCAATGATTTTATTTGATAGCTAATTAATGTCCTTCTGTGGTTTCCATAGCAATGCCACGCTTTGCTGCCAGGCCTTATCCAAATAGGCATTCTGTTCACTCTTGTGTCTTAGCATCAGCATATTAATCAGACACCATAGGTCCTTGGTTGCTGCATCAAATTGGTAAGACACTAATTGAATTAAAATATCACTTGGAGGCTTCAGGCTTCTCTTCCAGCTAGAGGGGAACCTTATTAGCTCAAAGGGCCAGCCAGACCCAAGCAGGAAACATTTGGAAATCCACACAAATTTTTGTCCTTTCATAGCAAATTTTTTTTTCTCACCATTGAATAAATATTTTGATGTCTGAATCCTTCTTTCTCTTTGAAAATTGTTCTGTTTCCCTGACCTTTCTAGTCATTAGACAATGCTGTATTCTTTCTATAAGATGAAGTGACTGAGTTAATATTTTCAAGGTGAAGGGAAGAATTTTTCCTACAACTGCAGTGAATGAAGTCTGGAAAAGAACTCAGATTGAAGGTCCTAATTGAATTGTGATAAGGATTAAGTAGCACACTGCATATGAAGATTGCTTAGCAATCTGTAAAGTACTGTGTAAATACAAGGGCTTATTACATTAGGAGTCTTTGGAAGTGCCTGGAAGGTATAGATGAAGGAGAAAAGAAAGGGAGGGAACTGAGGAACAATTAATCTTAAATTCATTCTTTAAATCATGAAGATTATGGATAATTGTTTCTACTGCTCATATAGAGTCAAAATCCTCACTCTCTTTGGTAGGTTTACTATTTCAAATAACACCTTTTAAAATCACTATTGGAACTGACCCTTAAATATGCAATGCATATTTATACTTTATAATCGTTTTCGCATCCACTGTTCCTTTGGTCACTCTATTCTTTTCTACTTGCCCAACTCCTGATCATTTTTCTACACTTAGAATGAATAAGTCCTTTCTGTAAAGGCTTTTCCAACCCCATAAACAGAGTTAACACCTCCTTCAGGGCTCCTCTCTGTGTGCCTGACTGCATGAAAGCACTGATCATGGTAAACAATAATTATTGTTGTTTTTTAAATTGGTTTATGTGTCTGTCTTTTTCATTAGTTTATGACTGGCACAAAAGCATGAATGATTTCCTTTCAAATCTGTGTATTTTGGACATGCCCCATTCACCTGCTAGGTGTTTGAGAAATGTTTGGTCATTGACTGGCCTTCTGCCAAATTTCATGCTTGATGGATAAGCTGTGATGTGACCTCTGGCATAAAGGATTTTCAACCTAAATGAGCACTGAACCTTCTCAAAATCTGAGGTCCAAATACCTATGTCAGTGTAAAGTGCATGCCACCCTGTGAAAGTTGGTATGGAACATATGCTAATTCATACTAAAAACTGAAATATTAAAGTTGGAATTTACCATTCTTAAAAAAAAAAAGAATCTTCTTCCCAGACACACTTAGACAAAGTAGATAATTCTTTACCTCTATGCATTGAAACCCTCCCATTCTTTCACCTTAAAATAAGCTACACTAGGGATGGTGTTCACTTTGTGTCCTGCTAACACAGACTTCAATAACCTCTGAGACAGGTCTGTGTATTTTATCCAGGAGGACATTACCATAAGAAGGAAATGCACATTGCAGAACTGGAGCCAGTGGGTGAAATATGCAAAGCTGATCAAAGTATGGAAGGATATTCCAATTAGATCTGGTTTATAACACAAGCTGGAATGGGAGCTATTACTCTTCTTCCGTGAAATAATGTTAATAATTCAAAGAAAGTGGAAGATAGAGCTAATTAGCTAGCTCCCTGTCCCTGGTATGATCTAGTCAGTGAATGGTGGTGATTTCCCAATGATGAAGAGATTTGCACTGGGAGAAGTTTAGATCACAGTAGTTCTATTTTCTCTTCCAACCTTAAAATTTTGTGATTCTGCATTTCTCTTCCAATGCAGAAATGAGGATCCAGATGCTCAGGAGGAAGCTCTTGCAAGCACTACCTTAGCAAAAAGATGAACTCAGAGTTTCTGGAGACTAAGAAGTGATGTTTGACCAAATCCTTTACAGAACTGCTTTCAAATGAGCTGTCTTTGTTGGTCTTTCATCCTGATTTAACCCCCAAGTTAAAGCTGTCTTTCTTAGTCTATCATCCTGATTTAACCCTCATAAGGCCTCTCACCCTTTCACAGATGCCAAGGAAGTGGCAGTGTTTATATTTCTGTGTGTGGGGAACGGGAGTGGGTGTATAGGTGGTAGATGTGCATATGTATTATCAAAGGAGATTATATATATTTAGACTTCTTAGGGAATTCTGTCTGGCAAACCAATGCAATACTAAAACTTACCCTGTTTTTTGGTCACTGATTTTATTTAAACTAAAACTTAACTAACTAACTTTACCTTTAATATAGAAAGAATTTCTGGGAAACCTAAATTTTTTTTTTTTTTTTAGAAAGCAAAGGGGGAGAAATTTCTTCAAACTCTCTCTCTAAACAAACAACCTCAGACTGAAAAAAAACTTCATCCCTTGGCAACTATGTTGAAGGAGAAAATACAAAAGCAGCCAGTGTAATTTGGAAGAAGGTGCACTGCCAAGGGAGTCAGAAAGTGAGGGTCAAGCCCTCATTCAGGCAGTAACTCTGGGTGTAATCATGGGCATGCCATTCCTCTCTGAGCCTATTATTTCTTTCTCAAACTAAGGAGTTTGATGAGCTGATATCCAAAATTACTTATTGTCCTGTGACTATGTGAATGTACCCCCTCCTAATCCCACCTACTGGCCAGCTTGCATTAGTTTTAATGTATTCAGAATGAAAGATGCCCTATGGGTAAGATAGCATTGTCACTGTATTCCCACCCCTGTGTGAGAAAGAGTCAAAAAGAAGAGAAAACAAACACACACAAGGAATTAATTAAGCATAAAGAGGGAATAAATCTTAACCGAAGAAATATCTTCTTTATCTATGTCCATTTCCTCCAAAAAGGAAAAATGGCAGTGTCAGTTGTACATTACATATATCTCTCTTTCTTTTTAGTGTTTAATCTTAGCACCTGCACAGCAGAGATCTTTACAATTCATTGCATATGCTTTCTCCCTTCTCCCCCAATACAGCACCTGAGGCCTAAGAAGCAACTCCCTCAATGCTCCACAAAAGGCTGAGACCCTTCTTCATGACAGAGTGAGTATAGAAATAACAAACATGCCCAACGCTTTTATACAGTTGCTAGAACGTTTTCATTTCCAACAAATGAAGATTTTCCTCCTTTTCTTTGAATATTAATTACATTTTACAAATTTTTGTGGGTTTTTTTGTTTTGTTTTGCTTCATTTTGTTCTGTTGTGTGTGTACAACAACAGGAAAAGTCCATGGCAAGGAGTCCCGGGTTAGCAGAGTTTGGCTGTCATCTGGTCCGACTGTTTGAGGATCTCCGTGTTGTACAGGTCCAAGGCGTGGTTCACCCTGATGATCTCGCTGTTGGTCAGTTTCAGGCGGTGTTTCAGCATACAGGAGAACAAGTCCAGCTGGGGTTTCCCCGGGGCCACAGGAGGGGCCAGGCGATTAATTCGGTCCCGAATATCCAACAAGAGGAGCATCACTGACGAAGAGGAATAGAACTGGCCGCCCTGTGTGTAGGACTGGTTGACCTGCTGCACTGCACTGCGCAGGAGGTCGGCGTTGAACCTCAGGCTATACCCAAACACCTGCACGTCTGAGATCTTGATGTAGAACTGCCTCTTGGAGGGATCCGACAGGTCCACGGGGCCCTGGCCAGTCTCATTTCGCAGTAGGGTAGGTAGCCGAGTCCGACTACGTAGGTAGATGTGGACCGTCTCGAAAAATGTTTTCCACCGATTGCCCAGCAAAAGAGTCCAGTTGTAGCACTGGCTGTTTTGGAGACGGATCTTCTCCCAGCGTGGGTAGCCAAATTCCCCGAAGGGCATGTTCCAGCCCTCCGAATGGCTCCCGCTAAAGGGGTTGACATAGACAAAGAACATGGGGTCCAGGCTGCTGTTGCGCATCTGGCAGATGCGCATGGACATGCCGATCACCATGTGGATGAAGTCCATGCGGTTCTTGTTGCTCTTGAGAGTGAGGGACATGCGCTTGCGCCACCGAGGGTCAAAGAAGGTGTCGAGGCGGATCTCGTTGCTGATGAAGGTGGTGTGGACGTAGAGGCGTGAGTCCATCTTCTGCAGCAGGTACTTCAGCTCCAGGTCCTGGAAGTCCAGGTCAGTCTCAAAGCTGATGAACTGCTCGCTCCGCTCCGAGTCCACGTTCTGTGGTTCACAGCGGCCTCGATACAGCTTGTAGCCCTTGTTGCAGGAGCCGCAGAGGGAGATGTTGGCCAGGCTGCACATGGCGCAGCTGTTGTTCCCGCCTATCACGCAGGGGATGGGGCGCTGGCACAGCGTGGTGCTGCCGTGGCACACGCAGCTCCGCTGGCTCTCCAGGAAGGTTCCCCAAAACCCATTCTCATTACAGTAGAGGAGTGACTGGACCCTTGCAAGCCACTGCTGAATTGTCCTGGGAGATAAAGGAAAATTGGAGAAGGTTAGCTACCATGAGTGGGTCTGTGAGTTACAGTTATCCAACTGATAATGCGAACTGGAGCTGCCAAAAAGATGAAAGGACTGGATGGAGCAGTGACAATACAGGAAGGGCATCGAATATAAACGTAAGAACTACATTGTAGCTCCTCCTAATGCCACAAACCAGCTGCATGACATCGTACTTTACCTTCCTAATGTTCAATGTCCTCATCTGCAAAGTGAAGGGGTTGGAGTAAATGTTCCTTGGGGTCCTTCCAGCTCTTTGATTCCATTATACACTAGTCCCAGAAAAGTGTGATTCAGGAAATGAAAGTGTCTAGACTCAAATACCCCTTCTGGATGACAACATATTGTAAACAATCAGCAATGAAAAAGACCTTAGGGGTTATTTGTTTACTTAAACCACATGTTTCAACCCCCATTACAGATTCCTCCCATGAGGGTGTATAACATCTACCAACTTCAACAAAAACAAATTATATTTTATCATACGCTAGAAATCATGTAGTGATTTCTATTGATGATCTTACATGATCCTCATGGTGGTTTTTTAGAACATGTTAGAAAGGGGTTATTTCCCAACAGATGATGGAGAAGGTGTGGAGAAACAGGAACACTTTTACACTGTTGATGTGAGTATAAGTCAGTTCAACCATTGTGGAAGACAGTGTGGCGATTCCTCAAGGAGCTACAATGAGAAATACCATTTGACCCAGCAATCCCATTATTGGGTATATACCCAAAGGATTATAAATCATTCTACTATAAAGACATGTACACGATGTTTATTGCAGCCCTGTCCACAATAGCAAAGACTTGGAACCAACCAAAATGCCCATCAATGATAGACTGGATAAAGAAAATGTGGCGGAGGAGCCAAGATGGCCTAATAGGAACAGCTCCAGTCTACAGCTCCCAGCGTGAGCGACGCAGAAGACAGTGATTTCTGCATTTCCATCTGAGGTACCGGGTGCATCTCACTAGGGAGTGCCAGACAGTGGGCGCAGGTCATTGGGTGCACGCACCGTGCGCGAGCTGAAGCAGGGCGAGGCATTGCCTCACTTGGGAAGTGCAAGGGGTCAGGGAGTTCCCTTTCCGAAACAAAGAAAGGGGTGACTGACGGCACCTGGAAAATCGGGTCACTCCCCCACCGAATACTGTGCTTTTCCGGCGGGCTTAAAAAACGGCGCACCGCGAGATTATATTACCGCACCTGGCTCGGAGGGTCCTACGCCCACAGAGTCTCGCTGATTGCTAGCGCAGCAGTCTGAGATCAAACTGCAAGGCGGCAGCGGGCTGGGGGAGGGGCGCCCGCCATTGCCCAGGCTTGATTAGGTAAACAAAGCAGCCGGGAAGCTCGAACTGGGTGGAGCCCACCACAGCTCAAGGAGGCCTGCCTGCCTCTGTAGGCTCCACCTCTGGGGGCAGGGCACAGACAAACAAAAAGACAGCAGTAACCTCTGCAGACTTAAATGTTCCTGTCTGACAGCTTTGAAGAGAGCAGTGGTTCTCCCAGCATGCAGCTGGAGATCTGAGAACGGGCAGACTGCCTCCTCAAGTGGGTCCCTGACCCCTGACCCCTGAGCAGCCTAACTGGGAGGCACCCCGCCAGCAGGGGCACACTGACACGTCACAGGCAGGGTATTCCAACAGACTTGCAGCTGAGGGTCCTATCTGTTAGAAGGAAAACTAACAAACAGAAAGGACATCCACACCAAAAACCCACCTGTACATCACCATCATCAAAGACCAAAAGTAGATAAAACCACAAAGATGGGGAAAAAACAGAACAGAAAAACCGGAAACTCTAAAAAGCAGAGCGCCTCTCCTCCTCCAAAGGAACGCAGTTCCTCACCAGCAACGGAACAAAGCTGGATGGAGAATGACTTTGACGAGCTGAGAGAAGAAGGCTTCAGACGATCAAATTACTCTGAGCTACAGGAGGACATTCAAACCAAAGGCAAAGAAGTTGAAAACTTTAAAAAAAATTTAGAAGAATGCATAACTAGAATAACCAATACAGAGAAGTGCTTAAAGGAGCTGATGGAGCTGAAAACCAAGGCTCGAGAACTACGTGTAGAATGCAGAAGCCTCAGGAGCCGATGCGATCAACTGGAAGAAAGGGTATCAGCAATGGAAGATGAAATGAATGAAATGAAGTGAGAAGGGAAGTTTAGAGAAAAAAGAATAAAAAGAAATGAGCAAAGCCTCCAAGAAATATGGGACTATGTGAAAAGACCAAATCTACATCTGATTGGTGTACCTGAAAGTGATGGGGAGAATGGAAACAAGTTGGAAAGCACTCTGCAGGATATTATCCAGGAGAACTTCCCCAATCTAGCAAGGCAGGCCAACGTTCAGATTCAGGAAATACAGAGAATGCCACAAAGATACTCCTTGAGAAGAGCAACTCCAAGACACATAATTGTCAGATTCACCAAAGTTGAAATGAAGGAAAAAATGTTAAGGGCAGCCAGAGAGAAAGGTCGGGTTACCCTCAAAGGGAAGCCCATCAGACTAACAGCAGATCTCTCGGCAGAAACCCTACAAGCCAGAAGAGAGTGGGGGCCAATATTCAACATTCTTAAAGCAAAGAATTTTCAACCCAGAATTTCATATCCAGCCAAACTAAGCTTCATAAGTGAAGGAGAAATAAAATACTTTACAGACAAGCAAATGCTGAGAGATTTTGTCACCACCAGGCCTGCCCTAAAAGAGCTCCTGAAGGAAGCGCTAAACATGGAAAGGAACAACCGGTACCAGCCGCTGCAAAATCATGCCAAAATGTAAAGACCATCAAGACTAGAAAGAAACTGCATCAACTAACGAGCAAAATAACCAGCTAACATCATAATGACAGGATCAAATTCACACATAACACTATTAACTTTAAATGTAAATGGACTAAATGCTCCAATTAAAAGACACAGACTGGCAAATTGGATAAAGAATCAAGACCCATCAGTGTGCTGTATTCAGGAAACCCATCTCATGTGCAGAGACACACATAGGCTCAAAATAAAAGGATGGAGGAAGATCTACCAAGCAAATGGAAAACAAAAAAAGGCAGGGGTTGCAATCCTAGTCTCTGATAAAACAGACTTTAAACCAACAAAGATCAAAAGAGACAAAGAAGGCCATTACATAATGGTAAAGGGATCAATTCAACAAGAAGAGCTAACTATCCTAAATATATATGCACCCAATACAGGAGCACCCAGATTCATAAAGCAAGTCCCGAGTGACTTACAAAGAGACTTAGACTCCCACCCATTAATAATGGGAGACTTTAACACCCCACTGTCAACATTAGACAGATCAACGAGACAGAAAGTCAACAAGGATACCCAGGAATTGAACTCAGCTCTGCACCAAGCGGACCTAATAGACATCTACAGAACTCTCCACCCCAAATCAACAGAATATACATTTTTTTCAGCACCACACCACACCTATTCCAAAATTGACCACATAGTTGGAAGTAAAGCTCTCCTCAGCAAATGTAAAAGAACAGAAATTATAACAAACTATCTCTCAGACCACAGTGCAATCAAACTAGAACTCAGGATTAAGAATCTCACTCAAAACTGCTCAACTACATGGAAACTGAACAACCTGCTCCTGAATGACTACTGGGTACATAACGAAATGAAGGCAGAAATAAAGATGTTCTTTGAAACCAACGAGAACAAAGACACAACATACCAGAATCTCTGGGACACATTCAAAGCAGTGTGCAGAGGGAAATTTATAGCACTAAATCCCCACAAGAGAAAGCAGGAAAGATCCAAAATTGACACCCTAACATCACAATTAAAAGAACTAGAAAAGCAAGAGCAAACACATTCAAAAGCTAGCAGAAGGCAAGAAATAACTAAAATCAGAGCAGAACTGAAGGAAATAGAGACACAAAAAACCCATCAAAAAGTTAATGAATCCAGGAGCTGGTTTTTTGAAAGGATCAACAAAATTGATAGACTACTAGCAAGACTCATAAAGAAGAAAAGAGAAGAATCAAATAGACGCAATAAAAAATGATAAAGGGGATATCACCACCAATCCCACAGAAATACAAACTACCATCAGAGAATACTACAAACACCTCTACACAAATAAACTAGAAAATCTAGAAGAAATGGATAAATTCCTCCACACATACGCTCTCCCAAGACTAAACCAGGAAGAAGTTGAATCTCTGAATAGACCAATAACAGGATCTGAAATTGTGGCAATAATCAATAGCTTACCAACCAAAAAGAGTCCAGGACCAGATGGATTCACAGCCGAATTCTACCAGAGGTACAAGGAGGAACTGGTACCATTCCTTCTGAAACTATTCCAATCAATAGAAAAAGAGGGAATCCTCCCTAACTCATTTTATGAGGCCAGCATCATTCTGATACCAAAGCCAGGCAGAGACACAACCAAAAAAGAGAATTTTAGACCAATATCCTTGATGAACATTGATGCAAAAATCCTCAATAAAATACTGGCAAACTGAATCCAGCAACACATCAAAAAGCTTATCCACCACGATCAAGTGGGCTTCATCCCTCAGATGCAAGGCTGGTTCAATATACGCAAATCAATAAATGTAATCCAGCATATAAACAGAGACAAAGACAAAAACCACATGATTATCTCCATAGATGCAGAAAAAGCCTTTGACAAAATTCAACCACCCTTCATGCTAAAAACTCTCAATAAATTAGGTATTGATGGGACGTATTTCAAAATAATAAGAGCCATCTATGACAAACCCACAGCCGATATCATACTGAATGGGCAAAAACTGGAAGCATTCCCTTTGAAAACTGGCACAAGACAGGGATGCCCTCTCTCACCACTCCTATTCAACATAGTGTTGGAAGTTCTGGCCAGGGCAATTAGGCAGGAGAAGGAAATAAAGGGTATTCAATTAGGAAAAGAGGAAGTCAAATTGTCCCTGTTTGCAGATGACATGACTGTATATCTAGAAAACCCCATTGTTTCAGCCCAAAATCTCCTTAAGCTGATAAGCAACTTCAGCAAAGTCTCAGGATACAAAATCAATGTACAAAAATCACAAGCATTCTTATACACCAACAACAGACAAACAGAGAGCCAAATCATGAGTGAACTCCCATTCACAATTGCTTCAAAGAGAATAAAATACCTAGGAATCCAACTTACAAGGGATGTGAAGGACCTCTTCAAGGAGAACCACAAACCACTGCTCAATGAAATAAAAGAGGATACAAACAAATGGAAGAACATTCCATGCTCATGGGTAGGAAGAATCAATATCATGAAAATGGCCATACTGGCCATACTGCCCAAGGTAATTTACAGATTCAATGCCATCCCCATCAAGCTACCAATGACTTTCTTCACAGAATTGGAAAAAACTACTTTAAAGTTCATATGGAACCAAAAAAGAGCCCGCATCGCCAAGTCAATCCTAAGCCAAAAGAACAAAGCTGGAGGCATCACACTACCTGACTTCAAACTATACTACAAGGCTACAGTAACCAAAACAGCATGGTACTGGTACCAAAACAGAGATATAGATCAATGGACCAGAACAGAGCCCTCAGAAATAATGCCGCATATCTACAACTATCTGATCTTTGACAAACCTGAGAAAAACAAGCAATGGGGAAAGGATTCCCTATTTAATGGTGCTGGGAAAACTGGCTAGCCATATGTAGAAAGCTGAAACTGGATCCCTTCCTTACACCTTATACAAAAATCAATTCAAGATGGATTAAAGACTTAAACGTTAGACAGAAAACCTAGGCATTACCATTCAGGACATAGGCGTGGGCAAGGACTTCATGTCTAAAACACCAAAAGCAATGGCAACTGAAGACAAAATTGACAAATGGGATCTAATTAAACTAAAGAGCTTCTGCACAGCAAAAGAAACTACCATCAGAGTGAACAGGCAACCTACAGAATGGGAGAAAATTTTTGCAACCTACTCATCTGACAAAGGGCTAATATCCAGAATCTACAATGAACTCAAACAAATTTACAAGAAAAAAACAAATAACCCCATCAACAAGTGGGCGAAGGACATGAACAGACACTTCTCAAAAGAAGACATTTATGCAGCCAAAAAACACATGAAAAAATGCTCATCATCACTGGCCATCAGAGAAATGCAAATCAAAACCACAATGAGATACCATCTCACACCAGTTAGAATGGCAAACATTAAAAAGTCAGGAAACAACAGGTGCTGGAGAGGATGTGGAGAAATAGGAACACTTTTACACTGTTGGTGGGACTGTAAACTAGTTCAACCATTGTGGAAGGCAGTGTGGCAATTCCTCAGGGATCTAGAACTAGAAATACCATTTGACCCAGCCATCCCATTACTGGGTATATACCCAAAGGATTATAAATCATGCTGCTATAAAGACACATGCACACGTATGTTTATTGCGGCATTATTCACAATAGCAAAGACTTGGAACCAACCCAAATATCCAACAATGATAGACTGGATTAAGAAAATGTGGCACATATACACCATGGAATACTATGCATCCATAAAAAATGATGAGTTCATGTCCTTTGTAGGGACATGGATGAAATTGGAAATCATCATTCTCAGTCAACTATCGCAAGAACAAAAAACCAAACACCGCATATTCTCACTCATAGGTGGGAATTGAACAATGAGATCACATGGACACAGGAAGGGGAATATCACACTCTGGGGACTGTTGTGGGGTGGGGGGAGGAGGGAGGGATAGCATTGGGAGATATACCTAATGCTAGATGACGAGTTAGTGGGTGCAGTGCACCAGCATGGCACATGTATACATATGTAACTAACCTGCACAATGTGCACATGTACCCTAAAACTTAAAGTAAAGTATAAAAAAAAAAAAAGACAAAAAAAAAAAGAAAATGTGGCACATATACACCACGGAATACTATGCATCCATAAAAAAGGATGAGTTCATGTCCTTTGCACGGACATGGATTAAGCTGGAAACCATCACACTCAGCAAACTAACAAACATAAGAACAGAAAACAAAACACTGTATGTTCTCACTAGTAAGTGGGAGTTGAACAATGAGAACACATGGACACAGGGAGGGGAACACTACACACTGGGGTTTGTCAGGGGTTGGGGGGCTAGGGGAGAGATAGCATTAGGAGAAATACCTAATGTAGATGATGGGCTGATGGGTGCAGCAAACCACCATAGCACATGTATACCTATGTAACAAACCTGCACGTTCTGCACATGTATCCCAAAACTTAGAGTATAATAAAAAAAAGGGGGGGTTATTTCCCTGCATTTTTCCAGAGCTCCAAACTCTCCATTCAGTTGATTTCTATTGCAGCCTCTGGGCCCCCTCCCCACAGGCCCTCAACACTATAAATGATACCAAAGTCTATAATCTGATTTCAGCCACCAAAACATTCTAATGAAGACAGATATTCCATCAGATAAGAAGCAGCATCAGAGTAGGAACAAATATGCAAGGCAGTCAGCTTAGAGGCCTCTCATCTTTCCTTTTTTCCATTCAAGTCACCCTTTGGCTGTCTTCCATGCTACCAATAAACTCTTGTGTGTCTAGCACTTTTTACCCTGCACAGGGTATATTCACTCCAATTTTCTCGCTTGAGCCTCACAGCAACACCCTAAAAATACCTTGGGACTTGAGGTCAGTCAGAGACAGCTGAAAATCCTGGCTCCTCCACCTGCAAGCTGAGGTAATGTTGGGCAGTTTTCTTCACCTTCCTAATCATTCCCACCACACAGAGCTATGTGAGGATTATATGAATTTTTATGTGAAGGCTTAACCCCAAACTTGGTACTTATTAAGAGCTCAATAAAAGCGGTTGTTATTCCTGCAAAGGGACTGTCAGCAATATTTTACAGACATGGCAATGGAAGCTAAGGGTGAAAGGACTGCTCAGAGTCAAACAAACAATCAGAGTAGTCTCCTGGCTCACAGCTGTGGCTTTTTGCATTGTCTGTCAAGCGAGAGTCAAGAGCACCTTTCCTAAGGCTGTCGTGCTGTGGAGATGGTGATGGTGATGATGACGATGATGCTCTCAGTGGTTCCTGATCTTCATTTTATAAAACTAGAAACAGAAGCTAATTTGCATTGTACTCTCTGTGGTAGGAAGTGTTAACAATCCATCTATTCTATCACTTCCACTGATGAGCCACAATCCCCAAACCACAAACACCAAGAGCCTAATTAGGCAGTAGAGCCTAATGTTGAAAAGTATGGTTGTTGGCCCAAGCGGAGCTGAGTTCAAAGCTGCATTCTATAACCGGGATCAAGTCACTTCATCTCTTTTTAAGTCTCAGTATCAATATCTAAAATGAGGATAATAAAGCCCATCTTAGGCAGCTGGTGAGAGGATTCAGTGAGATAATATATTTAAAGTGCTTAAAAGAGCCTGGCACAGAGCAATTACGGAAAAGGTAATAATAAAAAGTACTCTTATCCCAGAAAATAAGCTCTTCCTTTGAAGGTATTGAGACACTCTCGGGGATTTCACTATCGCTCTGGAGTTTGAGGAAAACCATTTTGTTATATCCATTTGAAAATGGATACTGTTGAAATGGCTTCCCAGCATGCTTTGCTTTCGATGAGTTGCTTATCGGCTGGGAAAAAATGGCGGAATAATTAGTGGGCTCCTTGAAACCCTCTCCTTTTTAAATCCACAGAACCACCCGGACCTGGCGATAAAACCTCCCTGACAGTATTCAAAACACTGTATTGAAACCCCTCGTTTCTTTGTCAGTTTCCCCTCCAGGCTCTTAGGCTTGAGAGGAGAGGTCCCTTCTTCTCCGAGCACCTAGCCCAGAGGCTGGCTCTACAAATGCTTGCTGAGTGAATCAATGTTTGATGAATGAATGCATAAAGAATATTCATATTTTTCTTGTTAGTTTTCATTTAAAAAAGGAAAAACAAACTTCTACCTCTCCCCTCAGGACTGCAGTATTCGTTTTCCGTACCATCCACCCACACAGCTCCAGGCCTCCCCAGTTTCTGCTTCGTGAGACCAATCCTATTACAGCCTGGAGAACAGCAGCAGGCCCAGCCTTCAGGAAACGGAGCTGGAATAATAATGAGCTATGTGGCTCCCACCTCCCAAACCAGAACATTGACTGAATATTGGGTATGAGTCATCTGATATTTTTGTGAGCTGCAGGGGCCCTCCACACGGCCCTGATTGCGTGGTTCCATCTGACGAGAGCGTCATTTCAAAATGCCCCTTTCACATGGCCCACACTTGCCCCTGTCACTCCCTCTCCAAGTGACAGGACAGTACCCCATTTAGAGTTCCTCTGTTCCCATCTGCAAGGCATTCTATAACCCCGTAGAGCGCCCCCTTTCTCGTGTCTCATCATTGGGACCCTTTGTAAGGACCACAGCCCCCACTCCTTGAATCAATGCTTCATTGTGGCTGAACTCTCAGAATCCTCGGTGAGGGAAATAAAAAGATGAAAGTTCCTGGTGATGCTGCAATAAGCAACGGGGCTAGTGGCAAATTAGGATTCCAGCCCTGTCAGGCAGGAGGAATTGGGGACAGAGGGCCTCTGAGATACATTCGCGAGCTGCGTGGCACCTGCATCTCCTGACCTCAGAATAATCATGAGGTTGTGGGCTGTATCAAAGAAGGCATTAATGATACAGCAAGAGGACTTAGAAAGCAGGTGGTGTTCACGGGGAGCAGGGAGCACGAGGCTGAGGGAAAGAGGAAAGAAAACAGAGGGGAAAGGTGGAGAGTGGGGAAGGGTGATAAGTGGAGAAAAGGACTTGGTGTTGGAGATGGTGGGGAAATGTGGAGCAAATGAGCAGACACAGGCTATGGAGGAGACCCTGGACAGGGAGGATGAAATGGAATGAAATTAGAGTGGGTAGGATAGAGACAAAGAGATGCAGCCAAGGCATCATCTGTGTTAACTCACTCACAGATTTGGGAAAGAGCCCAGGCGGGGGTTCCTAATTCAACTATTGGATGGGCCATTTAAGGGTGGGCTAGTTGTCCATTCTCCTCCCTTTCTAGAGAGGCCAACTGCAGAGACAGTGGGGGCAGAGAGGTAAAGCAATGTTACCAGTGAGTCCTGATCCCCCAGGTCAACAAACTTTCTTTTGCTTTTCCATATTTCATTTTGAGATTAGAACCACAAAAAGCTCATTTCATTGTTTGTGTGTGTGTGTCTTTTGAATACAAGCAAATTGCAATAATGAGGAAAAACCCTCAATCAAATCAATCTCCTATACCTCCCCTATCTCCAGCCAGTTCTCTCAGTAGTTATCATGGATAGTCATAAACTCTACAAGGTTCAATTGTAGGCAGTGTCCTAAACCAGCTGAGAGCATCAGTGACTTACAACTATTGAGTTCTCACTGTATACCAGGCATAGTGCTGGAGGTTCTTCACACTGTCTCCCTGAACAGCACATGAAACCACCTCCATGTTACAGGCAAAGAAAAATGAGTCCTTGAGAAGTGAGATGACTTGTCTGAGATCACAAAATTTGGTATCTGAATGTGGAGTACCTTTGTGATCTCAGATAAGTTATCAGTGCACTCTCTTCTAGGTATCATAATGTAAAATTATAATGATATGGTGAGTAATAAGAAGAAAGCAAGACACAAGAAAAGAAATAAATTGAAATAACGGAAAAATACTGAAAGTTTGAGCCTGTGAAGGGCCTATTATCACATTCCTTGCTTCCTCTGGACCTGCCAGGGTCCCTCTCCTCCACTCACAGATAATTGGGGCTCCCGACAAGTGCATAGGGGGATGCTGGGGATCAGGGATAGCAGGGATTGCAATCTATAAATACCACTTCCCAGGCTAGTTGGTGATAGCCTTCCTCAACCCCGGCAACAGAGAAGCAGCTTAATAGGCTGCTTCAGAGGGGAGGGTCTCACAAAGGCTGACACAACCCCACTGAAAGCCAGTCAGTGTGAGGCAGGGAGAAGCAGGTTTTAAAGTGCTTTTCTCTGTCCCTAAGGATCCAAAGCATCTTCCATCTGCAGCCAAAGCTGAGATGCAATACATCCAAATCAGCATCTTTCTGTTGGATGGGATTTCAATTCATTCTGATAGGGGGCTGAGAGGAGAGAAGGAAGGAGAAAGTAGGAGAAAGAAGGAAGTTGCATTTTCATTTCTAAACTGGAAAACCCTGGAGCCTGATTGATTGATAGGTACCCACACTGGCTCTGAATAAAGCAGTTTTGACCATTAGAAGCAGGGAAACTTCAAGAAGAAACCTTGGGAATGTTCTTCTTTCTCACGTTTAGGCCTGAACACAGAGACTTGGTTGCTGAGGTCAAAAAAATCAGTGTTTCTTAAGTGTTTTCTACATCATGGCAGTTACCACTTTATCCTCACATCAACCCCATGAGATAGGATTCCCTTGTGATTTTTATCCCACCGATGAGGGCATTGAAGGCCACAGAGAGACTGCGACTCACCTTGGTCACACAGCATGGGAGTAGCAGAGCAAAGTTCAGAATTCTTGGGTCCAAACCCAATACTCCCTCAATGCCCATGCTCTATATTCCCTGCCCTCTAAACCCCCAACTGGAGAAGAAAGAGGCTCTGGACCATGTTAACACCTCAGCTGCCCCCCTGCAGGTTCTGTCTTTGCCTCAGCCAGGAATTTCTGGCAACCTGACAGGTCTCCTGGTGACACAGCATGGAGTCGCTCATCATTTCGAGGACAGTCTCCGTCACCCAGGGCTTCCCATCAGTGCTTTCAAAGGTACACATCTCCCTTTCAGAACCCCCTGGCTGGGGAGCCCAGGCTGGGGTTCCTAATTCAAGCAGACTCCCTGCTGATTTTAATTGGAGGTTTTGCCTAAGATGGGAATACAGTGTGGGGCCAGTGGCATTTTAGGGGAGATCATACAAATCGAGTGCCAAGGAGAGAGGAAGAAAAACAGATCTAGGTTAAAATAGAAAGCTATAATCCATAACTCCCATTTGCCTACCAGGAGTGTGTATTTAAAAGTACAGAGGAAATGGAAAAAAATGAAATTGGAGCTCTGCATTATTCTTTTATTTATGCCCTTTGCTTTTTCCTTGGCATTTCTTTGACACTGTAATGGGTGCCCAAGTAATTCTGTGACTCCACAAAATGTGTATTCCACAGACCACAGACTAAACTGAGAAGACAAACAGTTGTTTTTTTAGGTTTCTGATGATGCGCTGTTCTTTAGTTGTGCTGTGTGTGACTCTCTCTGTGCATGTGTGTGTGTGTGTGTGTGTGTGTGTGTGTGTGTGTTAAAGAAGTGGTATTTATAAGAGATGAATACGTCAAGTCAGTGGTGTCAGAATACTTGAGATTCCGCTGAAAACAGCCTCAGAAATGCTATGGATGTGCTAGTATGAATTATAACTGGCCATCAGACTCACTCTGTTCACTATTTTTCCCAGATAAATATTTAGCTTTTAATCATTACCCTCTTTGAGTTTCTAACATTGCTTTAATAACCTGTTTTTCCTTCTCTCAGTTCTTCACATGGTGTCACAGCCTCATTAAGTAGCTCATAATAATAAGGAAGAAATACCAAAAGAAAATGTTACGGTCCCTTGTCATGCTGAAACTATTTTCTAATTTTCAATTGTGGAGTGAAGGTAATAGGTCTTACTGGAGAGGGCAGAGGAAGATGGAAGAAGGAAGAAGGAGAAGAGCATCAATGTAAAAAATCCAATAGGGTCTTTAAAATTAGGTTGTCAGGAGCCTAATTGAGGAGGATTACGAAACAATTTTTGCAATTACACAGTTCTGTGTCTGGAAGGAGGTGACAGGCAACATCAGCTGCATATTCAAATTCAGCATTTTGCTTTGGGGCATGAATGTGCTGAAGACAAGTGAAGGAAGGCGCCCGGAGCTTCTCAAGGGTGACAGAAAGGCTAAAAACAGCAGGACACTCCCTGGTGGAGGGCTACAAGAGTGGTTTATTCTTCTTGGGCAGTAGTTAGACTGTATAATAACAGACTTCAACCAAAAAGCTATGAAATAAGAGGGGACTACCCAGGGTCTAGTGGGCCTTAACCCTGAAGTACAATAATGGTCATCTAGATCTATGATCTTGGCAGTGAGAAGCGGTGATCACAGGTGAGAGAGTAAGTTAAATAAGTGCTGGGCCCTGCTCTACCCCTATTTGACCTTGGATATTTGGCCTTGCTATTTGACCTTAAATAAGTCACCTGACCTCTTTGACCTTCAGTATTCTTATCTGTCAAATGGGGAAGGTAACATCTACTTTTCACTTTGTCTTAAGAGCTAGGATGGAATATGCAAAGCTCTAGAGAGATTTCCAGTGAAAAGAAGTAATGACTGACCATTACTAACCATGATTGTTACTGAGGGCAAGGAATAACTATGCTTTATAAATGCCTTCAGTAAAATTATTCCTCTTGGTTACTAAAACAGCCCAGTTGATCATAGCCTAATATCTTCAACTCATTGGTTATTCAGTCTCCACAGTTCTAATGAATGCTGTCACCAAGATACTTGAAGAAGAAAGAGCTAACATGAGCTTTGGAATCCAAAAAGAAAAAAAAAGGAGTATTGAGTCATAGCTCTGCTACTCATTATTTAACCTTGAGTTAATTGCTTGTCCTTTCTAAGCTTCAGTTTTCTCAACTACAGAATGGAATAATAATACAATCCTTGCAAGGTTGTTCTGAGGCTCAGATAAGATGATGTGCATTAAGTTTCTAACATATAGTAGGTACACACTGTCTCTCATGCAAATAAACTGTGTTTCTCTTGAGCTCACATAGTAAATGATCCCTCTGAAATCAGTAATTATAGATTTAAAAACTCAGAGTGGGAAAGAATTCAACAAATGCTGCTGGATCAGTTGAATATCCATATTAAACAAAATAAATCTTGACACTTAACTTCCTCTGTACTCCTAAATCAAAACAGATGGCTTGCAGATCTAAATGAAAAAAGTAAAACAACAACATCAACAAAACAACTTTTAGGAGAAAATATAGGGGAGCATCTTTATGAAAGTAGGCAAAGATTTCTTAAAAGTGCTCACCGTAAAAGAAGATAATTGATTAACAGGACTATACAAAAATTAAAACAGATTCATCAAAAGATACCATAGAATGAAAAGACAACTTTCAATGACAGAATATATTTGCAATACCTCTAGCTAACAAGAGATTGTATGTATAAGACATGCTAAGGTCTGAAAGCTTGTATACCCCTCCCCCAAATTTGTATGTTGAAATTTCAATTTCCAAGGTAAAGATATTAGAAGATGGTGCCTTTGCGAGCTAATTAGGTCATGAAAGTGGAGCTCTCACTAGTGGAATTAGTGTTCTCATAAATGAAACACAAGAGAGACTCCTTGCCTCTTCCAACATGTGAAGACACAGGTAGAAGGTGAACCCAAAAGCCCTTACCAGACAACCAATCTACCAGTACCTTGATCTCGGACTTCCCAACCTTCAGAGCTGTGAAAAATAAATTCATGCTACTTATGTGCTCCTCAGTCTTTGTTATTTCATTATAGCAGCCTGAACAGACTAAGATAATACGTAAACAACTACAAATCAGTGAGCAAAATTCAGATAACCAAAAGGGAAAATAGGCAAATGATATGGACAGGCACTTCATCAAAAAGCATATTCAAAAAGTCAATATGCAATGAATCTCCACTTCATTCACTATCAGAAAAATGCAAATTAAACTGGCAATGATATATTACTCAGCAGGATGGCAAAATAAAATTAGAATACAAAATTAAAAAGAAGGTAAGCACTAAGTCATCAAGGTTGTGGAACAATTGAAACTCTCCTAGGCTACTGCTAGGAACAAAACTTGCATCAACAAATTCAGAAAACTGGAAGTATGTATTAAAATAGCCAGTAAGTTGAACATATGAATACAGTACATCCCAGCAATTCCATGCCTAATATGTACACAACCAAAAGGCATATATAAAGACATGTATAAGATTGCAGTACTATTTGGAATAATGCCAAACTAGTCAAATGACCATCAGCAGTAGAAGAGAATTCTATATAAACAATAAAATATTTTTGAGAATGAGTGAGCCACAACTACACAAAACAAAACAAAATGGAGGAATATCTCCATTTAGAAAGATGAAAAGGTGAAAGAAACCAGACACAAAGAGTTCATTTCATATATAAAGCAAAACTGACCTACACTGGATGAAGCAGTGGAAAAAAATAATTCCCTTGGGGAGAAGGTTGATAAGGCTTAGAAGAAGACACGGGGGGCTGTACAGTACAGAGAATGCCTTAGTTTTTGATCTGGTGCTGGTCATACGTGTGAATTCACTTTGTAAAGATTCATCTTACTGTACATTTATGTTGTTTCCACTTTCTGTACGTATGTAATACTTTAGTAAAATATTTACCAAAAAGATTGTCCTTTAAAACAATCAGAATGATATTAATAAGGCAGCAAAACATGACATTTTCATATCACTTTCCAACTTTCTGAAGCTCTTCTGTTTGTTCTCTAATTTTGATCCTCACAATTGATTTGTGTCCCAGGCTGGGTTGAGAGAGTATCATTTCATTGTAACGATATGAAAAAACTGAGGCTCAGAGAAGGGAAGTAACTTCCTGATGGTCACTAGTGACTTGTCACATCACTGGGACTAAAACTCACCCATGCGTGAGTTTGTTGGCAGGACGTGGAGGGTGGAGGTAGACAGGAGAATTGGGTGATGGCTCTGACAGGGGATTAAAAAGAAGCAGTCCATAGAAATTATAAGACTTATGTCTATTTTTGACTAAATCCCCTGAGCTTACAGATTCTATTCCAAACAGGAAGCTACTTCCGAGCCACAGGGGGGGAGAAAAAAAGAAAAAACCAAAAACAACAGAAAGGAACTGGAGATGCTTATTTTCTTGCCTTGCATCAGCCAAGTGAGTCAATTGCCCTACTTGCTACAAATGCAGAATAACAAGCATGGGTGCAAATGGAGAGATTCCTACTAGTGTTGACTTAAATACACCCCGGACAGCACTCGCAGTGAAGCTCAGCCACTGCCACACATCTCCTTGCCCCTCACCTAGATTGTACACCCTCGGTTGCCACCATTTTGGACCTCACTACCTTTTTTTTCCTGCCCATAAATAGAAAGAAAGTTCCGAAGATATTCTCAGCTAAAAGCTTCATTGCCACATAGTTAGAAGGACACTTGTAAGCACTTGTGATTGACAGCCAGATGCCCTGAGCTAGCCTGACTTCACATTGTGGGCTTGTGCCTCTTATTTATAGGACAATTTAATACACACTCAGAATAAGTCTTGGTTGCTCAAATTATACCCCCTGCTCCCCACTCCACACATGCATGCACACAAAAATCAGTAGTCAGGGACTATCAAAGTAGCAACTTCTCCTGGGGAGAGCTGCCTATGAGTTTATAGTGACAATTCCAGAACCTTAAAGCTAAATAACACTTAGGCAAGGCCTGGTCCCTGTGACAGATGAGAAACAGAGTCCAGGGACATTAAGTAATCTGCTTGCAGTCACACGAGTAGTACCTGGAAGCCCAGAACCAGAATCTTCCCCTTGAGGAAGAAGCCTGCACACTTCCCAAAATTTATACTGTTAATCTTCCTCCTAGCCTTCTCCAAACAGGCCTATAACATCTTACCTGGGTGACTGTATACTGAGTGAGAAAAGGAAATAATAATGCTTTCCAAAGACTTTTGCACACTGGCTCTAAACTGACATTAATTCCAGGAGATGTAAAATATCACTGTGGTCTACCAATCAGAATAAGAGTTTATGGAAGTCAGATGATGAATGGAGTTTTAGCTCAGGTCCATCTCACAGTGGGTCCAGTGGGTACTTCCGGTGGTAGTTCCCCAGTCCTAGAATGCACATTGGGGATTATATCATAACTGGAATACCCACCAACTGGTAGCATCCCCTCCCTTCCCTCATTCAGTACCCACACTATCTATACCCCTCTCCAAATAATAGAATAATAGTATTTTATGGTACATTCGCCCCCACTTAAACCAGCTTTCAAGAACACCAAAAAAACATTAACAAGAACAATGACAACACACAACAACAAAATATGCACCTAGACAGCGGCTGAAACCTTAAGATAAATCCACTAAACAACAATCTTGATTGACTAGATTTTAAAGGACAATCTTGCATAACAAAATATTTCCTCACAACATCTCTGAAGAGTGCATTAGCCTTTGTACTAAAATTATCACAGGCTTGTGGTCAGCAAGATGACTGACTAGAGGTGGCTAACACTCGTTGCCCAACACAAAAAAGGACCAAAACAATGAACAAACAACTAAATTTTGACTAAAGTGACTAACGGAGAGCACTGAAGTACAGTAAGGGGGTGGTGAAAACCCTGTGAGGCACAGAAAAGCAGGATGACTCTATAGAGAAGGAAACAAAACATCTTGTCTCTGCTACCTCCTCTCCCCGGTCAGGATTAGCTCAGAACCAGGTGAGCCCTCTCCCTGAAGGGAAAAGTCTTCATGGGCCCTGAGCCCAGTTTAGGGAACTGCCTGGAGTTTGCACAGCTGTACTACTCCAGAAAAGAAGCCCACGTTGTATCCCACTCCCGACCCTTTTATTCAACCTGCTACTGCACTGTGACATTTTGAAAGCAAAGCCCTGCTAGAGTGTGTTTTTCTCTAGTGGCCAGTAGCCACTGCGCTTCTCCATCCCTGAGGCACTGACATCATTGCACTATGATCATACACAGTAGTGCTCCATTCCCCAGCCAAGCTGCTGCAGTTCCTTACCCATGGGGAACAAGCTGCCTGGGAGGCACTCCATCTCCCCCATTTCATTTGTTGCTGTGCCCTGCTCCTGGCACCTGAGCCCAGGGCACTGCCTGGGCTCAGATGTTAGGGTCACAGCCTAGGCTCGGTGGAGCAGGCAGTCTGTCCCAGTGGAGAAGCTATGTCTGGGAAGGTAAGGCAGCTGTGTCCCCTCATTGCCTAAACCAGCCTGTTGCCCCACCCCCAGGGAAATGAAGCTTTGGCCAGGGAACAGCTGCAATTTGGCACCCTGCCCCTCCACGACCAGGTACTCTGGCCCAGGAGAGAAGCCACACCCAAGTCAGGAGAGAAGCCTCACTTTCTGGATGCCTGAAGTAACCTGTACCTTGGCCCCAGGAAACTGAAGCTTTGACACATGGAAGCAGCCATGACCGCATGCCTAAGCCCTGGTGGTGTTCTATCCCTTGGAGACCAGGTGCTCCAGCCCAGCAGAAAAGCCATGCCCAAGCTGGCAGAGCAGCCTTGCACACTTAGCACCTGAACCAACTAGTCTCAGGTAATTGGAGCTTTGGCCCAGGGAGCAGCCACAACCCTGGTGCTTGAGTCCACACAGCACCTGACCCCCAGGGAAGCACAGCCTTGGCTGATCTGTATCACCTTGTCCACTATGTCAAACTGCTACAGTGCCCTACTGCCCTGGATCTGGACCAGCCCTCTGAAGTATGCACGACTGAGAGGCCCTACCTCCAATGCGCAGTAAAGCCAATATTGCACTGCTATTTGAACCCTAGAGCCCAAGCCACAGCCACGCCCTGCCATTCCTGGTTCTTGTTTCTACAGCGCCTCAGAGGATTTGGGTAGCTGTTATGTCCCACCATTCCAGGGTCCAGAGTCACCACTAAGCAGTACCCTCTCTCCTGATGCCCGAGTTGTCTTTGTGCCCTGCTGGCTCTCCAACCCAAACTGCAATTGTATCCTGCTCCCCAGAACCTGAGCCACTGAAACACCTCTTCCTTCCGGGAGCCATACCAGTGCAGTGTCCTGACACCCAGGATCAGAGTCACGGTTACATCGCTGCCATCTGGGCCTGAGCTACTGAAGTGCCTTGGAATCGTAATCCTCTGCTTGGTGGGAGAGCTAAGAAAGTAAAGCTGCACCCATGTCACATGGGCCACAGTATTCAACAAGACACTGATCATAGGACCCCAGTTCCATTGCCACTCTAAGCACCTGTGTCCTGGAAAACAGTGCCACTATGGCTGCCTGTTACCTATATTATACCCAACTCCGAAAGGAATTCAATTCAGCTAAGTCTTCACACTGTGGGAAAAATGAGAACAACAGGATCCCTGAAGCCCTTGTTGCCAATAACCTTAACAATCTACCTTGCCACCACCACTGCCACAAAGTCTTGTAGACTAGGCTATTAAGGTACCCACAGAAATTTCTGACATTGATTACAACTGAAGAAGTTGCATGATGGCTACACCAGTGCGCCCACCCAGAACCAGAATTAAGCACCTTACCCAACTGACACCATAGGACACATCTGCAGGGGAATGTCTTTTTCTATGAGAGCTATTCTATAAAATTATAATCGGTGATTGTCCACTAAATGCACAGATATAAACATAAGGACACAAAGAACATGAAAAAACAAGGAAACATGACACCACCAAAAGAACAAAATAATTATCCAATAACAAATCCTCCAAAATGGAAACTGTGAATTGCCTAAAAAGGCATTCAAGACAATGATCTTTAAAAACAAAACTCATTGAGATACAAGGGAATATCGACAGATAATTCAATAAAATTAATAAAACTTCAAGATCTGGGAGAAATTCAACAAAAAGATATCATTAAAAAGAACCAAAGAGAAATCTTAAAGCTGAATAATTCAATGAATGAATTAAAAAACAAAATTAAGAGCTTCAATAGCTGCCTACATCAAGTAAAAGAAAGAAAGTCTGGACTTGAAGGGAAGTGTTTTAAAATAGCCCAGTAAAGGGGGAATTTAAAAATTGGATAAATTAAAAAGAGTGAATAAAGTATATGGGATTATGGGACACCAGTAAGCAAACAAGTACTTACATGATGAGTGTAAGAGGAATAATAGATGAAGAAAGGCATAGAAGGCTTATTTAACGATATAATTGTTAAACATTTCCCAAGTCTTGGAAGAGACATGAACATCCAGATTCACAAAGCTCATAGGTTCCCAAATAGGTCCAACCCAAAGAAGTCCTCCACAAGGCACATTATAATCAAAATATCAAAGACATCATAGAAATGATTTTAAAAGGCCAGGAAATAATAGGATGATACAGTTAAAGTGCTGAAAGAAAAAATAAAAAAAACTTTCAATCAAGAATATTACACCTAGCACAGAAATGAAGAGGAAATAAAGTCTTTCCCAGACAAAGAAAAGCTGAGAAGATTCATCGCCACTAGACCAGCCTTAGAAAAAATGTTTAGAGCCAGGCATGGTGGCTCACATCTGTAATCTCAAAGACTGTGGAGGCTGAGAGGGGAGGATCACTTGAGACCAAGAGTTTAAGAGCAGCCTGGCCAACACAGTGAGACCCCATCTCTACAAAAGTTTTAAAAATAATCATAAAAAAATACAATTAGCCAAGCATGGTGGTATGTGCCTGTCATCCTACCTACTTGGGAGGCTGAGGTGGGAGGATCACTTGAACCCAGGAGTTTGAGGCTACAGTGAGCTATGATCATGCCACTGCACTTCAGCCAGGACAACAGAGTAAGATCCCCATCTTTAAAAAAAATGGGAAGTACTTCAACTAAAAGTAAAAGGATGACAATTACTACCAAGAAAATATATGAAAGCATAAAAATCACTGGTAGAGGTAAATTCATAATTAAATTCAGACTATCCCATGACTATAATAGTGATATATAAATCTATCAAATCTCTAGTATGAAAGTTAAAAGTTAAAATGACCAAAAATGACTGTAGCCACAGTAAGTTCTTAAGGAATGCACAGTATAAAACATATAAATTGTGGCAACAAAAATATAAATAGTTGGGGGGAGGGTAAAGGTAAAAGGTATATGCAACCAAATTTAAGTTATCAGCTTAAAATGGTCTATTATAACTACAAAATATCTTATGTAAGCCTCACAGTAACTACAAAGAAAAAAAATATTACAGAGATACACAAATGAGAAAAAGAAAGAAACCAAAGATCAGCACTACAGAAAATCACCAAACCACAAAGGTAAACAAGGAAGAAAGGAAAAAAAGGATCTATTAAACCACCAGGAAACAATTACCCAATATCAGTAGTAAATTCTTCCGTATCAATAATGACATTAACTGTAAATATCCAATCAAAAGACATAGAGTGGCTGAGTAGATTGACAAAAGAAAAGACTCAACTATAGGCTACCTATAAGAGACCCATTTTAGCTTAAAGGACACACAGCTGAAAGTGAAGGGATGTAAGAAGACATTTCTTGCAAATAGTAGTCAAAAGAGAACAGGGGTTGCTATGCTTACATTAGATAAAATAGACTTCAAGTCAAAAATTATTTCAAGAGAGAAAGACGGTCATTGTATAACAATAAAAGCATCAGTTCATCAAGAGGACATAGCAAATATAAATATACATATGCACCCAACATTGGAGCACTTAAATATATAAAGTAAATATTAATGAACCTGAAGGAATAAATAAATATCTATACAATAACAGTAGAGGACTTTAACACCCTGTTTTCAACAATGAATAGATCAAGCAGACAGAAAAATAACCAAAATATACTGAACATGAACTGCACTTTAGACCAAATGGACCTAACAGACATATATAAAACATTTCATTCAACATCAGCAGACTATACATTCATTTCTAGAGCACATGGTACATTCTCCAGGACAGATCACATGTTAGGCCTCAAAACAAGTTTTAGTAAATTCAATAATATTACAATTATATCTAGTATTATTTCCAACCACAATGGTATGAAACTAGAAATCAGTAACAAGAGAAATCTTGAAATATTCACAAGTATGTGGAAATAAAAGAACATGCTCCTTAACAACCAATAGGTCAAAGAAGAAATCAAAAGGGAAACTGAAAAATATCTTGATACAAATAACAGTAGAAACATGACATATGAAAACCTATAGGATGCATCAAAAGAAGTTATCAGAGGGAGGCTTACAGCAATAAATAATAAACAAGAAGAAAGATCCCAAATAAATTAAGGAGTTAGTAAAAGAAGAGGAAACTAAACTGTAATTTAGCAGAAGGAAGGAAATAATGACGATCAGAACAGAAATAAATCAAATACAGAACACAAAAGTCATGGAAAAAAAATCAATAAACCCAAGAGTTGGTTCATTGACAAACTAAGCAAAATCAACAAACCCCTAGCTAGACTAAAAAAAAAAAAAATAAGGAAACTCAAATAAATAAAATCAGAAATGAAAGTGGAGACACTACAACAGATGTCTCAGAAATAAAAAGGATCATAAGGGACTATTATGAACAATTATATGCCAACAAATTGGATAACCTGGAGGAAATGGATAAATTCCTGGAAAATGCAACCTATGAAGTTTGAATCAGGAAGAAAAAGAAAACCTGAACAGACCACTAACAAAGACATTGAAGTGAAGTAATATTTAAAAACCTTCCACTAAGGAAAAGCCCAGGACCAGATGGCTTCATGGCTCAATTCTACCAAATATTCAAAAAATAATTGTTACCAATACTTCTTAAATTCTTCCAAAAAATAGAGCTAGAGGGAATACTTCCAAACACATGTTATGAGGCAGCATCACCTTGATATCTAAGCCAGACAAAGACACTGCAAAAAAAGAAAACTACAGGCCAATGTCTTTAATGAACATTGATGCAAAAATCCTCAATAAAATATTAGCAAGCTGAATTTAACAACACATCTAAACCAAGTGGAATTGATCCCAGGAACGCAAGGCTGGTTTAATATATACAAATCAATAAGTGTCATGTATCACATTAACAGAATAAAAGATTAAAATCATAAGATCACCTCAATTGATACAGAAAAAAGTACTTGACAAAGTTAAACATTTTTTCTTGTTAAAACTCATAAATTTAGCTATAGAATAAAAGTTTGTCAATATAATAAAGGGTATTTATGAAAAACCCACAGCTAACATCATAATCAACAGGAAACAACTGAAAGCTTTTCCACTAATATTCAATTCCAGGCAAGAATGTCCACTCTTACCACTTCTATTCAATACAGTACTGGAAGTACTAGCAAGAGTAGCCAGACAAGAAAAAGAAATAAAAAAGCATCCAAATCAGAAAGGAAGAAGTAGAATAAACTCTATTTGCAAGTGTCATAATTCTAATATGCAGAAAACCCCAAAGATCCCCCCACAAAAAACTATTAGAATAAATGCATTAAATAAAGTTGAATTATACAAAATTAAGATACAAGAATGAGTAGCACTTCTACACACAAATAACTTAGTTGAAAAAGAAATTTTAAAAAGAATCTCATTTACAAAAAAAATACTTAGGAATAAATTTGACCAAGGAAGTTAAAGACTTGTGCACTGAAAACTACAAAACATTAAAGAAATTAAAGAAGACACAAATAAATGAAAAGATATTCTGTGTTCATGGATGGGGAAAATTAATATTATCAACATATTCACACTATTCAAAGCAATATAATGATTTAACAATCCGTATAAAAATGTCGATGTCAATCTTCACAGAAATAGAAAAAGTAATCTCAAGAAAACCAAAACTCACATAGCCAAAGCAATACTGAGAAAGAAGAACAAAGTAAGGAGGCATCGTGCTTCCTGATTTAAAATTATACTACAAAATTACAGTGATCAAAACAATATAGAACTGGCATAAAAAAACAGAAACATAGACCAATGGAACACAATTGAGAGCCCAGAAATAAATCCAATCATAAATGGTGAACTAATTTTCAACAAGGGCACCAAGAGGATACTATGGGAAAAGGATAATCTCTTCAATAAATGGTGCTAGGAAAACTAGATTTCCCCATGCAGACTAATGACATTGAACCCTTATCTTACATCATACACAAAAATCAATTCAAAATGGATAAAAGGCCTCATTGGAAGATCTGAAACCCAAAAAACTCCTAGAAGAGAACATAAGTAGAAAGCTCCTCAACGTTGGCCTTAGCAATGAATTTTTTGATATCATACCAAAAGCTCAGGCTACAAAAACAAATATAAATGAGCCTATAGTAAACTAAAAAGCTTCTTCACAGCAAAGGAAATATTTAACAAACTGAAAAGGCAACCTACAGACTGAGAAAAAGTATTTGCAAACCACATACAAGAGATTAATAATCAAAATTTACAAAGAACTCTTACAACTCAATAGCAGAAAAACAAACAACCCAATTTAAAAAATGAACAAAGGACCTGAACAGACATTTCTCCACAGAAGACATAAAAATGGCTAACAGGAATATGAAAAGGTACTCAACAGCACTAATCATCAGAGAAGTGCAAATTGAAACCACTATACAATATTGCCCTGCTCCCATAAGGATGGCTATTATAAAAAAGACAAGAGATAGCAAATGTTGGTGAGGGTGTGAAGAAAAGGAAACCTTTCTATACAGTTGGTAGGAATGTAGATTGGTACAGCCATTATAGAAAACAATATAGAGGTTCCTAAAGAAATTAAAAATAGAACTACCATACAACACAGAAATCCCTCTTCTGGGTATATTCCCAAAGGAGATGAAATCAGCACAGATAAAGATATCTGCACTCCCATATTAACTGCAATATTATTCACAATAGCCAAGATAAGGGAAGAAACTAAATACCTATCAACAAATAAATGTATAAAGAAAATGTGGTACACAGTTGTTTCTCAGTATCTACTGGGAACTGGCTCCTCAACCCCCCAAAAATACCAAAATCTGATGATGTTCAAGTTTCTTTTTATGGCATAGTATTTGCATAACCTACACACATAACCTACCCATGTCTTACTGTATACTTTAAAACATTTATAGAGTACCTATATTACCTAATGCAATGTAAATACTATGACATGGTTATAATGCTATATTTTTAAAATCTGTATTATTTTTATTATTGCATTGTTATTTTATTAAAATTTTTTTTATCGATAGTTGGTTGAATTCATGGATGTGGAACCCACAGATATGGAAGGCTGACCATATGTATATGATATAATATTATTCAGCTTCAAAAGTGTGATATCCTACTGTTTGTTACAACATAGATAGATCTACAAAACATTATTGTAAGTGAAATAATCCAGACACGGAAATACAAATATTGCATGATTTCACTTAAATGCAGAAGGAAAAGAAAAAAAGAGCTCAAATACACAGAGACAGAGAAATAGATAATGGAAATAGTGGTTACTCTGCTTGTAGGGAGAGAGGAAATGGAGAAATGTAGGTCAAAGGATACAAAATAACAAATAAGTAGGATGAACACATTTACAGAATTAATACAGCATTGGGGATTGCTGTTAAATAGGTAGATTTTAGCTGCTCTTGTAACAGGAAAGTAACTAGGTGAGATGATAGCTATGTTAATCTGCTTCACTATAGTAACCATTTTGCTGTCCATATGTATCTCATAACAGCATGTTGTAAACCTCAAATACACACAATACAATTTGTTTTCAAAAAATAAAGTGCTTGCAAAAAAATTAATGTTTTACACTGGAAAAATGAACAAATGAAAAACCTACTCTATGTATCCAGTGGCCACAAATCCTTTGCTATTTCTCCCGTAAAGACAACAGGTCTATGTACTCTCCCCTTGAATCTGGGAAGATCCTACAGTGGCTTTGACCAATGTAGTAAGCCAGAAGTGATTCACATAGTTTATAGGTGTGGGCCTGAAGAGACTGGCAGCTTTCACCTCCTATCCCTTGGAAAATTCCCTTTTGTACCTCTGAGATCCATTCTAAGCAGTCTGGCCACTCTGCTGTAGGACTACACGGAGAGACCTTGGAAAGGAAGAACTGCCCAGCTGAGGCCAGCCTTCTGGCCATCTCTGCTTCAGACATGTGAGGGAAGCCTTCTGGGGACTTCCAAGCCAGCTTTGCTCCCAGCTAAATACCAATGAGTGATTGCAATCAACTCCACATAGAACACAATTGCCCAGCAACTTCCAGCATGAATTACTGATCCACAAATCAGGAACATAATATAATAATTGGTATTTTAAGCCCCTAAATTTGGGTCAATTTGTTATACAGCAATATATATTCAGAACAGTATATGTTATGAGCTCCAAAGAGAACTCAGGTTATCTCTTTTTCATTCTATTATTCCCGAACTATGCTACTGTACTAGGGAGCATTCTAAAAATGCCTTCTTCCTCCCCAAGGTTCCAGGCTCTAATTCCCAGGACCTGTAACGGTGATGAGATAGCACTCTGGTGACTGTGTTCTTTTACATAACACAGTTGACCTACAGAGGAAGATTATCTTAGTGGACCTAATCCAATCAGATGTGTCCCTTTAGAAGCAGAGAGTTTTCTCTCGCTTTGGCAGAACTTGGAGAAGTCTGAAGTGTGAGAAGGACTCCATGCATCTTTATTCTTTTGAAGATGAAGAGGACCTTGTGCAAGGCCTGGAGAAGGGCCCCTAGCCATTCACATAGAATCCCTAGCAACAAACAGCAAGGAAACAGTAACCTCAGTCCTACAACCACAAGAAACTGAATTCTGCCAACACCTTGAAGGAGCTTGGACTTGGATTCTTCCCCAGAACCCACTGGTAAGAGCCTGGTCTGTCCAACACATTGATTTCAGCCTGTGAAGCATAAAGTGAAGACCCAGCTATACCATACCTAAACTCCTGACCCCTGGAAACTATAACATAATAAATCTACATGAAGTCTCTTAATTTATGGTAATTTGCTACATAATAAAAATTAACATAGTTATTCTGGACAAAACACTCTGTTTCATTTTACTCCTTAAGAAAATGATAAGAATAGACTGGACAATCTTTTAAGTTTCTTTCAGGTACAAAATTTTATGATTTCATAATATTAGGTCATTTAGCCTTCCTGAGCCTCAGGTTTCTAAAGTAAATCATGGATGCCAAACCAATTCTGGGCCAGTTTTATCTTCTAGGTAGTCTATCTTCTAGATCTTGAGCTGTCTGTGAACAGGGGCACTCATTGTCTTGCTCACCCCCCTACCACTTGTATCCCGCCTGGCACTTAGTGAGTATTCACTAAATATTTGTTGAATGAATAAATGAATGAATGAATAAATGAAGATTCAGTATAAATATTAATGTAAATATTATTTGACAAGAAAAGAGGCCTATGCCTATGTAGGATGGCAACAGGATAATGAGTATTACTTTATAATCTTGGGCAAGTCATTCATTTCTGTCAGTCTCAGTTTTCTCCTTTGTAAACGGGGAGGCCGACTGATCCTCACTCTAACTCATCCACTGGTTATTCCGATCACATAACATCATCAGTGTGAAAGCCCTTTGCAAACTTTAAAGTAATCTATACATAAGGTATTTGTCTTGGTAATAGTTTACTTTTTAAGGTTAGGAATGTCCCTAAGCCACATGGGGTAAATTTATTTCCTAATTATACCAGAAATGGAGCACCTTCCTGCTGTTACTTCTGCAGCTGCTGGTTAGCAGTCGTGCCACCTCTCAGCAGGGGTGGTACCTGCAGGGAGACAAAGCCATTAGCATCTGCTTAAGCAGAAGGTGTTAGAAACTCAACTCAAAGAAGACTTACTGAAAGATGACGATCTCTACTGACAAGAAGGGAATATGACAACCTGTGGTATCACACCAAATAATCTGTGTCATAGCTTCTTAATCTGGTGTAAACCACTTTTTTTTCCAAAGCTGTGTTTTGAGGAGCCCAATCTCTTGAAAAACTTCAAAAAGAAAGATTTTATGGCCAAATAAATTTGAAACATATGAAAACTTGACCTCTTCTTTATTTAGCATTTTTTTGTAATTCAACATTTTCTAAACTTATTCAAACAGATACCACTTCCTTATTTTCCTCCTTTTCAAAGTCCTATAGGATTCACTTAGGGGAACTCATTTTTGCTTAGTTTCTACCAAGTGCATAGAAAGAGATGTGACCATATTTAAGGCAGTGAAGACAGACTTAATCCAAGTCTGGTATGGCGCTTAGACCAGTGGCATCAGTATCACCTGGGACTTAGGACCCACCTCAGTTCTACTGAATCAAAAACCCTGGACACAAGGCCCAGTAATCTATGTTCAGAAAGTACTCCAGGTGACGGTGATGCCAATCCCAGTTTGGGAAGCAGTGCTTTAATCCACAGATCATATCAGCACAGAGAAGAAATACTGAATCCTCTTACACCCAAAAGAGAGATCCCATCGATTCTCCAATTCATCTTTCTAATAGCTATCAGAGAACATTTACTAAACCACAGCATCCCTTCTATTATTTTTCCCTCTGGCTTCATATCACCTTAATGATAAGATGCAAACTCCACCACTAGATATTTAATCCCTCCATAATTTCCCAACATAAAGGTCTAACCTTATTCAATAACAATAAGGACAATTGCACTAAGTGCTAATATTTATTGACCACTTACTACATGCTAGGAACAGTGAATATGTGTCTTGGGTGATCCTCTCAATAAACCTGTGGAGGAGATATTATCCTTATTTTACAGATGAGGACACTCAGGGCAGAGGACACTCAGCACATTGCTTGCCAATATTTAACCTCAGTCCTCTGGTTCCAAAGCCCAGGTATTTAATTCTGACTTACATCCTGTTTCTGATTTCTGATTTGACATTTCTGGATAAAATTAATCCCACACTCTATTCTTCATAGGTACGTATTGCTTTCTTGAATGGAAAATCATTCTTTTCACTGCAAGTACAAAGCATAATCATCCCTCAGCTCCCATGTGAAATGTCCCCTCACTTCAGTGCAGCAAAGGCTATGTCGTGATATTCCAGGCACTTTACCCGTCACTGAGGAAACATTGGTTAGCAAGGAAAACAAGTTATCTGCCTTCACTGAATTTGTGGTCAAGTAGGGGAAGTCTGGGTTTAAACGCAGCATTGCAAATATGGCAAGTGCTAGAAAAAAATGAAACAGAAGATGCAGTAAAGGCATTTAATAGGATGGTGCAACTTGGTTCACTGAGTCAGACCAAATATTCCTAAGAAATCAGGGATGAATCTGAAAATTAAAGGATGAATAAAGTAATCCGGACAGAGGAAAGTATTTTTTCCAGTCTCCCCAGCAGGAATGCATTTCTCTCACTCTCTTCTCTTGCAGCATTTCCCTTTGCTACTCAAACTCTGTCTATAATATAGGAAGCATAGTAGAACCTTTTTGATAGGGTTGTCATAAGGATTACACACATTAATATATGTAAAGCATCAACAACTCTGTCTGGTACATAATAAATGGTCAATGTATGACAGGTATTATTATCATCATTTTTTTCTTACTATAATAGGTGACCTTGAGCAAGTTGTTCCACTAAGAGTTGCAAGTTACTAGGAATCACAGCTTCTCTGTCAAGTGGGACAAGTTCTCATAATTGACCTCCATGAAGTAACTTTGGGAAAATGACTCTTCCTCCCATCAGATAAATGTGGTGTGTGAAGCTGATGGAGCACTGAACACTCTTGTCTGGTGGGTTACATTTCCACGTTTCTATTTCCACCAAGTAACAAGCATACGAGCTGAAAGTCAGTTTCGTTTATTCCCAAACCTGTTTATGCCCGTTGCATTTGCTATTATTATATCTTCTAATATAGCTAAAAAGTTATGAAATAACTAAATTAAAACTAAAATAAATCAATGAAATGTGAATTGCTTTTTTCTGTGGAAACTAATTTGAATTCAGTGGGAAAATTCTATAAAGACAAGTTATTGACAAAAATGACTATCGATTTAAATAAAGGGGAAGTAACAAAAAAATCTGCAAACATTTGTTTTTTAAGAGTCTAAGCTGTTGCTCCACTTTGAATAAACCGAGGTTTGAAATGTTACGCAATTATGGTATGGTTTATGCAGGAACACCAGTAGAATGTTAAATAGAATATACCACTACCCTCAAAAAAGATTTTGGCTTTACTTCAAGAGGCTGGCCAAGAAATGTGCATTTATATGTTTTTAAGTTAAAATAAAATGGTTCATATATGTATAGCATGTATACATTTTAGGATTTCCTAGTTTAACTTCACGTTTTCAATTACCCAACAAACTATTGGTTCCAATTTCGTCCAACAAAGAGCCCCATGCTTTGCCATTTTGCTATGTGTTAACCCTGGCATCTGTGTTCTATTATTGGCTTTCCAAGGCTGGCTACTATTTTTCTCTCCATCACGCCATGCAGAAAATTGAAGCCTGAATGCCTTAATACTATGCCAAGTACTATCAATAGTAAATGACAGTCACACACTTTGGTCTGTCAGACTAGAGAGTCTGAAGTCCTAAGGTTCTTAAGTTCTTTTTTTCTTTATTATATGATTACATTCTGTTTGATAGGCTCGTGCTTTATTTTACCCAACAGAAACATCCACTTCTTGGAAATAGAAAGTGTTGTCATCAATTATTTATGTCATCAAATATCTAGGGTCTACTACTGCTGTGCTCTTGAAAATATTAATTTTTTTTTTTTTTTTTGAGACACAGTCTTGCTCTATTGCCCAGGCTTGAGTGTAGTAGCGTGATCTTGGCTCACTGCAATCTCCGCCTCCCAGGCTCAAGTGATTCTTGTGCCTCAGCCTCCCGAGTAGCTGGGATTACAGGTGTGCATCACCACGCCAGGCTGATTTTTGTATTTTTTAGTAGAGATGGGGTTTCTCCATGTTGGCTAGGCTGGTCTTGAACTCCTGGCCTCAAGTGATCTGCTAGCCTCGGCCTCCCAAAGTACTGGGATTACAGGCATGAGCCACCGTGCCCAGCCTTGAATATATTAACATTCTATCTGTATATTTCTTTACAAGTTATGAAGAATTTTCCCATATATCATATGAATTGACTAGGACATCAACTCTGTGGGGTAGCTATTCTTATTATCCTAACCATACAGATGGGGAAACAGAGGGATCAGGTAGGTTTGGAGACTTTTGGAGGTCACACATCTAATAAATGACAGAGCCGGGACTGTCAGTCTAATAAACTGAAACTGACTTGAGTTCAATAAAATATAAGAAGCCATATCCCTCCGCCCCACTGCAGGAGTCTATGGAGATGAAATCCAGAGACAAATAAGTACAGGGTTCACAGAGAAGAATCAAAATCAGTATGAATATTGAGGGTCATCAGAATAGAGATAACGATTATCTTGGTAGCCAGAGTCTTTCTATAGACACCAATTAAACACTGTATGGAGAAGGAAATATGTTAAAAGCTGACATGAGTTCAGAAGCTACGGCCCCAGCATCTGAGCCTGAAGTTGATGCCCCCAAGAGATTTTCATCTCAACAATGGGTAATTACATTGTGCTTGGCTAAGGCTCGGACTGCTGGGTCAAGGCCATGTGAATTTGTGAAGTAAAAAGAAATCAAAGACCAAGCATCATCAGAAAATGCTAATAATTCTACTGTCTGCCCTCAAGTTAAGCTTCCATGGATCTTATTTGCTTCACAATACTCTAATCTTTAAAAAAACCCAGGTGATAGCCAGATATAAGTAAGAAATATCAAATCACACTGACCTTAAACACCTACTTGATGCTAGGAATTTTATCTCATTTCATTGAATTGAATAGTGTCTGTTTTTCTTGTTCTTCTTTTTTTTTTTTTCTTCAGTAGGGAACATTTCCCAAAGTAATAGACTTAACAAGAAATAACTTCAGGATTTGGATTCAAGTCAGTTGAAGACAATCGCCATTTGCAGTTTCAATTTTACTAAACTGTCTGGACTGTCAGTTTACTGGCCTGAATTTTGGTTACGATCTGTTCACAAATTCCCTGAGTGACCCTGGAAAAGTCACTTACCTCCCTTAGATCTTAGTTTCTTCATTTGTGAATGAGGAAGATAATCTAAATATATTCAACATATGTAGAAAGTACATACACTTTATATACGAACACGGAACTCAATTTGCAGAAGATTATATCAACATGCATTTGTGGCATATTCGGAGAAGCAAATAATCTATGTGTGCATTCATTGAACAAGTTTTTTGAATGGCTATTGTGTGACAGGTCATGTGGTAGGAAGTTATAAGAACAAAGTTATGAAGAATATAGAAAAGATGTATGTGTGCGCTGATAGTCTCATAGGAGAGATAGGCATTAATAAATAGATTTAAAAAGGGAAAACAGTAGTCAGGTGCAGTAGCTCAGGTCTGTAATCCTAGCACTTTGAGAGGCCAAGGAGGGACTATCACTTGAGTCCAGAAGTTTGAGACCAACATGGGCAACATACTGAGGCTCTGGCTATACAAAAAAATTAGATAAGCTAGCCAGGTATGGTGGTGCACACCTGTAGTTCCAGATTCTTGGGAGGCTGAGGCTGAAGGATCACTTAAGCCCAGGAGTTTGAGACTACAGTGAGCTATGATCATACCACTGCACTTCGGCCTGGGTGACAGGGCAGGACTCTGCCTCAAGAAAAAAAAAGAAAAAAAAAAAAAAGAAAGAAAAGAAAAAAGATATACTGGTAAACTGGATGGTAAACTGGAACTTGGGTTCAATTGGAAAATTAGAATGAGAAGGAAGCATATAAAATAAGTCCTGAAACAGCCTTTCAATGCAGGGACCATGTTCTTGAGGAAGGAATCTTTGAGCCTGAGATCTGAAGGGCAGGTAGAAGCTACCATAGTGAAGAACAAAAGAAAAAAAAGGAAGCACATTCAAGCAGAAGGAGCAGCCCATGTGAATCCTTTGAAATGAAGGGCTACTGGGAGTGGGTGGAATTAGACATTTAGTTAACTCAAAGAAAATTAGCAGAACTGTCCTGTCACTGAGAGAGACAAGAAATGGTGTGGAACCCAGCCAAGGGGTAGGTGGGAACCAGATCATGGCAGATCTGTCAGCCACCTGAGGATTTTGTTCTTTCTCCTAAAAGCAGTAAGTAGTAACCAAAAAGTTTTAAACAGGGATGTGACAAGATTGAATTTGAATTCTGACTGCCATGGAACATAGATTGGAAAGTGACTAGAGTAGATTCTGGGAGACTTAGTTAAAAGGCCATTGTAATTTCAGGCAAAAGAAGATTTTACTTTGAACTATAGGCTACTCATTAAAATTGACTAATTAGCATCATCTGAAAGCAATGCTGCTCAAAGATTCAATTACTGACCTTCTACCAATAGTCTTGAATTGAACTATTACTCTCATTCTCTGTAAATGTTATGTCTCTTAGAGTTGAGAAGGACCTCAGAGATAATTGAGTCTTGTTGTTTTTGTTTTAGCAAAACAGAAAGAAAGAAAGAAAGAAAAATTACCTTATGTTCTTGAATGAATTTTAATTCAGAATTTCCACAAAGAAAACCGCTAAAGAGCTGCTCTCGTTTAAGGTGAGGTACAATTTTTTCACTACTCAACCTGTACCTCACCTCTGCAAGGCACGATTTCTGTACCCAGTGCTCTCCAGAGTGTGAGTTATAGGTTTAGTCCAGCCCACACAGGACAGAATAGGACTTGAACTTAGGTCTCTGGCTTCATGAAACAATGTCTTTTTAGCACACCCAGAGGCTAGATAATGATGGTTGGAGGACCAACGCACAGTTGCTTGTATCTTTAAATGCCTTTCAGTGGCTGACACGAGATTGGAAGATAAGGTGGTTAGTAAACATTTATGTAATTGCACAGGAACCAGCTAAATTCAGCATTGCCCAAGATGACTTTGTGCTTCTTTTCTTCCTCCCTCCCTTCCTTTCTACCTTATTTCCCTCTCTCTTCTTTTTTTCCTTCCTTTTCTCTCCTGCATCCCTCCCTTCCGTCCTTCCTTCATCTCCCTTTTGCCATGACAGGCAATTTCCACCACTATGCAATGCAGTTTTTAGTCTTGGCAGGTCACTTAAACACCTTGGATCATCTTGTCTCGGAGATTGGTAGAATAGCAGAGGAGTAACAAGAAGGGATTCTGGTGGGCTTGAAGCCTGTCTTCTACCTGCTATTTAATCATCAGCAAGTCATTTAACATCTCTATGCCTTAATTTCTCTGTTCATAAAGTGGGATAAATTAGCGCTACTTCATAGGGTTGTTACAGTGATTAAATAAGATGAAAGCCATAAGACTGTGGCTGGTGCATGGTAAATGCTTTAGAAGTGTTAACTATTAAATGTTGCCATGAACCTGAACTTAGCCCATTCCCATTCCCATCCTGATGTGTTTGGCTTCAAGTTCATCCCAATTGCATAGCCCCCTTTCTACAGCATTCAGAGTTCACAAATTTATACACTACCCCTGGTGAGCCCCACAGTGACCCTCTGAGATAGGCAATCAGAAATTATTATACCCATTTTATAAGTGATAAAGCCAAGGCTTAAAAAGTCTCAGTGTCCAGTAATAGCTGAGACCAAACTTAAAGTCCATCTTTCCCTTTTTAACTGCACAGTGTAAGGATCTCCTGGTGGCAAGACAAGCCACAGGAATCTTACTGTGGGTCCCTGCCTTCCCTTGATATGTCCAGCTGCAGTCTGACACTAGGGTCAGCTCTCCTGCGGGCTAACAGAAATCCATCACAGTATCCCCAGATCCTCAAACAGAACCTAATATATAATGACTACCCAATAAATATCTGGTCGACCCATTACTGGTCCCCATCAACAGGTGTGGTCCGGAATTATCTTGTTGCTGTCCTCTCAACAAGCACTGGGCGCTGGAGTGGAATGAATCTTACTTATGTTCATGCTTCCAAAGCCTGGCACATAGTAAGCTTTCAGGAAATGTATGCTGAGTTGGACTGCACTGAACCAGGCCTCTTCTGGTTACCTACAGGGAACATGTCTTTCTGGGTTTCTGCTTGGGCTTGAGAGTTAATTCAGGGCTCCATGTTCAGGGCCATTTCCTGCATCTCAGCACACTACAGTATATATATTTCAATGTTGGTCTACTACCCTCAACCTTGACGAGCAAACCCTGCCTTTGGCTTTACCATACACTAAACCAGGGCGTCCCAAACCCAGTGCAGTCTCCTATCTGCCACTGCCCACTGCTTAGACAGCATGCATTCTTGCTGCTCTGCACAGTGATCTTGACCATCAAGTCCAACAGTAAAGTCAGCAAAATAAATCTAATCTGCTCCTTACCTGCCCATGTGACCTTGGATAAATTAATTACATCTGCCTTATCAGTTCCCTAACCCATAAATGATCCAAGAGCATCTACTTCACAGAGATGGCATGAGTATTAGATAAAAAATATATGTCACCAATGCTCAATTTCATTAGGTAACTAATTACTGAGTGCCAAGAAATTTATATGCCAACTATCAGTTCTTGGGGGAAAAAGAATAAGAACAATACCTAACATGTATTGAGTGCTATCCATGTTCTACTCACTGTCCTAAGAAATTTATGTAGGTTAAGGCATTTAATCCTGAAAACAACCTTATAATGTAGGCACTATTATTAGCTCCATTTTACAGATAAGAAAATTGAGGCTCAAAGGTTTCAGTAACTTCCTCCAGACTTACAATGTAACCGGGTGACGAAGTTGGAATTTGAACCAAGGCAGTCTAACTCCAGAATCTTTACAAATAGACAACTCTATTGCTTGTTATTCTAGCTGCTCAGTAAGTAACTGCTATTGCTTCATTATTGTTGTTATTATTATTAATCTTATGTTCCCTATATCTGATAGTCACCTCTAGCTCCAATTCTACTCAATTGCTATTGTACCTCATCTCCAAAATATATGTCCCCTGCCCCCATAATGAACTGCACCTCCCAATACTCACACCCTTGAAGCCAGGTTAGGCTTTTGGCCAACAGAATGTGGTACAAATAATGCTCTCCGACTTCCAAGGCTAAGCTGTGTAAAAGTCTCACAGCTTTCTTTTGGTCTCAGGACACTCCCTCTCTGAGCCCAGCTGCCATGCTGCAAGAAGTCCAGTCCCCGTGGAGAGGTCCTGTGTGGGCACTCCAGTGACAGCCCCAGCTGAGCCCCCAGCTGACAGCCAGCATCAACTGGCTCTGAGAGAGTGTCATTGTGGAGATGCAGCCCAGTCAAGCCCCCAGATGACAAGAGCCCCAGCCAACTAGAGATATCCTCAGCTGTACCAAGTCAACATACAGATTCATAATAGATAATAACATAGTGTTGTTTTGAGCCACTAAATTTTGGGGTGAATTGTTTTACACCAATAGAGAGCCAAAATACCCCTTTTGCCTTCCAGCCAATATTAAGTTTCTAGCAAGCATTGAAGCCAAGTTTTAATCAGCTATAATTGACCTCTCACTAAATCTAAATCTTAACATTTCTTTGAAGTAACAATAAATTAACATTTATTGACCTTGTGTACATTATTAACCTTTCTGTGCCTCAGTTCCTTTATCTGTAAAATAGGAATGGTAACAGTATCGCTTCATAAGACTGTAGTGAGGAAGAAATTAGTTAATCTCATATAAGATGCTAAAGAACAGTGCCTGACCTTTAGAATACACATACTAAGTGACAGCTCCTTCCCTTCTGTCTCTTACTCTCTCCCTTCCTCCCTTCCTTTTAACTGATTCAGGCACTTTACCAAGGTTATTTAAATTTTAAAATCTTAATCATCACACTTAACCTGAAGGCAAGTGTTATTATCCCCTTTCACAAATGAGGTGCAGGACTTACATAAAGCTCTGTGTCTGGTAAGTGATGGAGCCAGGATTCGGACCAGTCCATGTGTGGCTAAGGCCCTGTGCTTGTTCCCTCTTTCCCTCTCCCACCTTACCTTAACAAAGCCACCTGTTTGTGAGACAAGTAAACATCTCTGTGGCACCTGCTGCAGTAATGGCACCTGCTCAGCACACTCATCTTCCACAGACTTCAGCAAGCAGACACATTGAAACCATGCAATCAGTTCATTTGCAAATACCAGCTTGCTCAGCTAGAGGTGGCCCAAGGTTCCCAGTGTTAGCACCTCTGTCCGACACTGCTCCATGCCAGAGAGGTGCCCTGCGGTGTGAGAAATACTCATTAAAGCCTCAGATTCAGATGTCAGGAAGCGGCCCACAGCCCGTCCAAGGAAGTTCATCTCTCCTGGGAAGGCTTCAGAGGAATTAGCCACAGAGCCTAGTGTCTGTGTGCTCCTACCCCTCGGTACCTAGCACTCAAAATTCCTCAAATTAATATAATTGAGTGACCTGCTAATGGTGGAACGCCAGACATCCTCTCCAGGTGAGAAGAATATGATGATTAGGGCAGGTTTTCTCCTCCTTAGTAGGAGAGACGGCAACACTGTGAGCTCTTTCTTTGAAGGTCCCATGATGGTAGAGCATTTTTAGCTATTTACACCTGACGACTTGCAGAAGGAGAGCAGAGACTTATTCAAAGATGCAGACACCTGCACTGAGCATGGTGAAGTGACTTGCCCAAGGACACACAGCTTACTAGTGGTAGGACAAATCCAGACTCCTTGACTTTTCCCAGTGTTACTCCTATTACCCAGCTTTGTCCCTCCTTCTTCCCTTGTAATACCTATCCAGCTACCCTCCTTCTAAAATCCTCTCGAGTCTTCCCTTGAACTTAGCATATCTGATGATGCTTGGTGTTCTGGAGATTTCACTCAACTTTAATAAATATGCCTGCCTAATGTCTTTGGGACCTTTGGATCTTACTCTCCATTTTCTGAGATGACAATCACCGTAACTGAAAGAGGTTATTTGTTTGAATTCTTATCATGGTCAAACATGGCCCTCCTCAATCAGATTTGCATCGAGCTTCGTTGCTCCTTGGGATGCACAGCTTTTTCACCTAAAGATCTGATCAAAAGCTACCTCCTATAATATTCTGGGCTGAATTACATACCCCTCCAAACTTATATGTTAAAGTCCTAGCCCCCAGGATCTCAAACTGTGACTGTGTTTGGAGACAGGGTCTTTAAAGTGGTAATTAAGTTAACATGAGGCCATTTAGGTCAGCTCTAATCCAATATAACTGGTATCCTCTTAAGAGAGGATATTAGCACAGGGCATGGTGGCTCATATCTATAATCCTAGCACTTTGGGAGGCTGAGGTGGGTGGATCACCTGACGCCAAGAGTTTGAGACCAGCCTGGCCCATACGGCAAAACTCCGTCTCTACTAAAAATACAAAAATTAGCTGGGTGTGGTGGTGCACACCTGTAATCCCAGCTACTCGCAAGGGGAGGCTGAGCAGGAGAATCGCTTGAACCTGGGAGACGGAGGTTGCAGTGAACCAAGATAGCGACACTGCACTCTAGCCTGGGCAACAAAGCGAGACTCCATCTCAAAAAAAAAAAAAAAAAAAAAAGAGAGAGAGAGAGGATATTAGGACGCAGATGCACACAGAGGAAAGACTACGTGGAAACACAGGTAGAAAAAAACAACCATCCACAAGCCAGAAAAAGGGGCCTCAGAAGAAACCAAGCCTGCTGACACCTTGATCTTGGACTTCTGGCCTCCAGAACTATGAGAAAATAAATTTCTATTGTTTAAGCAACTGAGTCCATGGTACTTAGTTATGGCAACCATCATAAACTAATACATATGGGGTCTGATTGATAAAAGAACCCCTCCCCACTCCTGCTCTACAAGACATCTTCCACAGCACTGTTCGCTGTGTGCATTTCTGAATTTCCCACAGTGCTCGATGCAGGTCTCATGGCAGATGTGTGATGGATCTAAAAGGAAGCTTCTTCAGAGACTTGCTCGTGGTAGCAGTCTGAGCATCTGTTGTGCTCGACAAGAAAGTAAGTTTGTGACCTTTTCTAGTCCCTGCTTCAGCAGCATTGCAACAAGAAACTGGCAAAAGAAATTCTATTTGATCCACAAAACAATATAATTATCACAAGCTAGATGCAAAGCAGTGGGCTCAAATTTGGAGGGAATAGGGAAAACAGAGATGAGTTTGAATGTCTGTACAAGGAGGAGGTTTCATAAGGGGGGAAAGAGAGAGAAATATGCTAAGGAAAGGATTTTAGATTAGTGGGAATCTAGAATAAGAAGCTTTCTGTATTGGCTAGTACAATCAGGAAAGACTTCATGGAGGGAATAGCAGCATTAGCTCTGACGCAAGAAAAACGAGAGAAAAAAGGGTGCACCTCATCGGGGTAATTAGGTGGATGGACTGTGGTAGAAGACTGCCGTTGTTAAATGTTGAGTGCCAGTAGAACAGACTAGTTAGGAAGATAAGATTTTGATTTATAGATTTATTAAAGTTGGTTCAAAAGTCATCGTGGTTTTTGCTGTTACTTAAAAGTAATGGCAAAACTTAAAAAATAATGGCAAAAACCACGATGACTTTTGCATCAACCTAAAATAGCTGGCATCTTGTCTCTCTTACATCAGAATTGCTAAGCCTGAGCACCAGCAACTTTTGAAGTCACATATTTCTTTGTTGTGAGAACTGCCTGTGCAATAATACCCCTAACCCTTGCTACGATACTCAAAATTGTCTTGAGATATTTTCAAATGTCCCCTGGGGAAAACGTCACCCCCAAGTGAGAACCACTGATTTACACTGTAGCTTTGGACAAATTACTTGACCTCTCTCAGCTTCCATTTCCAGATTTGTACAACAGGGTAACAATCATATATATAAATATGTGACTGACACAGGGTATGCTAGGTGAATGTGAATGGACTTGTTCTTTTTAAGAGTGGATCTTTTTCTTAGAACTAAATTGAAGGTAGAACCCCCAAATATGCAACAAATAAGAGCAGAGCTGCTCTGTCTGAAGCAGGGTGGAGAGAGAGCCCCAACCTGCCCTTTTGCTGTCTTGTGATGCCCTTTTAGAAACCCTGGAGGCACCTCTACAGTAGGAACTACCAGCTGCAGATCAGAAATGCCCCGGAAGAATAGAGTCCAAAAAACCTGGATTCAAGTCCTGGCTCCTTCCTTCTGTGCCCCTGAGAGAGTAGTAAACCCTAATTCTATGGAGGCATGGGCCCTGTCTTGTCCATCTCTGTATTCTCCACCATCTAGCAGAATACCCGGTATATCCAGGACATGGCTGGAACTAGGGGAGGCAAGCAAGGTAGCCAGGCACTGAAGGTGACACTCTCTCAGGTGAGGACCCTGCACTCAATGACCCCGCAAGTGTCTCCTGACATTTTGTATTACATTTTGTTATTTGTGTCACTCACTCCTGGCTCTGCTCAAAGGACCTCATAAATAAGGTGGCGAATGATTAATTAGTTAATCCAGTTTTTTCACCATTAAGATGGGGATGCTAAAATTGGCTTTGCTCAGTAATTTTAAAATTAAATATGAAATATATTTTTAACAGCCAGGATAATGCCACATAACTATCAGGGCTAGTGTTCCCCTCCTCAATCAGGTGAATCAGACAGAACACAGAGGCTGAAAATTCATGGTACATTCAGGAAACAATGTGGAATCTGAAACAATGTGGAGCCAGTAGGTGAGGACCCAGAGGCAATCCAGAAAATTGTTGGTCTGGACCATGCGAGGTCCTGTTTGCCACCCCACAAATGCACCATCTGCATTGCATTTCACTCTGCAGCAAGATAATGTAGCTAACGCCAGGTAGGTGCCTGCAGAGGTGGAGGTGGTGGCAACACTTACCTCTCTCTAGGCAGCTGGTGGTTGGGATTGTGGCGACAGCGTACACTGAGGCCGAAAAGCTTGCGGGCAGTGCGTTGGATCTTTTGTCTCTGTGCCTCCGTGGCACTCTGCAGGAGCTTGTAGCGGTTCTGCAGGTCCCAGTCATTGCCCCAGTGCTGATGGATGCTTCCGATGGTCAGGAAGTGGTTGCTGGGGAGGCGCTTCATAAATGATTTAAACTCATCTAGTGAGAGACAAAGGCCGAGAGAGAAGGGCTAAGCATGATAACACCCATCTAAAGTGGCCTTGAATGCTTAGTGTCACTTTCCAATAAACCAGGCCTGCAAACATAATTTTTTTTTCTTAAGGGCCATAGAACATTGCATTAGTCTGTCCTGCCCCTACTAGAAAGGGCAAAAGCTACTATGCTTTCTTATGAAGGGAATCTGCATACCGCATTCTTGCTTAAGACAGGGCTTCCCAAACTTCTGGCGTCGGAATACCAACCTCATAGTAATATTCGTATATTATTACATTTACTTAACATGTTATTTGAATCAAATCATTGTTTTTCACTTAAAAATTGAAAACAAGGTTGGGTGCAGTGGCTCACACCTGTAATCCCAGGACTTTGGGAGGCCAAGGCGGGTGGATAACAGGCCAGGAGTTCTAGACCAGCCTGGCCAACATGGCGAAACCATCTCTACTAAAAATATAAAAATTAACCAGGCGTGGTGGCAGGTGCCTGTAATCCCAGCTACTCGGGAGGCTGAGGCAGGAGAATCGCTTGAACCCGGGAGGCAGAGGTCAAGTGAGCTGAGACTGCACCACTGCACTCCAGCCTGGGCAACAGAGCAAGACTCTGTCTCAAAAAAATTAAAAAAAAAAGGAAAACAAAATGTTTATTGAATTCTCCAAAGAAAATCACTATTGCATGCCTTCAGAAGATGGTAGCTATAAAAATAAATATGTTGAAGATAATGTTAATAAATTCTAGTCAGACACTGTTGCCTGCTAAAAAAATCAAACCTCCATGACTGCTCTCATGTTGAAATGCAGGCAATTAGCAAGTGTTAGGTGTTAAAGGCATGCTAGCACCAAACTGAAACTTTTTGATGTAATCTGCAGGTTCCACAGAGAACTGAAATGGATCAACTTCCCCACCCGGTGATCCAGTGTTGTTTGAAGTTGTATGGGTGTCCCATCTAGCATCAACTCACATTTCAAAAAACTCCAGCTTAAGAGATGGTGACAAACTCTTGGGCCTCCCAGGTAAAAGTTTCTGCCTCAGTTTGTGATGCTGAGTTTCAGAGTGTCAACTTGGCACATCCATAGAAATTATCTAGTTCAGCTCTTTTGTTCTATGAATAGGAAAACTGAAGCCCAAAATGGGAAGATGATTTCTTAAAGGTAACGTGGCTGATAAATGACAAGATCCAGGTCTGTGTCCTGAGTTTCTGTTTTCCAATCTAATAATCCAATCTGTTGTAATTCTAATCCCTATCACCCCATCCCTGGAAAATTAAAAATATCAAGGGGTTGATCATTTTGTAGGAAAAAAGGCCAATGGTTGGATTTATATAAATATTATAAATCTTCAGCCTAACACTTTTCACTTCATGTTATAAAAGCTCCAAGGACATTTTAGGTATACTATGCATTTATGCTTTCATTTTATTTTAAAAAATGCTTACATAGCTCTTGACAGGCACCAGGCACAGTCCTAATCACCTAACATATATAACCATATTTTATAGCAAACCTATGAGGTAGGTATTTTAGAGCCCCCATTTTAAAGAAAATAGGGCACAGAGAAGTTGCCCAAGGTCAAATGGCCAGTAGATAGGAGAATTAAGACTTGAGTCTGGCTCCAAATCCTGTGTTCTTACTTAGTATATTATATTTCCTCTCGACACATAAAAAGGGCAATCCCGAGGCTCAGTACATTAGGAGAAAACAGTAAATAAAAGGTGATAAAAAATAGAAGTCTCTGACTCCTAGAAAAAACTCAGGCATTTAATTATAGACAGTTAGACAGGCAAGAGTTGGAGTCACATCTTGAGTGCTGAACAGCTGTGGGACCCTTATTCTCTCAAGGCGTCAGTTTCCCCATCTGCTAACAGGAATAATAGTATCTAATCCAAATGCTGAGAATGACATAGTGGCATAGGACTGCATCTACCTAACTAGTTCCTGAGACACAGAAAGTACTCGGTTGATGGTAGCATAAGATTGACAGGATGACACAAGACTCTACACTGATTGATTGACTCAGTGAGCTGGCTGAAGGCAGGAGACAGGCCCTGATGACTCTGTTCTGTTTGGGACAGCTAGACTCTCCTCTCATGGAAAACATAAAGCTTATCTTGCAGAGGGCTCCGTGGATGTCAAAGGGGAAAGCAGGCCTTCAATGAACCCAAATTTGGGTCTGATAAGAAAATAGAATTTAAGAGTTAAATACATTAACTTTATTTATTTATTTATTTATTTATTTATTTATTTATTTATTTATTTTTTGAGACACAGTTCCACTCTTATTGCCCAGGCTGGAGTGAAATGGCACTATCTCAGCTCACTGCAACCTCTGCCTCCCAGGTTCAAGCGATTCTCCTGCCTCAGCCTCCCCAGTAGCTGGGATTACAGGCATGTGCCGCCACACCCGGCTAATTTTGTAGTTTTAGTAGAGACAGGGTTTCATCATATTGGTCAGGCTGGTCTCGAACTCCTGACCTCAGGTGATCCGCCCTTCTTGGTCTCCCAAAGTGCTGGGATTACAGGCATGAGCCACTGCACCTGGCCAACTTTCTTGAATAAAAGTAGAAGTACTACAACGAATCCCCTAGCAAGGAGATGTAGACTGCCATTTATGTATAGAAACTAGGCCCTATTTGGCCACCCACACTCTGGAGCCATCAAGGAACCAATGGCTTTTACTTTGGGCTGGTCATTAATCTCTCCAAATCACCTGGGCTGAGTAGCGAAGGTTAAGGGCTAAAAATGGACCAAAGGAAAACTCATATGCACAAGGCTGTGATGCACATACGGATGAATGGATTTGTCTTAAAGGGTAAAACCATTTCAAATAGAGAAGCACAGGAGATCTAGAGGGAGTGTATGCCTTTTGGGGAGAAAGTGTGACATAAATCATTTTCTTGGCCTGTTCAGCTTATTCAGCAGCATCTCAGTTTTCTGTGTTTCCTCATCCATCCACTTAAAGTGGTTTCTTTTCCTTGGGAATAAGGATTGTATGCTAAAGAGTCTTACTCCTTGTGCATATAGCCTAAATTCCCTCTGTTTTTTTTTTGTTTGTTTTTGTTTTTTGTAGTAATCAGCCAAATCTTTCTGCAAAAGCATTTTATCAAATGCTTCCTTTGTTTGGGGCCAAATAATCATCATAGTACATTTCCATCATGAACTTTTCTCTTTTATGGGCTCCCAGGATTTTCAGTGGACTAATGGGTGTCGTTATAAGACATCCACAGTTCCATTTGAGCTGTACAGCACTGTAGGAGCAGGATCCCTGATGCATTCTGGGCTCCCAGAGCTGGGTTAGGGCTTAGAGTTCACAGAAACCAGTTATTTTCAAATGCTATTCCATAGAACTCTGCTTTTATCTGTGGTACACAGTGGCTCCTAGGTAAGATTTTGCTTGATCAAATAATTTCTTGTCTAAAGACTTGAATAAACTCAAATATTAAAAACACAAACATGTCTTCTCATTTATCAGATGAGGGAACCTCAGGCCTGGGGGACAAAGTAAAATTAAGTTACCAAATCTGCTGTGAGCACTAGATTTGGAATCAGGAATTCCATTACCAATCCTGCCATTTACTAACTGTGCAACCCTAGGGAAAACACTGGGTCTTGCAGGAGGATTATAGAGGAGGTGTTCCCTTCTCTGTAATTCAGAAATGTTAGTACTTCCTTTAAGGTGGCTATTATAACAGATTTAAGAAATATAATGTTGTTGTAAAGACAGGAATGCTTTTTTGCATGAGTCCATTTATTTAACAGGTACTTGAGCACATATTATATGTTAAGTACCTGCTTGGCATCTCTTCTTGGAAGTCTCAAGGATTCTCAAGCTTATCCTATAGAAAAGTGAGCACATGGTCTTCTTTCCAAATCTTTCAGGGTGTTCTAGCTCAATGAAAGATATCAACATCTATCAAGTTGTCTAACATGCCTATCTAAAGGAGGTTTATGAGTATCACCTCAATATCCCTTTTCTCTTCAACTCTTGTAGACAATCTAACATCAAGCTCTGCCATTTTTTCCTTCTAAATATGTTGGCATATCTGCACATTTCCAGTTTTTACAACTTGTACCATCTCCTTAACCCACATCATGGTCATCTCTCTCCTAGGCCCTTTGTGCCTCCCATTGGTCTACCTGTAATCACCTTCTCATATCTGCACCATAGTCAGATACTTCCATTTCTGTTCTTTTTTAAGGTAGACTTCCTTGACCACATTGACCCCCAACTCTACATCGTTTGTTCACAGCAACTCCTCCCTTTTTACAGACGTATCCTTGACATTTCCTAATCATTGGCATGGTTACATAATTAATGCCTGGCTTTCCAACAAAACTCAAATGTCCATGAAGGTAGAGATCCTACTTCAGACTTCATCCACTTTAGGAGCTTGGATGACTGTCTTTCCACCCCTGAAACTCATTTTTCTGAACTATGAAAGGCAGAAAATAACTAAGATACCAGAAAAGAGACTTTGAGCTTTGATAGTCTGTAGATTCTTTGGATATCTATATCTCTATGCATATGCACATATAAATATACACATAGAGGTATGTTTATCTAGTTATAGAGATGGACAGAAGTGTGTGGGTGCACACACAAACACATACACACACAAATATCCACACACACATACACAGCCCAAGGAATCAATACAACTACCTCTGACTCTTCCCTCTCCAGAGGCTTCCTATGCAGATTTATTCTTTCTGTCTTCTGGGTACGACAGAAACAATACATCATATGACCACAAACTGGATTATGCTATTCATTAATTTTATTCAGTTGAGATTTATTGAGTGCCTGCTCTGTGACAGCTATTATACTTGCATCTGGACACTCCAAAGTGAAAGGGTCAGGGTCACTGAACTTTCCCTTGCAGCAGTCCTAATTCCAGTTAGATTAGCTCCCTTTCAGACTTGGCTCAAGGCCACTCATGCAGTGGCACTGAGTGAGACTCTCTACCTGAATTCTCCAGGTCCTTATAAGCTTCGGCCCAAGACTTGGCCATGTTGGCCAGCGTGTACTCCATGATCTGGATGTCCGTGATGGGGCAGTTGCACTGCGGAAACTCCTCGGCACATTGGCAGCGACACTGGCTGTTCTGGCACAGGTACTCCCCCTCCCCATTGCACATGATATAGCTCAAGGCCGACTGGACAAACTTCTCTTGCAGATACTGAGGAAAGATTATCTGAAGACCTGTGTGAGAATAGCAAGAAGGGAAAACAGAAAGGTTTAAAAAAAGGTGTTTCATTAACAATTTCCAAAGGTGATACATAGGAATCTGAAGCTGCTACATTTCTCCCTGTGTATTGGAACCAATATATTTCTGGGCCAACCTAGATCCAGACAGGGTATTATTGGTGAGGCTTCCAGTTGCATCACTTTTACTTAAACTTCTCAGGTCATGACTTTGGCCATCTCTGAAAGGCATACTCTATTCTGTTATAGTAGGACTGAGGCTAGAGCCACATATGGTATATACCTTTTCCATTTGTGGAGAAAACTCTTATTGAAAATATAACATTATTGTTTATTATTCTTTATTTCCTCAAGTGCTTTCCTTAAGTATTTATATAAACCCTATTTATGAAACACAAGTTCTGAGCTAGGCACTAGGCCTGTAGAGATAAAAAAAAAAAAAAGACACAATCCTTGCCCTTGGGGAGTTTACAATATAATCAGCAGGTGTAGACATGGACGCACATCATCATAACATGGCTTTATAGACCTATAGCAGAGAGAGCCATATGAGGCAAATGAACAGCAGAAGACTGCAAATAACATTGTTTAGATAGCAGGGAAACCTTCATAGAGGAGACAGAATTTGGGCTGGTTGAAAAGCAAGTAAGAGAACACTAGGTTAAAAGAAGAACAGGAAGGACATTCTTAAAAGAGGAAAGGCATCATGTGTCTGGAAATTCCTAGTGAAGAAATGAACTTGGATGAATGGAGGTGCTCGTGCTGTAGAAAATAGCTGTAGAGAGGGACAGAGGCCAGTGTGCAAAGGGCTTTATTATATGCTAGGGAATTTGGACATTATTCTGTGGATCATAGGTACACATTGGTAGTTTTGAAGGGTACGAGTAACATAATTAGAGTGATATAATTTAATAGGACCACTGTAACATAAAAACTAACACATCACTAGACACAAGCATCACTAGATAATTAATTTTCTCTTCTTTGCTCTAACAGTGAGGAAGCCATGGTCTACCAATAGGAAGTGACCAGCCCATGGTTACAGGATTAGCACTCTGGATTACATCTCATGATCCTCTCTTTATACTTGAATATTCAAAGTCTTAATACAGAGAGCCAATGATAGAGAAGGATTTATTTGGACATGAGCACTACTCTGGTACCTATGAAAAGTCAGCAGAGTGGTCTATTGTCTGTGGTGCCCAGAGAGAAGGACAGATCTGGGCTAACTTAATTCATTAGGGCACTTTCGCTTAGGACATTTCTCTCCACCTCATTTGGAGCTGCAAACAGTTTTAGCTTCCAATATGAGGTAATGGTTCTACTACTCACTGTGTAAAAGAGAACTGTATTCTTATTTGGATTATTTTTTTTCTCATTTATGCTTCAGGGACACTCCTTAATCCAACTCATCAGGGATTTGCTCAACAAGGTCAGCATTTCTTCCATTTTCTATTCACAGTTGTTTCTAGATTTTTATCTTTTTTCCATTTTCTTCAGGTTTTATATATACTTAAATAAGCCCCATCCTTTCAACCTGTCTTCACATGGCAGCTAAAAGAGAATATTTTCAGAGGGACATTGTGGGAAAGAAGATGATTCCTCCAGCATGCCTTATGGCAGGACACCACACGCTGTAGTAAAAAACCTGGGCATGGCTGCACTGCATGCTGTAGTCAGAAACCTGGGCATGGCTGCACTGCACGGTGTGGTCAAAAACCTGGGCAGGGCTGCACTGGCTCCTCTTCTTACTACCTAAGTCATCTCAAGCAAAATATTCAGCCTGCCTGTTAGGTTCCACTTAGTATCTATGTACAAAGATTATTGAGAGGACTACATGAAAGAATGCCTACAAATTATCTGGAAAAGCTCCTGGCACATAGCAAGCAAACAATAAATGTTGTCTGTTCTTATTTTTGATGTGATGACGATGACGATATTGATGATGATGCCACTCCTCTGATTAAAGTGGTTAAAGGTTTAACAAAACCTTCAGGATTAATGAAAGAAAAACAGGTGTGGGTGTATAATCAAAAGGCAGTCTTCACATATTTGCAGAGCTTTGATAAGCAGGAGGGTTTAGAATTCTGTGCCTGTTGAACCAGCATTGGTGACAGGGCTGTTGAGAAAGGTGTATATGTCAATATGCATGGAAGGGATTCTAGCAGATTAAGCTATACAGTTGAACAACGGGCTGCTGTGAGACTGAGTGAGCTCCACATTGATGAGCAATGAGTCCGTATGGGTTTGAGTGACTGTTTGGGAGGGCTACTGTACAAGGGCATAACACACATACCAAAACGTGAGGTAAAACAAATCAAGAATAAAGTCCCTTCTGAACTGAGTCTACAATTCTTTCAGAGTGTGCAATTCTTTCTGAGTCTACAATTCTTTTAGTCATTTTATCTATATCACCATTTTCTCTTCTAGAGCCAAATTTATTTTTAGCTGATCCCAATCCCCCATAGGCAACTGGGTGTATGGATCGGGGTTAAGTTTCTGTTGCTTAAAGGAACTCTACAGACTATATTCTCAGTTCTATTTTTCTAGCTTGCTCATCATTTTCTTTCTCCCTTCTGTAGGGGATAAAATATTCTATTCTTGGTCCCAGCCCAAAAGGAATTTGGGGAGAGCATTTATAGAAAATTGCGTCAAATCATTTTTCCATTTGGCAAGGATACAAAAGGCAGTATTACCTACCCCATTTAATGCAACTGAAAACAGATGAAGTTTGGGGTTGGGGGTTTTCTGGGAGCAGCTAAAATACAAAACTGGCTGCTCTTTAAAAATGGAAACTCAGAACATGCCGAGCTGTCTTGGAGGCAGAATCTCCTGGGCAATTTCGAAAGAGAACAATGAAGACATAGCAATTAAAAAGCACTTTTCTGTAAAATGTCATTACTGTTTAAAGTTACATAACCATTTCTACGGCAGCGGAGGTTCACACAGCAGTCACAGACAGAGTCGTCTCCTGATGGCCTGTGTCCAACAAAGAGGCCCAGTGCTGAACTCCTACATGGGCGCCTGAATCCTGCCTGCTTCAATGGGAACCATAAATAATTTGGAGGGGGATTTGGCTTGTGAAACCACTGTTTGAAAGATATACAGCTGCCGGCTGGGGTGAAATATTCTGTCCCCACAGTTCCCAAAGACACAACACACAGACACACAGACACACACACACACACACGGAGAGAAAGAGAGAGAGAGAAAAGAAAACTGAGAAAATGAGAGAGAAAAGGGCTACTGTTATTGCCAAGCATATAAATTTTGCCTTAGAAAACCCAGGCAGGCAATAGTTGAGAGTTTTATTTGAACATCAACTCACCCACACTGAACATATGGAATATTTTTCTCCCAATCTTTTTATATATTAAAATAATCTTGTTATAATTTAAAATGGAATGTTTCACTGTTCTGCAGAGCATGTGGGCAATGTATATGTGGGAACACCCAAGATGTCTTCCTTCTCTTTTCCTGATTTGTGCCTCATTCTTTTTCCTTTCAATTCACCTTCGACAGGTGCATCTCACAATATTTTTTGTAGCTTGTATACAGTCTTTGTGTGCTGAGATATTATTTCTCTTTCTCTGTGTCACATGATGGGATATCTCTATTTCCTTGCCTCCCTCCTTCCTCTTATCTCCTAATATTCTCTTCTGTACTGAGAATACATCAGAAAAACCCTGCCTTTTTTTCAGTACCTGCAATACACACATCAATATTGTTCCTCCCATAATCTTTGCACTTGCGTTTCCCTGTGCACCGAATATTCTCTCCTCAGATTTCTGCTTGATCCCTTGTCCTATAATCCAGACCCTCCCAGACCCAGGTTAAAAGGCATCTTCAATTTTTTTCATAGGATTAATTCCTGGCTGAAATTATCTTTTGAATTTGTTTTATTTCTAATAGTTTTTCTATCATCCCCATTAGAGAGTAGGCTCTAGGGAAGAAGGGACCTGTCTGCCCTCTAAGGGCCCCCAGAGTATAAACTAAGGTCAAGCCCAGTGTAGGCTCCAGGCACTCATTTGTTGATCAAATAAATATTTTTTTTTTTTTTTTTTTGAGACCGAGTCTCACTCTGTCACCAGGCTGGAGTGCAGTGGCACAATCTCAGGTCACTGCAACCTCCGCCTCCCGGGTTCAAGCGATTCTCCTACCTCAGCCTCCCGAGTAGGGTTTCAACATGTTGGTCAGGATGGTTTTGAGCTCTTGACCTCATGATCCACTTGCCTCGGCCTCCCAAAGTGCTGGGATTACAGGCATAAGCCACTGCACCCTAACAGTCAAAGGAACTTTGAACTTTAAACACTTCCTCCTGCAAGGAGGAAGTGTTGACTTTGAACTTTAAACGCTTCCTTCTCCAAGATGAAAAGAAAGTGCCTCACGAGGCTTCTGAGGTGTTAGAATTTAAAAATCAGGTGACCTGGCCAAAGTCTCACAACTAAGGTAACAGAACCAGGACTCCAATCTAGGAATTCAACTTGAGTTCTGACACACTCGAGGGTGACCTGGCTTACAACCCCTGTGGTGGCTCCAGCACAGTTGAGACCTCTGGCAATGTTTTATACCCCCTGAAACTCAGGGATTTTTTTTTTTTTTTTTTGGCTATGAGGTTGAAACCCCAATCTCCTTGTATACTAACAAAGAGAGAAAAGGCATAAACTTAAGCCACAACTCGGCTGCCATGGACTGCATGTTTGCGCTCCCTGTCCCCTGCATACATACATTCATATGCCAAAACCCTCACTTGCAATGCCATGGTATAAGAAGCCGGAAACTTAGGAAAGTCATTAGGTTTAGATGAGGTCATGTGGGTGGTGCCCTTGTGATGGGACTAGTGCCCTTATAAGAAAAGGAAGAGATGGGAGAAGAGACAGCTTGTAGCTGTCTACAAGCCAGGAAGCAGTCCCTCCCTCACCAGACACCATATCTGCTGGTACTTGATCTTAGACTTCCCAGCATCCAGACCTGTGACAAATAATTTCCTTTTGTGTAAGCCACCCAGTCTGTGAAATTTTGTTACAGCAGCCTGAGCAGACCAAGACACTGTCATAATTAAGTGTTCAACAAATGTTAGGTTGCCCCCCATTTAACTAGATATCAGATCACATTCATTACCTGGACCAAACTTGAACCCTTCTTGAAAAATCCTCCTTGAATAGCACCATTTGAGCCAGTATAAAACATGCTAAGAATGCATTTTCTTATATGAGGATTAAAATAATTATTATTGGTCTTCGTTTTTAATCACTCCATCATTTTTCTTCTATTAATTTTCCTTCCTTCCTTCCTGTTTTCCTTCTTTCCTCATTTTCTTCCCTCCTTCCTTCTTCCCATTTATCTTTCCTTTCTTTCTTCCCATCTTTCTGCTTCCCTTCTTTCACACATATTCCTGAAGCCCTACTATGTGCCAGGCAGCTGTGCTGTGGATACTAGGGTGAATGAGGCAGACAACTCCCTCTTGTTGTAGGTCTTACTGTTTACTGAGAGAGAGAGAGAGAGAGAGAGAGAGAGAGAGAGAGAGAGAGAGAGAGAAAGAGATGTAAACTAGTTGCTTGGATGCAATGAAACCAGTATTCTATGAGAAGTACAAGTTTTTCAGGGAACACAGGGAAAGAACAATGAACTCAGCATGGACTGGATTAGGGGTGTTAAAAGCACTCTCCACTCTCCTAGGGGGTAGCATTTAAGCTGAGACCTAATGGATACAAGGGCACTAGGGGATGAGGGATCCACAGAAAGAGTAGTCTAGACAGCGGGAAGAGCATGGAAAAGGCCACGGGCATAGAACTCCTTCCAGCTGAGAATCAACTTGGCCCTCACATTTCTTTCTGACTAAGGTTCGTCTTCTTTTGTTTGTTTGCTTACAAGTTCCCTAGAAAAGAAAAGAAAGAGTACTTGCACACAAGAGATCAAAATTTTGAAGGGAAGGGTGACACAAAGCAGAAATCTGTGAGCTCCTTAGAGGAAATAGCATTTCTTATAGTACAAGAAAGATCTTTATTCATTATAAGATGGGATTCTGAGACTCAGGAAAAAAATGGGGCTCACTGTGTTATTGAGTTTCAACCACTGGGAGTACTCAAGTAACAGAAGAACTTTAGGGGACCCTCAAGTTGGATCTCTGGAGACCTTCAACAACATTGATGATATTGCTAGCAGGCACTTGGATCAACTGACCATGCTCTGTGAGGCTGGGGAAAGAAGAATATCTGGAAAAGATAACTGGGAAAGAAGATCCAATCAACAGAAGCTGAAGGTGAACCTAAGACCTGAAGATTATAGCCCAATCTTCATCGCTGACTTTGATTCTGCTCTTTTGCTGACAGGAACTCAGCTTGTTTCTCCTTTTAACAAGTAGTACATTAGGAATTGTTGGAGGAAATAAGAGGTTTAATGCATGCTTCCCACCTCCTAAAGAAACAGAGAGGTTACTCAGATATTGAAAACTAAAGCAAAAAAAAAATTCAAGAACGGGAAAGAAAGTCCTTGATTGATGATTAAAACATTAAAAGTAGTATTGTGTCTGGCACATAGTAGGTTTTTATAAATGTATTTCAAGTATTGAATAAGTCAGTGATCTATTATGAAGACGAAAGAAAATAGGCCTGGAAATAATGAATATGGAAGACTTTGTAATGGCTGTGGGATGTGGGCTGAATCTTGAAACATGAGCATGGTCTGAATAGGTAGATAAAGAAAGTGAACTCAGTATGCCATAGCAGAGGGCATAATTTGGGTCAATCTAAGCCTTTCTTATGCAAGGCAAAGACCATGCATTGTCATAGGTTGTTTTTGGTAAGCTTTATTTTGTTTTATTCTATATCCTAATTACCTAATACAGTGGTATTTTTGATGGATTTGCTCTTTTCTGACCTATTTCATTAGATATTAAATACACGATTTCTTACAGTGCCAAGGGAAGAAGGAAAAAACACAGGTTCTATTTTAGTTGAATATAAATATTTTTCTATCCTGTTCTTGTATCAGAATGTGCCCCCTGTAGATATCTCTGAGCTTTATAGGAGCCCCAGCTGTTGTCTTGTACCACTAAGTTCTGCTTGTCAAATTCTGTCCATTTCCGAAATGCACAAGGTGAGGAGAACAACAGCAAGGACTGCACCTTTTGCAAAAAGTCAGCCTGATCCCCTTCCTTGTGAAAGCCCAGGGATTTCAGACTGGCAGATAAAGGACTTTATGGCTCCAACAGCCATGCTGAACTCCAGTGTAATGAAGGCATGCAGGTCAATTACCCATCTGTTTGTGTTTCTATTGCTGTGAATTACAGTATCCATCGCTGACAGCTCATTGGAGTGGAATGAAAATAAGACAATAATTCACCGGGTGAAACTGTGCAGAAAGGGCGAAAAGGCTATGATCTCATTCAGAAGTTCAGCTCTGTCTCCATGATGGGTCATTTACACTCTGGAAAATGAGGAAAGGCAGATACCTGGGGGTTGGTGAGTGGGTTCCTGCTTCCTTGATATAAGAATTCGGAAATGTCCCCTCCTGGTTAGAGTAATCTTTTGTGTTTGTAAATAAAATCATCTGCTCTGCAGGATCTTAAGAAGATTTGGAATCCTTAGGTGAAAGATACAGGTATATGGAATTCAGCACAATAAAATCACCTTTTCAGCAATCAGACGTTTCAAAGGATGAAGCAGGTTGCTTTGGTAGCAGAGGACTCCCCAACACTGGAAGTGTGGAAGCAGAGTTTGAAAGGTGACATGGCACAAACAAATCTTGGTTCCATCAAAGATTCAGATGGCAGGTGGTAGGGTGGGTTATCATTGACCCACATTCAGTGCTCCTTCTTATAATGTCCCCTCTTAGAGATAACTACACATCCCCACTCTCCAAACTTAAACAAGTTCACATGACATGTTTTGGCCAATGAAATATGAGTGCGAGTGATGTGTGTCTTTTCCAAACAAAGCTATAGAAAACAACATATGAGCTCATCAATCTCTCTTTTTACAAGTCCAACAATGTTCCAGATAGGGGCCATCGGAGGAGCAGAATCACAGTAGTACTGTGACCACCATGTAGCATAAGGAAGAAATAAGCATTCACTTTGGCAAATCACTGAGATTCAGGAATTGTTTGTTAGCACAGCATAACCTAGCTTATACTAACAGATACAGGAGTTGACAAACTATAGCCAAATTGACCTGCAGTCTATTTTTATAAACAAATTTTACTGGAACACAGCCATGCAGATAAAAGAGTTGAGCAGTTGCTACAGAGAACATGCGGCCCACAAAGCCTAAAATATTAATTATCTGGTTCCTAACAGAAAAAGTTTGCCAACTCTTCTACTAGATGACCATCAAGATTTTTTCCAACCTGACTTTTCTATGATTCTGCTCTGTGCTGTTGTTTATTCATTTGTCAAGCAAAGATCAATAAGGCATCCATCATGTGCAGACACTGTTCTAGGTTCTAGAGAAAAGACAAGGAACTAGGAAAGGCAAGGACACAATCCTTGCTGTCATGGAACCTACCTTGTAGTGAGGGAGATAAGACAACAAATAAATAAATAAAAATAGAAAGGATTTATACTGATTAGAGGGGTTGGGCCAGAGGGACTTCCAAATGAGAATTTTAACTTCAAAAAAAGATAATATAGCTTAATTTATGAAATCACCAAGGATAAGGAAGCCAGCATACTTTTTTTTTCAATTTCATAAAATTTCAACATGAACATGTTCTTGAAGCTTTAAGAAGAGGTTGGTTCAATTTAAATATAAGCTTCTTCACAGAAGTCATGATACAAACCAAATTTGGTACCTGTAAGAGTCTGTGCTACCTGATCCCTGGATCAGCTGATGTCTTCAAATTATTCTCTTACCCATCTCCCTTCTTTTTCTTGTTATATCCTGCCATACCATTATCTCTGTTCTCCAAGCATGCCAAGTTCTCTCCTGTTCACATTTTGCCTTCAGCTCTCACTAACTGTTTGACCTTGAAGAAGCTAAGAGGCTTAACTTCTCTGATCCCCAGTTTTCTTATCAAAGCTTCTTTCATAAAGCTAGTGTAAAAATTAAATGAGCTATTTTATATCTTGATTGTGGTGGGGGTTACATAACTGAATATGCTTGTCAAATTCATAGAAGAGTCCACCTCAAAAGGGTATATTTGGCTGTATGTAAATTATATGTCAATGAACCTGAAAATAAAATAACATAAATAGCACTTGTGGAGCTCTTAGTACAGGGTAGTTGTTTAAGTGACATTATTTTCTGACCTTGCCCTGTTTTCTATTCCTTTCTCCAGAAGTCTTATGTGGTCTCAGGTAGTCTCTCTGCTGGCAACCAAAAGCACCTTGCACATATTTCAAATCCCAATGGGACACTTACAGTATCATATGTGTGCTCATGTTCATGTCTCTCCTACTCTATAAGCTTCCTGAATGCAAAACACAGCTCATTCATCTACCATTTCCCTGTCATCTAGCACAGTATTGAGTACCCAGAGTACGTGTTTGAATGAAGGCAATTTTAGACAGAATGTGTTTCAGAGAGGACTGTGGTTCTGTCTTCTATGTTTAGCATGCCCCATCTCTACAGCCATCCCTCATTAGCAAAACCTGTATCTTCTTTCACAATATTACAGCTTGAGACACGAGGCTTTTTAAATTTCATCTCAGTAGTTACAGACATGTGCTCAGAAAGATCTGAGTAAAAAAATACATAGGCACAAAGATATTCTTAAGAGAACAATGGTGCTAAAAGACTTGGCCACTAACTTCAGCAAATAATTTGTTATGGATCCATTGCTATAGATTATGATTCTTGAGGACAATAACTTTATCTCTTTTTTTTGCATTCTTTCCAAGGTAACAAGCCCAGTGCTAGATCATAGTAGGTATGCAAAAATTAAAGTACTCAATTGAACATCTATTAAGAAAGTCCTTTCATTTACCACTTTATTAAGCCAGTTCTATACTGGATGCTAGAGATACAAAAAGTGAATATGACATGGTTTATGGCCTCATGGGGCTCTAGTTTGGCACTAGAAAAAGATTTATAAATGTAAAATGACAATAAAATATATGCATACATATGCACGAGTTTGCATAGGAACAAAAAAGAAGACCTCTCTAACTTTTATAATAGTAGAGGAGTTTGGGAAAGTCATTTTGTACAGGATTGAACCTGAATAGTATATATGGTCCAGCATTTGCCAAGTTGTATGCCACAGAATCACAAATCTGCAAATATGCCCAAACCCAAATACATTCAGAAAACTCTGTACTTAATTCACCTCTTTAGACTCATAATACATATTAGCACAGTCAAGACACTGAGAAGTCCTGCAGTAAATAAATGTGGTTTATGTTATTTAATCCAGTGTTTTAATATTAGGGCACTTTTGCTAAATTACTGTGTGGTAACGAATAACCTCAAAATCCCAGTGGCTTATAACCACAAAGGTTGATTTGTTGCTCATATTTCGTGTCAGCTGTGCTTTGGCTCTGCTCCAGATGTCTTCTTCATTTCAGATGTAGGCTAAAGGTGCAGCCTTTTTTCAGGAATATGCCATTCTTATGATAAAGGGAAAAGAGCAAAAGCCATGCCAGACAATGTCTCCTAAAGTGTCTTGCCCAAATGTGTCATGTACCATGTCTCTCACATTCCATTGTCCAAAGCAAATCACATGGACAAGGCCAATGTCACTAAAATGGAAAGTCACAGAGCCTCCCACAGTGCAGTGCTGCCAGTCACATGGAAATGCACTGTATGTATATAATCCTCTTAGAGGAAACGAACAATAATGTAATAATGAAATCTGCCACAAAATACACTTATTTTTACACCAAATCTTTTTTTAATTTAATTACCATATGATTCAGCAATTTTACTCTTAAGTATATATTCAAAAGAACTGTAGACAAGCATTCAAATGAAAACTTGTAAATGAATGTTCATAGCAGCACTATTCATAGTAGTCAAAGGTGGAAACAACCCTAAATGTCCACTGACCAATAAATGAAAAACTAAAATGTAGTATATGTATACAATGAAGTATTAATTCTGCCATAAAACGGAATGAAGTACTGATACATGCTACAACATAGATGAACCTTGAAAATGTAAAATGGAGGAAGCCAGACACAAAATACCACATATTGTATGATTCCATTGATTTGAAATACAGTTATCCCTTGGTATCTGCAGGGGATTGGTCCTAGAATCCCACCCTCCCACCACCCTCTGATACCAAAATCCATGAATGCTCAAGTCCCTTATATAAAATAGCATAGTATTTGCATATACGCTCCACATATCCTTTTTTATACTTTAAATAATCCCTAGATTACTTATGATACTTAATACAATGTAAATGCTATGTAACTGCTGTTACACTGTACTAACTTTTTGTACTTTTTATTGTTGTATTATTATTATTAATTTTTAAATAGTCTCTATCTGGTTGGTTGAAGCCACAGACCCAGAACCCACGGATATGGAACTCAAGGGTATAGAGGGCAGACTGCAACCAGAATAGGCAAATCTATAGAGGCAGAAAGCAGATTAGTAGTTATCAGGGGCTGAAGGGAAGGGGAAATAGAGAATAACTGCTTAGGGGGTATAGAGTTTGTTTTGGGGGTTGTGTAAAGTTGTAGAAATAGTAAGGATATTTGCACAACATTGTGAATGTACTGTTGCTAAATTTAACACTTAAAAATGATTAAAGTGTTAAATTTTATGTTGTGTATATTTTGCAACAATAAACAAATAAGATTCAAAACAAATCGATTCGACAGTTCAAATAACTTTAAACCGTAAACATTTATTGAGCATCTACTATAAGCTAAACACTATGAGAAAGAGAAGCAAATAATGAACAAATGAAAAAGCATATGGTTTCTCCTCTCAGCGATCTCAGTTACAATTTAGTGGCAGACGTGTACAATTGTACACATAAGACAAGACAGAATGTATCTGGAATATAATAGAGGCACATTAAAAATGCTTTGTTGACAGTGCAAAAGGAGAGCTTAATTCTAAGGTAAGTTGTTAGGAAGAAGATAAGAAGTGGCCCAATCATCTTAAAAAATAAACAGGCACCATATCTCCATGGAGTCAATAAACTAATTATCATGGGTAACTTATTTAGGTTTTGGCCATCCTGATGCCTCATTTCTGCACAATCAATGAGATCGACAAGGAATCTAATGGGACATGGTTGTTAAATAGACCAAATTGCCACATCAACCATTTATCTCTCACGATTTCCATGCTGCGTACTTGGCCACAAGTTTATTTGAATGGTATAGCCCCACATGGCTACATACCAAGAAGTAACTCCCTGATACTCCTTCTCTCAGCATCAGTTTATACCCCATCAGTTTGTGCTTGCTTAGAATTCTTTACTCCTTCCTGCCCAAGTCTGAGTCTTTAAGTTCCCTCCAGATTCCAGGTTTCTGTAGGTCAGAAGCAGCTCTTTTTACAGTCATATACTCCTGGGTTGCTGCAAAGCCTAGTATCATCTATTCTAGGGTTTTTTTTTGTCTTCTCCGGTTATAGATCCATTTCAGAATATGAGAATAATTATGGAAATCGGTCACACCTACACAAGTTGGCAAGTAATTTTAGGAAAATCACAGACTGTCTAAAGTAAATAGCAGAACCTAGAAAGGTTATGGTGCTGGCACATGGAAAGGGCTATATAAATTCCTGATCTAGTAAAAACCATGACTATTATATATATGCCCCAGGTTGGGAAGCAAAATTATGTAGAGTTTAAGAATACCAGCACTGAGTGGATCTGGGTTCAAATTCCTGCTCTAAAAGGTAGTTACTTAACTTCTGTGAGCTTCAATTTTCAAATCTGAAAAATGGGACTGTGTTGAGGTTTACATGAAATATTCATGTAAAGAAATGAGCTCTATACCTGGCACATGATAATTATTCACAAATAATAGCCGTTATTGTTAGTATTCTTATTTTATGAACCCTCTTGGTTTTTAGATCAGGTGCTTTCTATGTGATTTCCAAATAAATGAAGAACAATAGCTCTGAGATACATGTGTTCTTATTCCCATTTTACAGATTAAAAGACCTAAGGAAGCTCAGAGGCCTAATTAACTAGTCTTTATCACTGGCAAATCTTCTCTGCCCATCCTCCTCATTCTATCCGATTTCTAATTAAATCTTCTCTGCCCATCCTCCTCATTCTATTCGGTTTCTGATTGAGTCTTTGATTGATATCCTCAATCCCTTTCTTCTTGAGAAGAATCCTTCTCCTCTGGCGAGCATAGAACAAGGTGCTCCTATGTTCATAAAGTAAAAGCAACAGTTGGATGCAGCTAGCTGGGTGGAAATCAGTAATCTCATTTTTCATGAAGACACGAAAGGCACTGCTCTTTCATTGAAAGGGCCTCATCGGCAGAGCCACAGGAAGCCAGGAACATAAATTCCCATTAGTGCCTCCAGGTCCCTGCTAACTGGACAAGAGAGGCTGTAGGCATGAGCCATTGCTTGTGACTCTAGACTAATTCCTAACAAAGATGATTCACCCCAAAGCTGCTGCTGAGACCAGGTACTGGCAACAATCACTTAGTGTATCACCCTGAGGTTACAAGTCCACATAAAGTGATGGGCGTGTGGGAGAGGAGGGGGCTTTAGAAAAAGGAGACCTATTCACTCTCTGTCTTTTCATCCTCTTTGAGCCTCAATTTCTTCATCTGTATAGTGGGGAGCATGATCCCTAACTCTTAGTTGGTGGGATGGATAAATGGGCTAGTGGTTATAAGCTCAATGTCTAAGAAGGATAGCATCTCAAAAAAATGTTATTTTTAAACATTTCTCCTACACTTTCTTTTTCTACTATTTGTTGCAAGATGATTTTGAAAATAGTCATCTTCGCTCCATCTGTGACGTCTAGCTACTGAGAAATGGGATTACCGACACTACTCTTCATCAGACTGCTCCTCTTGCTCTGCCCTGTCCTCTCCCTCTACCCCCTTCTTCACTTCCCCTTCCCTTTCTCTCTTTCCACACTTCTTTCTCTTCCTTTCTTTCCTTTCCCCTTCCTCCTAATCTTCCTTATCTCATTATCTTCCACTGTCAGTCTAGCACCAATTATATTCAAAAACTCAATTCAGCAATTCAGCAAATACATGTATGTACGTGTATACACACACACATAGGAATTATATTATATATAATTCCTATGCCCATGGCACTACATTAAATATTACGAAATGTAAAATTGGCAAGGAAAAATCTTTGCCTTTAAAGAGGCCTATACTCTAATCTAATAGAAAAGATAGAAAACTAAACATAAATGAATATGTTGCAAGGTGAGTAAAATAAAAAAAAAAATCATACTGTAAATGAGGGGTAATCAAAGAGTTATAATGGGATGAGAGGAGGGACATTTTAATCCAGTCCTGTGTATGTGCATGTGTGCATGCAAGATACCATTTTAAATGGTTCCTGAGGACTATGTAGAATGCCATTGAGTAGAGATGGGAATGCAAGGTATCTCTGGTAGAGGATACTGCTGAGCAAAGACGAATGGGAAAGAAGAGGGTGAGTTGGAGGAAAGATAATCTGCGTGATTGCGCGTGTTGGTTATTATCATTGCCTCTTCTAGGAAAGTCCCACCTCCATTGTTCCAATGGGCTTTAGAACTGAAGCTAGAAAGGGAATTTGGGACCCCACGAATGTGGGGAAACCATGGAGTGATTTCAGGCAAGCGTCAGTCCTAATAGGCTATGACTTGGGAAGATTAATACAAAGGGGTGAACTGATGTATATTGAATAAAGATCCATTGAGAAAAATATTAATTACTTGATTGATTCATAAATAAACTGATCAAACTGAGATTATCTTTGAAGTTGCCAAGTACACTTTTTATGTATATGTATTTGGTTTAATCCCCTAGACTGTGATCCTCCACTTTGACTAACACAGTGGTTGTTCTTAATATTTGGCACACCATAAATACTTGCTGTGGTTTTTGTGGAAGGATTTGCTGAGTTCCTGACTATGTAAGGAACACTGCATTTATTCATTCAGCATATATTTAATGAGCACTTGATATTGGCCAAGCACATATGCCATGGAGGATGCAAATATAAATAAAGCAAATATTTTGCAAGTAACACATTGATAGAGGTGGTAAAAATAATACCTAACTTTTTTTAATGCTTAATCTAAGCCAGACATAATGTATATTCTTACATGCATAATACAACAACCATAGGAAGTAAGTTAGTAATAGAGGCTCGGAGGCTGCAGTAACTTATCTGAAACCTCTCAGCCAGCAAATGGTAGAACTAGTACTGGAACTAAGGTCCGTTTGACTCCAGGGCCTTTTCTTGAAACCACTATTCTACATTGTATCTCCTTAGATAAGAAAGAGAGTGACAATGGTCATAATGTAGAAGGTCAGAGAAGCAAAAGAAGCCAGGAGGCTTCTCAGAAGAGGTGGCATTTGGAGAATTCAATGGTATGACCCTTCCTGGAAGATGTAACATCCAAAGCAATAGCAAAAACACATGCCCTTTTGAAGAATGCTGTGCATGCAATGTAGCACAGAGAATGGCATACAGTAGGCCCTCAGGAAATGGTCATTAGGTTGAACTGAATCCAGTATCATGTGGGATAAGAAGTGTAAGGGTTCAAAGAAGAAAACAGAGTTCACTATGGGCTGAGTGATTCATTCATGTATTCATTCACACAGTCGTACAGCAACTATCTTTTGAGCAGTGTCTATATATCAGTCTCTGTGTATTGTGCCAGAGAGAGAGATGGTTCTTATCAAACAAGAATCTAGGACAATTGGAGAGTCAGATTAATAAAAGGATGATGATACTATTGTGTGGCAACTCCTAGAGAAGAAGTTGTGCAGACCATCTAATGGCCTGGGGAGGGGAGTTTAGAGAAGCTTACCTGAGAGAGATGAAAAGTTCAGGAATTGGAGAAAGGCTGTGTAAAAGTGCAGGGCAATAAAAAAATAAAAATAATAGTTTTCAAAAGATGCCTGTAGTGAAATGTAAGAAATGGCATGGGTCTGGAGCATGGATATGGTATATGTTGGGTGATAGCATAAGGCAAAGCCAAGAAGATTGGCAAGGCTTGCATTTGAACAGCCTGGTGTTAAGTTAAGAAATCTAAACTGTATACCAAAACTTTCACGGAGGCTGTGAAGGGCTGTGAGGAGGGAAGCGAGAATCTGATTTGGCTTTAAGAAGATCACGCTGGCTGCTGTGAGTCAACGGATCAGCAGGAGTGAGATCTGAACAAGAAGGCTGCTTTGACCCTCATTGTACTGATCTGGGGAAGGGAGAGATGATGAGACAAGGAGCTGAACCAAGGCAGAGGGTGGAGAAGGAATGATTCTGATGAGGGGACATTTGTGCTTGGCATTGAGAGATGGGCCACATTCAATAGAAGAGAGTGAGGATGTCATTTTAGGCATGAAGAGAGTCCGGGTGCATGAGTGATAGGAAATCTTCTAGTCTAGAAGGAGCTGAGGTTTCAAGCAGAGATAGAAAAAGAAAAGGTCAAAGAAGAGGAAGAAGATGGGAAGAAGAAGAAAAAAGAGGAGGATGAAGAGAAGGAAGATAAATGATTTAAGACCAAGAAACCAGATAGACCATTTGAATGTGAAGATTTGGAGAAGGCTCTCAAAACACAAGTCTCGGGTGGCCCTGTTGGAGATTCAGGCAGAGGGCAGACGATACCTCAAGTTAGTGGTCTTTGACCCCATCTCCCTTCCCTGGCCTACCCTCCCATCTCCTAATGATCTCTATCCTCCTTGCATTCATCCTTACCTTTTGGAAATTGGGAATAAGCTAATGACCTCACTCAATTTTTCAGGGGAAATACCTTATGACATTGAATCTACAAATCTAAGATGATATTTACTATAAAACACACCACTGTTTTATGTATACTAAGAAAATAATACCCTGCCAAATTAAACTAAGACACATCATCAATAATAAAAAGCATTCTAATTTCAGAGGTATTAAAATCTGAAAAATCATACAATTTAAAATCTATGATAGGCAATCAAGAAATAAAGATCAAGAAAATGTCTCCATTATCACATGTACAAATTGTACTAGCCTCTGATCTCAGGTTCTCCTTTCCCTCTCTGCCAAGAATATGTGCTCCTATCTAAGGCAAATAATTCCAGTTATGCACAAGACCCTATTCACTCTTGCCTGCTCCACTTTGATTGTAAAACCATTCCTCCCATTTTTGCAGTATCAATTTTTCCCTCTCTACAGAATAATTCTCAACATTAGACAAAAGTTTTGTTGCTTCTATATTAAAAAGAAAAGAAAAATATCACTTTACTCCTGATCACCTTAAGCTATTGTGCCATTTACTATAATACTACTCTGTAGAGTTTGCCCTTGAATTTCACTTGAATTTGCTCCAGAATTTCACCCCCAGAATTCCATTGAAAACATCCTTTGTCATCAGTGACCCATGTGTTGCTAAATATCATCCTCAGTTCTCAGTCCTCACTTTAATTATACTATTAGCAGTATTTGACGCAGTTACTGCTGTCTCTGTTTTGAAAAACTTTCCTTATATAACATCCAAGATTCTATACTCTCTTGTCTCTCTTCTTACTTTTCTGGCCACTCTCCAGCTTCCTTTTCTTGTTCCTCATCATCATTCTATCATCGCAACTTTTAACATTAATTTCTCCATGGCACAATAACTGAATTTTTTTTTCTCTATCTACCCTCTCTCCCAAAGTAATCTTGTTCAATCTCAGATAATTAAATAGTATTTATATCCTAATTTATATTTTCAGTTTTCTCCTCTTACCTTTCAAATGTCTTCCACTCAACATCTACATTTGGATATCGAATAGATTTGTCAAACGTAGGTTCCAACTCAACTAGGTTTGAACGCATTTTCACATGTCCCATCAAAACTGGTCCTTACCAGTCTCATCATAGCAATGTGACAATTCTACCATTGTAGTTGCTCAGGCAAAACTTTGGGGTCATCCTTGACTTCTCTCTCTCACAAATACTTTTGAGTTCATTACCAAATCATGTCAGGCTAACCTTAAAAATTCATCCATAAATTCAGTCACCTCTCACCACCTTCATTGCAACTGTCATGATCTAAGCCACTGTGTTCTCTCACCTGGATAAACATGACAGCCTCCTAACAACTGATATCCTACAACTGTTCTTGCCCTCTACAGTCTTTCTTACTTAATAGCTGTAGTTATCTATTTAAAATCTAAGTCAGGTCAAGTTACTTCTCTGCCTAAATTTTCAATTGCTTCTCATTGCATCTAGAGTAAAATCTGATATAAAGTTTTTGCCATGTTCTACAAGTTTCTACATGACCTGCTCCTTCATTATTTCTCTGATTATAAAGAAGTTTTTTTATTTATTGTCTGCTTTTGCCATATCCACACATCAATTATAAGCTCAAAATGATTCATTTATCTTATTCACTGCTGTATATCTGGCTTTAAAAACATACCTGACCATACAGTTGGTGCTCTGTAAATATTGCTAAATAAATAAATTAGTAAATGTATGAAAGAATAAATTTCTGTATCATCCACAGATTTCAGCAAAATATTCTCTCTGCATCCCTTTCCACATCAGGGAGCTACTGAGGCACAGCTTTGCTCCCTGTATACTTCGCCATATGGATACTAGATTAAATTACATGACAATGTTGGTAAAACATTCAATGGGCTTCTTGGAAAGAGAAGTATGAAAATAAGAAGTTATCATTATGCCATTAGTGTTATTACCACTATTTGAGCTGTTACTGCTATGACTACTAATAGCCTCTGATCATTCTCATGATGCTTTCTTTCTCATTTCTAATCTCCTCCAATCCTGTTCTTTCTTTTTTTTTTTCTATTTTGCTTTACGTTTGCCTTGTTTTAATAAACATTTCATGAAACATCACAAGGTGAAAGTCATTAGAGTGCCATTGATATTGTTCTCAATCCACCAAAGTAGCCTTCTGCAGAATCTGCCCTCCCAGCCTCATTCAAAGGAATGAGAAGAGGAAGAGAGAAATATAGAGGAAACACATTTGAAGAAGCTTGAAGTTAGGCTGAGTTAAAACTGCAGTTCAGCCACTTATTAAATAACCTCTCTAGGCCCTGGTTTCTTCACCTGCAAAAATGAGAATGTTATTTATGCCTTCTTCATGGGAATCATGTTGAGGATTAAAAATATAATAAATACAATTATAAAATAAAAACAAGTTAAAAATATACATAAATAAGCAAAAATAAATCTAATAAAAATAAATTAGCACAATCTCTGGCATATGAGGAAGCACTGAAAAAAATAATATCTATTGTCATTCCTGGCTCCTCTAACCTCAGTTCATGCAGCCTGTCCTCCAGCTGGGCTGAACCACCTCCCACTTTCCCATGCCTCTCCCCTTTATTCATGTTCTTTCTTTGCAGAGGATGTCAACATGGGACATGTTATTAAATAAAACCTAAATAGATACGTATTGTATACACAGAAATGCATACATACAAATAAAGCATGTGCAGCTTTTTGAATTTTCACAAAGCAAACACATCCATGTATTACCAACCGGATTTAAAAAACAGAACATTACCAATATCCCCAGAAATGTCTCTCACCCCTTCAGCCACTACCCCATTCCTCTCCCTAAAGGTTAACACTCTCTGGACTCCTAAAACCGTGTATTTGTTTTTACTTTTTTTTCACCCATCTAGGAATAGAATCCCACAGCCTGTACTCATTTACGTCTAACTTGTTTCACTCAATGCTGTGTTTGTAAGATTCTTCCATATTGTTGTATGAAACAGTGGTTTATTCTTTCTTATTTCTGTATAGTAAGCTCATTGTATGAATGTATGACAATTTATTTATCCATTTTCTTGTTGATGGACATTTGGGTTGTTTCCAGTTGGAGTTATTTGAAATAGAGTTGCTGTGAACATTTATGTCTTCTGGTGAGCATGTTTTCATAGGAGTCAGGATTGATGGGTCATTGACCAAGGACACGTGCAGTCTTTTGTAGACACTGCCAAGAATTTTCCGAAGTGATTGTACCAATTTGTGTTCCTATAAGCAATGTGCCTAAGTTCCCATTGCTTCACATTGTCCCTCCTTGATATTGTCAGTCTTTTTGATTTGAGTCATGCTCATTGCTGTGTTATATTAAATTGTGACTTTAATTTACACTTTTTTTCCTGACTAGGAGAGTTGAGCACCTAAGTGTTTATTTGGCATTTTGACACTCTTGTTTGTGAAGTGCTTGTTCATGTCTTTCATTCATTTTCTTTTCTTACAAGACTATTTCCCTTTTTCTTTTTGACTTCAGAAGTTTTAAAAATATGTATATTCTGTATTCTATAAGTGTTCTTTGTCAGGCACATGTATTACAAATATTTTCTTCCACTCTATGGCTCATATTCTTATAATATTAATAGTATTTTGATGAACATAAATTATAATTTTAATGTATCCAATTTATTAGCCTTTTTTTCTTATACTTAGTGTTTTTTTGCATCCTACTGAATAAAAATGAGCTCACTCAAAAATCATGAGATAATCTGTCTTATATTTTAGAAGTACTTTTGTTTTGCCTTCCACTAGGAGAATATGATACTTCCTCAGATATTTTTTTTCCTATGACTCCTCTAGACAGAATGAATCTGAACAGACAGAATGAATCACTCCCTTTTCTGAATCCCCATAATGCCATGTCTTATTTTATTATGACTATTAGGTTATATATTATCTTGAGTCATAGATACTTGCCCATCTATCCTTTCTATCTCATCCCCACAAGCCATTCACCCAATTGTCTAAATTCTATATGGTCTTTTCACTAAATCCTCGTCATAATGCCTCCTAAGTAACTCTGGGATTGCTCCATTTCTGTCCATCTCAACTGGTACCCCCATGGTCTAAATCCGTGGCATTTCCTCTTGAGTTCTGTAGTAGCCCCCTAAATGTCACCAACCTCTAATCCACCCCCTCTAATTAACTGTCCACACAAGAGTCAGAATGATCTTCTAAAATATCAATCTCTTCATGCTACTTCTTTTTAAAAAACCATTCCATGGTATCCATTGCTCTCAAATTAACTTTCAACTCATTAATGTGCTGCAGAAGCCTTCTAGGACTTGAAAGATTATCTTGTCTTTCTCACCATTGATGTCTGTGCTTTAATTTCACATGAGTTTCTTATTTCTTTGAATACCCCTTCATAAAGATCCTCTGTCTGCCTCTCTATCCATGCCTCTGTCCTCCTATTCATCCTTCAGGTCTTATCCTATATATCTTTTTGGCAGAAAACTTTCCTGACTCCCTGGTACGTTAAGTCCCTATGCTATCTCGTGCCATATAAACCTTATACTTTTTCTCCATTAAAATTTATTATGCCTACTCTTGTTTGTTTGAAGCTCATCTTCTCTAATAGAATGTATATTTCCTTGGGGCAGAAACAATGTCTGTCTTGTTCACGACTTTATTTTTTTTGTCTATCTCATTACCAACATGAGTTCTTCAAAAAATATATTTGTTGACTTGAACTGATTTATGATTATATGCCTGGGGTCTAGTATTGGCTTTGGCATGTAGTTAGTCTCAATAAAGGTTTTATAATTCATCATTTTCATAAAATCCTAGAATCAGTGTTGAGAAGAACTTAAAACCACCTGCCTCAATCACCCAACCTAACTGATGCTTAAATAATCTCTATAACATTTGCACCAAATATAATCTACTTATAATTCTCTGACAACAGGGAGTGACTGCATCCTTCAGCAGATCATTCCAGATTTGGTCATAAATGTGTACTAGAAAGATCCATTTTACATTGAGTTAAAAGCTGGGATCCTTGTAACTTCTCCCTTCCTACTAGATTGGGATTGGTCCATTTTATTAATATTAATGGGATTGATTATCTTTTCTGCAAGGCAGCCTTTTAGATACCTGCAGCAAGTAATTTTTGCTTCAATTTAACCTTCTTTTACTATTTATCATAGTAAAACACTTTCTCAAGAAAAACTGCAGTTTCTCAACATCCCTCCTGGAGTGTGATGCTCAAACACGGATCCAATCCTCCAGGTGTACTCTAACCCATCTAGGGTAGGACAGTAGGCCTGCTACCACCCTTTCCATTCACAGCATCCTTCTAATAATGTTATCATGGCAGATCTAGATTTTGGAGAACATAAGTCTTATACACTAGCTGTTTTATTTAAAAAATAAATTCAAAATTAGATAGGAAATCAAGTGTGTATTTAGAATGAGAAAAGGTGGGTACTTGGAAGGTGCAGAATCCTTGAACCTTAAGCTTCATTGGCTTCAGGTAAATCAACCTCTAAATGTCCCTAAGATCTCAGTAATTTCCTTGGTAGGAATATGTCATTAATTCCTTCTATTTCTGTTCCAATTATAACTCACAATCTTTCCACCCTCAGTATGCACAGCAGGGTGATCAAACACAGACTGGAGCTTCACTGCCTGGATTCAAATCCTGGCTCCCACTTCACACAGTCTCTACAGGTATCGCATGAACTAACACATTGAAAACCCTGGCACACACAAGGAAGATCTGTCTTTCTTATCTACTTTCTTAACAGGCATTAGTAAATCTTTCTGTCTACTCTTTTTTCTGTCTACTCTTTTTTCTGCTACTCTTTTCTGTCTACTCTTTTTTCTGCTAAAGAGGGCAGGGTTACGCTCCATGTATTTAAGTTTCTAGTGTGTTGTGTTTTGTTATTTAATAGTAAACCACTTTCTTGGCCTGAATTTCCCTGAGGGATTTTCATTCACTGCCCTCAAGTGACACTACCAAGCCCTCCATGCATGTTAGAAAACAGAAGATATTTTCTAACCACCTTCTGTAACGGGAGCATGAATCAAAGAGTTGCCAAAAGGAACCAGAAAATAAAAGTCACATTAGTCTCCTCTTAGCTTTACCTGCCAATCTCAACCCAACTTCCTCCCACTGACATTCAGAATCACCTTTATCATATACCTTTCTAGAAGGTCACATTTTTAGTCTGCTCAAAGTTAAAGCATGTCATTTTTTTTTCTGACTCTAAAGTTAATACATGATCATTGTAGAGAAGTTAGAAAAGAAATTAGATGCCTAAAATACATCATCGGTAACCTAGAGATCCAGAAGTAAGCTCTTCTAATACCTGGGCATATTTTCTTGCTACATTATTATTATTATTATTATTATTATTATTTTGAGGTGGAGTCTTGCTCTGTTGCCCAGGCTGGAGTGTAGTGGTGCATGATCTTGGCTCACTGTAAACTCTGCCTCCCGGGTTCATGCCCTTCTCCCACCTCAGCTTCCCGAGTAGCTGGGACTACAGGCGCCTGCCACCACGCTTGGCTAACTTTTTGTATTTTTAGTAGAGACGGGGTTTCACCGCGTTAGCCAGGATGGTCTCAATCTCCTGACCTCGTGATCCGCCCGCCTCGGCCTCCCAAAGTGCTGGGATTATAGGCATGAGCCACCGCGCCTGGCCATTATTATTATTAGTACTGAGACAGAGTCTTGCTCTGTCGCCTAGGCTGGAGTGCAGTGGCGCAATCTCGGTTCACTGCAATTTCGGCCTCCTGGGTTCAAACGATTCTCCTGCCTCATCCTTCTGAATAGCTCGGACTATAGGCGCACACCACCGCGCCCAGCTAATTTTTGTATTTTTAGTAGAGACTGGGCTTCACCATATTGGCCAGGCTGGACTTAAACTCCTGACCTCGTGATCCACCCACCTCAGCCTCCCAAAGTGCTGGGATTACAGGTGTGAGCCACTGCACCCTGCCTATTTTTATTATCTCTTTAAATTATTAAGATCATGCCACCCATTCCATCAGAAACCTTTTATTTATTAACATTATATCACATTATTTTTACATATTATTGGAAATTCTTTATAAACATCAGTACCAGTTTAATATTATGTTGTATTAATGCAATATAATTCACTTAGTCTTCACATGTGAAAAATTAAAATCCTTACTTTTTTTGATATAATACATTATGCTTTTTAAAAACAGTGCTATGTGTACTTAAAGCCTTGTCCAACTTTTCCCTGCAATCTCCTCTCCTTTTTATGATGTGAATTAATAAAGATGAAATTACTATTTTAAAGGATATATTTTCTTTAAAATAATGTATATGGAGCCCCAAACATAAACTTGACATATACAGCATATACAGACACCAAAGAAATGTAGATATTTATAAATACAAATTAATTAAAGCTCACATTTCCTTACTATCTGAAAACTAATTAATAATCATGAATTTACTGTCCTGCATATGTTAAAAAATTCTAAATATATATGTATACACGGTATCATAACTGTCTAATTTCCATATTTGCAGTTTTCATTAGATTTTCTATGCTTCCTCTTCTTTATTCTCCCTTCACTCCATCCCTCCTGATCCCCTCTCCCACATATCACATCCATGATGTTTCCCCCAACTGACCCCACTTTTTCCACTGGCTTCCTACCTTGAAGGTGCAGTTTGCTCTCCGTGCTTTGCAGAAGGACGGAACTCACAGAGTCCAGATTGTCATAGCTGTTACAGCCCAGAGGCCCAGTGCGTGTCTCTGTGACCTGCAGTAGATATCAAATAAGATAGGTGTGAGACAGCAGTCCTTGTCTAGGACATACCCCAAAGAGTCATGCCCCAGCAGAGCAAAGCCTGCAGAAAAGGCCTCCTGGTTTGAGTCAATGGTCACTTTCTGAGCTTCGTGCTTGTGTCTGGGACCAAGCACAGCTGTCACTGAGTAGACAGGTAAGCAGGGTGGTCAAGCATACAGAGTGCATGCCTGTTCCTACCACTGGTTCTCACTTCACACGGTGGCTGCAAGTAGACATGAACTTAGAAGTTGACACATTATATTTCAAAAGCATTGGCTTTGGAATCAGAAAAAATAGTGTTAAATCCTGCCTAGGCCATGTATTTACCCTGGGACCTAGGGAAGCCAATTAATTTCTCTAAGTATCTGCAAATCAAAGCTAGTAAATCTCTTCCAGAGAGGTTGTGAGACCAGGTACGATGGGTCTAAACGCCTGGCACATGGCATGTGTTCCATAATGGGTACCTTATTACAAAATGGCTCTATAAGTTATAATGAGTACATATACACTATTATTAGGCAAGAACAAGAAAACGATGCCCATTTTCCTAAAGAAGTTTTAGCAAGAAGCATTGTGCTGCCACAGGAGAAAATGACCCAATCCTGTGGATGTGCATTTCCAAAACATTGTCTTAGAAAGACTTGAGGTGGTGGGTAAGAGAGGAACAGCTATTCAAAAAGATAACCTTGAAATAAGAATGGCTTAGTATGAAAAGAAGCCTCTTCATTTATTTAGCCTTTGCTTCCCATTATTTAGGGTTGTTTTGAAGTTTGCATTCAGCTATAAAAACACAGCATCCATTGTAAGGAACAATGACTTGGGAGGCAGCCACATGCACCTTCTCTGCCCTTTTCCAGCTGTGAAACCTTGGATCAGTAACTTTCTCTTTCTAAGCCTCAACTTCCCCATCTATAAAATGTTAGTAATGCTATTAGTCACCAAAATAGGGTCAAGAGATTATATTTTTGAAGGGTTTAGCACTTCGGGTGCAGTCATATTTAGTAAATGGGGAATAATTAGGTTTTGTATTTTTCGTTTTGTTTTACAAATAATTTATTTTTATATAAAAATAATAACATATTTATTATTGAGAGAGAGTAAAACTTACCAATTTACTTTCCTAAAGATACCTCTGCTGGGGAGAATGGTGAATGGGCAAAACTTCTCCGCCCGGGTTAGTGGCTGGTCTTAAACAGACCCAGGCCAGCTGCAGTGGTTCATGACTGTAATCCCAGCACTTTGGGAGGCTGAGGTGGGTGGATTACAAGGTCAAGAGATTGAGACCATCCTGGCCAACATGGTGAAACCCTATCTCTACTAAAAATACAAAAATTAGCTGGGCATGGTGGCGCGCACCTGTAGTCCCAGCTACTTGGGAGGCTGAGGCAGGAGAATCGCTTGAAACCGGGAACTGGAGGTTGCAGTGAGCCAAGATCATGCCATTGCACTCCAGCCTGGGTAACAGAGCGAGTCTCCATCTCAAAAAGACAACAACAACAACAAAAACAGACCCAATAGTGAGACAAGTTTTAGACAGCTTGGTCTTGAGGTAGTGGCAAGAAATGGCATGAAAAATCCAAGGGCCAAATTAAGTGCAGAAGACAGTGCCTACCATAAGAAATGGTTTCTTGAGTGGCCTCTGCAATTTCTCTGAGAAATTCCTCCTATGGAGGCAGACTGCACTTCTAGGATACACGAAGGAGGATTATCTTCTGACAGAGCTTCAATATCTCAATTCCACATCCCATCCAGCGAGGAGAGAACCATTTGGTGATAATGAAAACCAGGCCTCTGCAGCACTCTGACTCCGATGGCTTCATAAAGATCCATCTCTCTGTGCTGAGTTCCCTAACAACATAATCTCCCAAATACAGGCGATTCTTTTCGGATAAACTGGCCCTTTGTTTGTTGGTCTGATTTATTTCTCTCCTTACTACCTCCCTGCTCAGTAACTCTCTCCCTCCCACACTTTTCTCTCTCCTTAGTCAATTTCTGACTCATCTGCCAGCCTTGGCAGGGTAAGACCCCTTGGCCTTATCCTCACCGTTTTTCCCTATAGATATCTTGGAAAGTCTTAATATAAGGCTAGGTCTGCATTTTCTTTAGAAGAAATTAGAGTAAAGACTGAGATGTAAAATGCAGGCATAATCTGGTTAAAGAACATTTGAGATGGAAACATCTGCACTAAAACCCTCAGAAGAGCAAACATTTTATGTCGAGGATGTCCTCCCACATTCGCTTTATAGAGGCTGTCTGAATTTGTTGTGTTTAAAATGGAATCTTGTTAAAGTTCCTGTGCTCTAAGCACTGAATTGAAAGTCCAGGGCTGCTTTTCTCAATGTGACCATTTAATTTTTAATTAGCTAAAATGGAATAAACTTAAACAATGAGCTCCTTGGTAGCCATATTTTAGGTGTTCAATAACCCCAGGTGACTAGTGGCTACTATCTCGGCTAGCACAGATACAGGGCCTTTCCACCATCTTAGAAGGTACTACTGGACGGTGCTGGTGTAGGCGAGCCTAGATCAGCAAACCACAGAGTGCCTGTTTTGGTAAATATAGTCATATTGGAATACAGCCATGCCCATTTGTTTTTATATCATCTATGGCTGCTTTTATGCTACAACAGCAGGGTTGAGTAATAGCAACACAGGCCATACAGCCCACCATGCCTAAAATAATTATTGTTTGGTCTTGTACAGAAAACTTTTGCTGACTGCTGGTCTTGAGAGCAGAGTTCTAGTCCCTGTTAAGTTATTCTCTAACTGTATAACCCTCAGAAAAAGGCTTTAAACCTTTAGCCTCAGTTTTCCCATCTTTAAAATGGTGAGTGGGGAGGAAAGAATAAAAAACATAGATGTTTAAAATATTACTGAGCTAGGCATCAGTAATCTAATCGCTGCTATCTCTGAGACCTCGGGAAAATCATTTACCTCTTCATAGTCTCTGTTTCTTCTCTAGAAAGGGGATCTGATAATCTCCATACAGAAGACTGAATGAGAGAACTGTTGATAGTTATGCCATGACTACAGCCAGAATACTCTAGCAAATCAGTACATATGGCCACTGGAATGACAGTGCACATTGATATTAATTACAGGGTATGTGACAATATCAGTCAAAGCAGCTGGCAGAGGGCATCACGAGCTACATGGTTATGAACCCAGAAATTACATCTGTCCATCCACTCTCAGAATGCCTGCATTGCAGTGTTGTTGTATTGAGAACCTGTCGCCCAAATCCACCCCGGAGCTGTACCTTGATTGCTCCAGTTGATATCTGGATCTCATGAAGCCTCCTCATGGTACCATCACGGTCAACAAAGTAGGATGATGCGAGCTGGTGCAGAGCTTCAACACTTTGAGTGGCATTCCCTGACTTCCTGTCGAGGCGACTTTTGTCCATATACATGGTCAAAGCCTCCTCCCCTGGATGGGAAAGAAAAGTAGATAAGAAGGTTTGTGGAGCTTTCATGTGAGAGGACAGGGATGGGACCTGGATGCTGAAAACAGCCTTAAATCTCCAACCAATGTGGCCCATGTTTCCTTCTGCCTCTAAAAATCAAAGGCACAATGAAAATAAACTGTCTAGAGGTGGCTGTAAACACCAGGCTTCATTAGGACAAGGATCATTAAAAAACCCCCAACAATAAAGTCCAGCCCCTAATAATTGACTTCATGCTTCTCACCAGCATCATCTTATAACAAAACCCTCTTCCCCTCTTCCAAGAAAGTTCAGTCTCTTCTATACAATGGCAAATGTGGCATAGACATTCTCTTCTCATTCTTTTCTCCTCCTCCTTTGTCTCCTCATTATCATGCAGTTCCTCCTTTTCCTCTACTCTCCCATCTCCCCTTCATTTCTTTCTCCTTTCCTTTTTCTCTTTCCCCTCCCCCTGATCTTTTCTTAATAGATAAATGAACGGTGGATAGCTAGAAAGAGATATTTGGATGGAAGCAAATGGATGAATGATAGACATGTTTAAATAAATTTAGATGCAAATATAAAAATTTATACATTTTCTTCTTTTAAGTTTTTCTTAGACATGCACACATAGATCAGTAACACTGCTAACTATGATGACTTTTAATTTGGGTAAAGAACTGTTTCTCCAGAACTCCAGAAAGGAAGCTCCAGGGAGCTGCCTCTATTCTCTATCAACTATGTGAACAAGGGCATGTTTCTTTTTTCTTTTTTTTTTTTTCATTCTAAGAAGCTTTATTTGGTAAACAGTTGAAAACCTGAAGCTACATTATCACAAACTGGTGCAAATTTTTTTTTAAGTTCTGGGGTACATGTGCAGGATGTGCAGTTTTGTTACATAGGTAAACAAACGTATGCCATGGTGGTTTGCTGCACCTATAAACCCATCACCTAAGTATTAAACCCAGCATGCATTAGCTATTTTTCCTAACGCTCCCCCACCCTACCCCTCTGACAGGACCCAGTGTGTGTTGTTGCCCTCCCTGTGTCCATGTGTTCTCATCATTCAGCTCTAAGTGAGAACATGTGGTGTTTGGTTCTCTGTTCCTGCCTTAGTTTGGTGAGGATAATGGCTTCCAGCTCCATACATGTCCCTGCAAAGGATATGATCTCATTCTTTTTTCGGGCTGCATAGTATTCCATGGTGTATATGTACCACATTTTCTTTATCCAGTCTATCATTGATAGGCATTTGAGTTGATTCTATGTCTTTGCTATTGTGAATAGTGCTGCAATGAACATATGTGTGCATGTATCTTTGTAATAGAATGATTTATATTCCTTTTGATACATACTCAGTAATGGGATTGCTGGGACAAATGGTATTTCTGGTTCTAGATCTTTGAGGAATCACCACACTCTCTTCTACAATGGTTGAACTAATTTACGTTCCCACCAACAGTGTAAAAACGTTTGTTCAATTGATTTGTCCTTTTTTTCTCAATTGATTTCTCCTTTTTGTCTTTTTCAGTGTAGCTGCAAGAAAATTTAAAAGGAGCTTATGTGACTCACACTTGGGGTGACATCATATATCTATTGGCTAGTGCTGGTCTAGGGATACAGAGTCATAGGAGATCATTTTAATATACCAGGTGAATAGCCAAGGTAAGGGAGTGCACAGAATGCAACGCAGACCAGAGAAAGAGTGGGCACCTGCATCCTGTAGATAATGTGGACCACAAGGCCTGGATGATCTGGGCACTCCAGCTATAACTTTTGCTGCTCTCTGTGTTTGCTCTACCCTGTACAAATGTGCCCCATTTTCCCTCGTCGTTAGGACTTCTATTTTTCTGTTTTTCTCCCGGCTAACTTATAGTCATCCTTCAGGTATCACCTAAGACAGCACTTCTGGGATGCCTTCCCTTAGTCCTTCACTCCTTACCTGAACTAGATTAATAACTCTCAGGTTTTACAGGCCAAGGCTTGAGTTGAGTTCATGGTAAAGCACTTGGCGTTTGCAGTTTTCCTAGAAGCTTTACTGTTACGTAGTAATACATGATTGTCTATCCTTTGGCCCCCACAGCAACCTGAATAGATTTGGCTTAAAACTGATGCTATATCCAATTAGACTTTGAGTTCTGGGGGCCATGGGAAGTGGAGCAGGGGAACAAGGACTCCATCCAATTCACCTTTCTAATGTTCCAATGCTTATCCTAGGGTCTGATGAAGAATAGATGTTCAGTTATCAGTTGATGGATAAGTAGATAGATAGATAGATGAGTGGATGGGTGTATAGATGAACAGACAGCTGAGTGGAAAGGTAAAAGTTAAACAAGTGAATATGCTAAGAGTTTGAGCCATGAGGCAGAGGAAATAAATGTTCCATGTGTCAGCTCAGGCTCTCTTAGGGGCCTGTGAAGGAGAAGGTGAAACAAGCCCGGTTCCCTCTGGACTGAGAACTGGCAGAAGCAAACCTTTAGATCAAGAGGGGTTAATGGGCTTCTTGCTGCATTATTAAGGCTTAATTTCTTGTTTATTAAGAGAATGTTCTGTTTAGAATTGCTTTCCCCCTTGGGCATTCCTGCAAATTGCCTCTTCGCCCCACATAGGCCTTTTCTGAGTCTTTCTGTTCTCCAGGAGACTTCACCTCACTGCAGCACCTTGTTTCAGAGGTGAAGAAAAGGGGACTCTCAAAGGGAATGAGGAAGAGTGGAAGCTGATCCTATTACTTTTTGAGTCAATAGGAGATTTTGCTCCCAGATAGGAGATGAGGTGTCTGGACTTTAGCCCTCTGGGACATAACTCTTCCTTTCCTTCTGAGCCCCTGGGATTTTATTCTCAGCCTTCCTCTTAGTCAAGGGGACTTCTCCCAAAATGCAGGGAGGGAAATAGTGAATATACAAATAAACAAAAAAGATGAGCCCTCATGTATAAAAAGACATCCATGCAATACAAACGCTCATATGCATGTGCAAGCTCACATACACACACACACACACACATATACATGTTGCAACCATATATATGTGAATGATGTGTACACGTGTGTGCAATGTGCATGAATACATGCTCATGTATAAATTAACTCATATCTAAGCAGGAATAGGCTTTGTGAACATCTGTCTATACAGGTAGGCATTTGTGCACATCTGTTTACACAGATGTACTTCCATGCACGCATAGTCATACATCCAAGCTTAACCACACGTGTCACACAGGCACCCAGTCTCCAAGGTGGTTCCTGCAGCCCCAAGATATGGTCATCAGGGGGACTAAGGAAAATTTCTATGCCTGTTTTCTTGTGTGTTTTTCCCTTCACCCCCCTTCATAGGAGTATTCACATGATGTATTTTATTAGTTTAATAGATTTCACCAAAAATCTGGAGATCCCATGGAAATCTCTTATTTGTTGGCCCTCCCATCACCTCTGCTTCTCCATTCCCATAGCCTTCCCTTCCTCTTTCCTCTTCCTAAAGAGTGAAACAAACACATTTATTTGTCTCATAGGTGACAGGTTAAGAAGCATCTTTTAGTATTTGATTATCCCCTTGTGAACTTACCTGACATGTCGAAGAGTTTATCAAAGCATTTTTTCTCAATGAACACAGTGGTCTTAGAAAAAAATTACAGTGAATAAAATTATTTGCACCTCCTTCTTTATAGATAAAGAAATTTATATTCAGACAGAAAAGTGAGTTTCTCAGTGTCTCCCACTCATCTAGTGAGTAGCAGAATTGGGCCTTAATCTGGATTCCCAAGTTTCTTAGCCCCATTAAGTAACAACAATAATAGTAAGAACAAGAGTAGTAACATAGCAACAATTTGTTAAGTGTCAGACAGTGTGCTAAGCACTTTCAATAGATGATTTTATTTAATTTTTGCAATATGCATGAAGGACTACTATTGTAACTATTTAGGAAAGAGGAAACTGAGGCTTAGAGGATTGAGTTACTTGCCAAGGTGACTGTGATGGTTAATACTGAGTGTCAACTTCATTGGATTGAAGGATGCAAAGTATTGTTCCTGGGTGTGTCTGTGAGGGTGTTGCCAAAGGAGATTAACATTTGAGTCAGTGGACTGGGAAAGGCAGACCCACCCATCATCTGTGTGGGTACAATCTAATCAGCTGCCACCGTGGCTAGAACGAAAGCAGGCAGAATGTGAAAAGACTAGACTGGCTTAGCCTCCCAGGCTACATCTTTTTCCCCTGCTGGATGTTTCCTCTCCTTGAACATCGGACTCCAAGTTCTTCAGCTTTGGGACTCGGACTTGCTTCCTTGCTCCTCAGCTTGCAGATGACCTATTATGGGACCTTGTGATCGTGTGAGTCAATATTCCTGAATAAAATCCCCTTTATATATACATCTATCCTATTAGTTCCGTCACTGTAGAGAACCCTGACTAATACAGTAACACTAAGCTGGTGAACAGCCGGAGGCAGGACTAGAAGCCAGGTGATCAAACTCTAGAGCCTGCTCTTTCATTCCCTACAACTTCCCACCTCCCTTCTCTCATACTGCAGAGGAGGCTCTTAAAAAACATGTTTTCCATAAGTGAATGAATGAAGTGATGATGTAAGAAGAGCTTTGCATCATTTATGGCACATAGTGTTCAATCAACAATAAATCTCTTTGCCTTCCTTCTCTCTACTCCTCCACACTGAGGGCTGAGGGAACATTTAGGGCCTACTGTCCAACACCAGATCTCAATCCAAAGCTTTGCATATTTTAAAATGTTGTGTTGTAAAAATAGGAGAGGAACAAGGCTCTGTGAATAATTCACCACCTTGCCTTAGAGAAATTAAAAATATATTTCATTGAGGAAGAAAGGTCTTGGTTACTTGGGGTTTCCAGGAACTCAGACAAGAGCACAGCTTTTAATGGAAGAATTGAATTGGTCTCAATGCCTTTTTTACCCCCAAGTGAAATGGAGGGGGTGATGTCCAAAGAAAAGAGTTTAGGTTAATGCTACACTTAATGTAGAAATGAATTCATTTTCACTTTACAACAGAATAGAATTTACACTAATGATTTCATATTCAAAGTCCTACTTAACTTAATATCTAACTGGCAACAGACAGCTAACACATGCTGGTTGGTTGGTTGGTGGAGCGGGTATTGGGTTGGTGGGGAAGTGAGTTGGTTAAAGAGATGACTGACAGCCAGGCACGGTGGCTCACACCTGTAATCCCAACACTCTGGGAGGCCAAGACGGGCGGATCACGAGGTCAGGAGATCAAGACCATCCTGTCAACACGGTGAAACCCCGTCTCTACTAAAAAAAAATATAAAAAATTAGCCGGGCATGGTGGTGGGCGCCTGTAGTCCCAGCTGCTCGGCGGGCTGAGGCAGGAGAATGGCGTGAACCCGGGAGGCGGAGCTTGCAGTGAGCCGAGATCGCGCCACTACTGCACTCCATCCTAGGCGACAGAGCGAGACTCCGTCTCAAAAAAAAAAAAAAAAAAAAAAAAAAAGAGATGACTGACATTGGATCAAAAACAGAATGCAGGCTTTGTGCATGGAAAACACTCACTTAAAAACTTAGCTTTATCACTTACTAGCTGTACTTCTTCTGGGTCTCAGCTTCCTTATTTATAAAATGGAGGTAATATGACATGTGCAGTTTTGAGGACTAAAGACAATGTACAATGTCTGCTATATAGCAAATAACTGTTAAGTAGTGGATAATATTATTGTAGGAATGAATAAATTTGCCTAACCAATCTCTCCACCACATTCCCCACATTATGAATCGGGTCTTCCTACATTGCATGCTGAGCCTAGAAAGCTCTGCCACCTCCCTTTACTTAACCAGCTCCTGGTGAACAAAACTGTCACTTCCTCCAGGAAGTCTGTACTGACCACTCCAGTTGGTAGTGCTCAACATGTCTCTGAAGGAGAAGATCCCCTGTTATAATTACACCTCAGTCCACCCTTCCTGTATCAATATGCCAATCTCTCCTAGTGGGCATGGGCCATACCTAAATGCAGCCGGCGACTTTGTGAGTATGTGGCACAGCGCTCTATCACTAAAGGGGCTTCCTCAAAGTTCAGTGAATCCAGTCACTGTGGCAAAACTGGTGCCTAAGGGATTGCTCCTAATATTAAATGATGCATTCAGGCAAGATCCACAAGCATCTAAAGGCACTAGTCTGCACTATTTTCCATTCATTGTCTTTGCATTTATTTCCTCTCCTTTATCCAGCCCTCTTACCCTTGATCACTCAAAAACTGACTGGCCCTGATGGGGAGGGATGGGTAAGGCTGAGCAGGGTGGAACAATTAATCTGCTTTCCCATTAACCTACTCTAAGCCCACAGGAGTTACAAATGATAGCCTGTTTGTAAAAGGATAACCTCGATTTATCAGTCTCTAAAGTAGACTTAAATAAACAAAGCATATTCCCTAAACAATATCTGAAATTTAATTATTTTCCCAGATTAGACCAAAGGAACTGAGAAAATGATCAGATTAGGCATTTCTAACAAATGGAGCCAATTCCAAGGTTAAGCCGTATTTTCAGAAAATTTAGTAAACTCTCAAATTAGACTGTCCCATAGAACTGAATCACCTCCTCGGATATGATCACAACAGCCAAGACAATTTGGCTTACCTGGCTATAAATGCTTTTGTGTGATGTAGAATGGCAGAGAAGCTAAGAAGGCTTTGCTGTTAAGACATCCCACTCTCCCTTCCCATCCCAAACCCAAAGTCATGAGAAGGCTCTGGCCCAGTGGCTGCTGACCTACCTCCCAATGTGGCTGAGATGAGCAGGTGGGTGCCGTACTTTTTGATGATGGTATCGATGAACTGCTGAGTGGTAGGTCTCCTGCCAAGCAGGCGGATGCTCCTTTGAAACTCCGGCATGAGGGGCACTGGATGGCGGACCAGATCTCTCCTCTCGATGGCTGTGTTCCTCACCTTCCAACGGGCAAACTCCCTGGGCAGGAGAAATGAGCAACACTTCTCAACTTACCACCATTACCCTTAAGCCAAAGTCCACCCAACCATCCATCCAGGCATCTCTCCTTAAGTGGGAAAGTGCCTACAATTTTAATATGTGTCAAGTGATGCTTTGATCTGGAGCTTCCAATCATCTGCAACCAACAAATATTTATAGAGTACTATTCTCATCACAGGAATATTGAACTAGATAAACAATATCATTGTCCTCAAGTTGTTTACAGAGCACCAGGGAGACAAATATCAGGAGTTACTTTTATTAGGGGTTGGGTAGAGGGACTGAGGAAAAAGAAAGAGTAATACAAATAATAATCTGATGATAATATGGATGATGATAATGTACTGATGAAAATTTTCATGGTATTTTATAGTTTCCAAGAATATCATGTCTAAGTTCTTATATAATGATCACACTAGCCCTGTGCCAGGGGATTATTATCCATTTCTGATACCTGTCACAGGACCAAGTCCTCCATTGTCTTCTAGTTGTCTGTCCATCTCTCTTGCTAGACTGTAAATGACACCACAAGAATAGAATCTTCTTAGGCACTCCCTAACCCAGCCCTGTATATAGCTCAGTGCCTGTTACATGGCAGGATTCATGATAATGCCAGACAGAGAAATAAACAAATGGAAGGAAGGAAGGAAGGAAGGAAGGAAGGAAGGAAGGAAGGAAGGAAGGGAGGGAGGGAGGGAGGGAGGGAAGGGAGGAAGGAAGGGAGGGAGAGAGGGAGGGACCGGATGAAGGGAGAGAGGGAGAGAGAAAGGGAAGGAAGGAAGGAGAGAGAGAGGGAGGGAGGGAAGAAGGAAGGAAGGAAGGGAGAGAGGGAGAGAGAAAGGGAGGGAGGGAAGGAGGGAAGGAAGGAAGGAGAGAGAGAGGGAGGGAGGGAAGAAGGAAGGAAGGAAGAAAGGAAGGAAGGAAGGAAGAAAAGGAAGGAGGGAGGGAGGGAAGGAGGGAGGGAGGGAGGGAAGGAGGGAGGGAGGGTGAGAAGGAGGATATATAATAGTAGACAGGACCTAAGGCACAAAGCAACCTGAGGACTGTTCTAGGATAATCCAGAAATCAAATATTGAGCCCAGAGCTCACTTTAATCCAAAATGTTAACATGTATTCATTGAGCACCTAGTATTTTAAAGCAATTAAGCTATGTTCCAAAGACCATGTGGGAGAATTTCCATGTTTGCCTTCACTAATAACAGAGGATCTCACAACCAAACGACACCAAATTTGGAAGTCCAAGTCTCGCTCTCCCTCTTACAAATTATGTGTTGTGATCTTGTCCCCTCTCTAGACCTACATTTCTTCATCTATAAAATTCAATTATCTATTTGCTACTGCTGATGCAGGAATTACATGAAACATAGAGTGCAAAATACCTTTGGAAACTGCAAGGTGCTAATTTAATGTGAATTATTGTTTTATAACTTTATTTTCTCACAAGTTCCCAGACATGTACATGTAAATCATTAAAAGTTCACATACAGTAAACTTGGAGCATACAAACCGAGTACAAGTGAAAACTTAGAGGGACTGAGTGAAGGTTGCTTTTGCTCAGTAACAATCACAGTTCCCACCAAAGATGCAGCTCCCCCAGAATGACCAGCTCTCCGACCTGCCTGAGTTACATGCTCTCGGTCCCTTGAGGAAAACAGACTAGACAAGAGGGCTGTAAGGTCAGCTGAGATAAATGATGGGAACCAGAGTTTAATGAAAAGGTCTCTCTCTCCTGCCACAGGATGGGAGAGACGAATGAGGAAAGGGACACAGGGCAAAGAAGCAGCAGAACAGTGGGGGTATCTGGCCGGAATGTGCCCTGGTAATTTAGTGGTGGTGTCTGACCCCTGATTCACAGAAAACTGGGTCTGAGAAAAGCTTTCACATTAGAATATGTTTCCAAGATTCAGAGATCATGGTCTGTGTCTGAGTAAGAAATCTCTGTCCATAATTCAAGACATAGTTCAAATTTGAAGTCCACTGAGTACCTTGCATGTTGTTGCAGGTACTTAAGTCAATCAACTGCACTCAGTGAACCCTTCAAGACACCTACTAAGGGCAACATATGATGTCCACGGAAGGGGAATGCACATGTCACAGTCCCTGTCCTTAAGAAGCTCACAGTCTGGAAGACTTTTCAGTTTATTATAAATCAAGGACTACAGGACACAGGAGGAGGAACCTGAACTTTTCGGGCCTCTAGGGAAAGCTTCAGAGAGGAGGTCATGTTTGAACTATAGTTTTTAAGTTTGCATGGAATTTAGATCAACGAAGTGTGGTTAAAAACAAAAACAGCCAGAATGGTGGTGCACGCCTGTAGCCCCAGCCACTCAGGTGGCCAAGGCAGGAGGATCACTTGAACTCAGGAGTTCAAATCCAGCCTGGACAACATAGTGAGACCTTGTCTCTAAAAGTAAAAGAGAAACAAATAAACACAAAAACAACAAAAAAACTAACCATGGGGAGGAAAAGTCAGGAACAGTGAGCAGGGATACAGAAAACATTGAGAAGGGCAGAATAAAATAGGGGGGAGCATGAAAAAGAGGGTGTGGGAGGCAACAAGATGGAACAAGTAGTTGATGGGATGTGGGCATGGGGGAAAGACCTTGACAGCCAGCTGAGACAAATGTTACAGGTGTGGCAGGCAGCTTGCGGCTTGAGTCCTAATGACCTCGGGCCCAGGGACTCGTTTCTAATTAATAGAATATGAAAGTGATGGAGTGTCACTTTCACGTTTCAGTTACAAAATTCTTCGATGTCTATTTGGTGTGTGTTCTCTCTCTGTGTGTCTCTGGTTCTCTAAGTCCCTCTATGTCTTTCTCTGTCTCTGTCTCTTTTTCTGCTTCACCCACTGGCTCTCTGTTCCCTCTCTGTTTCTTGCATTGGCTTTCCCGCTCTCTCTGTCTCTGTGTCCATCTTTTCTTCCTCCCTCCCTCTCACTCGCTGCCATGCTGTGAGATGCTCTATGGAGACATCCACATGGCAAGGAGCCGAGGGAATCCTTAGGCCAACAGCTTCCGAGGAAATGAGGCCTTGCAAGGAACTGAATCCTGGCAGTAACCATGGGCTTAAGCTAGGAAACAGACCCTTCCCAAGCTAGCCTTGAGATGACTGCAGCCTGGTAACAAACCCAGAGACAGGGCGTCCAGATTCCTGACTCACAGAAACTGTGAGATAATATTGTTTTAAGTCACTGAATTGTGAGGTAATTGATCAATACACAGCAATGAGAAATGCCAAATATCTCTGAGGAAAAGAGTATTTCCTTATCAGCTAATCCAAGAAATTTATAAAATTATATATACATATAATTATGAGGTTATATATATATATGCATATAAACATACTGATATATCAGTATATAGAAAAATATATATAGTCATACGTGTGTGTGTGTGTGTGTGTATCACTTTTATTCATAACTTACTGTCTTGGGTTGCTTTTTTCATATGAACACACCCGTATTCCTTAAAATTAATATTTATTTCACACAGAGAGGTTAAGTAACTGTTAAAGGTCATGTAGCTAATGAGTGGTAGAATTGAGTATAGAAAACTGGCACCCTGACTCTTAAATCACTCTTTTAATGTAAATATCGAGAGGTAGAATATAAAAGCATAGTAGAACCAGTACCAGTACAGAAGAATGATGCCACCCCCACCACCAAATTACAAGGCATGACTCAATTCCTTTTTTTGAAACAGCCATCACAGTCTTTGACGTTCACCAGCGATAGACCAGGGCCTGCCATCTGTGTTGCTTCCTTGAAAAGAAACTCAGAAAGATGCCTATGCCAGGTACCCAGTTTATCCCTCACAGGGTGGATGTAAGGCCTAAGTGAGGAAATGTATGCGACCTGCTGAGCACAGAGTCAGGTACTTGGGGAGAACTCAGTAACTGGGGATGTTACCCTAAAGAACTAACTACCTGCTCAGCACCACGGACAGAGTTTTTTATCCCAAGGAATTGGTCCACTGGGGGAAGGAGGACAAATGGTTGTTTAGGGAAGGTATTAAACTATAATGTACAATATGGAGGTTCCTCAAAAAACTAAAAATAGGACTACCATATGATTCAGCAATGCCACTACTAGGCATATACCCAAAAGAATGGAAATACATATTAAAGAGATAGGACCATGTCTTATCACAGCACTATTTACAATACGAAAAATGTGCAATCAAACTAAGTGCCAATCAATGGATGAATGGATAAAGAAAATATGTATACATACTCAATGGAATATCATTCAGCCATAAAAGGGAATGAAATCCTGTCATTTGCAGCAGGATGGAAGGAATTGGAGGCCATTTTGTTAAGTGAAATAGTCCAAGCACAGAAAGACAAATATCACACATCCCATTCATTTGTGGGAGATGAAAAATGGACCTCGTGAAGATAGAGAGTGAAATGATGGTTCCCAGAGGCTGGGAAGGATAGTTGGGGAGGAACGAAGGGAAAAATAAAACATATAAATGCATTTATTACCATGGAATTGAACACTTAAAAATGGTAAAGAACAAAAAGAACAATGAGCTCCATGTGCAAAAATGGAGGTGAAAGAGAGGGGATAGGACAGGTAGAAAGAAAGGGATGTGTGTGTCTGTGTGTACCTGTAATACATAAATGATAAGAGCTAAAGGCAGAGAGGTTGTCAAGGACCACAGGATGAATGACTATGTGTCAAACTATGATAGTAGATTACAGTCTATAAACTCTGTTCTCACTGGCCAACAATCCAGGCTAAAAGCATTTTGAAGATAGGTTTATGTGGCTCTGCAACCATTACAGGGATGTTGGAGCAAAGACTGTAATAATCACAGGATTCTGTGATTTTTACACTCTTTACCAAAGTACACTTAAGTAAAAGGGCTCAATAGCACCCAGATCTATTCAGAGCTAGATTTAAACAACATTAGAGACAAAAAGGTTGATTACATATTCGAAATTTGAGCACCTACTATTTTTCCAGCTCTAAAGATACCACAGTAAACAAAATTAATGAAAGTCTTGCTCTCAAGGGGCATACATGCTGGTGACAGTGGACAGATAACAAAGAAACAAATATGTAATGTGTCAGGGGAGATAAGTGTTATAAAGACAAATAAATCACGGGGAGGAGGCTGCGATGTCCAGAAGGGGGTAAAGCTGTCATTTCATATAGGTCATCAGAAAAGGCCTTTGTGATTTCATGACATTTGAGGAGACACCTGAAGGAAATGAGGGAGGGACCATAGGGCCACCTGGTGAAATAATGTTCCCGGAAAAAAATAACAGCAAATGCAAAGGTCCTGGGGTGGAAATGTGTTTGACACATTTGGGAAACATCAAAGGGCAGCCTAAATGAGTAGAGGGGTGATATGGGAAGAAAAATAATATCAAAAGATGAAGTGGAGGAACATAGACCTCAAAAGGCTTTGTCAGCCTTAGTAAAACTTTTTTAAAAATTCTAAGTAACAAGAAAAGTCAAAAGAAGGTGTTGAGTCTACCTAATCTGATTTACGTTATAAAGGAAGGGTAGGCAAACATTTTCTATAAAGGTCCAGGTAGTAAATATTTTAGATTTTTCAGCCACAGGTACCTGTTGCAACCACTCAACTGTGTCCTTGTACAGGGAAACAGTCATAGACAATACAACTGAGTGTGGATGTGCTCCAATAAAACTTTATTTACAAAAGCAAGTGCCCAAATATATTTGGCCTATGGGAAATATGTCCTAAAAGCTTCACTCTAACTCCATTCATAGAAGTCATCAAATCCAACTAATACCATCCACTGATGGGAAAATTGAATGTCAAAAAGATTGAGTTATTTGATCAAGATCACACAGCAAACGATCAGGAAGGATTAAATCAGAGCCCAAGGCTCATGACTTCAAGTGCAATACCCTTTCCATTGCAACATGCCACCTTAAAAAAAATAATGTAAAAGAAAATACATAAAAGAAAGCAAGCCTTGCTTGCCATGTTGTCTAACTGCTCTGCTGGCCCGGGAACAATTTCATGTCAGTTCTCAGGGAATTGAGCACAACATAAAATATATCTTTCCTTCTGAGTGCACAGAACAAGCAAATTCCCCTTGGAGGAGAAGGCAGAACTCACAATGGCATAGGATCTGTGGAATATGCTTATGCCCAATTAAGCATCCCAGCAGGGTGGGCAAACCAATTAGACTGAGATTAAAGTAAGATCCTGGATGGAAGTCGTGGGGTGTCTGCAGCAAGGGCCATCCCACTGGGGGAGCCAGAGGTGGGAGGGCAGATGATGACAGGGCCTGGGGATGGATGAAGACTGCAGCCAGGGGTGCTGGATTTAAGATGAGGCTGGAGAGAAAATTATAAGTCCGAATCTTTCTTTTTAGAGCAAAGTATTGCCTGTATAGGAATCCTCCTTCATCCTCTTTATTAGTCCTCTACTTTCCTTCATACGTGCAAAAAAATACACATAGGTACACTCAATGACACAGTGCACAGAAGGAGACATGATTACGAGACAGAAAGGAGAGGCCAGGTGCAGTGGCTCACGCTTGTAATCCCAGTACTTTGGGAGGTCAAGGCGGGCAGATCGCCTGAGCTCAGGAGTTCAAGACCAGCCTGGGAAATACAGTGAAACCCCATCTCTACTACACATACAAAAAATTAGCCAGGCGTGGCAGCATGCGCCTGTAGTCCCAGCTACTCAGGAGACTGAGGCAGGAGAATCTCTTGAACCCGGGAGGCGGAGGCTGCAGTGAGCCGGGATCGAGCCACTGCATGCCAGCCCGGGCAACGGAGCAAGACTCCAGCTCAAAAAAAAAAAAAAAAAAAAAAAAAAAAACACGAGACAGGAAGGAGAACTGGCTCTGTGCTCTTGGGACGGTGTATTCATTCCTGGATATCCGTGTCTCTACCTGTGAAATAAACTGATTGAATTGGATCATCTTTAACCCTGTATCCTCAACCTAGGCTCTAGGGGTAAAACTGTGAGTTATGGTTCTACCACCTATTGGTTTATACTTTGTAAAATGTAAATGGTAGCTACCTTACAAGGACAGGCTTAGGATTATATTAAACCATGAAAGCATCAATAAAATATTAAAGTTATTATCAATATCATCATTGTTGTTATGATTACATGAGCAGCTACATTGGAAAGCTGGGTGATAGTGGATAGATGGTGGAGTGAGAAGGGAAAGGACACAATCATGCTCTTTTAAAATTCCAGTAGATAAAACTTTAGGGAAAGGTGGGATCTGATTCTTGTGAAGTAAGCTGAAAGTAGCAAGGCTAAATTTAAGAAATGAAGCAATAGTTTATAAACTCCATCCAAGTCTATTTTTTCGTATATGTGATGAGGACTAAAAGCATGCACCTCCTCAAATTGTGCTGGAAGAGTTAGATGAAATAATAGTTAGACAACTTCTTTATACAGTGCAACACGGTATGAACAATTGTTAGCTGCTGTTGGCATTAGCATTTGTTTTACAATTATTTGTATAGGACACACTTATGATGTTTCTATTGCTTAAAAGGTTCTATTTTAGTTTCCTCATCTGTAAAATGGGGTGGGGCAGTGACAATTTCTGCATCTTAGAGTTGTAAGGGGAATGCTTCCAGCAGTCTTGGGTCTATAGGGCGCACTGGATAAATGTGTTTCCTCCATTGTTTTTAGATAATCAAGCTCCTAATGACCTCTGATAAGTGGAGGGTTCTTTTACTCTTCTCATGCATGTTTTATGACTTGTTCGCTTACATGAATCTGATCTCAGATGTAGTTGGAGGTTACTTTCAAAAACATACACATCTTATAGGCCGTAAAATACACATAAAATAGGAAAAATAAAAGGGAGAATAGAAAATGAAGTTTGGGTTAAAATAGAAAATGAAGTTTGTAAAGTTAATTCTATAAAGTCCTGAACACTTGATTCAAGTGAACTGCAAGTGTCTCTGAGCTTCCTTGCAGCTGAAGGAAAAAGGGGAATTATAGCCAAAAGCCATACAGTCAGAAAGACAGCAGAGTAGTTGTTCAAAGTTATTTGAGAAATAGATTCCCTCAATGCTACAATAAGACACAAACATTTTCCATGGTTTCTCATAAAGAGATCAATAGAGTTGATGCTGGTGGGAGATGTTCTGAACAATATTCCTGTGAGTTTGATGGGCTCAAGGTAGCCTAATGCATATAATGAAGCACTATTCATACACGATTCATACAATAAGCAACAATAAAGCAACTCCATGAGGGGCAAACATATTACAGTCTAAATATATAGCTTTCTGGCGGTCTGGCTTAATCCAAGAATACATTTTGGAATACTATAATGACATTGAACCCCGAATAAAGGTTTGTTGAAAGCATGATTGATTACAGTGATGGGATGTTTGCATTTGTTTATTCCTGGGTGGCTTATCCCATTGGTCGCATTAACTAATCATTTGGAAATGGATAAAGAGAAGCTTCTGAGTATCGGGGTGATAGAGGAAAACTCTGGGACAGCTTCTGCTATTGTTAGCAGCAAATTATCCCCAGAGGTGAACAAGGGGAATCACAGAGGAGAAGAGTGAGATGAAATCATTGAGCTGAGAGAGGAAAGAAGGCATTTCTCTTGCCTGCTGTTCCCACTCGCTCCCCACACGATCCTCAGCCAGCTCAGAGAAAGGTGAACCCAAGGGCATATGTGAAGCAGAAATGATGCATCTTAACGAGAGGGTGTCAGCTCCAAATCCCCTGCCTGCCTTCATGTCCCATAACACAACTGGCAAGGCAGCTGAGAAACAGCCACATCCAGGCAGATCTCTCAGGGCATTTTGGCTCCAGAGGGGTGAAGTGAGGAAAAGTAGAAAAAAAGAAGAAGAAAAAAAGAACTATCTCTGAAAATGTAATTATGAATAGTATTATTTTAATTACAAGTAAAGATATCAACTTAACTTTAGAGAATAAAGTACTCCTTGCTTATAATGTGTACAGAGGTCTATTTGCCAAAGGTGTTCACTTAAGTAATGATAGTTTTACTCTTATGCCAGCCTCATAGCAGTTCTGAAGGCTCTTACGGGGCTGAATTCAGAGCAATGGGGGTAAATAACCTAAGGGGAGCACACTGGAAGGGGACTATGTGTGTTTCTCATTGCACATAAACTTGAGAGGGAAAAATAGAAACACAACAAGCACACTTGGAATGGCCCAACTTTTATATAAATGGGCCATTTCCAGAAAAGCAAGTGGGATTCTTCCTGAAGCACTGTTATCGAGGGCAGGGGGCCATAATGGTGGCTATGAGAGTTAATCGTGGGAAAGGAAGCTTAGAATGCACTTGTTTTATTTTACCCCAAAGGGCCCAGTGTTTCCTGAGATACACTCCATGCACTGGAACTGCTCACTGCCTTGCCATACAGAATCCAAAATATCAGGATAGAGGGACTTTAGGCACTCACGGCCATCACTGTCATTTCACAGATGAGAAAACTGAGGCCCATAGAGAGAGAGGGACTTGCTAAGGCCACAGCACCATTGGTGGCAAGAGGGACTAGGAAATAAGTTCCTCACCTTAGATTCCGTGTTCTCTACTCTGACCCACTGTCTTATTCCATTTTCTTGACTTTGTGGGGTCTGTCATGCACTTGGTCCTTTACAAATCTCTGTCACCCCACACATTATTCTCCCAACAACCTGGAAGATAGGGAGTATGATCATCCCCATCACAAGTGGAGGAAACCAAGGCCCAGAGCAGTGAAGGCCACTTGGAAAATCTGCACCAGATCTGGGACAGAAATTCAGGTTCTGTTATTCTTAGTCTGGGATCTTCCTTGTTTCTTCCTATTCTCTACTCCTCTGCCCATTCTGGTGTCCCCATGTGAATGGGGGAAGTCATTGACTCTGGCAACCCACCCTGCCAGGAGTCTCCACAATGCTCTACAGAAAAACAAAATAGAGGATATCAAGGAAAGCAAATGCTCATTCCATTGAGCACCTGGAAAGAGGATGCAAAACAGGTCCTTTCACAAAGACATTCTGATACTGTGGGATGAGCACAGACTTTACGGTCGGCCTGGTCTGGCTCTGAATCCTACAATAAAGCCACTCATTAGCCGAGTGAACATCTGCAAATCCCTCAGCATCTCTGAGCTTCTTTATCAGTGCAAAAGGAATATTAGTATTTACCTTGCAGCATTGCTGGAAGGATTAAACATAATGAATGCAATTAATCTGGCAGTAGTAGCTACTCAATAAATGTTAGCTACGTATCCTGCGGCAAGGCGTTCTAAAAGGAGAGTTTGTTGTATAACACATAACTTTTAATGGATAGTTTAAATGATCTTAATATGCCCATGGGCTCCAGGGATTACACAAACTGCATATAAATAAAATATTGAAAATTCTGTTGACTCAATTTGTCTCTTTGCTTATTTCCAAAGCATCTATTGTGAAAGAGCGACTCATAACTAAATATAGATTAATAAAAGTTTGGAATGGCAATTATTTTCCAATTATCATAAATCCCATTAAACATTGCAATTATATGAATTTTTTCCTTTCAGATCACAAAATTTGAAAGCTCCAAGGGACCACAAAGAGTGTCTTTGTCACTGACTTAAATTTTAGATGGAAACACAGGGACTCTGAAAGAGGAGATAATTCTCTCAAAGACACACAGCTGTCAGCACAAGAGCTGGTTTTAAAATCCAGGTCTCGCACACCAGGTCTCTGCTTAATTCCCTCTGCCACAGTGCTTTGTTTAAGAAGAAAAATGAACAACTTTTTTCCCGGCAAGTAATACTGCATTTAATTGCCAATTTCTTTCTTGTTAAGATATTTTAGGATTAGTGAGCATGCTGCCATCTCAGAGCCTCCCCCAAATCCACATTCTCAGCTAGACCCTTAGTCATTTTCCTATAAAGAAATATTCCCTGTCCCTGTTTGAAACTAGTTAAGAAATATCCTTCTCTTCTGCTAATTCATTCAGTTATATTCACTGAATATCTGGCTCTATATCAAGAACCAGGGATCTAAAACCATACTTTACTTAACCAAAATGCACTAAAATCTTTAAGGATTAACTCACAAGGCACCAAACTATAGGCCAAAGACCAAATGTGTCCCACTGTCCATTTTGCAAATAAATTTTTATTGGAAAACTATCACACTCCTCCATTTATGTGCTGTATATTCTGTGGGTGCTCTTGCACTACAGTGGCAGAGTTGAGCAGCTGCAACAGAGACCAGAAGGCCCACAAAGTCTAAAATATTTACTGTCTGACCCTTTATAGACAGTTTGCTAATCCTGTTTTATCTCATTGACCCAGACATCAAATAATATATTTTAAGGAAATAATCAAGGATGATCAAAGATTTATATATTGTACTACCACTGACAGAGATAGATAGATCAGTGATTTGTTTGTTTGTTTTGCTTTGACAAAAGTATTCTCTTGCTCCCAAAATGTTTGAAAACTACTCAGCTGAAGCAAATTAGAAAACAGGGATGTTTACCCACATAGCCTTCTTGGAGAACTTTTAAACCTGAATAACACACTCGTTATTTAAATCTACGCTGGAAGAAGCTGATAAAAACTGCCCAGGTCACATCTGAGTTAAGAAAATTAACGTTTTAAGTGGAATTTATAATTTGATGATTAAACAAGGTAATTGATTTAGTATACTCAATGATAATAGAAAAACAATGGGGTGGGGGTCGTCTAAAGTATTCTTAGAGATATTTGATTTGATTACCAAAGCATCATAAGAAGAAGGAAGGCATCATCAATTTTCCTAGTTGGTAGGATCTGATGAGTTGTAAATGTCATGAAAACACAGCTCTGAGGGTTAAAACTGAAATGACTAGGAATAATTGACAGCAATTATTAAATAATAATTTAATTTAAAATATTCTCAATACTCTCAAAATTACACTCAATAAAGCAAGTCCTTGCTGACTGTCAGAACTGATCAGAATGGAACAAGCTGCTCTGGGAAGTAGAGGGGTGCCTGTCTTTGAAGATACTGAAGCAGAGTTTGCATAACTGATTGACAGAGATGCTTATAGGAGGGATTCAGAATCCAACGGGTGGTTGGAAAGCGTTATTGTTGTCCATTCTTAACTAGGAAATGCTATGAGTTTCAGAAAAGTAAAAATGTTTATGGAACATTAGCAATTGTCTTCTGGATACCTAGGTGAATTGGACATCTTTCAGTCAAAAATTAGTCATCGCTGTGGCCACAGACACATGTTAGTCCCATATAGGCACCAAGATGATGGATAACTTATGGTAGGGATTGCCTGTTTAGGTTTTTCCAGCTCTGAGTTCATTGGACAGTACTCCAAAACACACTGAGAAATGCCAGTTTCCTGTTTTATCCCAGAGCTACTCCCAAAGTCTGAATTTTAATTCTGTTCTTTCTTCCAAAGCACATAAAAATGGTTTCTCTCCATCAAATTGTCCTCAGTTCCTCTTTTTTCCTGTCTCCACACATGACTACCATTCCTCTTGAGCATAAGGTATTTGATGGCAATAGCCTACAAAAGGCCACTGCCAACAACCAACGTGGTATTTCTGCAAGCTCACATGGTATTTTCCAAAAGGAAGAATAATACTCTTTTCTACTTTCTTTTCTTTCTTTCTCTCTTCCTTCTTTCCTTCCTTCCTTCCTCCCTCCCTTCCTTTCCTTTCTTCCTTCGTTTATTCTTTCTTCTTTCTTTCTCCTCTCTTCTCTTTTCCTCGCCTCTCTTTCCCTCCTCCTTCTTCTCTTCCTCTCTCTCTCTCTCTCCCTCCCTCCTGCATGTATTTACTGCCTAAACCCCTAGTAGACTCAGAGATAAATAATATCTCTTTTACAATATTGGACATGTTTGATTTTCCGGGTACATATGCTTAAGCATAAATGTATGTTGGTCAACTATATATGGGCCAGGCACTTTGCATGAATACTCACAAGCACCCCAGGAGCTGGTTGTGGTTATTTTCATTTTACAGATGAAGAAACTTAAGCTCAAAGATTCCGGGTTTAACTATCTCTATGACACTATGTGCATGCCACATGTGGTTTAGGATTGCTTTCAACCCAAAAATCTCTCTAGCAAGCTAATTGCCCATTATGAGACCCAAGTCTATGAATTTATATAAATTGTTCTTAAACTGCATCATATTTCTTACTTACTTCCTGTATTTTAAGCAAGATTCTGCCAATATTTTGTCCTCCTTAAAAGCTGAGGCCAGGCGCGGTGGCTCACACCTGTAATCCCAGCACTTTGGGAGGTCGAGGCGGGCGGGTCATGAGGTCAGGAGTTCAAGACCAGCCTGGCCAATATGGTGAAGCCCTGTCTCTACTAAAAATAAAAAAATAAAATAAAAATAAATTGCCGGGCGCGGTGGTGGATGCCTGTAATCCCAGCTACTCAGGAGGCTGAGGCAGGAGAATTGCTTGAACCCGGGAGGCAGAGGTTGCAGTGAGCCGAGATCATGCCATTGCACTCCAGCCTGGGTGACAGAGCGAGACTCCAACTCAAAAAAAAAAAAAAAAAAAAAGCTGAAATTGGACTTGGAGGAACAAACACTGGACTGTGGGCACAGGCATATAAGTCAGCCCTCTACTCTAACATAACAACCTGGACAACCTTAGACAAGTAATGATTCCTCTTTGAGTTTCACTTTACTCATCTGTAAAATGAACAGTTGGAGTGGATTAGTGGCCTTCATGCTTTTACTTAGACTTGAAACATTTGATTTATTAATATATTCTTTCAACTAATTTTGGGAGTAAGGTTTTGTCTCTATGTTAGGTGCTAGGACTACAGGAGAAAACTCTATAGACAAAGAATGTACATTTTGCCGGAGGAAGTACAAATAATAACATTCCAATAAATATTTTGCAAAATAAGTAAACTACATATAAGTAGAACTTCTCAGGGGATAGCGATGAACGCAGACCCCTGACTCTCCCCTCACCATCCTGCCCTTCAGGCCAGGGGCACAATTTGAAAACTATCAGACACAGATGCCATCTGTGTTATTTTGACGTGAGGTCAGCCACCCGCATCACAATTTGGTGAGAATCCATGTTAAAATACAGAAACGAGAGATTAGTCAAAACTTAGCAGGCCAGAGTCTTTGCCTCTGCCTTTTTAACAAGCTCCCAGGTGACTCTTCTACAGAGTGAAACCAAGAACTTCAGGACTGAAGTGCCTCTGAGGTCTCCTCTTCTTTGGACAATCTTCTCCCCCATTCTCCCCTGATAAACTCCTTCTCAAAGTACTGGGCCTGGGCTTGGAGGTCACTTCTACAGGGCACTTTAGTTGACTCTCCCAACTAGCTCAGCCTCAGGCTCCCCCAGGCCAGCTGGCAATGATTTTATTGTCCTCACTCTCCACTAGACAGTTACCTCCATTGGACAGGGACTGTATCTATTTTTCTCATCTCTAAGTACATTGCCTGGAACTTATAAAATACCCAGTAAACAATTCTTTTTTTTTTTTTTTTTTTTTTTTGAGACAGAGTCTCGCTTTGTCGCCCAGGCTGGAGTGCAGTGGTGCGATCTCTGCTCACTGCAAACTCCGCCTCCTGGGTTCACGCCATTCTCCTGCCTCAGCCTCCCAAGTAGCTGGGACTACAGGTGCCCACTACCACGTCTGGCTAATTTTTTTGTATTTTTAGTAGAGACGGGGTTTCACCGTGTTAGCCAGGATGGTCTCGATCTCCTGACCTTGTGATCCGCCCGCCTCGGCCTCCCAAAGTGCTGGGATTACAGGCGTGAGCCACAGCGCCCGGCCAACAATTCTTAAATAAATGAAGGCAATACAAACGGGCTTATGAATGGATCTTCTCTCCTTTCCAGCACTAAGAAACTCATGTTCTTAGGCACTTCCCGCAATCAGATTGTTTCACTGCCAATACAGAGCCCCTGGAATCTGGCAAGTTACCTTAGGACTCTGTTTCCAAATTGCCTAAGTCTTCAGTGACTTCCTGTTTCTATTTATTACTTCACCCTGTTTCATGCGTAGGCAGAGGTGGCAATTAAATCCTCAGAAGTGAGGAATTTTGGAATTAATCCTTAACACCTTAGTGGGTTCATTTTTTCCCCTTTCCAATCAGTAGCATGTCGGGTAAGACCAGAGATCTGCAGGAAAGAAGTCTTAGTGGGATTAAATAAAACAAGGTTCTTCGCCAAGACACACAGAAGAACAAATGCCACCCACCTGGTCCCCCTGATTCTACCTTGACAACCTTACAATTCTTCTTAAATATGACAGCCAGAATTATCTTCTCAAAGTGTGAGTTGGCTCATGCCACCTCCTCCACCTTTTTGGGAAGCAGTCAATGAACCCCACTGTCTATGAGACAAATAGGAAACTCTCTCGATTTATATTCAAGATGCCTTATGTTCAAATTCCCAGCTCCTTCCTCATTGCCCTGTCCTCATCCCAGTCACTTTATATTGCTCTGTGAAACTATTCACAATTAGCATCACCCACATTCACCTTTTTCTTACATTTATATGAACTTTCAGAAACTAGCCACTATTGAAAATGTAGCCCTGATGTTTTTTTGTTTTGAGACAGAGTGTCGCTCATCACCCAGGCTGGAGTGCAGTGGCTCCATCTCAGCTCACTGCAACCTCCGCCTCCCGGGTTCAAACAATTCTCTGCCTCAGCCTCCTGAGTAAATGGGATTACAGGCACCCGCCACCATGCCAGGCTAATTTTTTTTGTATTTTTAGTAGAGACGGGATTTCACCATCTTGGCCAGGCTGGTCTTGAATTCCTGACCTAGTAATCTGCCTGCCTTGGCCTCCCCAAGTGCTGGGATTACAGGCGTGAGCCACCGCACCCAGCCAGCCCTGATATCTAAACACTGAATAGGACACTGTCTGTCCTGTCTCCTGTTTTTCTTTTGTTGTTATGCTCCATCCAAATGTACAAACACACTCTAACTTCCAAGTTATCTTACCCACATGCAGTTTTCACTACTGGAAAAACTCATTCCCTACTCTCTCAGGTTCATCTTACTCACCAATATCACCTTGCACTTCCTTAAAGTATGTATCACCCCGAACTAAAATTGCCCACTTACTTCTCTCTGTCAGTGCTACAGGATGTGTCCTGCACGAGAATGGAAAAGTGGTAGCTTGTTTGGGATATTCTTAACACCTAGCTCAGGGTTTGCATATAATCAGTCCTCAAGGCCAGGCATGGTGGCTCATACCTGTAATCCTGGCACTTTGGGAGGCCAAGGCTGGGGGATCACTTGAGATCAGAAGTTCAAGACCAGCCTGGTCAACATGGCAAAACTCTTGTCTCTACTAAAAATAAAAAAAAAAATTAGCTGGGTGTGGTGTCGGGCACCTAGCTACTCAGGAGGCTAAGGTGAGAGAATCACTTGAACCCAGGAGGCAGAGGTTGCAGTGAGCTGAGATCACGCCATTGCACTCCAGCCTGGGTGACAGAGCAAGACTCCATCTCAATTACCAAAACAAACAAACAAACAAACAAACAAAAAATCAGTCCTCAAATCATCGAGGAAAGAATAACCATGTCTCTCTCAAACTCAGTTGACCCCATGACTTGCTATTCATTCTTTCAATCAGTACCTTTTTTTAAAACATTTATGTTAGGTTCAAGCGTACATGGGCAGGTTTGTTCATATAGGCAAATTGTGTGTCACGAGGTTTTGGTGTACAGCTCATTTTGCCACCCAGGTAATAAGCATAGTACCCCATAGGTAGTTTTTCAATCCTCAACCTCCTCGCTCCCTCTCTCCTCCTTCAAGTGGGTCCCAGAGTCTGTTGTTCCCTTCTTTTCAACCAGTGGTTTTTAAGCTGTGTTTATGGTACTCTTCTAAATGCCAAGTGATAAGACAGTGAATAGGACAGGCAAATTGTTGTTCTTTTTGAATTTACCTTCTAGTGAGAGAACCAGATGATAAACATGCCAATGCAGATATAATGAAATGTCAGACATGGTAAGTCTCATGGAAAAAATAGAGCAAGTTCAGGGGACAGACAGTCACAAGGGAGGGAGGTCCCATGTTCCTCAAGGAGGAGAAATACAACCAGAGGGAGACTTAGAGGCACAATCTGTTCCAGGCAAAGGGAGGAGCAACTGTAAAATGTCCCATGCTGTGAGTGAACGCAGAATGTTTGAAAACTACTAAGAAGGCCAATTTGGAGAGGTAGAGAGAGGGAGCAGAGGCCACATGAAGGAGGTCCTGGTACACCACGATGAAGACTTTACTGTTATCATTATATATTGACAAATTATAGGGTACAAATTGTAGGACAGAAAGTGACGTTACGATTATTTAATACAATGTGGAATGCTCAAATCAAGCTAATGAATATACCCAAAACCTCGAATATTTAACATTTTTTTGTGATGAAAACATTTTTAATTTATTTCTTTAGCAGTATTAAAATGTACAGTACTCAATCATTAATTAACTTCACCACACTGTGAAACAGATCTCAAAATTTAAGTCTCAGATGTAACTGAAGCTTTGCATCCTTTTGACCATCATCTCATTTCTCCTACCCTCAGTCTCTGGTAACCACCATTCTACCCTCTGCTTCTATGAATTCGATTGTTCTAGCTTCCACATGTAAGTGAAATATGCAATATTTGTCTTTCTGTGCCTGGCTTATTTCACTTAGCATAATGTTCTCCGGTTCCATCCATGTTGTTGCAAATGAAAGAATTTCTTTCTTTTTTAAGGCTGAATAGGAGGACTTCAGATTTTGTATTAAGTGAGATGAAAAGCCACTATAGAGGTTTTTATAATGTGCCAGAATCTGAGTTGGGTTTCAGAAGGATCACTCCGGCTGCTGTGTAGAGAAGACCTGAAGGCAGGGGAGGACAAAATCAGAAGCGGAGATGCCACTAGGCGGTCACTGCAGTGATCCAGATAAAAGCAGGGAGTGGCCTGGATGAGGGCAGTAAGTAGATACACCAGGAATGCATTTTCTTTTCTTTTAATTGACACATAATAATTGTACACATTTATGGCATAAAATATAATGTTTCTAAGGAGAGTTTATAGGACTTGCTGATGTGGAATATGAAAGAAAAAGAAGAATCATGGATACTTACTTGCTTGGGATTCAAATATCTGGATCAACAGTGATGCCATTCAATGAAAATGGAAACATTGGTAGAGCCACACATTTGAAAAAGCAACCAAGAATCCAGACTTTGACATGATACATTTAAGAAGCCTATTAAAGACCAGGCACGGTGGCTCACACCTGAAATCCCAGAACTCTGGGAGCCTGAGGTGGGCGGATCACCTGAGGTCAGGTGTTCAAGACCAGCCTGGCCAACATGGTGAAACCCCATCTCTACTAAAAAAAACAAAAATTAGCCAGGTGTGGTGGCGGGTGCCTGTAATCCCAGCTACTTGGAAGGCTGAGGCAGGAGAATCGCTTGAACCCAGGAGGCAGAGGTTGCAGGGAGCCAAGACCACACCATTGCACTCTACCCTGGGCAACAAGAGTGAAACTCCATCTCAATAAATAAATAAATAAATAAATAAATAAATAAATAAATAAGGCTATTAAATAGCTGGGGACATAGGTCTGGAGTTTAGAGGATTTGTCTAGATTGACAACATAAATGTGAATTGTCAGGGTAAATTCTATAACACCAGGAGAACAGATGAGAGCATGAAACCATAGGCACAGATAGATAGAGAAGAGGCCGAAGGACTGAGACTCTGGGTGCACCAATATCTAGAGACTGAAAAGAGAAGAATCCAGCAATGACACTGAGAAGGCTATCCTAGTGAACAAAGATGAACGAGAGAGAAATTGAGTAAAGAAAGTGTTTCAGTTAGGTCAGGTGCAGTGGCTCATATCTGTAATCCCAGCACTTTGGGAGGCCGAGACAGGTGGATCACCTGGGGTTAGGAGTTTAAGACCAGCCCAGCCAACATGGCGAAACCCCATCTCTACTAAAAATACAAAACTTAGCTAGGCGTGGTGGCACATGCCTGTAATCCCAGCTACTCAGGAGGCTGAGGCCAGAGAATCACTTGTACCCGGAAGGTGGTGGTTGCAGTGAGCCAAGATCACATCACTGCACTCCAGCCTGGGCGACAGAGTGAGACTCTGTCTCAATAAATAGATAGATAGATAGATAGATAGATAGATAGATAGATAGATAGATAGATAGATAAAAGTGTTTTTGTATAAAATCGAAACTCTACCATAGCTGATACGGACTGGCCTCTGTTTATTTCTCCAACTTCACCCTCTACCATCCTCCATTAATTGATCTCTATCCAAAGTGGTCTTTTTCAGCCCTCAAAGAGGCAGGGATGGGTTGACTCTCATACCTTCATAGCTTGCAGGGAACACACAGCGCTAAGATCTCTACCATGCTGCCTTGCACCATGAAAGCTCAAGGCAACAAGCTTAGAGAAGCAGTCTTTGGCCACCAAAGCTAAACTAGACATCTTCCTATTACCTGATTTTTATTTATCTATGGCAATCGTGTCACTGCCTAGATTTATCTTATTCATTTGTTTACACCTTATTTCTTTTCTCCACCTATTCTCCAGGCCTCGGCCCTTTATTCGACTACAATACAAACTCCAGTAGGACAAGGACATTGTCTTATTTATTGCACGGCTCATCACAAAAACCTATTAACTGTGCCCAGCACTTAGTAGGTGCTCAATAAATATTTGTTGAGCACATAAGAAAAGAAATCACCTGTCCAACTCCCATCCAACAAGACCAAAATACTTCTTGTATGGAAACTTCCCTAAGACTTCCAACTCAACACAAAACATGAAAGGCACTAAAATGTAGTTGAAAAAGGATACACCTGGAAATCAAGTCAGAATAAGGTTCAAGTCCTAAATATGCTTCTCACAGCTGTGTGACTTTGCAGTGGTCACATAAATTCTCTGGGTTTGTTTCCTGCACAGTGAGGGCTCTAAAGATCCTTCCTCCACAGGCTTCCTGTTAGAGATAATGTGTAAAGTGTTGGCCACACAGAGGTGCTCATAAGTGGTGAGTAATACCTTATAATCATTATCCCTCCCTCCTTGGCACTCCCAAAGCAGACATCTGAACTTCTCATGACCCTAAATCACTATTATTTTTACACATGGGCTTTGTCCTTTTCAAACACTGTGAAATTATCAATACCAGTTCAACTCCCGTTGAGTGCAGGAACTTGCAATTTCTAGATTCCTTGTAAATGCTCGTGGAATGATTCACCCTCCCCTTCCTCAGGGACGTGAAGTGTTTTTAGCCTGAATTTCTTCCACTTCATTTTTACTGTGTCTTATTCCCTCCAGTGCTTGCATTGGGATTGTGAGAGTTTGCCCATATAATCCCCTGCTGGTCACTCTTACTCCATGGTTTCTTTTCTTTTTGGTCTTCCTACCCCCACCCCTGTTTAAAACTAACATTTATTCAGTGCCTTCTAGTTTACAAAGCACATTTCAAATACCTTAGTTTAATCCTCAAGGCTGCCTTATGTGGTAGAGATTTTTATTTATCTGTTTTTAAAATGTAGAAACTGAACCTCCACAGGTGACATGACTTGAACAAGGTAACAGAGCCAAAAAGCAGAGGAGCCAGGAGGTTTATATAAATTTTGAACTTGCTTTCACATGATTCATTCATTCATTCAATATTTCATTCATTCATTCAGGCACACATTCTTCAGCAAATATTCATTAGGAACTAGACACTATTCTAAACACTTGAGATACATTAATAAAAAAAAATTCACAGGTCCTTCTTTATGAGACTTCTAGCAGAAAGAGATAAATAATAAATATTTTAAACAAGTAAATTAAAAAGTGTTACGTATTATGGAAAAAAGAAAAAGTGGAACAGAGAAGGGGAGACTGGAAGTACTGGCAGAAGGGAATGCAATGTTAAGTGGGATAGTCAGGGTTGGACTCATGGAGAAGATGACATTTGAGTAAACACCTGGAGGAGGTAGGGGAGTGAGCTAGGTTGGCACTTGGTGAAAGAGCTTTCCAAGCAGAGGAGACACCAGGAAACCTGATAACTAGAGAGTGGTGAGGGAGGGGCAAGGAGTAATAGCGGGTAATGTTGGGGAGAAAACAAGGGACTGACCATGCTGGACCTCACTGACTACTGTAAAGATGTTGGGTTTTGCTATGAAATAAATGGAAGCCATTTGCAGGGCATTTAGTTAAATGAGTCAGACAACCTGACTTATGTTTACAAAGATCACCCCGTGTTGAGAGTTGAACGTGGACAGGCACGCTTAAAAGCAGTAAGATTATACAGGAGGCTATTCTGGTAATCCAGGAGATTAAGGACAGTAGCTTGAATTAGGGGAGTAGCAAGAGAGGAGAGAAGAGGTGGCCAGATTCTGGGTTTGTATTTTTAAGGAGTAAAATTAGGGTTTCCTAATGGATTAGACTTGAAGTGTGAGGAAACAAGGGGAATCAAGGAAGAGTAAAAGGTTTTGACTTGAGCAACTGGAAATATGAATCTTCCATTAGCTGAGATAGGGAGGGCAGTAGATAAGACAGATTTAACTGACAATGAAAGGGGTAGTCAGAAGTACAGGTTTATACACAATATACTTGAGAAGTAAGACATCCAAGCGGACATGTCCAGTGTGCAGTTGAGTTGACAAATCTAGATTTGGGGAGAAAAATGTAAAGAAGAAATATTATTGACATTCCCATTCACTTTCCAAAAAGATTTATTCATCCAATAAATATGATATGCCTCACTATTCACCAGAATCTGAACTAGAGACTGGTGTTGAAATGGATGGGGGAAAATGGACACAGTTTCTGCCTCAGAGTACTTACAGTCTAGCAGGAAAATAGAGTAAGTATAAGAAATAAATAATTATAAGAAATAAATTATATTACAATATGATAAGGTTTTTGGTTGCAAAATAAAGAGGGAAATGGGAGTACACAGTTGTAGTATCTGACCTAATCTAGGTATTTCACTAAAAGCTTCCTGGAAGAAGTAAGATTTGAGCTGATAACTGATGAAATGGTTAAGCCAGGAGCATAGAAGAAAAGGAAGTATTTTAGGCAAAGGGAATAGCTCATAGGTGAATGGAAACATGAGGTATAAGAACAATTCAGAAACCCTCAAGATGAGTACAGGGGGAAACGATGAGTGTAAATGGTGAGAGAGAATGATGGAAAGAGGGACACTGGGCAGAAGAGACCAGAAGGACCAAAAAAAAAAAAATCAATATGTGGCCTTTGATTTCACCCTGGAAAGGAAAAACAATGATGAAAAAATTTTAGAGAATATTGAGGATACTGGGTATTAGATTATATTATGCAACTATCATTGATTAATTTTCTTAGAGATTTTAATGGCCTGATTATGTATTTATTGTGAAATGTATTTATTTATTATTTATAGGAGAATGTATTATTTATATAATACATTCATTTACTTATTGTTTATATATGTCCTCATTCTTAGAAGAAACATGCCAAAATATTACAGGGGAAGTAACATGATGTCTACAACATATTTTTCATTCTTTTTGGAAAAAAGAGAGAGAAAAAATAAGGAGAGCTAGGAAAAAAGAGAGAAGGAGGAAGAAAGTAGATGTGGCAAAACATTCATGATTGGCAAATCTAGGTAAAGAGTACATAACTGTTGATTTGCCACTTCTTTGTCTTTTTTCATTTTTTTTTAAACACACAAACACGTGCAAATTTATTTCTGGAGAGAATTTGAGAGGATACTGAAACTACCATTTTTTTTTCTTTTTAATACATAGAGACAGGGGTCTTGCCATGTTGCTCAAGCTGGTCCCAAGCTCCTAGCCTCAAGCAATCTTCCTGCCCCAGCCTCCCAAAGTGGTAGGATTATAGGCATAATCTTGTTTCCCCTTTTAAAAATTTTTTGAAAATATTTTGAAATGCTTTTCACAAAAAAGTGGGAGAAATTATTATTTATTTATTTACTTTTTTGGTTTTTTTGAGACAAAAAAAAAAAAAAAAACAGCCTGTCACTCAGGCTGGAGTGCAGTGGCGCGATCTTGGCTCAATGCAACCTCCGCCTCCCGGGTTCAAGCAATTCTCGTGCCTCAGCCTCCTGAGAGCTAGGATGTAGTAGCAGGTGCCCGCCACCATGCCCGGCTAATTTTTGTATTTTTAGTAGAGATGGGGTTTCACCATTTTGGCCAGGCTGGTCTCAAACTCCTGACCTCAGATGATCCACCTGCCTCGGCCTCCCAAAGCGCTGGGATTATAGGAGTGAGCCACTGCGCCCGGCAGGAAATTATTTTTTAAAGATGATGAACTTCAAAATATCTGGTTGAGGTGGGTGACCTGCACATCCATATTGAAATGAAAGTAAGAGAGACTAAAGCTGAATTCATAAGAGCAGACAACAAAACTGCTATCCCCTAGAACGCTGGGAAGAATGCCTCAGGGGCACCAATTGAAAGTCCTAACAAGCTAGCTCCCAAGAGAAGAAAAGCCAGCCACCTAGGTACAGCCTGGACAGTGAGGTCAGGAGAAGGGGAACATGGACTCTGTGTGTGTTGAGCTTGCTACTTCCAGGCATTTTATTTCCACACCATTTCCTGCTGCAGCAGAAACCATGAAAGACTCGCTTCCCTGCTGGTCAAACTGGCCCCAGCAGCCACATCGCAGAGACTGACACTTTTCCATGGAAGTTTTTCCCGTACTAGCTCTCTCTGTTATCCATTCGATAACTCAGGGTAGCCTGAATTTGTGTCCTATATTGATTGAAAGTAATTTGAGCTAAGTCTTGTGTAGGTCCTTGTCCTTAGAGGTCCTTGTTCTTAGACCAGAGAATGTGGGCCTGGGAGAAAGTACACATAGAATTCCTGCAGAGCCAAAAGCCCCATTCCTGGTCCCCTCCAACAAGTGCTGAAATCAGGCCAGCAGCCAGGGCTTCTGGGCCCTGATGTTTCCTGCACACAGTTCTGGGTGCTGTCATAATCCACTGCACAGGAATAAGAAACCAATAGCATTGAATTCTAGAAATGTAGTTATCTGCATCAGGAGACAAAACTCAAAAAAGCAGGAAACAGAATGAACTCAGGATCCTATTCCTGGCTCTGTCACCAAAGTGTTTTTTGAATTTGGGCAAGCTGTTTCACCTCCCTGGGCCTTGGATTCTCCATCTGTACAATCAAAAGTTTGAATAATATCCCTGAGGTCCTTTATAGTACATACTATAATTTTTGGAAGAATTGGAGAGCAAGTGAGTGTGAACCCTGGGTGATTCTCAGTCTGAATCCAAAATGAGGCCAGAGGCACTCAGATGGGCAGAATCTCGGCTGGGTTTCAGGGGTTGTGAGGATTCGAGTCAGTAAAGAAAAAGGATTAAAAAAATTCTTTGAGTGGGAGCAACGTGAGCAAGGCAGGGAGGCTGGCTCAAAACTGCATGGAGTGGGGTTAGGGAGGGAGGAAGAAAGCATGCAAGGATCAGCTCACTTAGTCTAATTCAAACTGCAAAGCCCAGCACAATGCTTCTTCCCTCCAGGAAGCCTTCCAGAGTTCCAATATTCACACTGCCTCTTCAGCCTGAATCATTCCTTCATGATGATCTCATTAGTACTCATTAGCAGACACAAATTGTTGAGTACCTACTCTGAGCCATGGGTTTTAATTATTATCTCACTCAACCATTTCAACCACAAGGGTTGGGATAGGTATTAGTAAAGCCAAGATGCAAAAGTATCAGGTTCAGAGAGGTTATGTTCCTTGTCCACGTTCACCCAGCTAGATCAAATCTCTTTACAACGACTTCATTCTGTTTATTCTTGGCTGATTTTCCTACTAGATGTTGAGCTTCTCAAGGACAGGTCACCTCTACCTCTGTATTTTCAGAACCTGGCATAAGTTGAAGCTGATTATAAAAATACAAACTCAAATGAGATTATTCTGGATACCCAGACAAAGATACAGATTGTAGCAGGTTAGGAAGCTAAATGTGGACAGTGAATGCAATTGGCAGCCTTACTCCACTGAGTCGATCCTATTTTGTTTATTCTGAGTCATTCTCCAGGTTGCCCAGCCAAGGAAACCTTTGGTGTTCTCCTCTCCTCCCACCCACTGGCTATGCTCTCTAAATGGCAGTTGTTTCCTAGCTCAGAGAAATATAGAGTTCATCACATGAAAGGAGAGTAGAAGGAGAACCCAGCGTCCCTTTGCTGGCCTTAAGTGATCCAGCCCTGGAAAACAGGACCCTGGGGTGTGAGGACCTATGAGGGAGAAGCAAACTGTAGTAGAAAAAACAAAATGAAGAGTGAACAGAGTTAAATGATTCCTCTAGGGTGACTAACAAACGGATTTGGTTGAGATTACAGAGAACCTTTGAAAGCCTTTATGCTTCTGCCAATGAATCTGAATTCATTTCATTGGACTAAGCCCCAGCTGGCCCTGATTTGGAAGAGACCATTAGAAGAGCTGGAGGAACACACATTCTTTTGCTGGGCAACCCTGGGAAAGTCTCTCTAACTTGCTGTGTACCAGGGTCCTTATTTGTAGAATGGAAATGATTCTAACAGCTCTGTCTATTTCACAGGTCAGCCCCAGAGACAAAATAAGAAAATATGCACAGAATCAGTCTCACACCCATTCTAAAAATTAGAAAACTGAAGCACAGAGAAGTTAGTGACATTATCAGAATCCTAAAGCATCAAGGGATGGCTTCAAGTCACAGAGAGTAAATGCAGCACTTAGCTTGGAGGATCTTCTAATTAAGGTATAGATATAGATATATGTGTATATACACATATATGATATATACAATAGAGATATCCAATATATATACTATATATGTAGTGTGTACATTATTTAATGTATGTTAACATTATTTAATGCTTATGATAACCCTGTAGACTAAATCACATCTCCTTTTATAAATTAAGAAACCGAGGCTTAGATAGGAATGTGGTTTGCCACAGGTCAATCATAAGTAAAACCAGAGCTTGGATTTGAACCCAATTCTGTGTGACTCTAGACTTTGGGTACCTGACCCATTGAGTTACTTGATTCCCAGTGGTTGGAGTTCATAATGCATATCTAAAAGAGAAAATGTATCTATTTTTGTTTTAATATATATGTAGGATTATAAAAGCCCATGTTCAAATGAATAGGAATCCTTGTAATCAACCAGGAGATACTGTAGTTTGTTAACATCAAATCATCTCTGAAGTCTTTGCTATTTTGCCCTACCTTGTACACATATATTCCCAACTCCCACAAGACTATGAACTTGCACTTTTAAGGGTATAACCTTATTCTGTTTATCTCTCTCCCTTTGACACCGTCCATCACAGTGACCAGCACACAGTAGATGCTCATAAAATGTGTGCTGAGTCCAATAGGACTATATAGGTACTCTGTCCCAACTGATGGTTCTAAGAAGACAGCTGGGGAGGTTTCATGTACAGTCTTAACATGATGGACTCTCCAAGATTAATCCTGAAATGGACACACTGTCAGGTAACTCCAATGCAACATATTGGATGCTTGGGACCAAGTCCATCCATACTATAAGCTCTCCTACAACCTCAAAAGGAGAAAATCTCCAGTAATACCTATAGTGCTGTTTTCACTAGTTTCTGCTGGATCATTAATCCCAAAGCATGAGCTGTGTGTCTCTGGTAGCTATTATCTTCAAGAAGCATGCTCTACTAATGGCTCATATGGTATATGATACAGGCATATCAAAATCAAGCCTATTAACTGGGAAAGGGTGTCAGGTAACCCTGGATTCCTTAAAAGAGAACCCCCAAATAGCAGTAAAGAGCGAAATCCTCCCTCTGTCCTCCCCATCTGATCACCCACTCACTTCTGCCCTTCGTTTCTCTCCTCTCCCATCCTTTCCTCACTCCTCCAGTTTCTCTGTTCTTTTCACTTTCCCTTTTTTCCTTGTCTCCTTCATTTCCTTATCTGTTATCTTTTCTTCTTCATTCTCTTCCCCCTTCCCTCTCTTTCATGCTTTTATCCCTCATGGCAGCCAGACAAAACATCTTTACTTGAGGACTCATTTTCCTGAAATATCTATCACAGTCATCTGAATTGGATACCTTCTTAAGTATTTAATACATCCAAAACAAGGCCCATAAGTATATATCATATTTCCTAATGACAGTTAATTTATGTTTAACTATCAAAGCAATACGTGAATACAGTCCCTTGGTTATTTTAAGTTTAAATCATAGGTAATTGCCATTATTATGAGAACACCTTCCTGATTTTTCTTTTCATATGTATATGTGTATAAATGTACTCTTAGAAAATATAAACTATTTTTGTGGGTTATGTTTAATACACATGTGAAATGCTACTATATGGATCATTTTGTATCTTTTAACAAAATCTCCTTATAGAACCTTTAACATCAATACAATTAGTTGTTTTATTATTTGTAATTACTGCAGAAGGTTCTATACTGTCCATAAACCACAACTTACTTATGCATTAACCCATCGGTGGATATGTAACCTGCTTCTAATATTTTCACTATTACTTTACAAATCATCTGGCAATGAGTACCTTCATCCATGCTTCCCACTATACTGGTGCATGTTTTCTCCAGGGTAGATACTGAGAGATGGTATAGCTGGGTCAAACGATTTGCCCACTTTAAATGATGTAGATACTGCATGATTTCCTTCCAAAGCAGATTTAAATTCTTTGTCTTAATTTCGTTTATCTTCCCTTTCTACTCCCCTTTACTTCTAGCATTATTATTATTATTCACATACAATAAAGCTGATTTAAATTTTTAGTGTACAGTTCCATGAGTTTTGACAAATGTATAGTATTAACCACCATCAGAGTAAAGAACAGCTCCATCATCCCCCAAATCTACTTTTGTAATCAAAAGTAATCAGCCTTGGAAACCACTATTCTGCCGTCCATCCTTATAGTTTTGCCTTGTTCAGAAAGTCATATAAATGAAATCATAGAGTGTGTAGCCTTTTGGGTCTGGCTTCTTTCACCTACCATAATGCCTTTGAGATTCGCTCAAGCTGTTGAATTTATCAGTAGTTCATTCATTTTATAGTAGCCTATGTGTAGAGGCATCACAGTTGTTTTACCCATTCACCTGTTGAAGGATATTTGAAGTTTTCTGTCTTTATTTTTCCCTTCTGCCCACATCCTTTTTATCCACTCCTCCTTCGCTCTTTCGTCCAATGCATTGGCTTTGAAATCTCCATGAAGGACGCAGAGAATACAACTCCAGGCATTGGTTGGTCAAAGTCAGCTTTTAGGGGCTCATAGAAGTTGAATGTATTCCTCGCTTCCTAATTCCACATTTAGGAACATCAAGTTGGTAGCTTGATGGTGAGGATGTTTACCCCCTGGAAATTGGCAAACACTATCAGAGCTTTATTTGGGGGAGGGAGGGTGAACATCATTAATGATTATTAAATATTGGAAACAGCTGCTAAGCATATACCAGCACATTACTGATTACAAGAGAGGAGCCTACTATGTCAGAACTAGAAATAAATGCCAAAGCCATTTATAAGGCCCCGATTAAGTAGTGCAGATGGACACAGGTGAATGCTGAGGGAAAAGGTGCCTGGTTATCAGAGTTAGTGCCTAATTTCTTGAACTAGTACAAAATATGTCATAACATTTTAGAAAAAGAAAGGACTCCTTGAGATGTAAACATATCTAGTAATCTCTCCAGGCAGTAAGTATGGCATCTATGAAGAAGGAATTGAGGAATATTGGGAAGTCCATCCTATCTTCCACTCTATTCTTATTCCTCAAACCCCTTGCTTGATATATTAAAAAAGAGGTTACCCCCCTACCTCTGCTTAGAAAACTTTCCAGTAGCTGGCAACTCTCTATGGCATTGGAATTTTTCTTTATCTATACTGAATCATATTCTTTATATGGATTATTCCATATATCGAATATTATATAGTTATTCCTTATCTATACTGAATCAGTCTCTACCCTATGTCTTTTCCCTACTGTTTTTCTTTCCAGCACTTGGATGAGGTAGACAAATCTCGTTTCTTGTTTTTCCCCTTCTCTGGGACTCTTCTGTGTTTACAACTCAATATTTGCACTGGATGATCTCTCAGGTCCCTTTCAGAACCTCTGACTTCCTGGAGCCCCTGCTCCAGCCCTCCCATGGATCCCCTCTTCGCCTCCCTGCCTCTCTCCCACAGCCCTACTGCCCTGAGGGCACTGGCTGCGTTTGGAGCCTTAATCTTTCTGAGCAGTGAACCATTCCCTACACAGTCAGAGGCAGGGCCGCCTTGCTGACTGATTGTTGGCTAATTTTATTTGGCACTGTTTTTCTGGCCTCATATAGAGCCTATTAGAGAACCATTTTCATGTTCCATAGATTCTATTTGTGACTCTGCTCCAATGCGGGGATTCAAACAAAGAGATGGATAAAGGGGCCTTAGGAACTAAGGGATGCCCTGTAAGAAGTGAGTAAATAAGACAAATTCATTTACCTTGCATCTTTTTTTAAAACAACTTAAAGCAGCTGGGCGCGGTGGCTCGCGCCTGTAATCCCAGCACTTTGGGAGGCCAAGGCAGCTGGATCACGAGGTCAAGAGATCGAGACCATTCTGGCCAACATGGTGAAACCCTATCTCTACTAAAAATACAAAAATTAGCTGGGCGTGGTGGTGCGTGCCTGTAGTCTCAGCTACTCAGGAGGCTGAGGCAGGAGAGTGGCTTGAATCCAGGAGGCAGAAGTTGCAGTGAGCCGAGATTGCGCCACTGCACTCCGACATGGTAACAGAGCTAGACTCCATCTCAAAAACAGCAACAACAACAACAAAACAAACAAACAAAAAACAACTTAGAGCACTTTTCTGTCAATTGATTTTTACATCCAAAATATCCCAAAAAAGAAAGCAGATATAATACTTTACTTCCATTTTATTGGTAAGAAAACTGAGGTACAGAGATGAGATCTACACTGATTTACCAGGGCTCAAAGTAAAACAAGTACAGAGCCAAGTTGAGAACTCTGATCTCCTCAGGTACTTCCCAATGCTCTGTGCACAAGAGAGAAATAAAATAACATGAACTCAGGCTATTTGGGGAAAGCTCAGTGTGAATAAATTAGAAGGATGAGTAATTTAATATTTGAAAACAAACATCACCTAATGGATGTATTAACTGAAAACTGTGTCCCTATCTAAACTCTTAGTTTGGTAAACTTCCACTCCTTTAGAACTCAACTCAGCTATATTATTAACCATGGGGATTTCGCCAGGGCACCTGCCCACGCACGGTTCCCCTGTGAGGTGTCTCCAGATCATCCTGTCCATTCATCCACCATCTCCCTGATGCATGTGTTCACAGCCCAGTCTCCCTTAAGAGAGTTGAGCTCCTTGAGAGAAAGGGTTGTATCTTATTTACCTCTGTATCCTCAGCACTTAAAATAATACCCAGAAAATAATAGGTGCTTCAAACACATGTCTCAAATGAAACCCATGGAAAACCCTTCAGAGGTAGCCAAAGCCTCGTTCACATTAATTGTGTAGAAAAAGGTGGAAATTAGTTGAACAAGTGTTGATCACTGAAGGCCTGCACTAATGAACTGATGAAAATAAATCATAATTAGCATATCAATTCTGTATGCAAGAAAAAGATGCCTACAAAACATGCTTAAAATGTTTGCATGAAATATTGTCAAAGGAATGCTGGAAATTGCGTTCATGCCAATTTATTATTTAACAATTTTCCTTTCAAAGAGAGAGCAAAAGAAAGCTCACTACCTGCCCAAATCAGTGTACTTTCTGAATTACTGGGGTCAAAATTAATGAGGCTTATAAGAATGATCATATGCTTTGACCTAATAACCTCCTGGGAATCTATCCTAAGGAAATACCTCAAAAGAAGAAAAATGCTATATGTACAAAAAGATCATAACATCTTTTGTTATAATTTGAAAAAAAATGGCAATAAAATAAAATGTCCAGCATAAAGAAAATAGTAGATGATCTTGGCAGAAACTCTCTGGGACACAGATACATGTTTACAGAATTAGCTTTCACAAGAAGTGCAGGAAATTCATGTTAGATATATGGATGTACAATAACATATAAAGAAAAGATGCAGTTGGTTGTAGACAGTGAGAACATGGATGAAATAAGTAGTTTTTTTTTCTTTTTTTTTTAAGTTGGAGTCTCGCTCTATCGCCCAGGCTGGAGTGCAGTGGTGCGATCTCGGCTCACTGCAAGCTCCCTCTCCTGGGTTCATACCATTCTCCTGCCTCAGTCTCCCGAGTAGCTGGGACTACAGGCACCCGCCACCACACCCAGCTATTTTTTTTTTTTTGTATTTTTAGTAGAGATGGGGTTTCACCGTGTTAGCCAGGATGGTCTCCATCTCCTGACCTCGTGATCCGCCTGCCTCAGCCTCCCAAAGTGCTGGGATTACAGGTGTGAGCTACCGCACCCAGCCAAAATATCTAGTATTTTTAAATGCTGTTGAATCAAACCCAATTGAGATGCAGCAATAATTACTTAGTAGGTCTAACTGAACCAGGAATCTCACTACTCAAGTTTGTCACCTAATAATGTCCCCGCCTCATTCATCCTTTATTTTGTTTGTTGAACGTCACTGTGTATGAGACACTCGGTATACAAAGGAAAAGACATGTTCCCTGTCCTCAATAGCAATCTAGTGTGAAGAACTGGCCCCAAGTCAGTTCAGTACAAAGCAACATTAAATAATTGCTCTAGTAATACAGCAAGTGAGATTTATTTAATTCTGAAAGAGCAGGGGTGTATGAAAGAAGACTTCTGAGAGCAGGAATCATTCAACCATGCCTTGAAGACTGCTTAGGACTTTGACAGATGGAGGAAATGTGGGTAAAGCCACAGAGGTTTGATTTTGCCCAATGTGCCCAGGAAATGGAAACATTCTCTGCACCACCCAGAGGTACAGGAAAGGCAGATGCTGGAGTTAATCAGGGTTTTAGGCTGGATGGTGTAGGAACCTGGAGGGCAAAGCCAGGGAGTCCAGCCAACCCTACTGACACTGGTTCTGAGAGTGTAGAAATGTGACAGGCTATGGATGGGTCAGGAATTACACACAGTTCTCATTGCTCACTGCCTTTCATGCCTGGCCTGGCAGAGATACTTCTCTGAATATGGGATATTTTATTCTGTTTTTAAGAGCTCTTCATTTGTCATTTGGGATAGAAAGTTGGACCTGGTTGCAATCTGCAATCAATCAGCCTGCTTTTGCGGAAGAACTACCAGGAAACCAGTTCTCTTCTCTGTAGGTCTTTTAGCATTGATGTAAGCATTCAAAAATCACTTAGGCAGTGTGTATGAGAAAGAAGGGAGGGAGGGTGGGAGAGACAGAGAGAGTAAAAGTAAAGAAGGGATCAGGGAGAAGAAGGGAGGAGCAGGGAAGGGAGAAAGAGAGGTATCATAGATTCTCTATGGTATCATAGGATTCTCTATGGGCGAGTGAGAACAAGTCAGCATTGTCAGGGAATATGAAGGGTGTGTTCCCTTTGGAAAAATATTCAAAATTATTCATTATTCTGCTAGTTCATAACACATCCTTATACATTTACTTATGCTTATATAAATATAAATCTAGCATTTATGCATATAGACATATAAACATTTTTAAGCAAAAATAAGGTCATGATGTGTGTGTATGTGTATGCAACTTGCTTTATTTTTCATTTCAACAATATATCATGGTTTTTTTCCAGATCAGTACACATAGATTGTTTTCATTCTTTTTAGTGGCTTTGCAGTATTACAAGAATGCACCATAATTTCTTTGAGCAATCCCTTATTGACAGGTATTCAGCTTGTTTTCATGTTTTGTTCCTCTTGGCTAGTTACAAATGGTGTTGCAGTAAATATTGTTAAGTGTACCTCTGCACACATTGTGAGTATTTCTTAGAAATGATTCCTAAAGTGGAATTATGGAGTCATAGCTCATAGGCATCTTGAATTTTCAAAAATACAAACTTATATTTCCATGAACAAAGTCTGAAAATGTTGATTTCTCCTCACCCTCTGAGGGTTTGAATAGTTTTGACAAGGCCCTTCACCCTACCTAAGTGATTCTTGTCCCACACCCACCTCCATCCCTTCCCTGTGAATTACTATGTGTAGATGAGACGACAGTGTTGGGGAGAGTGCTGAACTTGGGAATGGTGCTTAAACAGAAAGTAGATGAAATCCACAGGAGGAAAGAGCTGGGATACTTGGGTTGTAGCTGTGGCCCTGCAAATAAGTAGCATGGGATCCCTTCCGTAAGATCCAGCAAAATGGGTAAGGCTTTCTGGACCTTGGATTCCCATCTGGAAAACAAGGAAGTTGGCATCTGATCATTAAAGGTCTCTTTTGGCTCTGACATCCAGTGATGAAAGGAGAACTGAACGAGAAGAAGGACAGAGGGAGGAGGGGAAGAATGTAAAAGAGAAGAGTAATAAGGAGGAAAAGCAAAAATGGGTGATAAAAGAAAAGGAAACAAATTAAAGAAGAGTAGCAATGAAAAGTAAGCCCATCTCCACTGTTATTGTTACAGAAAAGCCCTTACAAAATTCAATATGCAGGAATGCCAGGAGCTATAACCTTTGAAAGAAAGAGAAAGGGATTCTGGAAGGGGACTGGGGAACAAGAATGTTGTTCCTTTATTTTCAAAAACCCCAAATTTAATTTTGCCCAGAAATAATGTTTTTCATGTTGAGTGAAACCAAGGGGAGAGTAATAGCTGGTCACAGTGGAGAGACAGCAGTGATAGATTACCTCTTACGGTTGCGCTTTTCCCTGTGTACCGCAAACACAAAAGCTCTATGCCCCTGGGAGGAAGGTAGGTTCTTTCTCTCTTCAATGTTATATTAATCACAGCTGCCAAAGTTATCGCCCTCACTGACCACTTCTTAGATTCCTTTTAAGCCTTTTCAAAGCAGAAATTGATGACAGGACTTGACCAAGGATACAGAGTTACGGAGAGGTAGAAAGAGGACCAGACTAGCAGTTCACAGAGCTTGGAGCGTGAATCTGCGTTCTCACCGGCTGTGGTTGTAAATGAGATCATTTGTTCTTTCTGGGCCTCCTTGAGTGTTTCTTTAGAATGAAGGGGTGGAAACAAACAGTAGTCCTCATCGTCCCTGGAACTGCAGCTTCAGCTGCCTCAGCATCACCTGGCAGCTTGTTAGAAATGCAAAATCTCCAGCCCTGCCCCAGACAGACCCAGTGACTCAGAAACTGTGGGTGGAGCCCCACAATCTGCTTTGGCAAGCCCTCTTGCTAACTTGCTTTAGCAAGATGATTATGATGCAGGTTAAAGTCTGAGAATCACTGACCCAAAAGATCACTAAAATACTTGCCACTTTCACGGACACAACTTTGCCCTAAGGAATTTTTTAAAGTGGTGGGAGGGGGAGGGTGAAATTCAACATCAAACAACCTTTCCTACTCTCAGATCTTTTTGACAGAGTCTCGCTCTGTTGCGTAGGCTGGAGTGCGACGGCACGATCTCGGCTCACTGCAACCTCCGCCTCCCGGGTTCAAGCAATTGATTCTCTTGCCTCAGCCTCCTGAGTAGCTGGGATTACAGGCGTGGGCCACCACAACCGGCTAATTTTTGTATTTTTAGTAGAGATGAGGTTTCACCATGTTGGCCAGGCTGATCTCGAACTCCTGACCTCAGGCGATCCACCCACCTCGGCCTCCTAAAGTGTTGGGATTACAGACGTAAGCCACTGCGCCTGGCCTCCTCTCAGATCTCTTAACACAAGTACCATACCGTCACCTGATGCTATCATTCCTCCTTTTTCTCCTTAGGCTGGTTTCATATCACCTTGCTGTTTAAATACAGCCCTTGGACCACCACCAGCAGCATCTGGTGAGTTTCAGAATCCTCTGGGGAATTGCAGAATTCCCAGGTCCCACCTGAGACCGAATGAATCCAAATCTATAGTTTTAATGAGATCCTCAGCTGATTCAAATATACATTAACTTTGAAGGGGCCTGCCACCAGTCCTCTTATTTCTCTCCACTCCCCTCCCATCTGGGTTTCGCTTTTTGCTCCTTTCTGCATCGCTTTCTTTTGACTTGAGTTTTCTCTGGGAAAGCCCATGCTTTCTAGGAGCATGGCTTAGACCAAGGTTGATGCTCAGATTTTACAAATTCCATACTATCCAGAGACTTGATTATCCAATTTCACACTCAGAGCCAGAATCCGATGAAGCTGCAGTTTTCTCTTCCCGCTGTGGGAGGCAATGTGGTACAGGCAAGAGGCCCTAACTCAGCCATCCTCTGAGTTGCAATACCAGCTGTGCCCTAGCTCTGTGTTTGGCAAAGATGTTGAAGCTTTAGGAGCCTCATTTTAAAAATGGATATAGTCTCACTTTTGGGGGGGTGGTTGTAAGGCTCAAATGAGATAATGGAAATGGCTGTAAAAGCCCCAATTCAAATACAAGGAATTATAATGACTCTTATCAAAGCAACTCTTTCCCTCCCTTTTCTTAGGGCTTTTCCAAGAGCAGATCTCAACCACTTGTCCCCTCACCCTGTGCTGCTGAAAATGGGGACCAATTTCCATTTTTTCAAGCCTGTCCCCAGGGTTTTTATTAGAGAAGCAAATAAAAGATTGCTCCACTCCCTCTTTCTCAATAAATGTGTTTATCGCCCTGTAAATTCCAACATATCAGTAGCTTGTTACAGAGAGGAAAGTTCGCTGCCAAGAAAGATGTGTCATTCCACAGGAAATTTGGGTTTAATATATACAAGGGAGCCGGCTCATGGAAATCTCTTTGGAAATGATAAAGTCCTATAATGAAAAATACCACTACAATACTGGGCTCATTTCAGCAGATAAATATTTAATATAGATCAGCCAAGATTAACTGCCTACTGAAACATGCCTGTCCTCTGGCTGGTGAGGAAAAAGAGCATCTTTACGTTAATTTATGACGGAGTTTTTGAAACAAGCAAAGCTTAGCTTGTCCCGGGTTCATTTTGCCTGCCACTGAGAAATGCATCGCACGGTTCCCAAGGCCTTCTGCTCAGCTCTGGGCTCCTGCTGCAGTGTGGAGTGGACTGGCCACTCCTTCGCATACTAATCAAGTTCTTGCAGGCATCAAAAAAAAAAAAAAAAAAAATAGGTTGTAGAGAATCACTGAAATCAGGACATGGTACAAGCCAGTGAGAAAGACCATCGTGGTCTCAGAAGGCTGGTGCAGAATGGATCTGCACATTCGAACGGGATGGCAGAGGGGAATCAAGAAAATGAGGGAATCACATACATGTGTCAGCACTGAGTAATTTGATTCAACCATTTATATCCATTTAACGCTTACCATCAAAACAATTACATACAGGTGTTCCCATTTTATAGATGAGCACGCACTGAAGCTGAGAGCAGTTAACTGAACTTCCTCAAGGTCCACATAGCTAATAAGTGTTAGAGGTGTGGTTTCAGCTTAAGCATTTCTGACTCCAGAGCCCCTCAACATAACCCTTAATCTAATTATTTATCTAATTGTCAAAGTCTTGTACTTAGGGATTAATAGCATAGAGGGAACTTCAAGTTCAGGCTGCAAGATACTTTGTACCTCCTCATTCTTTCTATTTACCCGTTTTCTTTTTTTCCCTCCTCATCTAACTATCCCTTAGGTTTTCTTGAATCCCCAGAGGATTTCTGGTGCCTTGGTAGTGGTGTGTATCTGGTATCATTCAGGAAGAAACACAATTTTACCAGTGACTCCAGCGGGGCTCTTTTCCTGGTATTCAGTTGTCATATCCTACTAACTCATTCTTTTCTTAGGAAACTGAGATCCAACTTATACCAGGAAGGAAAACTAAAGAGGCTCAAACAAAACCACCAACATCCCCGGGCAAACAGCTGTGCAACTTGGAAATCAATTCATGCTCATCATTCTCCCCCAATTATCAGCATCTTCAAAATCATCATTGCCATCAACTTTATCATCATTAATATGAATATCAGCATTGACACCAGCTGGAGATACTATTATTATTATTATCACCACGAAAATTGTCTCCACCAATCTTTGTCATTGCCAACATGAATATTACCAGCAACTTTTTCCACTATGAACAATATATGATCTGCATAGCTGAGGGCATCGAGAGTGTTATCGCCATTATCTTTCATCTTTTTTTTTTTTGAGACGGAGTCTTGCTCTGTCGCCAGGGCTGGAGTGCAGTGGCGTGATCTCGGCTCACTGCAACCTCTACCTCCTGGGTTCACGCCATTCTCCTCCCTCAGCCTCCCAAGTAGCTGGGACTACAGGCGCCTGCCACCACGCCCAGCTAATTCTTTTTGTATTTTTAGTAGAGATGGGGTTTCACCATGTTAGCCAGGATGGTCTCCATCTCCTGACCTTGCGATCCGCCCACCTCGGCCTCCCAAAGTGATGGGATTAAAGGCGTGAGCCACTGCGCCCGGCCATCGCCATCATCATTTTTAACAGAGTAACAAATTTAACATGTGTCTACTGGGTAGTGCAAAAATGTAGAAAAAAGATTCAGCGTTTTCATATATGAAATTTTGATGTAGCTGTGTAGACATAGCTGTGTAGACAAGATAATTGACAATATAAGTCTCTAATTTTAAATGTCAAAAGAATGCCACTTGGTATTTTGAAAGTTCAGAGACAGTCATGCCTGCTATACAAGGTCATGCACAAGAGGACGGGGGAACTCACCAGACAGAGTGTTCTACCCTTGTGCCTGTCATTAATTCATCCACGATTTTGGTCAAGACGCCTATCCACTCTGACTTCGGTTATTCAATAAAAAATGATAAGCAACTGCTAGATAGACTTTAAATGTTTTTCTAGACCTAAAGATCCTTGGAACACTTGAATTGCACAACATGTGGTTGGCTGCGTTTGTATTTTCCAAATCACCAAATAGTCTAGTTAATTTCACCTTGAGGAATCAAAGGTAGAGAGAAATTTGAGATAGAAGGAAAGAAAAAAAAAAAAAACAGACCTTAGAGATCTCATCTGATTTATCTCTTCTCTAAGGGTATCCCATCTTGGATTATCCCAAACACTTAGTTTACAGGATATGCAGCACTTTTATTTTAAATAATTCACATGGTGCTTTAAGCTCTCCTTTTTTATCATAAGAGAGACCTGGTTCCAAGGAACAGTTCTTGAATAACTTCTTAAATATATCATTGCAAGATGAAATTTCCTCATTATCTCTGCTTCGAGATGGTTCACATTTTTAACTTTTATTTCACATACTCTCCTGGGAGTAGACAGTTTTAAGTTTGAATCCCAGTGCTTCTCATATTGTCTGTGTTATCTGGGACAAGTTTATTAACTTCTCTGAACCACAAACACCTCATCAGTAGGAACAGTATAATCACATGTCTACACTAGAGTACTTATGATAACTCAATTGGTGAGATACATCAGAATACAGAGTCTACTACACTGGGCTTGTTCCCCGATGAACAAGGAAACAAACACAGAAATAAGACAATATAAAGGACCTACGGAATAAAGATTTCAAAGGCTTTCAGGTTCATGGAAGTAACAGTCAAGTGCAAATGTAGCTACAACGCCATCTGAGTGGTCAAGCCTGACAGCATTCATATCTGAAGGTAGCAGCCCTCACACAGATCCAGCCCATTGTTTATCTGCACAAATGATGGCAAAGGTTTATCAGACATAATTTTTTCAATTAAAAAACCTCAGATATCTGGATTTTTTTCTTGAAATATCCTTTTCTGAAAAATTAAAGACCTGGGTGGGAGGAGGTAGAGGATCAGAAAAAAGTATCTAACGGGTACTAGGCTTAATACCTGGATGATGAAATAATCTATACAACAAACCCCCATGTAACACGTTTATCTATGTAACAAACCTGCACATGTACCACTGAACTTAAAAGTTAAAAAAAAAGAAAAACCACAAGTCAGAGACCCACAGTTACTTTTAAAAACTTTTTGTGGGTCAAGCAAAATCATGCCTTTGGAGGAAGGTTTAGATATTATATTACAGGATGGGAACAGATGGGTAGGAGGCTGTTAAATGTCTGGTTTATTTGCATGCAAAAGGATTCCTTCCCATTGTCCTTCTTTTTTCTCCCTTCACCTGAAGAGATTCATTTAAGGAGGACATATAACTTCAACCTCACAGTAGCTTTCTGTAAATAATTCACTGTGAATGATGTTGTTAGTATGTGACTCTTGAAAGCCAAATATATAAATGGCAATAGTCACAACTAGGTACTTATTTTTTCTTTTTAAATTTTTTTTAACCATATCCTAAACATAGGTTTATGATGTAATGTATGCAAAATACAATGCTGGGTGATTTGGGGAGACAATGGATGACTAGACCTGGGCCTTGACCTCAGTAGCCAACAGACTCCTTGTGGTAATGAGAAAGAGTGGGAAAGAGTAGCAAAAACACAATACAGAAAGCAAAATGAGGTCTTTTCATCAGTCAATGAATTGATAAACCACCACTGGAAGCAATGGGCTTTGCTAAATCTTAAAAAAGGGCCACACGATTTAGGGGTGATATTTTTAGCAAGAGGTGGGAAAATGCTTCTTACTCAACCTCATAGCCTTAGGATATAGCAGAGTGAATGGCACATAGTAGGTGCTCACTAAAAATATCTGAATTAAATGAAAATAGGTGAATGCACCAAAGGAGAGGTTTTGTTTGTTTGTTTGTTTTTTGTTTTGTTTTGTTTTTTTTTTTAGATGGAGTTTCACTCTTGTTGCCCAGGCTGGAGTGTGATGAATGGCACAATCTTGGCTCACTGCAACCTCTGCCTCCCAGGTTCAAGCTATTCTATTCTCCTGCCTCAGCCTCCCAAGTAGCTGGGATTACAGGCATGTGCCGCCACACCTGGCTAATTTTTTATATTTAGTAGAGATGGGGTTTCACCATGTTGGTCAGGCTGATCTCGAACTCCTGACCTCAAGTGATCCACCCGCCTCGGCCTCCCAAAGTGCTGGGGTTACAGGCGTGAGCCACCACACCCGGCCCATTTAAGCCAATTCTTGAAGTCTGAGAATGTGGTTTTAAAAAGCAGAGCACGGAGATCAAGGAGAAAGAGCATTCTAAAGCAAAAGAACAGAATGAGAAAAATCACAGAGGCAGGGCAATGTGAATGAAATTCTGGAATTAAGAAGTAATTGGGTGTGGCCTTGCCAACATAAAGAAATGCAATACTCAGAAAATGACTGGAATACTAAGCTAGAGGATTGGTATTCTCTACCTGTAAGACGATGAAGAACTGGTATTCTCTACCAATGAAGACGATGGAGAAGAGGCAAAGCATGGTCTCATTTTTATTTTAGGAGATCAGTTAACTCTGGCTGTTCCGTGAAAGGAGGAGGCCTGATTAGGAAACTATTGCAATTATGGGACTGAAAGAAGCTGATGGCATGAGTTAGAGGTAGAAAATGAGAAGAAGGTAGGAAAGGTAAATTAGAAGCAATAGGGTTGATGACTCACTTGATATGCAGAAAGTGAGAAAACACATGTCTAAGATTCTTCTATTAATCTGAGAAATATCCCAAAGGATATAACCTCACACAGAACCCCAGCTACCACAGATAGCATTTTAAGCATACTGCCTGTCCCACCAGTTACTCATTCTAAGTTCTCCTCAACTCAGAAACCTAGAAGAACCCATGCATTGGTTAATAACTCATTGACCTAAGTCAGAAGGCTATGGTGTTTTGATTCTGAACTGATCACATGGATTGATACAATCCTGTCATCTTAAACCTCTTGAACATGATAATTTCTCGGAAGATGCACGACAGTCCCTAGTCCGAGTCATTATTATCTCTTGACTGGGCCAGTCTGAAAACTTACTGATTGGTCCAAGCTTACACTCTTGCTCCCCCTACTGGCTGATTCACCTGCAGTGATCCTTCAATAATTAAATCAGGAACTGGTCAAGTCTGCAGGATGAAATGCTCAAGCAAAACTTTCCATGGTAAGTAATGATAAATAATGAATACATTCAAAAGAACAACAACAATAATTTAAAGACCATGGAAAGAACCTAAAGCAGACAGAAGCCATAGGAGAGTTTATTCTTGAAAAACTGCAACTGAAAAAGGTTAAGAATTGCATGTCTATGGCTGCCTGACCTAAGGGTGCTCCCCAACCCTAAGGCAATAAACAGTGGTGAATTATGCAACCTTTCACAGGCTCAGAGCAGTGGAGAACAGGGGTCAGGAACAGACAGACATAGAGTCTGAAACATGGTAAACATTCAATAAATATTACTGGTTACTATAAAATTATTATTATTATTCTTGAGTGAACAAGAAAAATCATGAAGAATAGTGTAGTGGCTAATCTTCTGGTTTAGTCCCCTGACCAATGATTGTGCCATTACTGGGGCCAGAGAACTCAGAAAGAGAAACAAACTGGTAGGGAAGGAGAATCAGGATTCTGAGCTTTCATTAAAAAGTCTAATGGAAATGCATTTGGCAGTTAGGTGCAAAAATTCTGGAGTTTGAAGGAGAGATGAAAACTGAATATGGATATTTGGGAGTTGTTGGAATGTAGGTGATAATGGAAGAGGAGGGAGCAAGTGTGATTACCCAGGGAAAATGGAGGGAAGGGCAGCAGCATTTGATTGATATCTGGAAGAGAATCCCATATGGAAGACTTCAATAAAACATCTAGAAACAGTCACAGTGCATTATTAATCAGACTATAGGGCCTCCATTCATAGAACAGATGCCATATAAAAATTAGAAAAAGCACTGGGTGCAGTGGCTCACGCCTGTAATCCCAGCACTTTGGGAGGCCGAGGCGGGCAGATCACCTGAGGTCAGGAGTTTGAGACCATCCTGGCCAACATGGTGAAACTCCGTCTCTACCAAAAATACAAAAATTAGCTGGGCATGGTGGCAGGCACCTGTAATCCCAGCTACTTCGGAGGCTGAGGCAGGAGAAGCGCTTGAACCTGGGAGGCAGAGGTTGCAGTGAGCCGAGATCGCGCCACTGCACTCCAGCCAGGGCGACAAGAATGAACTCCATCTCAAAAAAAAAAAAAAAAAATTAGAAAAAGTTGCTCCCTCTAGGCAGACAAATTTCAGAAACAGTGCTCCTTTCAGATAGAATTATGCATCCCCATGCCAGGATAGAGCCTCCATTGTTCTTCTCCATCAAGATTCCGTTGTGCAGTAGACAAACTGTGCAACTATATTTGGCTACCCAGAAAACTAACTTTACGTGGTGAAGGGTATCTGACAAGGTCACTGAAGCCAATTTCACACTTGTGCTTACATTCTTTCTTGGGTCAGACTATGCTAATTAGAATCCCTTTGGTGACAGGACAGTGACTGCCCACTCAGTTCTATCCAGGTGTTCTCTCTGTCTTCTGACAAATCTGACTATTAAATACCTTTTCTTACTTTGAAGACTGTCTTCCAGTAACCACCACCAATTTTCTCTCTGGAGCCAGCTAATTAGAAACTTTCTGTTTCCCAGTACAGGTTCTGTACATATGTTTACAAGCTTCCTGTACATAATAGATACTGGTCCAGTGTCAGTGGCTACTTTTTCTAGTTCTCTTTGAGAAATAAGCTCCCAAGTTACTGCTGAAAATCCAGCATCCAGTTGCAGATGGATGAGGAAGCAGATGAGACGTCTGAGGATGTCTTTCACACAGCCTTGTCTCCCAGAAGTAGGTGGGTGGTACTCAGCAAAAGAATAGGATTCAAAAAAAGCAGAGAATTATAGAGTAGGCTGAAATAGAACAGCATAATAGGTACAGCCATGACCTTCTCTCTAACATCCTCCATTAGCAATAGACAAAAGAATCTCTACCCTGAAGCATGGTGAGTTGGTTGTTTTTAATAATACAACATCAGTCTTCTAATTTTAAGAAAACAATCTTAGAAAAAAAATACTTTATTCCCGGAGTCAGAAAATGACACTCAATGAGAGTTAATTTTCTGAAATCTTTGAGAAGGCAAAGAATTCACAGAACCACAGCATGTAAGAGCTAGAAAGAAGCTCAGAAAATGTTCAGCCCTAATATCTATTTTAGAGATGGGAAAGCAAAGGCCCACAAAGGTCACTGGACTTGACCAAGTCCACTTAACAAATGAGATATAAAGCTAGAACTAGAGCTGAGGTGTCATAAGATCCATTCCATGTTTTTCTACCCAGTGTTCTCATACTAACCTCTGCTCAAGTTGACTGCTTAAACGGAGAAGAAAAATATAATGGACGTAGGATAGACACAAAACAGAAATAATGACATAAGCTATATGTACTTTTATTATAGCTTTAGAGCATTATCTTATCGCCATTCACTTGTCTGTCACTAACACCATACAATTAGCACCTTCAGCTAGGACATTATGTTACTATTCATATTTATATTAAATAGTAGAGTGGTTGGTACAAAATACAGGTTGAATATCTACATAATAAAGGAATATGTAAACGAATGAATGAAAACAAATAGGGACTAAGATAGTGTCCTTCATCTATCGCTTAATTAGGTTCAGCCTTTCATAGACTCTGCCAATGCAGAGACTATGAAAGTCCAACTTCTAGTATGAAAAGTATGTGAATTGGTGTCTTTCATACAATAAGTGAAGTCCCAGGCAAACAGTACTTATCATATGAACTGATACCAGAGGTGATGGACAAAAGTCTTACCCTCAAAGGTCTGCAAGATGTACACTCAATGATGAGGGTTTTTTGTTGCTGTTATTGTTGCTGCTTGTATGTTTGTATTTTACAGCGGTGACTAGATGAAAGATCAGATGTTTAGATAAGGTCAAGAACCACAGGAATGGGAGTTTAGAACCAAGGTTACTAGCAAGAGTTTTCCCTGAGAAGATTACAGTGTATTTATTGATTTAGTCGTAGTTTCCACAAAGACCTGTTGAATGGCTACTATATATCGGGCACTTTTTCTGTCTGAGTACATAACAGTGATCAAAATGAACAAAAATCCATGCCTCAATAGAATGTACATTCTGGACTGAAGTTTCCTAAAAGGTGATATGGCTTCTTATGAAAGCCCACATTGTGTGGTATAAATGATCAGTAAATTGAGAAAATAAATTCTTCCCAAGAATATGACATGTTATAAGAATTCTCGGCGGGAAAAGGTGCTAAAATATATGTACTAAGATTATGTTCTGCTCCAAGAATTAGTAAATGGAAAAATCTAGGTTTCTTTTTCCTTTTTTTTTTCTGCAAGCTAAATATTTCTCATTCTCTCTTCTTGTAAATGTCACCTCTAGAATCTTTATGTATGGATAAGGATTATCCTTACGCATGAATAAGGTGAGATATATTTGCATATTAGCAAGACTCTTCTCCATTCTCCTTTGAAAAGTGTTGCAAAAGCACCAGCGATGTACCTAAACTGAGAACCAGTGATAATAAGGGACCCATGAAACAGAAAGGTAGTTGTAGAAAGTTAAAATGAGTAATGAAAGTCACATCAGAAGACTTAGATAGATGCCAATGCTTCATCACTTACCAGGTATATCACACTGGATAAATAATTTATTCACTCAAAGCCTTTGCTACGTCATCTGTAAAATGAGATATTATTACTACCTCATATGAGACATTGTTTTGTGAATTTTAAAGCATTGCATATAGATAGTATATTTGAATAGGAGGTAGAAGAGTGAGAAGAGAAAAGAAAAAAAAGAAAACGAAGAAGATGGAAAAATAAGAGCTATGGAGTATTGTAAATGGAAACTAAAAGCTTTTCCTCTAAGATTCAGTACAAGGCTAGGATGCCCACTCACCACTTCTATTCAGCATAGTATTGGAAGTCTTAGCTGAGTAATTAGACAAGAAAAATTAAATACATAAAAGTAATAAAAGTAATTCAAATAAAAAAAGAAGTAAAATTATCTCTGTTTGCAGATGATATGATGATCATATAGAAAATCCTAAAGACTCAGTAACAACAAAAATGGTACAACTTATAAATAAATTTAATGAAGTTGAAGATACAAAATAAACATACAGAAATCTGTGAACTATCCAAAAATAATGCTAACAATGAAATATCTTAAAAATTATAAAAACAACCCCATTTACAATAGTAAGAAAAAGTATAAAACACTTAGGGATACAGTTAAGAAGTAAAAGACATATATTCTGAAAATTATAAAACGTTGATGAGGCTGGGCACGGTGGCTCATGCCTGTAATCCCAGCACTTTGGGAGGCCGAGGCGGATGAATCATCTGAGGTCAGGGGTTTGAGACCAGCCTGGCCAATATAGTGAAACCCTCTACTAAAGGTACAAAAACTAGCTGGGCGTGTTGGCATATGCCTATAATCCCAGCTACCCAGGAGGCTGAGGCAGGAGAATCGCTTGAAGCTGGAGTTGGGGGTTGCAGTGAGCCGAGATCATACCACTGCACTCCAGCCTTGGCAACAGAGATGAAACTTCATTTCCAAAACAACAACAACGACAAAACACATTGATGAAGGAAATTTAAAAAGACACAGAAAGGCTGGGTGCGGTGGCTTACACCTGTAATCCCAGCACTTTGGAAGGCTGAGATGGGCAGATCACCTGGGGTCAGGAGTTTGAGACTAGCCTGGCCAACATAGTAAAACCCCATCTCTACTAAAAATACAAAAATTAGCCAGATGTGTCTGTATTCTCAGCTACTTAGGAGTCTGAGGTAGGAGAATCACTTGAACCCAGGAGGTGGAGGTTGCAGTGAGCCGAGATCACACCACTGCACTCTAGCCTGAGCAACAGAGTGACACTACGTTAAAAAAAAAAAAAAAAAAGACACACATAAATGGAAAGGTAGCACGTGTTCATGAATTGGATTAATAATGTTAAAATGTCCATAATACCCAGCTGATCTACATATCCAATGCAATCTCTATCAAATTTTGCATTCTTTATAGAAATAGAAAAAAAAAACTTAAAATATGTGTGGAACTACAAAAGACCCCAAATAGCCAAAGAAATCTTATACAGGAACAAAGACGAATGCATCCCACTTCTCGATTTTAAAATATACTGGCATGTATCACTTAATGATAGGAATGCATTATTTTTTATTATTTTTAATTTTTTTTTAATTATTTATTTTTTGAGACTGGGTTATGAGACTGGCTAATTTTTGCATTTTTGGTAGAGGCGGGGTTTCATTTATGTTGCCTAGGCTGGTCTCAAACTGCTGGCCTCAAGCAATCCATCCACCTCAGACTCTGAAAGTGGACAGGAATACATTCTGAGAAATACATCAGTAGATGATTTTGTCATTGTACAAACATCACAGAGTATACTTGCACCAACCTAGATGATATATCCTACTACACACCTAGGCTCTATAGCATAGCCTATTGCTCTTAGGCTACAAATCTGTACAAGATGTTACTTTACTGACTACTGTAAGCAATTGTAATACAATGGTAAATATTCATGTATCAAATATATCTGAACATAGAAAAGGCACAGTAAAAATATGGTATTATAATCATATAGGAACACTGTCATATACACAGTGTGTTGTTGACTGAAACATCATCATGCAGTGTGTCACTGCATTACAAAGCTACAGTATTCAAAACAGTATGGTACTGGCATAAAAATGAACATACAGACAAAATTGAACAGAATAGAGAGACCAGAAATAAACCTGGGCATGTATTGTCAATTCGTCTTCAACAAGGGTTCCAACCACACACAATGAGGAAAAGGTTCTCTCTTCAATAAATGTTGTTAGAAAAACAAGACACCCACATGCAAAAGGAGGAAATTGCACCTTTATCTCAGACCATATACAATAATCAACTCAAAATGAATTAAGAACTTAAAGGTAAAACCAGGAACCATAAAAACACTAGAAGAAAACAGAGATAAACCTTCTTAACATTGGTCTGGGCAATGATTCCTTTGGATATGACCCTAAAAGCACAGGAAACCAAAGCAAAAATAGACAAGTGGGATTCCATCTAACTAAGCAGTATCTGTATATCAAAAGAAACAATCAACAGAGAGAAAAAGCAACCTATGGAATGGGAGAAAATATCTGCAAACCATATATCTAATGAGTGGTTAATTTTCAAAATATATAAAGCATTCAAATAAATGAACAGCAAAAGAAAGAAATAACTCGATGTAAAAATGGGCTAAGGACCTGAATAGGCATTTTTCTCAAGAAGACATACAAATGGCCAACAGGTACACAAAAACATACTCAATATCACTAATCATCAGGAAAATGTAAATCAAAACCACAATGAGCTATTACCTTGCACGTGTTAGAATAGGTATTATAAAATTTTGAAAAATAACGTGTTAGCAAGAATGTGGATGGGAATGCAAATTTATACAGCCATTTTGGAAAACAAACAGTATGGAAGTTCTTCAAAAAATTACAACTAGAACTAATATATGATCCAGCAATCCCACTTATAGGTATTTATCCAAAGGAAATGAGATTAGTATGTTGAAGAGCTATCTGCATTCTCATGTCCATTGCAGAGTTTCTCACAATAACCAAAATATGGAATCCACATAAATGTCCATCAACAGATGAATGGACACACACACTCACCCACACACAAAGTGAAACATTATTCAACCTTTAAAAAGAAAGAAATCCTGCCATTTGTAACATGTATGGGCCTGGAGGACATTATGCTAAATGAAATATGCCAGGCACAGAAAGACAAATACTGCATGATTTCACTTGTATGTGGAATCTAAAAGGATCAAACTTACAGAAGCAGAGAGTAGAATGATGGTTGCCAGAAATAGGGGGAAGGGAGAAATGGGGAGAGTTTGGTCAAAGGGTACGAACGAAGTTTCTGTTATGCCAAATAAGTAAGTTCTGGAGAGCTAATATACAGCATGGTGACTATAGTTAAAAATGCTATATTATATTCTTGAAATTTGCTAAGAGAATAATCTTAAGTGTTCTCATCACAAAAAAAGAGACGGAAAATAGTTACTGTGTGGGTGATGGACACCTTAATTAGCTTGATTGTGGGGGTAATTTCACAATGTATACATATGTCAAAACATCTAGTTGCATACCTTAAGTGTATACAATTCCTATTCATCAATTATACTTCAATAAAACTTAAAAAGAAAAGAAATGGATAGTATTTTAGCAATTATTTTGTCCAAAACATGAATATTATAGAGGGAATTGAGGCTCAGGGTTATAATATGCTCAGGTCACAAGGTGGATGATACAGTGTTGAGGACAGAGGAGGACACGGGCTCCTTGGTTCCCAAGGCTGCGCTCCCTTCACCTTCTCAGCGCCCTGTATAGCCAGTGGTAACGAGCACAGACTGTGGAACCAGATTGCCTGGGTTCAAATCAGAGTTGTGTGACTTCCCAGCTGTGTGACCCTGGCCATATTACTTTTCTGAGCCTCAATTTCCTCATCTGTAAAATGGGTTAAAGGCTACAGCTGTCACAAGGGTTGCACTCAAGTATAAATGACTTAATAGAGCTATATAAGCTTTAGCTAATAATACCATATTCTGTATCATATCACACAAGTTTATTCGTTCCATTCTTTTTGTTTTATTTTTCAACTTCCTTCTTGGTTCTGAAATGAACCCTAACAGGATTCTATTTTGGACTTTCTCCCATTATCCTGCTCATTTAGGTTCAACTGGCAGCATCAGGGCTGGGCTAATTATACGGTAAGACAATTCTGCCTCCTGAAACCCCTGGTCTTTAGTATTATTTTCCTTTCCCTTTCTAATAATTAATAATAATAATAAAATAATAACAAATGCAGGTTGAGCTGAAACAGAGAAAGAACTTTGTTCTGTCTGCAGGAACTGCAATGCAACCTCCATTTTTCTCTTGCTGACAAGCATCCGGGCCTGGGTGCCCCAGTGCCTTTTCGTAAATCAAAAGAATATTGAACTCATTATATTGAAGCACAAGTTATCCTTTCATCAGTCAATTTGTCTGGGTCAACTATTCTCGCACATTTATTCTGGACATCTAAAAGATAGGACATCTAACAGTCCGTCTCCAATATTACAACTGCTGCTCATTTTGTTATCCTAAAGTGATAGTCTGAAATCAGACCATTTGAATGCAATTATTAGGTACCAAAGCACTATCTTCCATCAGAGCAGGGAAAGGAATCCAAAGTCCGTCCCTCATGCCTGTAAACAGGAACAATAGGGCCCATATTTACATGACAGTGCATGGTTTACCAAGCACATTTACTTTCAGTTCCTCTTTTGAGTATTACATTCTACAGCTCTGTTGGGGGCTGGGGGGCAGGTAAAGATAAATTCCTCTTTAAGGAGAAGGAATTTGAGGCTCAGATCACTACTCAAAGATCTAATATAGAATGAAACAAGACTTGAATGCTTAAATTCTTTTACAGATTGAGATTTCCCCCACCCCTCCCCTTCTTCCTTGTGTTCAATAACCAACTTTCAGAGTATTCTCTCAAGTTATTTGAACATGTCAGCACATGACTCAAACTGTGCCTTAACTCCAAGTCCTATCTTTATTCCATGTACCTAGCATCAAATACCCGCAGCCTCTCAGCCCCTTGACCTATTCCATCTCAATGACCTTCACCCCATCCTCTTCCAGGCCCCTGCTTCCTGCCATGATTACTCCAGAACTTGCCATCTCCCAACACCCTTCTAGCTTTGACATAGTGTATTAAAACATTCCAGTCTCTAACTAGTCTATCACAACACCAGCTTTTTCACCTTTTCAAGACCTCTAGGCCCACAACCCTCTCCTTTCCCTTTACATACTATTACCTGCTTTCTTTTGTATCCAACTTAGATTCAGTGATCCACCTATGCATTTACTTTGAGCCAATACTTTTTTTTTAAAGGTAAGTATTTATTTTAACTGAGAAGTAAAAATTGCATATATTTTTGGTATACAATCTGATGTTTTGATGTATGTATACATTGAGGAATGGCTCAATCAAATTAATTAATATATGCATTACCTCACATACTTATTTTTGGTGGTAAGAAAGCTTAAAATCTACTATCACATTTTCAAGTGTACAATCCATTATTATTATTATTAATTACAGTTTTTAAGTATAGTCACCATGTTGAACAATCGATCTTAAATTTGTTCTTCCTATCTAACTGAAATTTTGTATCCTTTGACAAACATCTTTCCAATTCCCCCACTCCTCAACCGTAGACCCTGGTAACCGCCATTCTACTCTTTGCTTCTATGAATTTGACTTATTTAGTTTCCACATATAAGTGAGTACAAGTGGGCCGGGCGCGGTGGCTCATGCCTGTAATCCCAGCACTTTGGGAGGCCGAGGCAGACGGATCACCTGAGGTCGGGAGTTCAAGACCAGCCTGACCAACATGGAGAAACCCCGTCTCTACTAAAAATACAAAATTAGCCTGGTGTGGTGGCACATGCCTGTAATCCCAGCTACTAGGAAGGCTGAGGCAGGAGAATCACTTGAACCTGGGAGGCGGAGGTTGCAGTGAGCCGAGACTGCACCATTGCACTCGAGCATGGGTGACACGGCGAGACTCCGTCTCAAAAAAAAAAAAAAAAAAAGTGAGTACATGTGGTTATATGTCTTTCGGTGCCTGGTTCATTTCACTTAACATAATGTCCTCCAGGTTCATCCATGTTGTTGCAAATGACAAGATTTCCTTCTTTTTGAAGACTGAATAGTATTCCATCATGTATGTATACCACATTTCCTTTATCCATATGTCCACTGATGGACTCAAGTTGACTCCATATCTTGGCTATTGCGAAAAATATTTCCCTGAATATGGAAATGCAGATATCCCAACTGCATTACAGCCATTATAAATTGGTGATCACCAACCTTATCCAAGAGTTGTTTCTTAATGATCCTTCTGTATTTCCTTAATCACATTCTTCTAAAATTCTTTAGATTTCCAAGTTTCCCCAGACACTATCAAAACTTTTGACACTCCACAGTACCGCCTTCCTCAGTGATTCGTTTCACACCCCACTTCACAAAGAGAACAGAAGCCTTCAAATCTTCACAAGTGAAATCAATAGATTTATCTGCACCCACACCTCTCCTTCCCTTCTTTCCTCCTATTTCAACAAAAGGTATCTCTCCTTTTACCCCTACTTGTGTTCTTACTCTTTCCCTTCCTGCTACTTCAGGAATGGCTTCATCAAAAATAACCCTGTTCTGATGGCTAATGGGTACAAAAAATAGAAAAAATTTTAAAAAGACTTAGTATTTGCTAACACAAAGTGACTATAGTAAAAAATAATTTAATTGTACATGTAAAAATAACAAAAATAGTATAACTAAACTCTTTGAAACACAAACGATAAATGCTGGAGGTGATGGATACCCCATTTACCCTGATGTGATTACTATGCATTGCATACCTGTATCAAAATATCTCATGTAACCCATAAGTATATACACGACTATGTACACACAAGAATTAAGAACAAAAAATTAAAAAATAAAAAATAATAACCCCACTGTGTCCCACAGTGTCAGTCTCTTCCCTCTCTTAATAGTCCCCTCCTTCTTAAAGCCAATGAACATAAATAAAACTTCATTTCACATCTCTGCTTCTTTTCATAGCCATGCTTCTTTTTTAAAAAAGAAAAAATAATAAAATCTCTACTCCCTTTTTCTCACTTCTCAACTCACTACACTCTGGCTTATATCCCTAACCCTTTGCTTAAACAGCTCTTGCCAAGGTCAAGACTTTATAAAAGACTATTTTCAGTTCTTGCCTTATGTGCTATATCAGAAACTACAGCTATTGATTACCTACACCTTCTTTCTTAAAAGATTCATTTATTTTTGCTTCCATGGTACCAGCCATCCCTGATTTTCCCGCTGTACCACCAGCCATTCCTCAATTTCTCAATGCTTTACTCGGCACCTACTAAACAGGTTCCTTTGTGAGTGAGCATAGCTCCAAGTGTTATCATTGGTAACCTGATAACTCCAAATACTGTAACTTTTTATCCCAGCTCTCTCTGCTAAGGGTCAGAACCATTTATACAACCACCTACTAAGTCTCTATTTGAATGTTCCAGGTAGTTTAAATTCAACATTTTCAAAGCTGGCTTATCATCTTCAAACATGGATAACCTCAAAAAGTCTCCTTGTCTTCCAGGGCTCCCCATATTAATGAAAAGCACCATCACCCACCCAGCTGACCAAGTTAAAAATGTTCCCCTTCTCTTTTCCTTACTTAACCTAGACCCAGTGGATTTATTACTTAAGGTATGGTTTTGCCAGTCTCCTTGCCTCTTGACTATTTCTTCCTTGTCAACTTTCATATTCAAACACTCACCAAATACTGAGTCTTCTGTCTTTCCTTAAAGTATCTCAGGTTATGACCATTTACATAATATTTTGAAAGAATAAAATCACAGAGATGAAGAACAAACAAATTAGTGGTTGTCAAAGGTTAGGGGTTATGGATGGTAGAGGATGAGAGAGAGGTTTGACTGTAAAGGGCTAGCATAAGAAACATCTTTGTGGTGAGGGAGCTGTTCTGTCTCTTGATCGCAGTGGTGGTTACATGAATCCACACATATGGTAAAATGGCATAGAACTATACACACTCTGTGTATATTATACCCATGTCTGTCTCTTGGTTTTGATATTGTACTACAGTCACATAAGATGTAACCATTGATGAGAACTAGGTAAAGGGTACATAAGACCTTTCTGTACTATCGTAGCAACTTCTTGGGAGTCCATAATTATTTCAAAATTATAACTTAAATAAATATGTATCTCAAACATCAACTGATGCTACTTTATTCCAAGACAGTTTCCTCTCTCACCTGGATGACATACTTTGCACCGTCTCCCATCTTTCACCCATTAATCTATTCTTTCAATTATAACAGAAGTGATCTTTGTAAGATGACAACCTGATCATGCTCTACCTCTGGGCAAAACTCCTAGAAATCCCTATTGTCATTAGGATGTAGTTCACAAATTGTGGCTGAGAAGCCATGCACTGCCACAGCAAACTCACAGGTGCACAGCAGGATATTTTAAGTGTTCAAGGCAAACGAAGGATGCTTGATATTTATTGGGCATCACAAGAACATCTAACTTGAGGTCGTTCACAGTTTCAACATTAGAACACAATACATTCCTTTCAATGTTAGTATGTGTGTGAAGCTGGGTTTCTGGCACTTGGTACAATTTCAAAGTACTGCAAAAAATTAATAAGGAAGAGAAAATGAGGATGATTTTATCTAACTGTAAAGTTAGAGAAGTAGTAAATGTGATTAAGAATAAAATGAAAATATTGCCTTTTGTTTAGATTTTCATGTATTGTTTTTTTCAAATAGCCACTAAATTTGTCACAACAGAAATACTTCATTATTAAATTGTTTGGATCTAACTACTTATTAAATAGTGTTATTGGTATTTTTGGGGGGGCCTATGGGAATCATAAAAAAAAATCATTGAAACCTTAAGAACATCTTGAAATGAGAAAGTGTAGGATCCATCACCTTAGAATAAAGTCTGAAGTCTTTTATATAACATGTACAGAGCTTCATGACCTGACCTCACTATTGAATTTTCTGGCGTGCATGCTAACATCTTCTGTGTCCATTACTTATGGTGAATTACTTGCAAGCTCAAGAACAAGTATCCCCTCCTCTAAACCCTACTTCAAAACACACACACAAACCTACTTAAAATATTTTCTTGGAATATTTCCTTAATCTTGCAAGACCGGCTCAATGCCCTTTTTTTGCACTATTACTCCATTTTATATTTTTTTTTCAACACTCCTCATACTAGGGGTCGATTTGGCTGCTTTTAGCATATCTCTCCCCCACTACCCTACAAGTGCTCCTGAAAGGCAGAGATGAATAATCCCTTGGTGTCATCAGAGGCTAACAGAGTGCATACACATTAGTAGAGACTCAATAAATATTTGTTGAATTAATGCACAGGTGAGCACTTTTATCTCAAACTGTTTACCAGCAGGGAGACTTATTTCTTTCATATCATTTGTATTTACCTACTTCTTTCTCATACAAAGCACACTCCCCCATGAATGTGATGTAGAACTAGGTGAGCTGGGTGTCATGCTAGAGTCGCAGAGAGGCTGTCACAAGTGCTCAGCGACGGAAGCTGTACCTTGCTGACTTTCTCTGAACAATAAACCTGCAATTTGAGGAAAAGCAAAGTTACCTACACCCCCCACCCCCACCACACACACACAGACACACACACACACACACACACACACACACACAGCCTGCCTTGAAATGCTGCTGATTGCCATGGATGTTCTTGGGTGAGAAGCAATCCCTGAGGGACAAATGTCCCCTGAGCATTACACATCAAAGACAACCTGGCGAGCACGGTGCAGTAGGAACTAGAAGACGAGATGTCACAGACTGTTCCTATCACCTGGGCTGATTAATAAATTAGACTCTCGCGAATCGTGGGACGTGCAAGTGCACTGTGTACATGAATCAATGTATGCTGATAGCTTAAAGAGACCTTGCCAGTATGGTGGCACGTGTTCCTCAGGGCATCAAAAATCTTTCTGTCTCTGGCGCTCTTTCTTTAGCTTCCTCCTAAAAAGCGTCTTCCTAGTATAAGAATGGAGCAAATGCTACCTTCATAGAGTACCTACGCTACAAAGCACACCAACCAATCATCCCCACTGCAGTTGTTGGAAGTCCAGTAAGACATCTCAGAGTCCCTGCTGCTGGATTTGCAGGGGTGGATACTTCAGGTATTTGTTTTAGCTACTAGTCCTCAAACATTTGCTCTATGCTAAAGACTATCTCTTTTTTTCTTTTTTTTTTTTTTTTAATTTTGAGACAGAGTCTCACTCTATCACCCAGGCTGGAGTGCAGTGGCATGATCTCGGCTCACTGCAACCTCTGCCTCCTCGATTCAAGGGATTGTCCTGTCTCAGCCTCCCAAGTAGCTGGGATTACAGGCGCCCACCACCGTGCCTGCCTAATTTTTGTAATTTTAGTAGAGATGAAGTTTCACCATGTTGGCCAGTCCGGTCTCAAACTCCTGACCTCAAGTGATCTGCCCACCTTGGCCTCCCAAAGTGCTGGGATTACAGATATGAGCCACTGCGCCCGGCTGCTAAAGGCTGTCTTATATTCTCTTCTTAAATCTTCACTATAATCTTGGAATTTATCCTTATTTTGCAGATGGAGAAATTGAGGCTCACATGGTTTAAGCAACGTGCCTAAGATTTCACAGGTAGTAAGTGGCAGAACCAGGATTCAAATTAAGGTCTGCCTGAGTCTAAAGACTTGCTAACCTATAGCGACCATTGTATGGTTCACAAAAGGTTACACACTAACTTGAGGCTGGAAGCTTCCATCAAGGTGAGCGGGGAAGAGTCAGGTATAGATAAAGGGTGGGATGCAAAGCCTTCCTCCAAGCCAGTCTGGGAATCCATAGCTAATGAGACCCAGTAATTCTTGTGCCCAGGAGGAAGGCCTTGAGAGATAAAGAAATTGCCCAGAGGCAGAAGCCTGAGCATTCTGGTTCCTTTTATTAGACATACAAAGGTATCCAGTAGCTGTAGAACTCTACATAAAAGAATGCATCCTGCCACAGGGTGCTGAAAATGGAATTGGAGTCTGTAAGCCTGGATGCTGCACGGGAAAAGGCTGCCTGACCAGTAGGTCTGCAGCCTGCAGCTGTTGGTGGCACTGATTGGTATTTGAGGGTTAATGAAACCCTTCTCCGCTGCCTTTGTCTTAGTTCCAGCACTCCCTTTCTCTCCCTTAAATTACTGCCACAGTTTTCTAACCCATCTCTCTTTCTCCCTTTCTCCCACTCCTCAGGCTGCTGCCCAAGCAATTCTAACTTTATATCCGTGCATGTCAGCTTCATGTTTCAAAGCCCTCATTGTTTTCTTTTTGCCCCCATCAGCCAAGGCACAGGTTCTAACCTGATTAACACAAACCCATTGCAAACTCTGCTAATCACACATGGTACAATTTTCCTCTGAACCAAAACACGACCATGTTAGTGCATCAGCATTTTAAAAAATAAATGAATTGTAAAGGAACACATTATATTTGAATGGAATAGAATAGAAGATATCTTGATATTTAAGAAGCATCACATGTAGTAAGGTTAAGTTTTTTTTCATGGATTTTTATTTCAATCATATATTTTTATCTATATTTCCAGCTAGGTTTATTGAGTGAGTGTCAAACTAAAATGTATTTGTTCACATGTATTCAGGTCAAAAATGTACAAAAACAACAACAAAGAAAAAACACTGTTCTAAATGGCTATCTAGTAATATTCTGCCAATTCACTAGACTTTAAAGATTGGTTGAAATCCATGTGCTATCTCAAATTTCTTTTGTTGTTGGCTTGAAGCTGCTCTCCAACCTTATGCCCTACTATCAGTACTACTCAAAATACACACAAAACACATGAAGACGTATAGTTCCAGGCTTTCTCCTGTTTCCTGACTTCACAGGTGCTATTCCACTTGATAAGGTGCTTCTCTCCTCACTGCATTCTCATGAATCCTAATCCTCCTTGAAGCCTATGTTCAACACCTCTTCCTCCAGCATGCCTTTCCAAACATGCCTCTTCCTCCTCTCCTTCCCCAACTTTGCCACCTCAATGCAATGTAAGTTCCCATTCCCTACACCCACAGAGCTTCAGTGGCATCTCTCAAGGCACATGACACTGTGGTTATTTGCCTTTCAGTCAGTCTCCCCCAAAGAGACCATGAATTCCTTGAGGGAAGGGATCAATGATTTCTTCCCTCTATCCCCAGGAAACAGTGCAGGGCCTGACTAGTAGGAGTTTAGAGATCAGTAAACATTTTTTCAAATGAGTGAGTAAGCTGCAGGTGCCCCAGATCACAGATCCAGTCTCTCTTTCTTCCTTGGCCAAGATTTGGAGCACAGTATTTGAAGCCCTAAGGGCTTTTCTCCATTTCTCCTCCTAATCTACCGAATCATAACAATCGCTATCTTTAGATCAGTTTAAAGACTCTGTATCAGTCTGTCCATAAGAGTGGGTGGGCAAGTAGGTCCATTTTCAGACACTGCTCGTGACAAAAGCTGGACAATTGTTCTGTAGAAATTGTAGCTGACTATGGTTTGTAACTCACAGAAGTCAGTTCAGTAATGGCATGGGAGCAAAGAGGTAAAACACTGTAAACGTACCAATTTGGTAGCAATAAAGCTATCATTTTTAGAATTGGAAGATCAATTTTAAATAATCAACACTAAAGATTATCTTTGAATTGGCACCAGATGGCCCAGAAAAATGTTTGCTGGATATCCTCCTCCACTTTTATCTATTCAGGGAGACCTTGATAAAAAATTTGGATTAAGCGAGGGATGTATGTGGGCTGGAGGGTAAGGGGAGGTACAGGTTCATGCCTCTCACCAATGCTGTCAGCCTTTAAATGGCTGAAATTGACAAACATGAATATGGGCCATCATCCCATTCTCATCTTTTGAGTCAACAAGGAATGTTCTGAAGGGAAGAAAAAGTGTCTTTTAACACACTTGGTCTAAGCCGGTTTTTAATGACACAATCCATGTATATCTGGACCTAACAATGGAGGCTGAATATCTTACTTCCTAAGGAATACTGTAGTCAGAGTCAAAAGGCACTAGAATTCCCAGAAGGGAGAATTTTCTTTTTTTGACTGGAGAGCTAGTTTGCCTTAACCACTCCCTCTATGCTAGAGAAAGCAAAAATGGATCCACCTCTCTTCATGCATTGAACTGCCATCCTGGTCTGTGGCCATGTCAAAAACATGGATGATTCTTTCCCCATTTTATTCTATGGACATACACTCTAGGAATCCAGTCATTACAGTGGTACCTATATTTAAGCCATCCCAATTCAAACTCATGAAGACCAAAATCTAAGACCATTTATTCAAATATTCTTCCCACCACTCTTTTTTTTTCTTCTTCCCCAGAAATGCTAGAGCAGGATTTCTCAACCTCTACACAACTGAAAGTATGTTGGATAACTGTTTGCTGGAGAAGGCTATCCTATGCATTGTAAGGTATTTAGCGGCATCCCAGATCCCTGCTTGCTACCCACGAGATGCCAGAAGCACCCCCAACAAACACCACCACCAGTTGGACACCAAGAATCTCCCCAAATACAATTGCTAAGTGTCCCCGTAGGAAGCAAAATTATCCCTGACTGACAATAATTTTTTTTAGCTCCTGTCTCTCCTAGACCAGTTAAATCTAAATACCTGGAGAAAGATCCAAGCATTAGTATTTTTAACTCTGCAGGTAATTCTAATATCCAGCCACTTATTTGCATATTGGATCAAAATTGTACCGAACTCAACTGTGGTTCTGCCCTCTATTGAGGTTTGTATATCTATACCACAGGGGGAATGCCAAACTTGGGAATTTGAAATGAAAAGGGGAAAGAAGAACAAAAGGTTTGTGATGAGAAAACTGAAGCTGATAATTTTTTTCCATCACAAACCAGGAGGTAGATTTAGACCAATAACTCAAAGCAAAAGCTTAACAAGAAGATTGCCTTCCTCAGCCAGTTAACCAGTTACTCAAAACGAAGAGGTATCCCTTTTAGTGTGCTCTGACGTAGGCTGGAATCCAAAGAAGCAATACGCAAGCTGTCAAATTTAAGCAGAGCCCACAATTCCCTGAGTCTGCTCACCAGAATTTCAATTCCTCTAAGAAAAAGAGGTTGTACGGTTAAAAAGATAGGGCCAAATACTGTTACATAGTCTAATATTAATAAAGGTCTGCGGTAAGAAGTCCTGTGTAACTTTGGGTTTTCCATGTGCAGGTCTATATCATTTGGGAGGCAGCTGGGCAAGGTCAAGGATGCAGCCTCTAGAATCACACATGCCTATGACAGGTCCTGCTGTATCACAAATTAACCCTTTCACTACGTACAAGCTGTGCAAATGGAGAGATAATAGCAATACCTACTGCACAGGATTATTGTAAGCATCAGTTGGAATAATTTCTATACCAGATAAAGTACAATGCTAATCACTTAAGATTTCAATATTAGCAATTAACTTATCACTGTTGTGATGATTATTGCTTCTTTGACTATGAGAGTCATCATGGAAAAATAAATGGGTGTTCTTTTTTTCCAGAAAACATCTTTTAATATTACATTGAACTAGAGTTCTCTGTAACATACATTAAGAAATGCTGATTTCGACTACTTTATGCCACACTAATAGAAATCTAGCTCTTTTACTGCATGATATCAAGATTATACCTGGAATCAAAAGCTGAAGGCTTCTTTCAAGTTCAAACACAAGCCCCTGGAGTGGGGCAAGGGTGGGCTTCTCTCTAAACTCCACTTGTCTGTAAGCTCCTTGAGGGCAGGAATCCTGTTCATCACAAGATAAACTCCCCATGTACAATATCTGGCATATCGAGATGCCTAATCTATACTCTTGAATGACTGCTGTATAAAGACCACATCTCATTCATCTTAGTAGAACCATTCATCCATCCCCAGCACCATCCATTTAGCCAAGTAGCTTTACCACAAAACCTATTATTTTTGTGAAACACACGAAGAAATTATCAGGACAACAGAGGAGGGCTGAGATCTATACAACTCTGAAATAAATATGCAATACAGCCAGGCAATTAGACTTGGCTTACCAAGATTTGATTTACACTCAACTTTCAGGTATATATTTACAGCTCAAAGGGAGATGCAACGTAAGCCACAAACCACTTGTTCTGCAACCAGCAGGGAAAACCACTCAATATGGAACCGCCTCTTGTGACACAGTGACCACCATTCCCAGAATCTCCCCTTTGCCCTGACTCTTCAGATCCAAAGAGTACCATAATTATTCTATTAAAACCATCTTTGAAATAATTGCTAAATTTACAGCAGCTACTGATGATCTCACAGTTAGGAAAAAAAAAAACAGAAAATAAAACACAAAAAGGTATTGGAAACACAGGAAAAATCTTTGGACTAACTGACTTTGAAATTACCATGAGAATAAAAGAATAATTCCTAGTAAACAACCAACATCTGAAGTGGAAGAGGGAACCACCATTCCGACATGCCTTTGTGAAGCTCCTGGAAAATTCTAAACTCTATATATTTGAAATCTAAGTTATTGCTCATCCCACTTGCATAAGGCATTTAATATCATCTCAGTTTCACAGAGGGGAAAACTGAGTCTCAGAGCGGTTGAAACTTGCCCATGGTCAAAGGAAGCCTGTTAGCATTTGGTAATAAATCAGGTAACTAAGAACCAGGGAGAGTTGTGACAGCATAGAGTTAAGGGCCCATGTTCGGAAGTCCCACAGACCAGCTTTTGAATCCCAGCTGTGCCACTTTCCAGTTGTGTAATATGAACAATGGGCTCTTAGTGCCTTTCTCATTTGTGATATGGGACAATAATAGTATTTCCCTTCAGAGTGTGGCTATGAGGAGTTAATGACTAATATATGTATAGTCTTAACAGAAAGTGAAAATAAGTTACTTTGTTAGAATGATGATTTAAAACTCTAATGAAAAAAATTCAAGCATAAGATAACTTACATTTTACAAGGCACTTTCACACAAACTGTATCTCATTGACCTAGTAGGTAGGGCAGACATCATTATCCCTTTCTACAGAGGGGGAAATTGAATATCTGAGCGGTCATTTCTATCCATGAAAAGATCATTGTTTCATTATTCACTTTTTATGCCCTCTGTCCTTCACTCCTAACTCTGAGCTGGGTGGAGGAGGGGGCGTGGGTTATGTGGGGATAGGAGGATATATGTTTGTAATCTATTGGGTTTTTTTGGTCATCTCTATGTTAGCGAACAGTAGTACAATTTATGGATAATGATTGGTGTTAAATTCTAAAACAATAAATGTATGAGTGAGTGAGTGCTGCATACATGAATTTTCCCAGGATGAGAAAGCTGGAAAGAGGCTCCAGAATGAACAAAACCTAAATCTCTAGACTCCAGACCCAAAATCCTTTCCACTACCACATGCTGTGTTTCCAAATGACACTATTTCACAGAATCATGGAATTTCAGAGATAAGAAGGACCTTGGAGATGACTTCAGCTAGCACTCCTATTTTACAGATGAAGAACCAAAGGTTCAAAGAAGTTCTGTTAGTTGACCAAAATCACACAATCAGGAGACAGGGGAGCTGGGTCAGCACCCGAGTTCCCTGACTCCGAGGTCAAAAGTTCTCCCACTGCACCCTGGCAGATTCAAGAGCAGAAAACTCCCCCAAGCCTTCAGGTGGCAACTCAAGTTTGTGAGTGACAGAGCATTTACGTCATGCCCTCAAAAGACTGCATGTGCACACACTGTTGCTTGGCTTGTAAAGCAACATGAGAAGAGGCTTCTGCTGGGTTTTAATTAAAAAGGTTCTCATTGTTGTCACTAGCAATGACTTGACCATGACTCTATGAGCAGAAGCCAGCCTCTGTGTACAAATGCAGGAGAAAGAAGATGGCCTTAACCTAGTTAAATAAGGAGAGAAAGCTTCTTCCCAGTTTCTTTCTGAAGCTTCCCAATCACCCTGGGTTCCAGCCAGGATTCTGGGGAGGAGGGAACTGGTGGAAGCTTGAGGTCTGGGCAGATCAGTAAAGCTGGCCCTCTAGCATCAAAAAATGTGCACTAGGATAGTCAGGCCTTTCTTTTTTTATGATGAAAATGTCAAGTTTGTAACGTGCCGTGTCCATGCTAGCATACAGGAAGACAGGCACAATGGAAACTGCCTATGGACATGCTTTGCTGAAACGTCAATGTTTCAACAAAGTGGCATACAGGAAGGAAAAAGTATCAATTCACAATTGCCCCAGTGAGCATGTCCTAGTTGGCTGTTGCTCTGATGAGCATCTGGATGAGCGCATGTCTCTGGGTGCATATTTGCATATGGGTTCATATGCACATTATGACAAGAGTTCCGCCTAATCCTTGTACATTGTTGGTGCCAAATCAATGTTTGTGGTATTTATGATTTCCCAGTTATACACATCCTGCACATTTCTCTTTATAGCACTTGTTATACCTTGAAATGTGCATGTGTTTAATTACTGTCAGTCTCTCCTATGACAGCAACTACTATATTTATTTTACTCTTCATTGTATCATCTGCCCTAAACATAGTGTTGAGTCTGTAGCTGGTGCTTAATAATTATTTGAGGATTAAATAAAAGAAGGAAGGAATAACTAGATGACCAGGGGCCTAACTTCTGGGTTGAACTCTGTCATTTAATTAACAATTTGACTTTGGCTAAATCTTAAATGTAATTTTGGAGCTAGACAGATATCTTAGAAATCAACTTATTGGATGATTGCAAACTTTGTTTTAGGAGTAGAATCCAAAGTAAATCATACATGAAATCTTAACACAAAAGCAGATACAAGCCTTCTCTAGTATAAGGGAGGTGTAGGGCTCAGAATCCTGCCTGGTCACCTCTTTGCTACACTCCCCACAATGGTTTCTATGGCTACTTTAATCAATCCTTAGGTTTTTGAATAACATAGGTTGAAAACTGCTGATCTACCTCAGCCCTATCATTTGATAAATTAGGACAGCAGAATGCAAAAGATGAAGGAGCTTACCTAATGTCACAAGACCAGTGCGTGAAGAACTGAAATCAGTATCTAGAGGTCTTAATCCCCCATCCTCATTGGCAACCTTTTACTTCTCAACATGTCTAAAACAACCCCCCAGATGTTTACAAATGATTGTAACGAAAAATGTTTGGAAAAAGTTTCTTAGAGCTTGCAACACTCCACATTTGGAAGCTATACCAGGGGAGGCATCCAACAGAATGCTTGGAAGGAAAGCACTGGGGTCAGGTAAATCAGTGTGTAGACCCTAGCTCCACTCCTTACTGGATGGATGACTTAAAGTAACACACTCAACCTCCAAATTCCTGATTTTCCCATCTGTAGAAGACACTGCCCATCTCATAGAGGAGGTTATGAGGATTGAACATCCTCCCTTCATGGCACATGATAAGTGCTCACTAAAAGGATGCTACTGTTGAATATTCTGAATCTGTGGTTCCATTCAGGATATGTCTTATTTCAACAGCAATAACCAACACATATGGATTATCTAACATGGACCAGAGTTCCCTTTATAAAACTGCATTACAGACACCACCATGTGATATTATAACTAGTTATCCTCCTAAGACCACACCTAACTACACCTGAGAGAGTTTTTTGCATTCTCTTATTCATTTAAGTCCACAACATTCACTGTGTGTTTATGATAACAAGGCAGAGCAAAAATCACTCTGGGGAGGATCTAGAAATGAATTCTGTATAGGTCATTCCCTCAAAGAGTTTCCAGTTAGGTGAGAAAAATATACAAGAATGCACTCTGATTCCAAATGATTTTAAATTAAAGAGGTGTTAGTGTAGAGAGCTGTGGATCTATCAAAGATATGGTTGTTAAGTGGAATGTGAAAACTCTAAGATGGTTCCAAAGAGGAAAGAATTTGGGCTAAGTCTTTTTTTGGATGAGTAGAATGTCAACGGTCCAAGAACCAGTACAGACCTGCTTAACAAAAGGTTTCTTTATTTTTCCAAATGTTTGAATGTATTTGGGTAGGATATTGGGTACATCAGCAGCATTCTCAAAACAACGTTACTTATACTTGATGTGGCTGACTAAAATTATGATATACCAGATAAACCAGATTCTGAATCCCAGTCCAACCACTTCTAACTATATGACATTAGACAAGTAACTCAACCTAGCTGAGGCTTGATGACCTAATTTGTAAAGTGGGAAAAACAATCAAAACCTATATCTGATGGCTATTAGAATGTTTAAATGAGATAATATATAATACGTATTAAGCCCCCTGCCCAGCATATAAATAAGTACTCAATAAATATTAATTATTTGATCCTCTCCTTGTCATTGTTAATCTCTTGTGCAAAGAAAAAAAAAATTAATCAAAAACAGCTTGTGGAAGGAGCACAGACCCTTGACCCAGACACTTCTGCACACAGCAAGGTTTGCACCAATCAACGCCTGACTCCACAAAGCATAATATGAATGTAAGGCAAGGGCTATTTAGCCCAGGTCTTACCTGTATATTTTATATCTGGTTGTAAATCCTTGACGGTGTCTTTCCACAAAGGATAGGTAGCTCCTGGAGTGGTGGAAAGGCCCCCTGTCTGAAATGAGCCAATCAAATTCCTTGGAGACATGTTGGTCTGTCCCAGCTGGTTCCTGGTGGGAGGGCTGCACTGAGATACGGCCCCATATAAACAGGAAGTAGAGGAGCTCAACAAACCTCCAGTTCATGCTTTTCTGCCGGCCTTTTTCCTCTCATTCTTGCTCCATTCTGTGGAGTCCTATAGAAGAAAGAATAAAAAAGAGAGAGAAAAAAAGAGAAACCAAAAGAGAGAGAGGAGAGGGGAAGAGGAGTAAAAGAAAAAGACACAGGAAAAGAAAAAATGTGATTAACACATCTTCATAATAATACCTTATATCAGTAGAGTGCTTTAAAGTTTATAAAACCCAGTACAGTTCTGGTTAAAAACATAGAATCTATGGAAATCTGGGCCCATGTTCCCATTTTGCTGTTCACATATTGTCTGAACATGTACAAACTGTTTGGTCTATTATGGATGCAGTTTTCTTGGAAGTAAAACTGAGGGTGAGCTTACGAGCCTGTATCTTGGCACTTGGCACATCATGGATGCTCAAGGAAGATGTGTTGAAAAAATGAATAAATGAATTAATGCAGAAACAGAGTCTCATACACCCAGTAAGAGACATAGGGACACAATTCAAGTGAGTGTACCCTCTTCTGTCTTCACTAACAACCTGCCTCTCATAAAGAGGTATCAATAAACAAGAGTTCCTTTTCCTTCTCTCAGCAGGCATGTATCCACTGAGCACACATTTTGCTTTTGCATGAACAGATGAATGCACAAAGTCTTGTGATGGATTATCATGACTATCTAGGTTGAATACTTTAGAGACGAAGAGTTCATGGAGCTTGCTTACAGTTCACTTCTGCAACGTTCAATGGAATGTCTCCCAAACCCAAAGAAACATGGCCAGAGAATTTGTCTTTTGGTGACTCAGCCTCAAAGGTTGCCCAGGGTTCAAAAGGAAAACTGAAGGCGGTCATTTTGTCAGGGGGTCTCGCATGCTTCTTTTATTAGGGGGTCTTATGGCACAGTGGTGCTGCGAGGGTGAAATGCTTAAGCCTAAGGGGTAGCTTTGGTAGAGAGGTACCTTGTGGAGAGGATAGACCAGAAATCACAAGGCCATGCCAATTTTGTAAACACAATTTACACTTTTTGTTTAGTTTTGTTTTGTTTGAGACGGAGTCTCACTCTCTCACCCAGGCTGGAGGGCAATGGCACAATCTCAGCTCACTACAACCTCCGCCTCCAGGGTTCAAGTGATTCTTCTGCCTCAGCCCCTCAAGTAGCTGGGACTACAGTCACGTGCCACCACACCCAGCTGATTTTTGTATTTTTCATAGAGATTGGATTTCACTATGTTGGCCAGGCTGGTCTCGAACTCCTGACCTCATGATCCGCCCTCCTTGTCAGTCTACTTACTCGCTTAACTGTATGTGACCCCACCCTACTTATTCTAACAGAGCTTCTCTTACTCCATATTGAAAGGCAGCTTTAAATCCACTTTGTATCTGTTAGAAACAGTAATATTTCAGGTCATGTATTTAACTTTCCTGACATTCAGTTTCCTTATCTGCAAAATGTGGTTAATAATAGCACCTACACTCAGAACCAAGATGACAATTAAACGACATAATTGCTCCCTCTTGTGCCTGGCATACAGTAAGTGCTCAATAAATGTCACGTATCATGATGAGGATAATGATGATGAATGTCGATACTGATGTCAACTTATTCCCTATGACAGTGTTTTTGTTCACCTGATCCCCACTGCCTGGCCAAACCCTGTTTAAATCCTTCAATAGCCAGCTGAGATCATGTCCTCAGAGGTCATTTTCTTTTTTTATTAATTTAAAAAAGCGTTATTTGTTTACTCCTCTGAGCTATAGTTGCTCATTTTCTGTAACTGCATTTTAGCCCTTATCACCTTGTATTATGCTTACAGGCATACTTCATTTTATTGTACTTCACTTTATTGAGATTTGCAAATATTAAAGTTTTAACAAATCGAAGGCTTGTGGCAGCCCTCAGCCTAGCCAGTCTGTTAACACCAATTTTCCAACAATGTGTGCTCACTTTGTGTCTTGGTGTCACATTTTGATAATTATCAAAATATTTCACACTTTTTTATTATTATTGTATCTGTTATGGTGGTCTGTGGTAAGCAAACTTTGATGTTATTATTGTAATTATTTGGGTGCACCATGAACTGGACCCATATAAGATGGCAAACTTTATCGATAAACCTGTGTTTTCTGACTGCTCCACTGACTAGCTATTCCCTTTCTCTCCCTTTCCTCAGGCCTGCCTACTCCCCGAGAAATAATAACACCGAAATTAAGCCAATTAGTAAACCTACAATGACCTATAATTGTTTAAGTGAAAGGAGGAGTCCTACATCTCTCACTTTAAATCAAAAGCTAGAAGGCATGGCAAAAGGCAAGATAGGCTGGAAGCTAGGGCTCTTGCACCAGTTAGCCACATTGTGAATGTGAAGGAAAAGTCCTTTAAGGAAATTAAATGTGCTGTTCCAGTGAACACATGAATGATAAGAAAGCAAAACAGCCTAGTGTTGAATGAAGAGAGTTTTAGAGGTCTGGGTAGCAGGTCAAAACAGTCACAACATTCCCTTAAGCCAAAGCCTAATTCAGAGTAAGGTTCTAACTCTCTCCAATTCCATGAAGGATGAGAGAGATGAGAATGCTGCAGAAGAAAAGTCTGAAGCCAGCAGAGGTTGCTTCCTGAGGTTTAAAGAAAGAAGCCATCTCTGTAACATGAAAGTACAAGGTGAAGAAGCTAATGCTGATGGAGAAGGTGCAGCAAGTTATCCAGAAGATCGAGCTTCAATTATTGATGAAGATGGCTACCCTAAACAATCTATTTTCTTTCTTGTTTTGGAGACAGGGTCTTGCTCTGTCGCCTAGCCTGGAGTGCGGTGGTGCAATCTTGACTCACTGCAACCTCCACCTCCCGGGTTCAAGCAATTCTTATGCCTCAGCTTCCCCAGTAGCTGAGATTACAGGTGCACGCCACCATGCCCATCTCATTTTTTGTATATTTAGTAGAAACAGGGTTTCGCCATGTTGGCCAGGCTGGTCTTGAACTCCTGACCTCAAGTGATCTGCCCGCCTCAGCCTCCCAAAGTGCTGGGATTACAGGCGTGAGCCACCGTGCCCGGCCAACAACCTATTTTCAATGTATACAAAATAGCTTTATATCTGAAGATGTCGATGATTTTCATAGCTAGAGAGAAGTCAGTGCCTGACTTCAAAGCTTCAAAGGACAGACTGTCTCTCGTTAGGGGCTAATGCAGCAGGTGACTTTAAGTTGACGCCAAATGCTCACCTACCATTCCAAAAATCCTAGGGCCCTTAAGAGTATGCTAAATCTACTCTGCTTGTGATCTAAAGCCTGGATGACAGCACATTTGTTTACAACATAGTTTACTGAATATTTTAAGGCCATTATCCAGAACTACTGTGCAGAAAAAAAGATTCCTTTCAATATTATTGCTCACTGACAATGCATCTAGTCACATAAGGGCTCTGACAGAGATATACAAGGAGATTAATGGTGTTTTCATGCCTGCTGAAACAACATCTATTCTGCAGCCCATAGATCAAGGCATGATTTTGACTTTCAAGTCTTATTGAGAAATACATTTCATGAGGTCAAGAGATCGAGACTATCCTGGCCAATATGATGAAACCCCGCCTCTACTAAAAATACAAAAATTAGCTGGGCATGGTGGTGCGCACCTGTAGTCCCAGCTACTTGGGAGGCTGAGCCAGGAGAATCGCTTGAACCCGGGAGGCGGAGGTCGCCGGGAACCAAGATCGCACCACTGCACTCCAGCCTGGTGACAGAGTGACATTCCATCTCAAAAAATAAAATAAAATAAAGAAAAAAGAAATACATTTTATACTGCTATAGCTGCCATAAAAAGGGATTCCTCTGATGGATCTGGGCATTGCACATTGGAAAACTTCTGGAAAAGAGTCACCATTCTAGATGCCATTAAGAACATTTGTGATTCATGGGAAGAAGTCAAAATATCAACGGTAACAGGAGTTTGGAAGAAGTTGATTTCAAACCTCATGAATGATCATGAGGGGTTCAAGACTTCAGTGGAGTAAATCACTGTAGATGTGACAGAAATAGCAAGATAACTAGAATTAGAAGTAGAGCCTGAGGATATGACTGAATTGCTGCAATTTCATGATAAAACTTGAACGGATGACGAGTTGCTCCTTATGGATGAGCAAAGAAAGCAGTTTCTCAAGATGGAGTCTACTCTTGATGAAGATGCTATGAACACTGTTGAAACGACAACAAAGGATTTAGAATACTACGTAAACTTAGTTGATAAAACAGTGGCAAGATTTGAGAGTACTGACTCTGGTTGTGAAAACAGTTCTACCTTACGTAAAATACTATCAAACGGCATCACATTCTACAAAATTATTTCATGAAAGAAAGAGTCAATTGATGTGGCAAACCTCATTGTTGTCTAACTTAAGAAATTGCCACTGCCACCCAGTCTTCAGCAACCTGACCACCCTGATCAGTCAGAAGCCAACAACATTGAGGCAAGACCTTCCACCAGCAAAAAGATTTTAACTCACTGAAACTTCAGATGATCATTAGCCTTTTTTTAGTAATAAAGTGTTTTTAATAAAGGCATATACATTGTTTTCTGAGACACACTGCTATCCTACACTTAATAGGCTACAGGATACTGTAAACATAAGTTTAATATGCAGTGGGAGGCCAAAAAATTGGGGTGATTCAATTTATTGCAATATTTGCTTTATTGTGGTCATCTGGAACGCAACCTACAAATCTCTGAGATATGCCTGTATTTGTTTCTATGTCTGTCTTGTTCATTGGGCTGTAAGCCTTTAACTGGAAATGATCTTTAGAAAACTAGCTACTCTCGCTCAGCTGCATGACTGTGGACAGTCATGTCCCCTCTCAAGACCTCAGATTTTTATGTCTTCCATGTGAAAATGTGGTGAGGACACAAACAATTTGTCAACTGTAAACCCATCTATATACATGATTAAATATGACACCTCATTTGTCTACTTTTCCAGCTGAATATGAAAGATAAAGCAAAGCTGAGAAAGAGAAAAAAATTTAAAAGAGAAATGTGATTTATTGCCCAGTTGGTTATTTCTCTCTGTTGCCCATTGCACTGTTTTATCATGAGTCGCTACAAAAATCTGCTTGTCACTGCAAGTCTCAGTTGTCAGGGGCAAAGGAGAAAGGTACATGAGCAGAGGAGTGAGCTGGCAAAAGCTGTGGCCTGAGGTCTTGTTCAGAGCCTAAAACAAATCCGTACATGTTGAGTGCAGAACAGTAACAACTACGGCTGCCAAACTGTCTGCCAGAGCCCCCAAGTGGCAAGCAGGGGATGAAGGCGATTGTTGGGAGATCCTGGTAGTGATACAACACACTGAAGTCACAGTGTGTCACCCACACAGCCCTTCTACATGGCTTCTATTGTAAACTGGTGCAGGGTGGGAGCCTGTGAGAGAATACTTAGCTGTTAGACTGTTTGCAAAGAAACAAGGCTCAGAACATTGCAGCTCTCAAAAGTGGAACAAGGTCATACATGGAAGAGAAATGTGTGGGGTGTGTGTGTGTGTGTGTGTGTGTGTGTGTGTGTGTGTGTGCAGGAGAGTGAGACCTCAGCCTACAGTCCCAGAATTAGCTGAAATTTGGAAGATTTAACTCGTACTTCCCAAGTGTGGACCTTTTGCTCCCCAGGGAACATCTTTGATCCTCACAACTGAGGGGATGCTGCTGGCATCTGATGGGTGGAGGCCAGGGGTGCTGCTAAACATCTTACACTGCACAAGACAGCCCCCACAACAAAGAATACGGGACCCCACATGTCAATGATGCAAATGTTGAGAAACCCTGCTCTAATCCAACTCCTTTTTACAGATCATAACCTGAGTGGCAAATTGGGCTAGACTCCTATCTTCTAGCTCTCGGTTAAGAGTTCTTCTCATTCTGCCACATTGTCTTGGCCAGGCACTTGGCATGTATGGCTATGTTTCAACCTGCTTTGTTCTTAGGGCCTGTAATACCATCTACATTTCCTCAAGTAGAGATGAATGTTTCATGGAAGAAGTCAGAATATATCTCTGTTGATTTAGAACATCACAGTAATCCGCAGAGCACCAGAAATGAAAATGAAAGTTTCTATAGAGTCCTTGACTTTATTAATGGAAATGGATATTTTGTTGGGCTGGAACAAGGATGAGTACATATGTTACCCATATATGTTATGATGGCAGGGAGTGACTCCCATTATGTAAATAAGACCATATTAGCACCAACTGTGCTGGAGACTCCAGATAATATGAGAGTCACATTATTGGTATTTATTGAGCATCTACTATATGCTGGCTTTAAAATGGTTTATTTTCTTGGTAGTTGCCAAAGCATACAGTCCAGAGCAGTTATTAATAAAGATGTATTCCACAAAATGGGCACAGTTACCCAATTTAACAAATGAGCACCTTAGGACTTGGAGACATTGAATAACTTTCTTAAGCTCACAATTCCCAAGTGTCAGACTTGGGATTCTAACCTGTGAATATCCCATTACACAGTCTGTACAATTTCCAGCATTCCCCAGCCTCATCTCATTCCAGCTGAAATTAGATCCTGCTCTCCAGAGATTCAAAATATAATGGGGGAGTCACACCCAAGTGTGAACAATTCTAATATGAAATATGCTGCCATAAATACTATAATAAAGAAATGAAGTCCAACGGAGGAATGGATGCCAGAGAGACTGTTTTCAGCAAAGGCACTGAGAGAACCCCATAGAAGAGGGAGGTAGTACTTGAGAAGGGTTTCAAATAGCATGTACAGTTTTATTGAGCACAGATGGGGAAAAGGAAATTTCAGCAGAACAGACAGCCTACAAAAGCCTTGGGTGGGTGGGAGAAGGTAGGAGAGTGATGGGGTGTGTGCTGGGGATAGCACACCAGGTGGCAGAGTACTTAGGGAGAACCAGGGCCCTGAGGCAGCTGATCGCCCATCTCTCACTCTATCTCCCTCTCATCAAATGAACTGTGGATTTCATTTCTGTACTACCTGCTAAAGTCAAAAAGCATTGTGGATGGTCAATAAATTTATCTATTCATTCATTACCATACTGAACAACTATTATGTGTCAGGTACTCTTCTAGAAGATAGAAATTCAATAGTGGACAGAACAGCCAGGGCCCTCAAAGAGCTTATTTTTGGTTAGTAGGGAGAGGGGAGGAAACAAATGGGCACTGACTCTACGTGTGGTGAGTGCGAAGTGCTCCGAACAAAATCAAAGCAGGTCAGAGGGCTGAGAGTGGAGGTGCTGCTTTCTATGCGAGGGTGCTCAGGAAAAGCATCTCTGATAAAGGGGCTTCCAGGCAGAGACCTAAAGAAAGTAAAGAGATGAATGGTGCAGATGCCTCAGGGAAAAGCAATGTCAGTGGAAGAAAGGAAAAGAGACAGGGACAGGGTGGGTTCAATGCTCGGCTATAATCAGAAGTCAGGTTGCATTTCCATCTCCCACAGGGAGCTTATACTTTAGTTGCTGTGAAAGTCATTTTGAGGAAGAAATCACACATTAAGTGGACACTTACTATGTGCCAGAAACTGCACTTATTGCTTTACACATGTGACCCATAGAAATACCAGGAGAGGGAGGGGTTATGGTCTCCATTTTGTTTTTTTTTTTGAGACGGAGTCTCGCTCTGTCGCCCAGGCTGGAGTGCAGTGGCGCTATCTCGGCTCACTGCAAGCTCCGCCTCCCGGGTTCACGCCATTCTCCTGCCTCAGCTTCCCGAGTAGCTGGGACTACAGGCGCCTGCCACTGTGCCCGGCTAATTTTTTGGTACTTTTAGTAGAGACAGGGTTTCACCGTGTTAGCCAAGATGGTCTCGATCTCCAGACCTCGTGATCCACCCGCCTCGGCCTCCCAAAGTGCTGGGATTACAGGCGTGAGCCACCGCACCCGGCCATTGGTCCCCATTTTATACATGGTGAGGAGGGGAAACTGAGGTTCAGAAAGGCGAAGTAACTGGCCTCATACCACAAAGCTGGCAAACAGCAGATTTAGAACTGGAGACTGTGCTGCCCAGTTTGGAAGCCCCTGGTCACATGTGTCTATCAAGAGCTTTCGATGTGGCTAGTCCAAATGGAGGTGTGCTATTCATAAAAATACACACCAGCATTTCAAAGACTTAGCAAGAATAATGGAATTTATTTATTTTTTTTATTTATTTATTTTTTAGTTTTTTGAGACAGGGTCTCACTCTATTTCCCAGGCTGGAGTGCCGTGGCACAAATCCAGCTCACCGCATCAGCGATCCTCCTGCATCAGCCTCCCCACTAGCTGGGACTACAAGCACGTGCCACCATGCCTGGCTAACTTTATTATTTTTTGTAGAGACTAATTTTATTATTTTGGGGAGGCTCAAGCCATCCTCCCCCCTTGGCCTCCCAAAGTGCTGGGATTAAAGGTGTGAGTCACCATGCCTGGCCAATAGAATTTTAAATAGCTTACTAATGTTTTATATTGATTACATGTTGGAATATTATGATCTGGGAAATACTGGATGAAATAAAAAATTAAGGTGGCTGCTAGAAACTTTAAAATTACACATGTGGCTGGTATTCTACTTCTATTGGGCAGCGGGGGTCAGGATGAACCCTCATACTCTATGACACTGCTCCAGAAGGTCATTCATCCATCTCCACATTTTTATCAACAGCGTAGAACCCAACTTACTCTCCCTTAGAGCCATTGGGTTGAGCCACTCTCCTCTTGCCTCCAAAATCAACAAATTAACAATAAATACACCGGAAATATACATTTCCATGTTCAAGGGCCACATCTCCCAAGCCCCATGCCCTAGCAACAGTCTTGAATATCTACTACTATGCATTTCAGAACTGTTGTTCTTCCAAAAGATTCACAAAGGGAATTTCCTGCCACTGGAGTTTAGAGCTTGTGAAAGAGAGGCTGGTTCTATTCTGAGTGCTGCCCTTGACCTCCTGCGACCTTCAGTGAGTCACAGGCCCATTGCTGCACAGGGCTCTGGTCTACCCAGAGCCGCCAACACTGGCTGTGGCGTGGTGAGCACGTGGGGCCCTTGGCTGAACTGTGCTATATATAAGCCTGCAGTGTTATTAAGGGAGTCGGGTTCATCCCACACAGAATGCATTCTCTAATTGTTGCTATTGTAAATTATTTACATCCGAGGCACACACTCAGGAGGAGGAGATGAGAGAATGACCTTCCAGCAGCGCTGTTACCAAGCTCATCCTCTGGAGCTTTCTGCATGGATTGCTGGGCCATGACCCATATTCTGGGCCAGAGGTAGAAGGGAATGCCTCCTCCCTCCCTCCGCCCAGGTGCCTGAGAAACTGGGCTGATGATCGCATCTGGGAAGTTAACCCACAATACTTGCCTCTTAAACCTGAGTCAACTGGATAATCTCATCTAGGCTTAACTCTCAAATCTGCTTCTCCAGATAAGACTTCTCCCCAGTAATGCAGACCTTCAAAGCTGAGTGACCTTGGGCATGTTATTAACCCCCTCTGTGCCTCAGTTTCCTCATCTGTAAAATGTGGGCAGTAACAGGGGGATGCACATCTCTTGGGGTTCAGATCCAAATTAAACATAATTTTAAAATGTAACTATTTGTCTTAGTTTCAACTGAACCCCAAAACTACAGCTACCATATTCCAAACACAGGTGCACGACCATCATATAGGACTTATAAAAACAGGCAACCAAAATGCACTTTTTGGGGATTCTTAACTTCTTACCCACATCACAGCATGAAAAGTAAGATGCCAGGACTAGGAGTGGAGTTTGAGTGGCCTCTGACAGTGCTGAGCCCTCCTTTCTACCCTCTAAACTTCTCATGGGCAGAATGGGGTATAGAGGCCCCTCACCTCAAGCTTCCACAGGACAACTCAAAGAGCATGGCAAAGGTCTCCTGGAGCTTGGGAGAACATGGAGGATTGGTGTCTAACTCACATCAGAGAAATCTCAAACAAAAATTCCAAAGAGAGAAATCTAAAGAGAGGCAGGCTGAAACCCAGCAGCAGAGCAGGGGCTGCAATTTGGGAAGCAACTGCCTAGTTCATGGGTAAAAGGAATGTGTCCCCTCCACATAGATCAGAGGTGGGCCACCTACAAGGGAAAACTGGGTGAGGTTGCTTTCAATCCTGACCCAGAGGGAGAGGTGATGCCAGAGACAGGAAACTGGAATAATCTCCCTGCCATGTACCAAGGGTCCAAAGGATAAGTGACAGGCAAGCAGCTAAAGATACATTTTCCTACATCAAAGGAATCACAAGTAAGAAATCCCAGAGAAAAAGGAAAACTCCAAAAACACCCCCAAAGAAATGCTGCCAGTAAGAAAAGGTTAGCATTAAACATCTGCCAAGGCTGCAAAGCACTGATGCTAGATCATCAGAAAATACTCATCAAGGAAGAATCCTTCTACCTTCTCACTTCTCCATTGTTGGCCAAACTTTATGCCTTGAAGAAGTCAGAGGTCAAGGTTAGCAAGATGGAGGAGGCATGGTAAAATTGTAACTTGGGGAAAGAGGAAAATCTGGAGGAAGAGTGAAGTTTCCACTTTAAATAAAATATTTGTTGTAATATACTGAACTAGACAGATTGATTACTGAGCAGAGACTATGTATGGAGAATAGAGGTGAACCCCCCAAATTTTCACCTGAAAAAATTATGGTCTTTCCTTAACTTTCATCCAAATGTCAGAGGAAACCTGATCCAAGAGTTAAGTCTAAAAAGTGGGTGAAAAGAAGCAAGTGGTTTTTGCTTTTGTTTCTTTCTGATCTTGCCCTATGAATCCTGTTTAGCCAAAGGGAAGATTTCATGAATTAAAACACCTTGGTGCCCAACTCAGTACAAACGTCCAATTAATTCCAATGAGAATTTACTAATCAGGGTATACAAGGCAAAAAAAAAAAAATTCTTAGAATTTCTAGTGTACTTGTTTACTACCTATCTTCAAGACTCATCCCACATACCAGTCACAAGTCACCAATGGTCATGAAGTGAAGAGCAGAAGCCCTACTGCACAGTGGGTTCTGTTTTTCCTTTGGGGTATTGTGATAACTTGGTGTTTTTATCGGTGCCTAGTGATATGGAGTTTAGGATTCTATCATCTGACTTTAACTAAAATGAGCAAGTGGCTTCAAAATACTATTAGGAAGAAACTTTTAATTGGCAATAATGAAAATAATTCAAGACAACACAAACAAGAAAATGGTGAAGGGCCAGCCACCCTACAATGCTCAATCAAAAGTGAGATTTAATCAGGTTTATCAAGAATTGGAAGATTCAAGATAATCATGAAGACTAAAGTATGGATTTACATCTGCTATCATTAATGCTGACCCTTGCTCTAAGTGAATCTTGAACACTGGGGAATTGAGATATTAGCTAGTAAAGTTAATATGTGTAAATAATTTATATACATACATTCATAGGAAGGAATACTGCCAAAAATTTCTACTGATTGCTACATGTGTATCTTACAAAAACATTCTAGAAAACCTTGGAATGGCCGGGCACAGTGGCTCATGTCTGTAATCCCAACACTTTGGGAGACCGAGGTGGGCAGATCACCTGAGGTTGGGAGCTCGAGACCAGCCTGACCAACATGGAGAAACCCCATCTCTACTAAAAATACAAAAATTAGCTGGCTGTGGTGGTGCATGCCTGTAATCCCAGCTACTCGGGAGGCTGAGGCAAGAGAATTGCTTGAACCAGGGAGGCGAAAGTTGTAGTGAGCTGAGATCACGCCATTGCACTCCAGCCTGGGCAACAAGAGTGAAACTCTGTCAAAAGGAAAGAAAGAAAGAAAGAGAGAGAGAGAGAAAGAGAGAAAGAGAGAAAGAGGAGAGAGGAAAAAAGAAAACTCTGGAATGAGTGTTCATTATAATTTGTATATTTTACATTATTATTTTTAACCACATAATCAACATCTCTAGGAAATCACACAGGCTTCTCAAGCTCAAAATATCCCCAACCAAACTCATTATCACCCTCTCAAACTTTCCTGTCTCCCAGTATTCCCCATCCAAGTAAACCATACAATCTCCCAAATCATGCCTGTGAGAAGCTTGGGACTTTTCCTTTTTCCTCCACCCTATTCGGCCATTGCCACTGCTGCCACAACCATTTCCACATCCTGTCAATTTACTTTGCTTTCACATCCATCTACTTCCTTTGCCAGTCTTATTCTTCTCCCTTCTCTCTAAACCTCAGAGCAATCTTACACTCTTCCCTTTGCCTTACACACTTCTTTTTTCTAAGCCTATCCTCGTTTGACACCTGTCATTCCATTTGGAACATGACTAACTCTCACTTGGATTATCACAACCATCTTCCTACTGGTCGTCTTGCTTCATGTCTGTCTACCACCTCCATCCTAAGCCCTTGTTGCCAGAGTGATCTATCAAAATACAGATGCAACCATGACACTCACCTAATCTAGCAGATCCAGCCATTCCCTATTGATTGTTTTACCCCTTAGTCTTGCCTTCAACAATAAGCTGAATCCTTTTCCTACTTCCATGCTTCCACACCCCATCCTCAACTCATCTTGTTCTCCAGATTCTCTCCCCAATTGCACCAACTGAACACACTGTAAATCTCCATGCCTCAGTGCCTTGTTTAGACTGTTCCCTCTCCTTGCAATGCCCATCCCTGTTTCCCAACTTTATAATAGGCAATTCATGGCTAAATTTATTAGTAAGAGTGAATGAAAGATTATTGAGCATGTATTACTTGCTAGATACTATGTCAGACTCTCATGCCCAATAGCATTAAATCCACAGAACAATCCCATAAGACATTAAATTGCATTATTTTGATTTTTGCAGATGATAAAGCTGAGGCCCTTTTAAAGTATCTGATTATTTTTCCAGTGTTGTAGTACCTAAAAATGGCAGAATTGAACTTAAACCTAAACCAATTCTAAGTGCTATGACTCAGGGTTTTAAAACAGTAAGCTAAGAAACCACATCATCCCTAATTGTAGTTTTCTTATTTTGACCAGTGTGAACTACCACAAATCAACTGTAAAAATGTTAATAAAGAGAATTTCTGATAAATCATCTTGAAGCATGAAACTCCTAGAAATAGTGAATCTAGAGAAGTTCGTGGAAAACTGAATAAAAGTTAAAATATGTAGAATAATTATTTTTGTAATTTTTTTCTGTGATCCTATTATATTTTATTAACAATATAAACCTAAGTTATGTATAGCACTTTTTTTCTTTTTAAATATTTCATTTGGACCCACATTTAGAAATGTGAGGGTCTAAATTCAGGGAGACTGCCTTTGGAGCTTTCTCCCCAAATTATCAGCAGTCTATGCAAGAGATCTTTCAAAAGGGGAAGTGAAATAAATATTTTGGAGTGTTTATTGTAGGCCAGTTTGCTACAATTCAATAGATATTTCTTGATCCTCTATTTTAATTGGCTCTCACAGTCCAGAATGCGAGATGGACATAGAAATAGGTAATTTCAGTATAATGTAATAACAGAGCAAAGACAGGATACGTCCAGGGTTCTGTGGAACACGGGCCCCTAAACTAGGGTCTCTGGAAATGCTTCCTGGAGATGACATCTAGATGAGGCCTTAGAAGACAGAGAGACATTTGTGAGGTAATGAAAAGTTTGGCCTGCATTTCAGACCAAGAGAAGCATGTGAAATGGCATGAAGGAGTGTGTTGTGAGTATGGAATCTACAAACATTTCCCAGTTGCTGCAGTGGGAATTTTGAGGCAGGGAGTGGCAGAAGATGAAGCAAAACCTCAGTGGGATCACTTATTACATAACCATATCATTACCAACAACTGGTAGTTTCTTGGGGACCAAGATTCTTTTTTATTTTATTTTAGTGCTGGGGTACATGTGCAAGATGTTCAGGTTTGTTATATAGGTAAACATTTGCCATGGTGATTGGCTGTACTTATCAACTCATCACCTAGGTATTAAGCCCAGCACGCATTAGCTATTTTTCCTGATGCTCTCTCCTACAGTGCCTTCAACAGGCAGGCCCCAGTGTATGTTGTTCCCCTCCCTGTGGAGGACCAAGATTCCTGTTTCCCCTCCTATGTATGTCCAGCATCTGGAACTAATTATTGGGTAGGTACTGAATCAATATTTATTGAATGGATGAACTGTACAAATTGAGAGCTAGGATTCACTCCATGGGATCACAGGGAACCATGGGAACCTTCTAAACACAGTAGCTTTATGTCAGAGTTTCATTTTAGATGAATTACTCCAACTGCAGGGGTTAGTGGAGAGATTTAAGGTAGGATGAGGAAGCAATTGAGGACACTATAGATTATACATGGTCTGAACAAGACATCTTGTATTAGATGGAAAGAAAAAAATGAGAAGCAAAATTAGCAAGATTTGGTGACTGGGTGGATGAAGTGAGAAAAGGAAGGTGTATACAATGACTCTTAGTCTGTTTTGGTAACCAGGTTAATGCTGGTGCTATTCATGACAATAAAGAATAATGGAAAAGGAATGGGTTTTGAGTAAATGATGACAAGTTCCCTCTTGGATCTGTTGCATTTGAGGTGTCCATTGACATTCAAGTTAGGATTTCTAGTAGGCTACAGAATCCTTGAGAGAAAAAAAAAAGAAGAAGAAAGGCCAGGGCTAGAGGTAAATATTTGTAAATCACTATGAACCAGTGGTGATTAGAACTACAGGAGTGGATGAGACCACTCAGTAAACTCATGAGTCAAGAGTAATGCAAATAAATAGTAAGCAATGCCCATTTTTAGTCAGCATGAAGAGGAAGAGATATCATAAAGTGGACTGAAAAGAGATAGTACGATGGATGAAGGGGAATTATGAGAGAATAATGGCAACAAAGCCAGGGGAGCAGGGGTGTGTAAGAAGAAAAGGGTCTCAAGTTTCAAAGGCTACAGAGTGCTAGAACAAGATAAAGATGCAAAATATCTGTTAGAATTAAGAATACAGAGGTAGCTGACAGTTGTCAACAGCATGATGGAAACAGAAGATTCATTGAAAGAGATTAAGGCATGAATGGGATGTGAGTCAATGGAGACACAGAGTATACAGTACTTGGCTAAGATGGAAAAAGCAGAAGAGCAAATGGCTCTCCTTTCTCCCTACCAGAGAGGGAAGCCAAGAGTCAATGGAAGATTTTTTGTTTTCTTTATGGAAAGACTTTAGTATATTTAATTCTAGGATAGACCTAGAATTAAATAATAGAATATGAGACAGAAAGATAATTAGCACTTATTGAGAGAGTGGAATGGAGTCTGGGATAGGGTGGCCAAACTCTGGACCAGACACTTGGTAATTAAATAGAAAGTGTCCATGACTTTAGGGAGCCATAGGCTGATAACGGAGATAAATCTGTAAAACCCAAATTACAAAACAATAGATTGAGTATCAGAGACCTGAACAATGTTGTTGGAGCAAAGGAAGGAAGAAGTAACTCAAACAGAGCCAGTTCAAAAATACTTCTCAGGGGAGCTGAGATTTGGCTTGGGAGTCAAAAAGACTTCTCAGGGGAGCTGAGAATGGTTCAAACAAGGATGTGCCAGCTGAAAGGACAAAACAAAAACAAACAAACAAAAAAACCCAAGAGAAAGTTTTCCAGGTCATGAGAGCAGTGTGAGCAAAAGCATGGAATCATAAAAACCCACCACTAAAATGAGTAAGAAATGTAAAGAATAAGAAAAGTTTGCTGCCCCCACAGAGGCATATTGAAGAGCTTGGAGGCAGACTTGGAGGCAGAAATAGATGCCAAAGATAGAAACAGGCACTACACAGGTGCTCAAGATACAGCGACTCAATAAAGAAACAGATTGTTCTGGTGAGTTAGTGGCTTTGAGTTCTTCCCTGGGGTTAATTATTCTTAATATTCAGTGGAGCAAATAGATAAAACACTTAAGTTTTGTGTTTGAATCCAAATTCCAATATTTACTCATCAAAAGTTCTGACCCTTGGCCTGATGTTTCCAGCAGGTCCCTACTGAAATCAGGTGAAAAGTTCTTGGTGGATTCATTTGTATAGAAACTACCATGGTTCAGCTAATTCTTCTGCAATGTTGTCATCCTTTTATAGAGTACCTTTTAAATGATGAACTAAAAGTACAGCCACAGCTGTCACTTGTCTGTGACAATCATAGAATCCAAGAAAGAAGGCAGGGGACACATGAGTGTTTAAGCAGATGCTGGATGTGCCTGGGCCGGCAATCACAGGTTCAGTGTTGAGATTGAGCACTCTGCCTCTTCCCACTCTCTCAAGGTTCTCCTCACACCATCCTTGCATTCCAGTAAAACTTCATGCTGCCAAGGAACTGAGCTCCCATTTGATCTCTCAGCCACTTTTAACATACACAGGACAAAGATTTATATTCTTCATTTCAGTGATGAGAAAATGAACAGTCAGAGAGGTAACACCAGTAAATTATTTTAATAAAACAGGCATAATTCACTGAGCCCTCAAAACAAGCATCTGAAGATGTGATTATCATTCCTATTTCATAGGTGAGAAAAAAGCCAGAAAGTTTTAGAACTTTCTGAGACCCATGGTCTCAAAGCTACTGTGAGGCAGCAGCAAGATCCAAATCCATGTAATCTGGTTTCTGAATCCACTAGCCAGTGATACCTATTTAATGTTCTACTTGGATGAGAAGTAGACTTGGATCTAAACTCCTGCCATAGGCCCCGAGCTGGGCTTTCAGTCTTATACTTTCTCATAATTCTTCACTTTGATAGAGAACAATTTATTTCCCACACAGAAGCACATCCATGGTCCACCAGTGAGGGATGTGAACATATTACAGAGGGTGCCAATTTTTTTTAACCTTTTCCACATGTCTCAGAATTCGAAAAGACACTAGGAGTGCTCACCATTTTCTTTCTCTGCCTTTTGCTAAACCAGAGCCATCTAATTTCCCTGTTAAGACTGATCTTTACCTCCTCATCACCTGAAGGATACAGTCCAAATTCTTTAACAAGGCATTTTATTTCTACCCTGCCTACTTTCCAAACTCACCTCACCACCATCCACTCCCCCATGCTCTTCCCTCCAGCATACCAAACTTCTTACAGTTGCCTCAAGGTTTTGCAAATTCTCTGAAATGCCTCCATGTCTCTAGGTACTAAAGAGCAAATTCTTACTGTCCCTTGACAATTCATCTCCAGTATCTTCTCTGGAGGCCTTTATTTGAACACCAGTAGGAGTGAACCCTCCCATATTTGGGACTTTGCTGACATTGTCCATTCTTCTTTGTGTTTCTATCTCATTCAATGGTTGACATTTATGTTTCTGAGACTGAATGATGAGCATCCTAAAGGTAAGGCCCAGGTTCTAACACAATCCTATATCCTTACATTTAACATAAAAACTGGCATGCAATAAATGTGATTGACCTTTCATATTTGCCTCTCAGGGGCCTGTTTTCTCTTCTTAACAGTCATCAAGGCTGGATGCAGTGGCTCACACCTGTAATCCCAACACTTTGGGAGGCTGAGGCGGGGGGATCACGACTTCAGGAGTTCAAGACCAGCCTGACCAGCATAGTGAAACCCCATCTCTACTAAAAATACAAAAAATCAGCCAGGCATGGTGGTGTGCAACTGTAGTCCCAGGTTCTTGGGAGGCTGAGGCAGGAGAATTGCTTGAACCCAGCAGGTGGAGGCTGCAGCGAGCCGAGATTGTGCCACTGCTCTCCAGTTTGGGTGACAGAGTGAGAATCCATCTCAAAAAAACAAAACAACAGCAACAACAAGAAACAGTCATCAATTTTTACTTGGAGTTCTATTGCTTTCCCACATTCAGTTCTTGTAGTGTGATGGGTAGTTTCAGGATCAGTCCATGATTCGACTTAAAGAAGTAAAATGTAAAAGACCCCCAGGACCAAGAAAGCAAGGCTTTGCTACCAGACCTGAACCTAAAGGGAAGAGAAGCTGGAGGGTTGGCAGGCATTTTATCACTATGAGGAGGAGCCTTGGAAAGGCAGGACCAAGACTTGTTCTAAGATGAGACTAGAGAAACCCTGGAGCAACCTGCTGCCCAGCTCTGCTCACAAGATTTAGTTACATAAGACAATCACATGATTTTGTTGTTTTGGGTTTTGGATTTTTCTTGCCTTAAAACAATTTCAGTTTGGTTCGCTACTGCTAGCAGCACACAGAGCCCAAAGAAATAACAGCAATTTGTCAACAACATCTGCATCCATATATAACATCGGGAGGTTCCAGTAGAATTTAATTGGCTCCTTCTATGGTACTGGTTTGGGGGTGTTCCTGCTGTCATGAGTGTTTCTTTGTAAATATGTAGATGATGAAGTCTGTCTTAATCCTTTAACACTCTCTCTTCCTAGCTTTTTCTAGACCTCCATTGATTACACAGCTGCCATTCTGCCCAAGACCTCCAGCTTTACTAACGTGAGAATCAACCAAAGATACAAAGATACAAGAAATTCACTATTTCCATCCCCTTGACACTATCTGAGGTTTCACGAAGAATATTCCACAGACCACTTTGGTCAAAATCGCCAGGGATGCTTAATAAATGTTCAACCTCTTGGACCCTTCACCAGACTTACCGAATCATAAATCTCTCTAGTAAGAAGTGTATAGGGATCTGCACTTTTAGTAAATTCTCCGGTGAATGTTATACACTAAAGGGTAAAAGCCACTATCTGAGCTGGGGAGGAAGATCAGCAGGATCAGCTGAGGCCATTGCTGAACTCTAAGAAATGCCTTCCTATTGTTGCAGGGACAAGCCTCCTGATGAGCTAGAACCAGGGTCCTTCCTGTTACCTTCAAACTCTGAATAAAAAGCTGTGCACTCTCTGATTTCTAAGGGCCCAACCAGTCCCATGTGTATGATTTTCAGAAGGCTACGTCACCACTCCGAGGATCTATTTTCCCATCTGTGTTGCTAGATTCAGGAACTCTGTATATAACCATTCTAGCTACCATTTTTAGTCCTTACAATATTAATAATAATTTACTAATGACAAAAAAAAATTGTAAACACTTACTGTATGACAGAAGCTGTGTCAAGAATTTTGTAGATGTTACCTCAATTCATCTCCATAACAACCTATGGGATAGTTGTGGTGGATTACTTTAATGGCCCCAACACATCACCCCTCCCTATCATTAGGCACTCTGTCATGTACTTTTTAGCCCTTCTACTAAGGAGGTAGAATCTATTCCCCTTTCCTTGAATTTGGGCTCATCTTCATAACTCCCTTTGGTCAGATGAGGCAGAAGTGATGGTGTGTCAGTTCTGAGCCTGTACACAAGACACCTTGTGAGTTTCTACTTAACCTCTGTGCTCCTGCTACTGTCACAAGGACATGCCTGATATTTCAGAGGGAGGATGAAAGACATGCAGAGCAGGCTCTCGAGCTAACATGACTCAGCCAAGCCAAGATTAGAGTAGAGCACCCCCCTTCCCCACTGAACTGCAGGAGCAAGAGCAGCCCAGCCTAGATCAGTGAGCCTGGGTTAGGTCAGCTGGCCCTAGCTGCCCCACTGATGCATGAGCTTCAAGTGCCAGCTGTTTAAAGCCAATGAATTGGGTGAGGTGGTGGGAAGAGAGAGGTTGTTATATAACAAGTTTACGGTAATAGCTAACAGATACACTAGGTAATATTAATATTCCCACTTTATAGATAAGAAAACTGAGGGTCAGTGAAGCAAAGTAACTTGTTCAAAGTCACACTATTAATAGTAAGAGCCAAAGTTGGGATTTGATGCTAGATCTATTCAAAGCTTAGGCTCTTAATTCACATTAAACTGTCAGCTACTGGGTTGAGGACTCTGGTCCCCAAGCTATGTGTCTTTAATCTAGTGTGGCTTGTGAGTCTCAAGCAGTCTCTGACTTTAAAGTGAATTTCTGGCAGGCTGTGGTGGCTCATGCCTGTAATCCCAGGACTTTAGGAGGCTGAGGAAGGTGGATTTTCTGAGCTCAGGAATTTGAGACCAGCCTGGGCAACATGGCAAAACCCTATCTCTACCAAAAATACAAAAAAATTAGCCAGGCATGGTGGTGCACGCCTGTGGTCCCAGCTACTCAGGAGGCTGAGGTGAGAGGATCACTTGAGCCTGGGAGGCAGAGGCTGTAGTGAGCCAAGATCGTGCCACTGCACTTCAACCTGGGTGACAGAGTGAGACCTTGTTTCAAAAAAAAAAAAAAAAAAAAAAGTTCTTAAAATATTTCTAATCTTCAAATAAAAAAAAATAAATTTTCCCCTCCAGATTTCATTAAAAATTCTGGAGGTGAGGTCCAAAAATCTGTAGTCTTAAAACGCTCCCGTATTATTTTAATGCATTTGTGGGGATGAATGGCCTATATTTGGAGTAGGAGAGAAGGGCTTGTCCTAAACGAGGGGACACTGAGTATTCACTGAAGTTCTTTCCATCTCATAGGCTGTGAATGTGCAGTCTACCTTAATCCATCTATGCATAAGAAAGGAAGCTTGCAGGCTTTAAATCAGAAAGGAACAAGGTGTTTCATTGGGAGCCTAAGGAAAGAAAAAAAATATATATTGCATCTTTTGGATGAAAGGGCCCTTAATCTTCAAAACACAAACCATTTTCCATACCAAAGCCCCTTCAAGTCTAGGAAGTCTGCTGGGGCCTCAAGTCAGGCAAACAGCTTGTGTTTTGCAGATTAAGGGGCCTTTGACCCAGAGGATCCATTTTTGTGAAACTCCAAAGGAAATGCCTGGTCTATTTCTAGCCCATACACTCCCTGACAGAGGCAGCTCTAAATGCAGTCTGAGAAGAAGGCCGCTTCCCTGCTGGGAGTGGGGCCCAGCACACAGGAGGTAGTTAGATGAATGGAAGGTTTCCTGAAAGAGATCCTTTGCCTCAAAATATCATACCTGCTTCCTTGCCAGGATGCCCCAAATGCTCATTATAGAATAAACACAACTTTGAACTAATGAAAATTCCTGCTCAAGGAAGAGGGCCAATCATGCCAACCAGCAGGAGCAGGCATATTTCTAACACCTTCGAATTGAGGGGTACATTACCTCATTCGGTTTTCACAACACCGTGTTGTTGGCACAACGGGGAAACTGAATCATCACCCCACAGGCAAGGAAACTGAGAATTGAAGTAGTGTGCCTAAGATTACCCAAGCAAGCTCTCATGCTCCTCCCTAATCAGACCCCAGCCATAGGAATTCAACAAGGGCAAGATAAAGTCAGAAGCAGGGTTATTTGTGGAGGATAAACTAGAGCATGCCATCAGGTTTAGCTGACACTTAACTAAGCTAAGTGAAAATACCCCAATTCTAGCCTCCACTACTACTATAGAGGCAAGACTTGGGGCAACTGATATCCCTAAATCTCTGGAACTTGGTCTCTGCACCTGTGCAACGAGGAAGGTAGACTTAAGTGTTTTCTTATGTTCCTTCCAAGAATCATAGTACTTGTCTTGGACTATAATTCTGTACTGGTGAAATAAGGAAGAAACTTGCACTTTATGGAGGGGGTGGGGGAGGGGAATAGAGAGAGAGAGAGAATCATGCTCAATCTTGGCTCGCCTTGGATGAGGGGACATTGTGCCAGACAAGAGAGATCGAGTCTGAGGAAGTGAATGGATTTGATTTGTCTAAGCCTTAGCAAAGCAAATATTACTGAAATGTTGGCTGAGCGCCACTGACTTCCAAACAGAAAATGGCTTCCAGATATACTGTGGGAGCTCAGCAGGGTCTGTTAGAGTGAGTGATGGGGTGGCCATGCACTGCTGGAGAGCAGGGAGAAAGATTATAATATTCTCCCGACTGAGACGGACACAAACAGCCAGCTCAGGAGGAGGAGAGAAGGCACCAGCTGAATGTCCCCTAAAAGGCTCAGATAATTTACAGAAATCCCAGAAGGGCCTTTGGAAACTGTTAACCTAAGGCTGCTTGAGCCAAGTTACGTGGTTAGATGCCAAGAGAGTTGGTGAGTGCAGCAAGCACTGATGTGGGAGTCAGGAGGCCTGAGCTCAGGGCCCAGCTAGGTTTCTAATTCATCATGTGATCTGAGTCAAGGCTCATCCCATCCACAGACCTCAGTTAGTCTGTGCAGAAAGTTGGAAGTTTTAAATTATCTCTAAGGGCCCTTCTAACTCAGGCATTCTATGACACACTCTATCGGTGACTCACTCAACAGGTACCTACTGGATACCTTTCCAATATCAGTGATTCTTTCAACAGGTACTTACTGGATACCTTTCCAATATCAGTGATTCATTCAAAAGGTACTTAATGAACACCTACCCAATATCAGTGATTTGATCAACAGGAACCTAATGGACACCTATCCAATATTAGTGATTCATTCAACAGGTACTTAATGGACACCTATCCAATATCAGTGATTCATTCAACAGGTGCTTAATGGACACCTATCTAATATCAGTGATTTGTTCAACAGGTACTTAATGGACACCTTTCAAGTGCCATGCAGTGTGCTCAGACTTCTCTAAATCTAAAATCTGCTTTCTGTGAGATTATCAACACTTTCCTCAGGTGGGCACTGGCCTAAAGGTATCATCCAATCCAGCCTTCTACCTTCAGGAGGTACAGCCTCACAACATGGTTTGATGTTCATCTTATTCCTGATGGCCCATAGAGAAGAGAAAGGGCTTTCCTTGAGAACCACTAAGATTTCGTGCAGTCAGGATGTTCTTCTTTTGAATGCCACCTGAGACTTGCTTGATGTCCAGGGAGGTAGTTATTGCTAAGGCTGACATGTATGGGTAAAAGTCTCTTGGTGTGCACATTTATTATGTGTTATTGGCATCACCATTTACATGTCAGGTATAGATTGAAAAGAAAACCCCTCAGAAATGTCAGGGTGATGTTTCCTTCAAGTGCTCTGGAATACCCTAAATTAAACGGTCCTTAAAGAGAATGAAATGCAGCTGCTTTATTTTATGAAAAAGGAAATCAAGGCTTGCCCAAGGTCCCACAGCTAGTTAATGGCAGGAAACCAAAAGTATAGACCACATCTTCATGCCTCCTCCTGCATATGGTTTTTATGACTGCAAACACCCTCTCCTGTTCCTACATACGTTGATTTATTTTTGGTGGGTTTTGTTTTCCTTTGTTTTTAACATAGGAACCATTTCCCAGGAAGTCAACTTCCCAAATTCGGCTTCTCATTACTCCGAGAGCAATCACGCTGTAATGTGTGTGAAGGATGGAGAAACATTTGGACCTTTGGGGAACACGCTGGAGAGGTGATAGAGAGGGTGGGCTGTGAGGGTGGGAGTGAAATGTGGGAGAGAGAGTGTGTGCTGGGGAGCAGAGGGAGCAAGAATGCTGCAGTCAAATGCAGAGATGGAAACAAAGCAGTCGTATTGATTTGAAAAGGCAGTTCACTGAACTGACGCTGCCAGCCTGGCTCTTCCTGGTCTGCTCTCAGCAGGTCTGTAAAGGCACACACGTACCCTTGGAGGTTCAGAACCATCTACTCTGTATGCAGAGGGTGAATTGTGGGGAATGGGGACCAGAAGGGATGTGTTTGCTTGACAGAATGGGAGAGAGAAGAGAAAAAAAAAGAGAAAATATGAGAATGAAAGAGGATAGCTCCCTTTTAGATGAATACAATATAAAAGCAACCAGGTGAATGGGTCTAAATGGACAGGCATCTGATTCCACGGAAATGGGATGGGGAAGCCTTTTCTTTAAGAAAAGGATTAATGGGAGAGAGGGAGAAGGGGCCAACCTCTTCTCCATCTCGATGGTTCCATTTCTAAGCAGATTTCGTCCTCTCTCATCTGACTGGACCAGCCTCCTAATTCAGCTCCTGAACTCAATCCTCCCCTTTCTAAACCCTTGCCGGAAAGAGATGCTCAATAAATGTTTGATGAGAAAATAAACAGCCCCTAACATTGATTCCATCTTGTCAATGATGACGAATTTTTAGCGCATCACCACTTCTGCAGAGAATGCAAACTCAAAAACCCACAGTCCAGGCAGTAAACACAAAGGAATGACGTGGCCAGGTGTAGACTTTAAAAAGGGAATACGGTGACAAATCGTAGGCACAGGTCCCAGTCTGGAAGGACAGTAGAGAGCTTCCACGTAGGAATGAGATCTTTAGGCTGCTGGGTCACTTGTTTCAGGATAAGCCAGGAGGAAATACAGGTATATGAAATCTCTCCTATTTAAAGCATTGACCAATGTTCTCTCTTCCACTCTAGCCCTGTGAGTGTCAAATACAAGAACATAGCCATGTGTTGACAAGTGCACCTGTTTGTGACTATAGGCTTACAGGATCAAGTCCAAACATCTTAATTAAAAGCCCAAGATTCTCCCTTAACTACATCTAACCTAATTCCCTAGTCTTGCTTTTGCTTTCTAACCAGAATTGAACCTGTGACCACAGTCAGTCCAATTTTGACAGGTTGGGAAACTTACTGCTGTCTTTACAGATACAGAGCAGTTCCTCTGCCTGTTTCTGCCTCTTGGACTTAGTTCAAGTTCCACCTAAGCTCTGCCTCTTCTAGGAAGTTTTTCCTGATGACATCAGCCCCTTCTCAAATCCTATAGCTTGGAGGGAATATAAGTGTCTTTTGTCCTTCAAAAGATATACCATATTTCCATGGTTACTTAGCAGAGTACTACAGTCAGAAGAGTGTTTCACTGGGAACCTAGGATGCCTGGGTTCTAATCCTGGCTCCTCCATATCTCCCCCTGAACTTGCTGGGCAGGTAGCCTTGGGCAAGTTACTCTCTTCTCTGAGACTCAATTTCCACCACGTTTGAAATAAAGATACTGGCTTAAGTCAGCAGTTTTTAAAGTGGGCTCAGAGGTAGCTATGATGCAGGGAGGAGTGTTGAGTTGCAGGAGAGGATATCTAGGCCAATGCTGCTGCTTCCTTGAAAAACACCAATCTCCAATCTCTAAGGCTCTGATTAGTTTCTGGTATTCAGATTATGAGGTTTTTGTTTTTGTTTTTGTTTCTTTTTTTTTTTGCCTCTGCAATTAGATTGGGCTTTTTTTTTTTTTTCTTTAAGCCAGCTAAGCTTCATTGACCATGCATCATGCATTACGTCCCAGGCACTGTACTAGATGCTGTTCCTGTTTTTTATATCTCTTGTCTACTCTTAACCCCTAACAATGTGCTGGGTACTTGTTGAAAGATGCAGGGAGAAGAACAACAATGATAGGTGTTTTTCCCCTCACGGCCTCTCCCGGGACACCTTACTCTGGCAGTCACTTCCGGTTTCTGGAATTCAATCTTCTCTCCATAAGTGGAGAAGACTGAAATAGAAGGAATCTTTCAGATCAAAAAACAGGCGGGGTGGGGGCGGGCGCGGTGGCTCACGCCTGTAATCCCAGCACTTTGGGAGGCCGAGGCGGGCGGATCACGAGGTCAGAAGATCGAGACCATCCTGGCTAACATGGTGAAACCCCATCTCTACTAAAAATACAAAAAAAAAAAAAAAAGAAGAAGAAGAAATTAGCCGGGCGTGGTGGCGGGCGCCTGTACTCCGGAGGCTGAGGCAAGAGAATGGTGCGAACCCAGGAGGCGGAGCTTGCAGTGAGCCGAGATCACACCACCGCACTCCAGCCCTGGCGACACAGGGAGACTCCGTCTCAAAAAAAACAAAAAACAAAAAAAAACAACAACAAAAACACAGGGGGGTGGGGAGAAAGAAGGAAGGAAGAAAAGAAGAGAGGGAGAAAGAGAGGAGGACAGTGAAAGGAAGATGAAATAAGAGAAGGAAAAATGAGGCACTAAATGAGAGGGGAAGATAAAACCTTAGCCTCTCTTTTCACCTGGACTGCTGCTCCTACTAATCCTGTTTTCTTCTAGACCAAGAGTAGAATAGGTTTTCTATAAAAATCCAGGTAGTAAATATTTTAGGCTTTATGGGCCACAGTGTCTCTATCTCAATTACTCAGCTCTATCACTGTAGCCAGAAAGTAGCCATGGACAATCAATAAACAAATGAGCATGGCTGTGTTCCAGTGAAACTTCATTTGCAAAGACTGGGAGCGGGCCAGATTTGGCCCACAGATCGCAGTTTGCCAACTTCTGAGCTAGACATTAACATGCTTTCTTTTCTCCCTACAGAACTTACAACTACTTCGTGTTATATATTTCATTTGATTATTTATTATTAGTCTTCTCAACTGGAATATCAGCATCAAGAGGTCAGGTCAAAACTTTTATCTGTTTGGGTCAACCGTATATCATCAATTCCTAGAACAATGCCTAGCACATAGTGTAAGCTCAATACATACCTTTGGAATGAATGCATGAATATGAATGCAAATCTTTGGATATGAATGAATACATATCTTTGGAATAAATGGATTTCATCACTTATCCCCTAGCAAGTGCCAGGCACTGCACTTTGCTGTCTTTTTAATTTTCTACAGGAATTATTTCTTCTATTTTACAGATGAGGAAACAAGCTCAGAGAGGTTAAGTGATTCACCCACCGTCACACAACTCACTCATTATTTTAAAAGAAAGGATTCAAATCTAAGGCTCTCCCACTACAGCACAGCAAATGTAACTTTCTTTGCAACCTCCTCCTTTAGAATGTAGGCCATTCTACATGGCCCCAAAATCCTGGGTGGGTTCTGGCTCCCCAGTGAGTTCTCATGAACAGTCTTGTTCCACTATTAGGCTACACTCACCCACATGGACAGGGTTTGTCTGCCCAGCTGCTCCCACACTCATTCCCTCTCCCTGCCCCTCCCCAAGCTCCCCCTGTGTTTCAGTAAGAATTCACCTTCCCAAGCCACTGTTTCAGGAATAACCTCAGCTTCCATCTAGAGGAGGATCCATGAGCTGTTCTTCCTCTCCAGAGTTGACACCTAAAATGATTTTACTTATTTATTTAGAATTCATACCCCACCTACCCCCAAGGCACAGTTAAGGTGATATTACAAAGTTAAATAAGATATAAATCAGGACAATTAAAAATAAAAATGGAACAAAGAATAGTTAAAATGAGTGAAGGAACAGATATTACCAGGCACCTGGGATGAGCTAATTGATCTGGATTTAGATCTGAGGTTCCCGGCAGCTGAAGTAAAGTTAAGTTAATTGGCCCCCAAGGGGCTAAAATCCATGAGTAGAGTCTCATTAGCATCATATTCCAACCTCTGAGGGAAAAAAAAAAGGCTGAGACAAGAGGTGTGACAGTGAGTCCCACCCCCAGGATGCAGGGACAGATCCAGGAGCTGCCCCATCCAAGAACCTCCTCTTCCCCAGTCCAGCTAATCTTCAATGTATCATAACTGCTGAAAAAGGGTACAGGATTTGGAGACAATCCCATTCTATATAGGGCTCAGAAGTCGTAGGACTCAATTGAGTCACTGATACTCTCCAAACCTCATTTTCTGATGTGTAAAGTAAGACCCTAACTCATTTTTACGTCATTGAGTTGTTGGGAGACGAGAAATAAAAAATGCCAAATGCCCAACCTATGATGGGGAGAGTAAACTTGTGATTCATGTTCATTCCTCCTAAAGAACTGTCACAAGGCAAATCTTCCTTAGACACAGCTTTTTAAATGTATCAGTCCTTAAGAGAACAAAGGAGGGGCAAGTAGGTAAGAATCGTATGAAGGTCCACAGAGTAGGGAGCTAGTGAACATTAACAGCAAAAGGATAAGAATGAAAAGGCTCGAAGAGGGAGACATGACCCTGGACACAAATGTCCAGCACTGGGTATTTTATCAGCTCCAATCCCTGGCTCTCTTCTAAGGGTTAAGATAGCCAAGCACAGCAACGGCTCTCTTTGGACTTCCTTCTTCCATATCACAGTCTAGACTCATGCCTTTCACTTCATCTCTCAACAAGTCTACTACTGTCAAACTGGATCTCTAAGTACATGGAGGCCCCTAAAGGATTATTAAAGTTAAGGAATGCAAAAGTTGGGAAGACACCACAGATCCCCACATCCAGCATTTCAGAAAAATGACAGCTGCCTACACTGGCCACAGCAGGCATGGCTTTAAATGGAGACTCGATTTTTCATAACGTAACTTTAACCCACATAATGAGAAAGAAAAATCCCTTTCCAGTTCTCTCTTAATCCTGATTATATCAAGGAAAAATGTTCATTTGGGTGTCACGATGTCTTGAGCTTTTCTCTAACATTTGTAAATACGGATGATCCCCAACTTACAATGGTTTGACTTTGAGAGTTTAGGATGGTGTGTAAAGGATACACATTCAGTAGAAAGCAGGACACTCTCCTGCAACACCCAGCAACAGCAGCAGTGAGCCGCAGCTCCCAATCAGCCACGATTTTATGAGAATAAACAACTGACACTCTACAGTGTGCGGTGATGCCAGATGATTTTGCCCAACTGTAGGCAAAGGTAAGTGTTCTAAGCATGTTGAAGGTAGGCTAGGCTAAACTACGATGTTTGGTAGATTAGGTGTATTGAATGCATTTTTGGCTTATGATAGGTTTATTGGTAAGTAACGCCATTATAAGTCCAAGAGCATCTGTATTATTATTATTATTATTGAGACGGAGTCTCACTCTATCACGTATGTTGGAGTGCAGTGGCGTGATCTCGGCTCACTGCAACCTCTGCCTCCCAGGTTCAAGCGATTCTACTGACTCAGCCTCCCAAGTAGCTGGGACTATAGGCACACGCCACCACACTCAGCTAATTTTTTTTTGTATCTTTAGTAGAGACGGGGTTTTGCCATGTTGGCCAGGCTGCTCTCGAACTCCTGACCTCAGGTGATCTGCCCCCCTCGGTCACCCAAAGTGCTGGGATTACAGGCATGAGCCACCGCACCCAGCCTGTATTATTTTTTAACACAAAGAAGTCAGTTATAAAGATCAGAGACTTGGATAGGCAAGAATATAGCCAAATATGCATGCTAGAATATAAACAAAAATGGTTGTATTGTTTTTTGGTTTTCACTATATTTACTCATACAGTTACCCTCTATGTAGTGTAAATAATACTTTTTTCAGTTGTAATGATATGAAATTTCCTATGGAAATATGTGAATTTAAGAAGTGGACTGATTCAAAGAGAAATATTAAGTAGTGCAGATGGATTGAAAAGACAATAGAAACTGTTAAAGTGGTGCCTGAAAGACTAACATTTCCGAAACATTGATCTAATCCAATTCCTTTGTTTCACAGACAAAGAAACAGAGACACAAAGAAGGGAAATGGCCTGCAAAAAGTGTCATATAAGAACAAGAAATTTTGAGCCAGATTAGCCTGAGTTTTCATCCCAAACCTGCCAAATACAACAATTACCTTCTGACTATTACCTCATCTGCCTAAGCCTCCATTTATGTCTCCACAAAATGGGAGCCTTCAAGCATTTGCATCATCACCTGGCAGACCTCTAGACACCGTATGCCTGGTCTTGGATATATAAGACCTGTAAGACTACCCCGTGAATGAGAGGCGATTTGTGAGCAAAATCAACTCAATGGCATTTGTGATGGCCAGATATTACTTTCATCCCTGTTCTTAAGACATAATTACTATTTCAAAACTGCCCCAAACTGTCCTTACACTTGTGCTGGAAAATCCATGCAGAGCATCAAGCAAGCAATATGCTAGAGAAGTTAAGCACAGGCTCTGGAACTGAGGCATCCCCCAGTTCAAATCCTAGGTGTTCTATTATAATATTAAAGAACTGTTCAACCTTGGCAAGTTGCTTTATTTCTCTTTGCCTCAGTTTATAGATTTATAAAATAGAGATGAGTATAATACATTGGGCGGATGCCTGGGTCAAATCAAGTAACACATGTAAAGCCGTTAGCAGAGTGCCTGCAACATAGGAAGCATGCACTATAATGCTTCCATTATTATTAGAACATAGTGTCAAGCTGAGCTTCCTCCAGGTCATTCAGCAGAATGGTACTTTGGCTGCTGTGCTGTGTCCAAGATGTGACCCACCAGGTGTGACGGGAGAAGGACCCACAGCTGTATAAAGTGCAGATGCAAACAGATTGCTCCGCACTGCCTACGGGGAATGAGATATGGAGTCAGTGAAGGGTGAATTTTAGAAGAACAACCGATTAAAAACACATCAGTAAGAGAAAGCGGGTTATATGGGTCACGTTCTTCAAGTCATAAACCTTGAACTTAACAACTGCTCCATTCCCCGCCTGGCACCATGCAACACTTCTCCCCCGCTCACCTCTTGAATTTACTACTTTCACTACACTTACATTTCACTTTATGAATCTGGCTTCTTCAACGTGTTTGCTCCTCCTGCACGGCACCAATACCCTGTTTGAAAGCCATTCCTGCCTCCCAAAGGAGTTCTTGTATCTAGAAGCCCATCTTTCTACATTTAATACCTTCTTCCTCATTCTTTATCTCCATCTCTGTAGGGTGTTTCCTAATCAGGTCAGTAAATCATTCCTCCCTCACTCAGTCCCCAATAAGTAAGTGATCCTTGACAGATACTGAAATTTGAGATGCACTATCTGCCTGAGGCTGTGCTATACAGAGGAAGTATAATGTATAATGTCCCTCTCCCACCTCAACTCCTTGGTTGACCCCAACCCACCTACTCAGATTTCATTGCGCCACTCAACAATATATGATTGTTCAGACCTCCACGTGTTTACATATGTTGTTCTCAAGGCCTGAAATGCTCTTCCCCAACATGTCCTCCTAATGTTCTCTTACTAGACCTAATATACCCAATCTACACCTTTCCCTCCTCTGTCTCAATCGCTTCCCCATCCTCAATCACAACCCTTTTAGTTGCTCCTTCCTCCAGAGCCCCTACAGCATGTTGGGGAGATGGTACAGATGGAGAGAAGCTCAGGGGAGGAAGCGGGAGTCAGAGGAGCTCAGTCTGTTTCCCACTCTGCTGTGATTCTTTTTGTTTCCCTAAGTAATTGGTTTAACATCTCTTAATCTGTTTCTTGATTGGTAAAATCTGGATAATAACTACATGCTACCTACTTCAGAAGGCAGCAGGGAGAATTATTTGGGACAGTGCATATAAAATGTTTTATTGCAGTGGTAAATGCTCAATAAATATACATTATTATTATTTTGGAAAATACATATAAATACATATGTATAAACACACACACATAGTCTAGCACTCTCATGCTATATTCAGTTTGGCTAATATTACTCTTTCTCCTGCACTGTAAGCTCCTTAAAAGTAAAGGTCATACTGTCTTGCTCACTTTTATGTTACCAGAATTTAGAACACAATAGGTGGACAACACATTTATCAACTGATTAAACTCCTCTGGAGCAGGAACAGATCTACTTTCTCATTTTAACCACAGCCTCTAGTACAAGGAACAGCCCTTCCATACAAGTTCACTGCATGAACAGATGAAAATGTGGGTGGATGGATGGATTTCCAAGATGCTCTAGTTAAAATGCTTACCTGATACCCAGTGCTGAGGTTATGAACCTACCTCCACTTCCCAGTTTCTGACACCACACATTCAATCTCAAATGCCACAGCCACCACCTAAATATGCAAATAGCTTTGTTCCACTGAAAGAAGTACTCAATCAGATTATCCATTGACCATCCTCTGCTCATGCCTGATATCTTTTTTAACGTAGCCCCTGCAGTGGCTTACAAAAACCCCATAAGCACATAAAAAAATAGAGCCCCAGACTTCTTGCCCTGTTCCCAACATGATCAGTTCTCTCCCATAACTTTAATGCTCCAGTACTTATTTCTTCTCTGCACGAAGACAAATAAAAGACATTGTTGACAAACTTCTGAAAATCAGCAAGAATGCATGTAACATCTTGAATGCAGGTAGCATCCAGATGGCAGCCTAATCTCTGGGAACAAGTGAAATCGAGAGAGCCGGAAGCACCCAAAACCCCTGTCTCATTGAATATTCACATACACATTTGATTCCACCCATGTTGTGTAGAAACACTTTCCAGATTGATCCTGTCTTAAGTATATTTGATAACAATTCCAGACCCTGAACAACATCATTCTAACAATTTTTGTTCTCTTAACTCCATGTTAGACTTTAGTTTCATCTTTTCATCAACTCCCTTGTGATAAGAAGGTCTTCATCATGGTAACAAATTTCTTGGGAGAAAAAAAAATTCTATTTCTGGATGTCTCTATGGAAAAGAATGCTCTATTAGCTGTAATAGTTTCAATCTCTTCCATCCCAAAAGAAATGATTGATCTCACTAATTCCTCAAAGAACATTTCAGAAAGAGGAAAATAAGTGGCTCCAAATATTTTCCACAGGTGATTTCACCTCTTTGCTACCCCATCTTACTGTCTGTTTCATAGCAATACCCTACTCATCCTTTAAGGTTCCATTTCATGGCAGCTTTTTCAACTTCTCCATCCCATGCACGTTAGCCATCTCTAAAGTTGTACCATTAGTTCTAATTAGGTTTATACTAGAAGGTTAAGTGACTCTTCCAAGTTTACTCAACTAGTAAGTAGCAGAGCAGAAACTTGCACCCAAGTCTTCTGAACCAAATCAACGTGGACTCCCTACTACACCATTTCCGATGTGTAAGCTTTGATGATGAGAGTTAACAACCACTGAGCACATACCATGTGTCAAGCACTGCTCTAAGATCTTTAAATTCACAGCAACTCTATGAGGTGGTTTTTTTTGTTTTGTTTTGTTTTTTTAATCACACCTACTTTACAGACAGGGTAAATGAGGCACTATATTGCTAAGTGACCTGTTTGAGATTGCACAGCTAGTTAGAGGGGAAGCCTGAGCTCACACCCAGGCAGTCTAGTTCCAGAACCTGACCTCTTAACCACAAAGCATACTCAACTCTGATGCCTTGACGGTAGGATTTATATCACATTAAATGTACTTATTAAGTGCATGCATCAAACAGTGCATCAAACAGGCCAGAATATAAAAAAGGTACTCTATGTTTTTGATTGCCTGGAGACTCATTTACATACATATTTAATGATGACCTACTATGGGCAAGACATTACCAAGATATTACAGAAGATAATAAATTAAAGATATAATAGTAGTCTGTACTCAAATGTGAAATATGAAACAGACTTACTCTGTTTGATCCATAACATCAACATCAGCCTTTTTGACCCCATGGCCAAATCAAATTTGTAAAACCAATTTTTTGGACCAATGTGAAATTATCAACATTTTCTAGTTCTAGGAAAGGTTATTTAACAAAACAGACACTGCAATCACCGTTACCAGAATTTTGTAAGGGAAAGGACATTTTAACCACCAACAAGAAACAGTCAGGGCATAACATCAAAATAAAATATTACTCTTCAAATTTTGACACCAAATTTTAGACCAGCACTTAAGAGCCATCAGCCTGCCAGAGTTGGCCAAAGGTGGATGACACAGAAAGGTACGTACATGAAAAAAAAACAATTCCAACAGGCAGAGATTGTAACAATAGAATCGCAAGATAGAATTGAGGGGTTCTGACAGTGACATTCACAAAATTAAGAAAGAGAATGAAAATCTCAAAGGCATTTCAGACCACAGAGCTTGTGATTCTATGGTGTTTCCTTCAAGGAACTTAAAATGCTACCAAAACATACTTAGAAAAGGAATAAAGTAAAGGCTTTGGGTTGTTTTATGGCCTTTTCACGTTGGGGTTCTGCCTGTGGTGGATTGTCAAGAAAGGCAGCTTCCATGACATTAATCGGACATGTTAGGTGTCTCTACAGAGTTCACTAGACCCAATGTGGAGGTTGTTAACTAGCAAGAGCCAGAAGGCCCAACTCCTTCACAGATTCCTACCTCTTCTTCAGGTACAGCAGAAAGTTGCCCACATAGACTTACTTCTTGGAAGCTCTCCCTCTTGCCCCAAAATATCAATCACCTTGAAAAGGCTTGGAATTAATGCCTGCAATCCTGCCAGCAGAGTGACTCCGTTTTTACAGTTCCAAGAGATTTTTTTACCCTCAAGAATAATTGCAATCTGCTACTTGCACAGCCCCTCCCTTTACTAGCTCCTTCTCCAAGCTATCCAGGTATTCCTGAAATGCCAATGTGGGCAATGAGGAGATTAAGAGCAGAGACTTTAAGCAGACAGACTTGCCTTTGGCTCAAGCTATGGGGCCCACTGTCTATGCGGGCAAGTCACAGAAACCCTTTTAACCTCAGTTCCCACACCAGTTAAATCATACCTCTTTCACAGGATCTTACTTTCTTTGTGCTTTCAATGAAATGATGAATATAAACCATGAACACCGTGTCCTGCACATACTGTTTGGTTAAAAGGTAGCTATCATTATTATTATTGGACATTATTATTATTATTGAAATCAATCAAACCTTGATTTCACCTTGATCAATGGCTTCCTCCCACCTCTAAATGTAAACAATTATCTGTTGTTACTTCACCCTGTTATTCCCCACATCTCACTGTCCACCCGCTTCCCAACATCTCTGCCTCTGCTTCCTAGTTTCCCTGCAAATATTTTCTGCAAGCCCCAATCTGTTTTACCCCATGGCCACTTTCTCCCAAGCTGTTCCTTCTGCCTATAATGCTCTCCCGACCCCATTACCATTCCCAAACCTAATAAACCTTTTATTTTTTTTAAGACATTTTTAAGGACACTTTTTGGTTCACAGCAAAATAAAACACAGAGCTATCCCATATACATTTATCCAGTCATATGCATAGCATCCCCCATTATCAACATGCCCTATTAGAAATGTACATTTACTACAATCCATGAACCTACACCGATGTATCATTATCACCCAAAGTCCATAGTTTACATTAGGGGTCACCCTTTGTGTTGTACATTTTATGGGTTTGGACAAATGGATAATGACATGTATTTACCATTATAGCATCATACAGAATACATACACCACCCTAAAAATCCTCCATGTTCCATCTACTTATCTCCCCTGCCCCATTCTCCCTTGATAACTACTGATCTTATCAGTATCTCCATAGTTTTGCCTTTTCTAGCATATGTTGGAATTATACAATATACATCCTTTTCAGATTTACTTCTTTCACTTAGCAATATGCATTTAAGTTTCCTCCATGTTTTCTCATGGCTTGATAGCTCATTTCTTCTTAGCTCTGAATAATATCCCCTTGTCTAGATATCACAGTTTATCAGTTTACCTATTGAAGGATATCTTAGTTGCTTCCGAGTTTTGGCAATTATGAATAAAGCTGCTATAAACATCTGTGTGCAGGTATTTGTGTGGACATCAGTTTTCAACATCTTTGGTAAATGTCAAGGACCCTGATTGCTGGATTCTATGGTAAGAGTATGTTTAGTTTTGTAGCTGTCGCTGTACCATTTTGCATCCCCACTAGCAATCAGTGAGAATTGCTGTTGCTTCTTATTTTTGTCAGCATTTGGCTTGGTCACTGTTCTCGATTTGGGAAACTTTTATTCTTTAATATTCACTTCAAGGTCATTCTCTCTTTGAAGAATCTCCTGATCCCATAGGAAGAGGAAACAACAGCCTATTTATGACCCTAGGTCAACACTTACTATGGTGTCATATGTGTGGGCTTTTGGAGGATTTGGACTTTGCCTTATTCATTTCGGTATCACGCACAGTGAAGCCAGGCCTGGTGCATAGCATTCATCCAGCAAATGACCCATTAATAAATAAATAAGCAAACAAATCAAATCACTGACAAGTGAATGCTCTGGCCGGGTATGTGTGGTGTAAATGTAGCATTTCACAATTTGCAAAGCATTTGTGCTTCAATTAAACCATTTGATCCTGACAACCTCCTGGGGCTTTTACAGGAAATCCAGGCTCAGAGAGTTTGAGTTATTTGCCAGGTTGAAACATGGCAAAGAAAAGACTTGAACCCAAGTCTTCCAAGGCCCCTCTCACACAAAAATATAGTCCTTATGAATTAAAACTAAGGACAGTTTATTAGAAAAACCCCCGCGTAAGAGCTTGCTAAGGATAGGGGACAGGCAAAAATTAAGAACAAAATTGTTGGTTCCATTGTAAGGGAGAGTGTAAAAACCAAAATGTGTGGTGCCTGGAGTCCTCCTAGATACACACAGGGGAACACAATTGCACTGGCTGCTTATATGGGACAACTGTTAGTGTGAAGAAACAATTATCAAAAACATACTGGAAACAGATTTTACCAGTCTCCTGATTTCACCAATGGCCAGCCCCATTCCCTGCACTGCATTCCTTGCTACAACTTAAGTTTCAGCTCTTGGAGAGAAGCCGAGAGATTTCTGCAAATGTTTTCTCTTCAGCAGATGGAGCAGAAACCGAGATGCGTTACAAGGAAGATGGATTGGTGCGGTACACTTGTAACAATAAAAATACAGCAACGGTTAAAAGCCGTCTCAGTTAAATAGAACTGGGAACCCGGGGTTGGCCTAAATCTTTTTTTAATTAAAAGTGAAGGAGAATTTCAAAGTTCTATTTCAGCCCCTCAAAGCATCAGTGCAGTGAATGTGGAATGTTTTTGTGCTTCGCTGGGTGTCAGACTGCTTAAGATTTATGTGGGTTCGGGTTGCAGTCAGCGAAAAGCCCCCAGCAGGGGGATCTGTGGAGGGGAAGTGCAGAGGGGAAAACACGTAGGCAGGAAAACCTGGATTCAGATCCGAGCTCTGTTCCTATGTGACACTGAGAAAATTATTTTCCTCTTCCTTCGTATTTCTCTACTCTCAGTTCCTCATTTCTTTCTCCTTCTTAAGCTTCTGTATCATGAACACTCTCCAGCATTTGCTTCCTTTTTCTCCCTCTTCTTCCATCTTTGAAGTCTGCTTTAAGATCTAGATGCACAGTTCACAAACTGCAGTTTCAGGATCACTCAAAACGGACATGTTTGGGTGCTCTTTAGATGATTTTGGATCCTGACCATGGACTTAGTGAGTAAGGTTCCAGGACTTTGAAGGCTGGAATCCTGCCTGTCAATCAACATCCAACGTGTGGTGGGGACACACACCAGCATCTGGGAACAACTGCTCTGGATGAAGGCTGCCAGAGCAGAGGATCTTAGTCTGAGATGCTTTTTAGAACAGGGGAACTTTAACAAAACACTCAAGTCAGAGCCCTACCCGAGAAAATCTGACTTATTGGGTCTGGACAGGGCCTAGATGTACTTACTTTTAAAACAAGCTCTTGAGGGTTAATAACTTATGGTATACAATTACTGGAAAACACACAGCCACGTCAGTAACACGGATGAATTTATACTAAGTTGCCGCTCTCTATCTCTTGGGTGCTTTCTCCTACAGCTCATACAGTTCACATTCCCCTGGTCCCTAAGATCAGCCACATGGGTTTGCTTTGCTGGATGACTCAGGTATCAGCTGGTGCATATATATTTATGACATGCACATTCATATAATATAAAGATATATCTCTCCACATGTATTAAGAAATACACATTAAAAAAAAAGATTGCACACACACTCGCACGTCCATGAACATGTGCACACACACATCCCTACTCTCACACATCAGCACATTCAAAACACATAAACTCCATTTCAAGTACTAGCCCTGGCCGGCTCAATTCTAACAGTGTTAGTTGACACATCTTCAAAATAAAAACTGTAATACCTGCTTCATGGTTGTGAAATCAAATATATATAAAAATGTACCTGCTTCATTATCAGAAACATAGTAGATGTTCAACAAATGTATGTCAAAAACCACAAGTGTATTTATGTCTTTTTTTTTTTTTTTACTTCAAGTTCTGGGATACATGTGCAGAATGTGCAGGTTTGTTACATAGGTATACATATGCCATGGTAGTTTGTGTGTATCTATCAACCCGTCATCTATGTTTTAAGCCCCACATGTATTAGGTATTTGTCCTAATGTTCTCCCTTGTCTTGCCCCCCAACCCCCGACAGGCCCAGGTATGTGATGTTCCCCTCCCTGTGTCCATGTATTCTCATCTATTCATAAACACATTATATCCACACAAGTTTATCCACTTATTAATGCACTTAGAAATCCATGTAACACATTCAAACTCATTTGCACGTGAAAAACTTCCAAGCTTACATTTTATGTGAGCAGCACACACACTTGCATACACACTCACACACAGAGCTGCCCTGATACGAAATGAAGAGCTCTACTCACTCTAAACACTTCTTTAAGCAAGGTTCTTCCCATATCTATCAAGTTATGCCATTGGATCTGAGGTCCTGTAGAAGAACGTGGAAGGCGAAGCAAACAACTACCACACATGAAATGGATGCCAGGTTTGAAAAAAAAAAAGTCTTGGCAATACAAGCCAATGCTTCAAAGGAAGCACAAGGATGGAGATCAACAATAGTTCATCATGTGTATACAAGAGGAAGCGCTGAGGGAAAGTTAGGACTGAACTCCCAAAGCACCTAACAATGCAAAGCACTTTTCTACAGACCCCATAGAAACCAGATAGTCACATATCACTTGTACCCTCTTGAAGCTTACAGTCCTAGGAAAGACCGATGTTTAGGGGCTTATTTTCTGACATGACATCATGAATAAGTTGGGCCAACATGAATAATTATAGTAGGAAAGTCAATGAGCAAAGTCATTATTCCTATTCTGCTTCAAGTTTTCTTTGCTTTTTTCTCTTTTTATTTTTTTATTTTTTTTTTATTTTTGGGACAGAGTCTCACTTCATCAACTAGGCTGGAGTGCAGTGACATAATCTTGGCTCACTGAAACCTCCGCCTCCTGGGTTCAAGCCTCAGCCTCCTGAGTAGCTGGGATTACAGGCATCCACCACCATGCCCAGCTAATTTTTAGTAGAGGTGGGGTTTCACCATGTTGGCCAGGCTGGTCTCGAACTCCCGACCTCAGATGATCCTTCTGCCTCAGCCTCCGAAAGTTCTGGGATTACAGGTGTGAGCCACCACACCCAGCCTGCTTCAAGTTTTCTATTACTCAAGATAAATGTTTGTCTTAGGTATCCGTAAAGTCAGCAACCATCCCAAGAAGAACTTTTATAATGTGCAGAAGCTCCATCTGTCTTTACTATCAGTGCCTTTGGTCAGTATGATTAACACAGTGTTATTAAGCATGACGTTTCCTTCATAGACATTTTTCCTACATAATTATAATCAAGAATATTTATATTTTAGTGCTACATATGTATTTTTTTTGAATTGGGAAAGATGGTGGGCCAGATAACCACAAAATGCTGCTGTCTTTTAAAAGGCTCTCATTTCATTTCATGATTCTATGATTTCTAAGATGTGATTTTCTTTTTTTCTTTTTTGAGATAAAGTCTCACTTTGTCACCCAGGCTGGAGTGCAGTGGTGCGATCTCAGCTCACTGAACCTCCTGCCTCAGCTTCCTGAGTAGCTGGAATTACAGATGTGCACCACCACACCCAGCTGATTTTTGTATTTTTAGTAAAGATGGGGTTTCACCATGTTGGCCAGGCTGATCTCGAACTCCTGACCTCAGGTGATCCACCCACCTTGACTTCCCCAGTGCTGGGATTACAGGCGTGAGCCACCATGCCTGGTCAGATTTAATTTTTATATTCCATAAATATTATACTCTATGAGTCTATTCTGACTGAATTTTTATTGTTCTAAGATTCTCTGATTCCAACATTTGATAAATTATGAAATCCTGCAACTTATGATTCAAAGATGCCAACAGTATGACTCTGACACTGTAATTTACAATCTTAAATCACTATCAACTTCATACAAATGAGGTTTCCAGACCCTTTTCTTTGAGAAAGTAGGAGCCTAAGTCAGGGCCAAAGTGTCTGTATTTGAATGGGGAAGGTAGAGTCAGCATGCAAAGAAAGAATGGCCACTAAAAAGAAGAGCTCTTAAAGCATGCCTCAAGGCTTTTCAAACACCTCCCATAGCTCCAATCTCCTCCTTGACTTCATTTTATGGCCTAAAGATTCAGAACATCTATTGATAGAATTTCGGTACCACCGAGGCAAGCCTCAGCTATTTCTTTTCCTTTTATTCCCAGCATCTAGCACAAGGCCTGGAACATAGAAGACTCTCAATAAATATTGAGCTTGAATGAGCTGATCAAATCATTGTGGTGCTCTTCCTCTTCCTTATTTTTCATTGCCTCCTTCTAACCTTCCTCCACCTTTCCCTCCTTTTCCTCTTTATCCTTCTCCCATCATCCCTTAACAGTACTTTAGAACTTCCATGTATATTAACTATTCAATCCTCATAGGAATCCAGTGATATATGAATGATTATCCCCATTTTACAGATGAGGAACCTGAGGCTGAGAAATGACACTTACCAAAGATCACATAACGCCAGTGTTAGAGTGAAACTCCAACTCTGTGGTCTCATGTTAGAGTTCCTTCCTTTATTCCACGTCTGCTTTATGTTCTTAATAATAATAAAAATATCATCATGAGAAATTAAGAAAACTGTTGCTTAGAGAGGAGGCCCACATTTTCTGTCCCTGAATTTAACTCTGAATTTATTTTCTCAATCAATACCAGTTCCCATTTCAGAGTATCCAATAATTGAGGGCCTTCTACACCCAACTGTTCATTTCATTTTCTAGCCCTTTCTCCTCCTATTGAGAGTGCTGTACATGGCATGTGTTTATTTTTCAATTAAAGCAAATTAAACTTAATTTTGTTTTGAGCACTTTTTTTTTTTTTTTTTTTTTTTTTTTTTTTTTACAATTTCACAGCCCACGGTGAGATAATTGAGACCCTGCTGTTCCTGGAAGCACTATTTAGACAGAGCAGGCCTCAATAGATCTGGAACAATCTTGGAGGAAGTCATCTTTAACCCCTCCCTCTCCCTTGACCCACTAGGGAGAGAATGAGGGAGAGAGAAAGAGGTGAAACTTACATTAAACACCCCTTCTTACCATTGGGAAACTTCCCTTCTTATTATTCTTTGGTAATTTTTTAAAAATATCATCATCATATCTGAAATAATATGGATCATCAGAATTGCTTGTATACATTTTTTGACATGCCTAATATTCTGGTTTTTATGGAAAATACATTTGTCTAGTGTAGAGTTTCCTAAAGTATGCTATACAGAATATTAGTAAAAATTAAATGAAAAAATAGGACAAAATCCATCACTCATAAATCCACTTTTAGAGATGATTTAAAGTGTAAACTAATGATTTCAAGTCATGTTTTAAAGCCTGGGAACCCCTTATTCAAAGCTTACACAAAAATGTAATGAAGCAAGTGGAAAACATGGAGCTGCTCTGATGTGGGTGGCAAGGTGGGGATGATCTCAGATCCAGGCTCACCTGCTCAACCTCTCCCTGCTTTTGTGGTGGGCTTCAGTGGTTTTCTTAGAATCTCCATCGAATCTCAGGCTTCATTTTACAAGTGAGAAAACTCAGGGGATGTGAGGGTCCAGGGAATGTATACATCAGGCCAGCCATGATGGCTCACACCTGTAATCCCAGCACTTTGGGAGGTCAAGGCAGGAGGATCGCTTAAGGCCAGCAGTTCAAGACCAGCCTGGGCAACATAGCAAGAACCCCGTCTCTAAAAAAAAAAAATAAAAATAAAAACTTGCCAGGTGTGGTGGCATGTGCCTGTAGTCACAGCTACATAAGAGGCTGAAGCAGGAAGATTGCTTGAGCCCAGGAATCCAAGGCTACAGTGAACTATGATCATATCACTGCACTCCAGCATGGGCAACAGAGTGAGACCCTGTCTCAGAGAAAAAACGTAAGTATAAATCACTTGACAAATTTCCAGTTTTTATAGGCATTATTGTTCAGGCCAAGATTGAGCAAAACAGAGAAAAAAACTAAGTCTATTTAAATTTGATTTAAGGTGGATGAATGACTTAGAAATTGAGAAAACAGAACTAAAGCTTTCTCCCCTGCTTTGACTCCTGTTCCTACGACAAATTGCTCACTGATCCCCCATATCCCACTAATTAAAATGCTGACTACACAAGCAAATCACATTCATTAAAGAAATATTAGAAAATACAGGTAAGAATCAAAGAATGAAATTCACTACAACCCGTCACCCAAAGATGACTATTCAAATACTAGGATACATCATATAAAATAATCATGCTCTATATGATATTTTGAACCTTATGCTTTTTAAAATTGGTAATTCACAAAAATTTGATGTTGATAAATGTCATAAGTGCCATTTATTGAGTACTTACTATATGTGAGGCATGTTGCGAAGTGCTTTGTACATGCGACATTCATTCTCAACAGCATAACTAGAAGGAAGGTACTGTTGTTGTCAGCTCTGTTTAAAAATGATACACCCGGCCGGGCACGGTGGCTCACGCCTGTAATCCCAGCACTTTGGGAGGCCAAGGTGGGCGAATCACAAGGTCAGGAGATTGAGACCATCCTGGCTAACATGGTAAAACCCCATCTCTAATAAAAACACAAAAAAATTAGCCGGGCGTGGTGGTGGGTGCCTGTAGTCCCAGCTACTCGGGAAGCTGAGGCAGGAGAATGGTGTGAACCTGGGAGGCGGAGCTTGCAGTGAGCTGAGATCGCACCACTGCACTCCAGCCTGGGCGACAGAGCAAGACTCCGTCTCAAAAAAAAAAAAAAAAAGATACACCCTATCTTCATCCCACCTTCTAATGTACAAATGTGCTTTCCTAATATCATTCTTAAGGACCACAGAGGATTCCATTCTATGCTCTGTTTTGTTTTCCTTTTTTCTCCAAACACTCTGATAACATTTCTTCTTCACAGACTTGTACACATGTAATTAGCTGACTTCTTAGAAGGGGACACTTTTTTTTTCCTCAAAAGCATTTGCACCTTCTTTTCTTTTTAAAAATTTGGTATAGAGATAAAGATAAGAGACAGAAATAGAGATAGAAATTATAAAGATCGAGATAGAGATCTAACCCCTGCTTTCACAATAATGTATCTCTTCTTTCTCCCCCTACTTCCTATTGGTTATTCCACTTCAGTCACACTGGTTTCTGTATACACTGACAGTCCCATCTCAAAAATGTTATGCTTGCTGTCTCCACCTGGAATGCTCTTCCCCCAGATATCCACCTGACTCTATCCCTGACTTCCTACAGATCTCTGCTCCAATGTCACCATCCCAGTGAGGGCTTTTCCTACCCACCTATATAAAATACCAAGTCCTCTCTCACCAGGCCATCTGGTCCACATGCATTATCTCCTTTTTCTCTATCACACTTTGCTCTCCAATACACTATATGTTTACTTCTTTATTTATAAATTATCTTCTCAATTAAATGTCAGCTCTATGGTGGTAAGAACTTGGTCAGTTTGATTCCCTGCTGTATTCATAGCTCATAAAAAAGCATCTGGCAAAGGATGAGTGCTCAATAAACAATGTTTGTTTAGCTGGGCACAGTGGTTCACGCCTGTAATCCTAGCACTTTGGGAGGCCGAGATGGGTGGATCACCTGAGGTCAGGAGTTCAAGACCCAGCCTGGGCAGCATGGTGAAAACCTCATCTCTACTAAAAATACAAAAATTGGCTGGGCATGGTGGTGCGTGCCTGTAATCCCAGCTACTCAGGAGGCTGAGGCAATAGAATCGCTTGAACCTGGGAGGCGGAGGTTGCAGTAAACCGAGATCGCACCATTGCACTCCAGCCTGGGCAACAGAGTGAGGCTCCGTCTCAAAAAAAAAAAAAACAAAAGTTTGTTTATGACAGAATGAAAGTCATATTTCATAAAAGGGTATACTCAATATAGATTTCCACCAATGCTGTGTGACAGTGTTCTTTTCCTTGCATTGTTGCCAAAACTGGATGCTGCCATTAAATTAAAAAGCCATTTTGATGATAGCATCGCATTGCTATTTTCATTTATTTGATTACTGGAGAACAAAATATCCTGTATTTTTTACATTTATTGGTCACATGTGTTCCTCATTCCATTTTTAGATAGAAGTCCCACCCCAAGATTATCTTCTGATAGTAGGTGATCTTAATACCATATCTGGGCTCATGTTCTTTTACTAGAGAAGAAGAAATCTGCTTTGGACATTTTCTGGTATATCAGCTGCTCTTCTACCTGTTCTCAACCATGTTCAATATTCCTTTCTTTATACATGCACGTGTGCACGTGCATGTGTGTGTGTGTGTATAAGTGAAGCAGAGAGAAAAACAGAGACAGACAGAGAGATTGCAACATCTGGCTGTCACAATTTGGGCTAACTCAACCCTGCTATTTGCTGGCTTGAAAAAGTGTTACTGTTATGACTGGTGGCTTTGGTGGTTCTACTCCCAGGAAGAATAAGATTCTGGCTCTTGGCTGTGGCCCAGAGTTAGAAAGCAGCTCATTCTATAACTACTGATCCTGGTGTCAGCAGCATTTGAACTAAGGGTGCAGATAAGCATGCTAAGCTAAGATTTCCTGCCGAGGCACTGTGAAGTTAAATTACTATTTTAAGAGGCTATGAAGTTGGCAGCCAGAAAGCACTAGAAGAGTGGAAGATATTCATGATGCTGACAGATAAAGAGAGAAAGCAAAACGCAGATTGTTAAGGAGATTTAAGAAAGCTCCTTCCAGTGGCACCATTTATAACATCTCCTGGAATATGAAAGATGGATGCCTTTCTCATTTAGGCATGTACAGGATCAGGATTGAGGGCAGAGTCTGCATGACAGACTTCATTGCATGAAGATTTGCAATGACTAACCTATCCCAAGACAATAGAGATCAGGCAGCAGTATTCAACCTTGTCTTTGGGACACCACCAAGCTGCTAATCCACAATGCCTTCAGCTGGTGTATAAAGGAATGGCAATTCAAGGACAGAACATACATACATACAGAACATACACTTGCTGATAACATACACTGGGCTTAGAACCTGATGCTCTCACTTATTGTATATCTTGGGGCAAATCCTTTTACCTCTGACCCACAATGTTCTCATCTGGAAAATGGGGAGAATAGTTACAATTTCAGAGTGTTACTGTAAAGGTTAAATGAGATATAACATGTGACAACATGCAAACACCTAATAAAATAAATGAGAATAAGGATGAAGAGGGGAATCATAAGAAGGAGGTTGATAAACACAGTTCACACAAGAGCATCCATCATGCTGTCAATCATCTACTTTCCCATATGCACCTGATGAATACCCTGTCTTATACATTAGAAAACCAAATCAAAAGTGAGATGGGCTGCACAAGGCGAAGGTTCTAAAACCAACTCAGATACGGATTGATCTTAAAAAGAGTTTATATGTATTAAAAAAAAAAAAAAAAAAAGGAGAGTCCAGGCATAGTGGCTCATGCCTGTAATCCCAGCACTTTGGGAGGCTGAGGTGGGCAGATCACCTGAGGTCAGGAGTTCTAGACCAGCCTCAGCAACACAGTGAAACCCCGTATCTACCAAAATATAAAAAATTAGCCGGGCATGGCGGCGTGTGCCTGTAGTCCCAGCTACTCAGGAGGCTGAGGCAGGAGAATCACTTGAATCCGGAAGGCGGAGGTTGCAGTGAGCTGGGATCACACCACTGCACTCCAGCGTGGGCGACAGAGCGAGACTCCATCTCCAAGAAAAAAAAAGAGAGAGAGAGAGGTTGGAATTTCAGCTGGATTGTGTTGAAGATAACTTTCTGCCTTTATGGTAGGTGATCCTATGTCTATATCTGGTCTTTACATCTATATCTCATTTCTGGCCTGTTATAGAGAATTTAAAAATCTGCCTCTATCATTTTGCGTTCTCCCACGCCTTATTCTACTTTCTCACTCTCTCCTCTAATCACTGTTATCCCACTGCCACATGGTGGGGAGGTTAGTAGAAATAATTGAGCACATTCATTTGGAAGGCAGTGCCTTGAACCTAATAATACTTTTTTTCTACATGTTATTTCCAGTTTGAGCACATACCTGAGAGTATGAGCAATGGCTAATCTAATATAAGAGGGGGTGGAAATCATAAAAGGCAGTAACAGTTAATGTTTATATAGTGTTGATGATCTGCCAGGCACTGTCTGAGGCACCTGTCATATAAACTAATTAAATACACACATGCCTCTATGAAGTTACTATTATTATTGTTGTTATTTTTGAGATAGAATCTGACTCTGTTACCCACGCTGAATTGCAGTGGCATGATCACAGCTCACTGCAACTTTGAACACCTTGGCCCACATAATCCTCCTGCCTCAGCACCCCCGAAGTAGCCAGGACTACAGGCATATGCCACCACATCTGGCTAATTATTTTTTAAATTTTTTGTAGAGACAGGATCTTGCTAAATATTGCCCAGGCTGGTCTCAAACAGCCGGCCTCAAGCGATCTTCCTGCCTCAGCCTCCCAAAGTGCTGGGATTGCAGGTGTGAGCCACCATGCCAAACCTGGAGTTACTATTCTTACAGTACTCATTTTACAGATAAGAAAACTGGCACAGAAACATCAGGTAATGTGTTCCACATCAAATAGCTAGTAAGTGGCAGAGCAGGTATTCAAACTCCAGCAGACCCAAGCTTTCAACCTCTGTACTTTCAAGTCAGAAAGAAGTAGATTCAAATCCACAACAAAACACAATTGACTCAGTATATGGCCTTGGTCAAGTGGCATTACTGCTCTGAGCTCAGTTTCAACCTCTCTAGAATGGGGCACAATACTACCTATGCATGAGCTTGTTGAGAATATTCAGTAGGATATCTACATCAAATATCCATTGCAACACAAAGAATATGTCACATGCTTGGCACATCCACTTTTCCACTCCAAGAACGGCTTTAGGGCAGTGACATTTCAGCCATCTCTAAATGTTATGGATGAAGATCCTTCCAGAGCCCCTTCAAATTCCAGTCCATGCTCTGCCTACATGTATCATTCCCACTGTCAGGGAAGAGAGAGCGGTAAGCAAAAACTGGAGCTGACTTGGTAATATTTTCAGGAATCACTTGCAAGGCTTCACTGGACTTTCAATGTTGTTGTCCTATTGATATACATTCAGAATAAAATTCTTTATAAGCTCTCTCAGTCCTCCCTAGCCTCGGCTAACTCTGGCAATAGCATTTGATGTGGACCACTTCACCTAAAAGAACTGTGTCTCCAAAATGTGTCCCAGCAGCAAAACTGTATTACCAACCCTTGCCAGGTAATCTATTTTTCAATCTTTCCTAAGCATACCAAAGTGCTGATTTTCTTTTCTAATGGCCCCTATGCTTGTGCAGATGTTTTTGTCGTCCCAGCCCAGGCTTCCTGTAGGTCCTTCCTTTATCATGCGCCTGTAAACTCAGAACCCATCAAATTCCATAAGAAATCTGGCTTATCCACTACCATGTAAAGGGAAACGTACGTACTTACGGAAGGCAGTTGTCTCTTTCACAGCTCTCTGTTTGCTCTTCTAGGTTTATCTTGGAGCTCCTGGGGACTCTAGGAATTCCACAGCCTACTAGAGTTTCATCTACTTTTGCAGATTGCTAAATCTTAGAATGGAGACTTGAGAATTCACCACTTTTTCCCCAAAAAGCAATCATATCCTGGATGTCTGCCTTTCCTCCAACTGAATCAGCTTGTAATCTGTAACGTGGCTAAACGCGGCTGTTCTCCATTATCCCCAAGCTCCATTATTTCTCACAGAGGTTCCCAATGGCTCATTTGTAGGACCTTTGCAAGGCTAGATAAATTATATCTTAGAAACCTCCCAGGGCCAGTACTGGGTTAACCCTTACAAAGGGTTCTAGCTGTTCACATAGGCCATTTGCTAAGAGCCCTGCTGCTCTGACCTTTGCAGTTTACACAAAAATGGTTGCATGTTGCTTTTGTTAATTACCTTATCAATCTACCTGCCACCCTTGAGGGAATACAGTCTCCTAGCTATCCCAAGATGGCCCCAACTTCCCGGTATACAACTCCGCACCCTGTGAGAAAACCTCTGCAAACTGAGAACAAAATTTGTTCAGAATGATATATTTTGTGTCCTCACCAGGCTCTCCATTCCTGTGTGGGGATAGCAGGAAGTCCGGGTAATTTATGACTCTTCACTTTCTCTCTCATACCCAGTCTCATTCAGTCTATTCTCCTTAAGGCCACTTGCAATCTCCAAAAGATAGTTCCCTCAGGAGACAAAGATCCCCTTCACCCTCATATGAAAAAAAAAATTAATTTCACTTTTTCTCAGCCTCATTATCTCCTTAATTGTCTTTTTTGCCCCCTCAGTAGCAAGGACTGTCTATGGATCTCTAGGCAGTCTTTCTGGGCTGCTGTGTTCCATGAGGACAGTGGGTTTCATGTTAACCCTTAATCACTTTGATATCAGGAGTTGCCACCATGGCATAGAATCACTATCTCACCACCACTCAGCCACACTGTCTCGAAACACAGTCTGTGCTGTAAGGTATGACCTCTTTTAAATTTCCTTATTTTTTAGAAGACATCTAAATCTTATGAGGAAGCACAGCTACTGTGTGTGTCTCTCTCTGCTTTTACAAGAACTTTGTCATGCAACATATTCTTCTTCTTCTTTTTTTTGTTTTTTTTTCAGACAGAGCCTCACTCTGTCACCCAGGCTGGAGTGCAGTGGCATGATCTTGGCTCACGGCAACTTCTACTTCCCAGGCTCAAGTGATCCTCCTACCTCAGCCTCCCAGGTAGCTGGAACTACAGGTGTGCACCATTACGCCCAGCTACAGTTTTTGCATTTTTTTTTTTTTTTTTTTTTTTGGAGACAGAGTCTCGCTCTGTCGCCCAGGCTGGAGTGCAGTGGTGCGATCTCAGCTCACTGCAACCTCTGCCTCCCGGGTTCAAGCGATTCTCCTGTCTCAGCCTCCTGAGTAGCTGGGATTACAAGCACACGCCACCATGCCCAGCTATTTTTGTATTTTTAGTAGAGACACGGATTCACCATGTTGGTCAGGCTGGTCTCGAACTCCTGACCTCATGATCCACCACCCCCCCACCCCCAACCCCTCCGCCCTCCCAAAGTGCTGGGATTACAGGCGTGAGCCACCATGCCTGACTGCAACATTTTCATAAAGCCAGGCAATATACCTTCAGTGAAGCAAGCCACAGCTGGGCCCTTCTCAATTTACAGAAGGCAAGCCTGGAGAGATAAAGATAGGTTCTTGAGGGGGTCTAGATATATAGTGATAGAAGCCAGGACTGGAATCAGGTACCCTGAGTCCCTGTGCTCTTATTGTATAATATTCCGAATTAATGGAGACAGAAAAAGATACTGCCTGTGATCTCTGAGACCTTATAGTTCACTGTCGACATCCTCCTCACCACTATCACTACTGAAGTGTCTTCCTTTAGACTTCCCCTTACCCAAAATTCTCACAGAACTTCTGAAGTGACAATTATCAATCTATCATGAATGATAATTATTTATAGATTTGCAGATCGGTACTATTAGATTGCCAGCACCTAGCAAGATTCATCACCATACCCCCCAAGTCACTTTGTCCAAAGCCTTTCCACGACAAGATATGCAATAAATATTTGCTGATCCAAACTGAAAACTTCCAGCTTTCATTCTTTTTCACAACACTTCATTTAAATTACTTTATCCCCACATATTCATTCTCTCCTTCCTTTTCTATCCATTTCCCCTACTCTTGTTTCTCCTCCTCACTTTACACTGTTGTATCTCCAGGGTATGGCATTCAGAGTAGGAGTAGAAATTAAAATGAGAAAACTTGTAGAAATTACTGATTAAAAATGGACATAATAAAAACCCATCAAAAGTACTTGACAATGACCTTCTGTCAATTCTCAAACTCTCTTTAGTCCTCAAACTACCTGCCTTCCAACCAGAGATGTCAAGGAAAAGATGTCAAAACTTCTCACTCTCCTGTACAGGCCATTGTGATCTGCCCCTGCCTACCTTCCTAATTCCCTTTTATGTCATGTTCCCAATTTGAAAGCTTCAGCCACACTGGCAGGTAGTCCATCTCTTAGACTTCCTAAGCTTGTCCCAGTGAAATGACTCCGTGGCTTGTTTGGTTTTGTTTTGTTTTTTGAAACAGGGTCTTACTCTGCTGCTTGCTCAGCTGTAGTATAGTAGTGCAATCACAGATCACTGCAGCCTCAACCTCTCAGGTTCAAGTGATTCTCCAACCTCGGCCTACGGAGCAGCTGGGACTACAGGTGCCCAGCTGTTTTTTTAAAGATGATTATTATTGTTGTAGAAATGGGGTCTTGTTATGTTTCCCAGGCTGGTCTCAAACACCTGGGCTCAAGCGATCCTCCCACCTCAGCCTCCTAAAGTGCTTTGATTAGAGGCATGAGCCACCAAGCCTGGCCAACTCCATTTTATTCTTCTCTCTGCCTCTAATGCTCTTTCCCCACAAAATTACATGGCTGATTCCTTCTCATTTAAGCCTCAGTTCCAACATCACTTTCTCAGAGGAGGCTTCTCCTGGCTACTCAATCGAAAATTATACCATCCACATTCCTTTCTACCACATTACCACGACTAGTGGTGTGACATTTAATATTATATAAAATTATCTTGCTTATCTATTTGTTTACTCATTGATTATTCATCTCGCTCCTCTAGAGTGTGAACTTAATGAAAACAAACAAGGCCATGGCCATGTACATGCTACATTTCTAAAGCCCAGACCTGTGCTATTCAATAGAGTAGCCATGAGCCACATATAGCTATGTAAATTAAAATAAAAATTAATATAAGTTAAATAAAATTAAATATTCAGTTCATCAGCAACACTGGCCACATTTCAAGTGTTCAGCAATCATACATGGTTAGTGGCTACCATATTGGACAGCACAAAAAACATGTCCATCATCACAGACAGTTCTATTTGACAGCTCTCGTCTACAGCAATGTTTGGCAAACAGTAGGCACCCAATAAATATTTGTTGAATAAATCCTCACTCAATTTCAGGTCATCCCTCCCTTTTTTTTTTTTTTTTTTTTGGTGGCATCGAAGCCCTAAAAGTGAGGTAAACTAGACAATTTCCCTAGGACAGTATTCAGGGTGCCAAGAGGCCTCCAAGCAGATGCTACAGAAGACAGGGCTGTGAAGACAATCCCCTCTATTCAGAAAGAAAACTGTTGTGAAATAATTATGTTTTCATAATATTCGAAGAACTGAAAACTGGAAGAGAATTGCACTTGTGTGATTTCAGAGACATATGGATAGAAGGATGATTTAGGGGCAAAGTAAGAAAATATTCCAACAAAGCTCTTCAAATATGACATAGGCTGGTTTGTGCGGTAATGAACTTGCTATCACTAAAAGTACTAAAACTGAGACTGAATGGTCATGTATTATTGGCATTACAAAAAGGACTCGTCATTCCTGAAAACAGAAAAGTTTGGTCATTGAGAAACCTTCAGAGGTTTTCTTTGATCCAGTGACTCATGACACCTTCATACCATCAATTTCAAAGAGCTCATAATAACTCCCAGCTATTCCTAGCACCTATTGAACAACCCGATGTTGCCAACCATTCATAATAGTTACCATTAACTCAGTGGTCCAGTGAAAAGAGCAGAGATGACGTAAGAAGGAAGACAGTTTCAAATTCTAGCTGTGATGGTTGTGTGACCTTGATCAAGGAGTCTAACCAACCTGGGCTTCACTTTCCTCTTCTGTAAAAGGGGCTGTATCTGTCCCACTGGGTGGAAAGAACGACTACATGAGAGAACAAAACTAAAGACCCTGGAACACAGGAAGTCAATATTCACTTCCAGGTAGGGTCTAATTTTCATCTGTCTATATTATCATTGGAATCCCCATATTCTTGGTATAGGCAAAAATGCCGTAACGGCATTGCTTTAAATGAACATGAAGCAATTGTTAGCTAGAAAGTGTGAGAGACAGAGAGAGAGATGACAGTTGCTATTGAGATGCAACAGGAAATGCAAGGGCAAACATTTATAAAGCAACTACTCTGTGTCAGTCCCTGGAATACAAAGATGCTCCTGAGACCATACTGAAGAGGGTAAGATAGACCTATACCCCCAGCGCTATAAAGCAGGGCAAACAGAGACACAAACTAAAATAGAGTTTCAGATAAAATGGTACAGAAAAATCAGGTGATAAAGAGATTAATTCCAAAATAAGATCTTGAGAAGACTTCTTGGAAGGGTCATTTGAGCTAGATGTTGAAATATGGGTGGAATTTTGTTAAAAGTCGTGGCTGAATGTGGGAGATGGTGGAAAGAATAATAAAGATAATCTTTGCAGAAGGGAGCACAACTGGAAAAATTATTTGAAGAATGACATTTAAGGACCTGTCTTCTTCACATGACCTCCATCTTGTCTTTAACATGGTTACCAGTAGTTCAGCAGCCAATTTGTTAAGCTTTGTATTTCAGCAAGGGAAAAGCAGGAAAAGACGGGTAGGGTATGTCTAACCTTAATGGCCCATTCAAGTGATAATGTACTGGTGATTTCCTCTAAGGAATTGGGAGGGGAAAAGAGACAGGTTGCAAATCAAAAAATGTCTCCTTGCACAACTGAAGGGGCCTTTGGGCAAAGACCTTTTCAGAAAAATAGAGGACTTTATGATCCATAACATAAACTCTTGCAAGCACTAAGAAAGAGATGTTGAATTCGAACCTATCAGGGGAGGGTGTTTTTACAATTCTTGCCTGTACCAGCGGCAAAGATACTCATTGCAGCCTGAGCTGGGTCGTCTAAACTCAACGGGGGCCCAAGAGCTGATTTGGCATCTCTGAGCTGTTTCTCCTTGGTTGAAATGGAGTCACAGCTCCCCCTTCTGGGAGCTAAAGTGCCATCTAGCCCCGGAAAATCCTGCATGGAAAAGGCTCTATTGCAGATGGGCCTAAAACCCCCATGTTTTTCAGTATCTGCCTGCACCCCGAAACAGGCATCTAGAAGTCTAAGAGCACGCTTTTGAGTGAACTCGATTCTGACTTCTCCAGGGTCTCTCTTTCACAGGGCTTTACATTTCTCCTTCCCTGGAGTTTATGGGTCCTACTCTTCACATGGGAGATGCTTTATATGGGAGAACACAATTTGGTGTGGAGGTTCTCTTTTTTGGAAATGTAGCAAGCAGGAAAGGTTTCTGGATCTTTGTGTGCACATGTGTGTATAAGCACACCTATGCATGTGTGCTTGCATATGCTTCTGTGCCTGTAATATGTATTAATGTCTAGGGGTGAGATTCTAATTAATATAAAGAAATTAATTTGCCTGAAGTATTTGCACTGGTAGATGGGTGTACATTTTGCTCTCTGGAAACCAGTGCATTCCTTAATAAAAATCTTAGATACAGACCAGACACTTTGCTGGGTTCTGCCTACCAGTCACACTCAGTACTGGGTCCTTGCTTGTCGGTAATTCCCTAAAGACATTGGAGAAGGAATCTATGTTCTCTCTCTGTCTCTCTCTCAGTCCTCCCCCCACCACCGTGTGTGTGTGTGTGTGTGTGTGTGTGTGTGTGTGTGTGTGTGTGTGTGTGTGTGTGTCTTTCGGGAATAGTGATTGAGGCATTGGATCTTTTCTCTTCAGGGCCATGTTTCCAGATAGAAAAACCCTGAAATGCATCTCTGAAAATGTGAAGTTTGATGAGGGAAGACAAGCGATTGTCTTGGTAGGGGTCATGGTGGCAGGTTGGCAAGATAGGGGTGGGAGCAATATACAGTCCTAGAGTGTATATTGCTGGGAGGAGTGGAAAGGGTATTGATCTAGCTGATTGATAAGCCTAGATTCTAGTCCTGGGCATGCCACTAACCCACTACTGAATGTTGGGGAATTCTCATTCCCTCTTTAGGCCACAGAGTCCTGCCTTTCTGCTCTTTAATATTCCTTCCAGTTTCGATCGTCTGTGAATTAGGAAAGAGAGAAAATGAGGCAGTTCCCAAAAATGGGTCTCCTCCTTGGCCCTAGTACCCCCTACCCAAGATAATCCAGGGAGCTCTGCCCTGACATGAGTTTCCTGAAGGAGATTCTCTGTGGCTATGTGAAGGCTTCAGCCTGAGGTATCAGCCTCTGGACAGAGAATGGTATGTCTGCAAGTGCCTGCAGGTAGAACCCACCCACTAGGGCAGGTTCCTACAAATACATGTTTGCTTTTATCTCTCCCCAGAATATGAACACATGTGTGTGTGTGTGTGTGTGTGTGATTGATATATATATATATATATATATCTTCCTAGAATATATGTGTACATTTTTTAGGCCAAATATATTTCTACTTTTTTCCCCTAAGAGGGCTTTTCAGCGGCCCCTCCGTGCTGAGCTAGACAAGAGGCTGTGTCCCAGCGTCACAGCCCTTGTCTTCTCCTAGCCTCCCTGCCTGAGAGCAGAACGGCTGCCGCTTACCTTGAGAAAGTAACAGCTGCCGAGTCTGGAAGCCATGCTAACAGCAGTAAAACTCAGCATTTTTGCTGAGTAGGGCAAGCCTTTAAGAGGCAGCTGGGAATCAAATCAATGGCTGGCCCCAGAGCCCAAGCCCAACAGTACCAAGCCAGGGTGGCCAAGGGACCTACCTAAAGAGCCTCCCAGGAGATGGAGGAAAGAAGAAAGAGGGCCTTGACCCAAACTACCTTCCTGGCTGAGATTCCTCCACCGCCCCCCTGCCCTTGGCAGTATTTTGGAGCCAAGTGAGAGACGCGAGGTGCAAACCGACAGCAGTTTAAGTCAATTACTGCCACATTCTGTCATGGGTTCCACACTCACAGCCCCTTTTCAAATTGTAGATCTCCCTCAGTACTGAAACACTCTCTCTCTCTGTCTCCCTCTCTCTCGCTCTTGCTCTCTCTCTCTCCCTCTCCACCTCTCTGCCTTCTCTCAATATCCCCCTAACTCCAGGGGAGCCATGGAGAGGCATATTTAGGGAGAGACTCTCTGGGGGCTTCCCCGCCTGAAATGGGGAAAGAAAGACGAATCTGTCTTAGGAAAGTGCCCCATCCATCTCCTTCCATATCATCCACAGCCGCCCCAGATGAAATTTCCTCTGAGACCCTTTGCAACTGTGATGGATGAGCAAGTCCCCGAGGACGCTTTCTCCTTTCCCCTGAGGGGGATCCATGCAAACTTGCCAGATCCTCCCCAAAACCAACAGAAGCCGGAGGGGCTCTGTTGATTGCAAACGGGGATGCAGGGTAAATCCCTATCCCAGACTTTCCAAGCCCCAGATAAGGAGCCCACCGCTGACTTCCCCCTTTCTCTGTCACCCACTATCCAGTGTCTCCAAATTCCCATCAGAATCTTGGAGTCTGCCCAGTGTAGAATTTAAAGTGACAGCGTCTCATTTGCCTCGGGGGTTGGCCATGTCTCTTTCATATTAAGCTGTGGGTCCCAGTGTAGCAGGATTCCACCGTTTGGAGGAATTTTCCTTCAAGCGTACCAACATTGGGCTAAATAAGGTGCCATCTACAGCCCCATAATCCTCCCCAAACCCCAAGCCCAGAGCCCCAAGAGGAAGTCCACAGCGGGTTTCCCGGTGACTACGTGATCCTATAGTAAGGGTCCCATTCCGTGTAAGCTGGAGAGACCTAATTAAAAAGACACACGAGGGCACACATACAAACACATACGTACAAACATGCACACACACATCGCGCCGTAAGTAGGTTATAGGACCTCTCTCTCTTCACCCCTCCCTTACACACACGGACACACACACACACCACGAACACACGCATCAAACGCAAACGACGCCGCACACGCAAACACACTAGCACCACATCAAGTTCCCACCATGGTGCACACGTCGGGAGCGCGCGGGGACACACACGCCACTCACTCAAACCCGCAATTAGCCCTTTGAGCCCCAGGCACAGGAACCCCCTCCCTAGAACTGGAGAAGACTTGGAGGCGGCGGGGCGGCCAGGTGAAGAGCGGACAAGGGTGCCGGTAGGGGGAGGGGCAGAGGAGCGCGGGGACGCCCCGAATGCGGCCCGGGGCCGGGTCCAAGGGCAGCGGGGCTGCGGGGCGCTGCACCCGGCGCCGCCTTACCTGGAGTCAATGTCCGTCTTTGGCGGAGAGCTGCGGGAGGACGCTTTTTATTCGGCTCGGTGGGAACTTGGGAGAGCCCTGCGTGCAGCTCGCATTCCGGGCACGGCGCGGGGACTGCAGGCGTGGGGGTACCTGGCTCCTAGCAGCCTGGCTCATACTCAGCCGTAAAGTCCCCTTCGCTGGTCCCGAGGACAGGCATGAATCCCGGCTCCGGAAGGCGGTCACTACTCCCTCTGCCTCCCGGCTCTCTCGCTCTCGCTCTCGCTGTTGCTCGCTCGCTCTCTCCCTCTCTCGCGGGTTCGCTCGCCTGCGCTCTCCTCCTCCCCGCGCGCCAGATCAGTTTGCAGCCGTGGGGTCCGGGAGCGAGGCGGCTGGCGAATGGAGAGGGAAGTCCAAGTGCGCCGCGGTCTCCGGGCGGGGAGCGGCGGAGGCCGGGCTACGCCGGGGGAGGGACTTAGCCGGCGACGGCCGAAAATGAATGGGGGAGCGGCGGCCGGGGGGCGGGGAGGGAGGAGCTGAACGCCGGGGTTGCTTCCGAGGAGTGTTTTGTACATCTTTAGGCGGAGGAGGAGGAGAAGCGAGAGGAGGAGAGACGGGAGGCCGCCTCGAGGGAAGGGCGGCCCGGGTGGGCTGGGGCTGAGCCGTAGGGAGTTTCGTGGGTCTGGGGCGTGTAGGGTGTTGTGTCTATGCGCACGAGCATCCAAAGGGACCGCGCATACGCGCAAACCCGGAATCCTGGTGCCCTTAAGCGTGACTGTACTGTGTGTGTCGCGAGTACCTGAGTGTTTCTGGGGCGGCAGGTGTTTCCACGGCCGCGTGGATCCATCGAGTGTGGGTTTTGTCTCGGGAGTTGCCCGTGTGGGTCCGTTTGTGTCTGCGCGTCTCTCTGTGAGTGTTTGACACTGTTTGTTTCTCTCGGTGTGTAGGCGAGAGCCCACGTAACCTCCCAGAATGAAGCAAGAGCTTCTCTACGTAGGCAGGATGTAGGAGGGAGAAGCTGAGGGGACACGAAGTTCTCTGGAGACCACCAGAGGCGGGGAAGGGGCGAGGGTACAGGGACTAAGACATGAAAATAAAAAGCAAAATACTCTGCAATCAGCCTGAATGCAGGCTGGGGCTGCTAACATAGGGCCTCTTCCTGAAGCAGAAAATAAAGCCCTCGTATGATAATTCCCACACAGCGCACATTTGGTATGTTTGTTTACTTTGCTTCCCTTCTGATTTAAACCAAATCAGCAATGCAGATCCCTAGTCCCCTGAAGATTAGGCAAGAATAGAAAGCATTAAGGCTACCAGATGGAGGGGCAGGAAGTCATAGGAAAAGGTGTTGGAATATGTAAAAGAGCCAGATTCAGTAGAAGTGCAGGCTCCAGAGAGGTTGGAGTCCTGTAGCTGTCTGGTCTTGGTGAAATCACTTACCCCTTAAGCCTCAATTCCTTGTCTGTTTAATAGAATAATAATATATCTACCCATCTAATAGGGTTGATGTGGAATTGTAATGAGTTAATATATGCAAAGGCACTTAGACTGCTCATGAGTTAATGTATGCAAAGGCACTTAGACTGCTCCCTGACACCTAGTGAGTGCTCAGTGCATGTTGTCTGCTTTTATGATTGCCATTGTATGTTTTTTGTTTGTTTTTTAATTCAAAGGATGATAAGAGAGAGATGTGACCACCAGGGAGGCCTAGAACAATCTAGGAGCCAGTGAACTAATTGGAGGAAGAGGAGTCTTGAAACAAAATGGAAGAGAAATGTTTGAGTGATGAACTGGGAACTCGGGAAAAATTATTTAATCGACAAAGAGAAAGGGAGAAAGAGAGGAGAAGACATCGAGCTAGCCAGAATGATCCTGGGTCTCAGAAGGTCAGGACTGAGGGGAGAGGAAAGGGAGAGGAGGAGCAGCCAGTGCAGAGCTTCTCAGCCTTCACTGGAATCCCAATGAGGAGGAGTCAGCACCACGGACAGCTCTCCAGCCACAAACCCAGTCAGCGATTTCTATTTTCGCCTGGTGGAAATTTCTCCCTTTTTTCTTGGGCAACTTTCTCTTTCCCTTGGCTTCTGGTCCAGGTTCAGGTCTTGAACACAGGTTCCCCAGGTCAGTTCTGACTTTGATTCTGACCACGAAGAAATACGCCCACCACACACACTCCTTCTCCCACCCACCGCGGTATGAAACCCCAGGTCACTATCTCTTGCCTCTCCTCCTTTCTTTCTTTTCTCTCTCTCTCTTTCTGTCTGTGCCCCATTCCTTCCTTTATTCGTCCCTATCTTTCTCTTTGTTTCCCCATCATCCCCCAGCTGAGATCTACTTCCATGACTGTTAGTAGGCAACAGCTGCCCTGCTGATAATGCAGTTCTGAAATCAATCTGAGACAACGTAGTCAGGCAACTTCAGGTGAAGACCAAAGTTCTGACTGATTCTTCTTAACCCTTTCCTTGTAATCAATCTCCCAAGATGGGTTGTGGTCTACATACCTTAGAAAGTGGGGACTTAATGCTTTGGAATACTGTCCAGTCTTTCTCTTCCTCACCCCACCCAGTCAATATTTCCCTAAAGAAAAAAAGAGCTCTTCTAGTTCCAACCAATACTACACAGAGAGAAAGAGGAGAGAGAATTTTGAACTTTTACCGTGCACCAAGCATTTTATTTGCAATGTTCTGAATATTATTGCTTACAGTTCTGAAAATACTTTGCAGTATGAATAGATAATACTATCCCATCTTTATGGCATAGGAAATTGAGTCTTGAAAAACTTGAGTATATGCCAAACTAGCTATATGCCAAAATATAGCTAGTAGGTGATGGAGTCAGGAATTCAACACCCAAGTCCAAGTCCAAAATCTTTATCCTCTGGGAATAATGGGGAAGCCCTGGGGTGATTGGAAGTTCTTGGAATTTTATGGGGTCACTGCACCCAACCCTAAATATCAACTTAGATGTCTGGATCCATTGCATTATCTGTGTCCCATCCCAATGGATGATTTAGTGTATCTTGTCCCTGGAGAAGGAGGTGAAGACTTTGCATGGACAGATTTAAGGCTCACTCGAGCCTTATGGTTTCTGAGTTTTGAATAAAATGCCAACCTTTCCAGGTCTTAGTTCATTTGCATTTGGCTCAGTTTAGCTTTCCTGTTTCTATGAAGAAAGGCTAAGAGGGCCATTTTAAAATGTCTCCGAAGACACCTTGGTCATCAGAAAAGTTCTCAGTGCAAAGCATTTCTAATGACTTATGGAGAATGCAATCAAAACCATATGGATAACATTTTTGCAGAAATACACACGGGTGGGAAAAGGTTTAGAGGCCAAAAATATATTTCTTTTTTTCTTCTTTGCCAAAGAAAGAACATTTAAGGCAGCTTGAGATATGTGAGAAATGTCTTGTTCTTTCTTTGGGGTGGGTGTTGGTGAGCAGCTGTTTGCTATTTCCACCGAATTTACTAAGGGCTTCCATGGGGAGGAGCTGCCAACAGATTAGGATAGACTTAAGAAAGAACTTCCTGTCTGTAGATTTTGGGGTGACACTAAAATAGGACCTTTTGTACAATGGCATTTAATAAGAAAATGGAATGTTTCACAGCATTTCATTCATAGTATGATAGATTTGAAAATCAATGGATAATATTTTTAATATCACAGACTGTTTTAAGAACCTCACTATTGCTATAGACCCTCTCTGTTGTGGAAAATGTACTATAAAAAATCTCACACAATTTTACATGGAGTTTCACTAAATTTGTCTTTGCCAATCTCATTTGTGAATATCTATCCCTGGACCCCAGCTTTAGGACTCTAGAATAGGTGGCTTTTCTGGCCTGTAATCTGACCTTAGATTTTATAGGTTGCTTTACTTAGACTTAAGCTTAAGAAATTGCAAAGGGAAATCCAGTGAATAAATTAATAAACAGGTAAGCATCATTTTTTTCTAGAAATAGACAAGAAATATAGATAAATGTTCAGTGATGAAATGGAGGTTTCACTTACCCCTCCTTAAATAAAGATAAGATTTTGTCCTGTTTGTGCAGGACTCTCAGCCACCTGCCACTGTCTCAAAAGCTTAAGTTCACTACTCCTGTCAAATCTCAAAGGAGTTAAAATCCCTTAATCTGGGGTGCTTTGGGTTCAGAATAGGCTGAACAACTGCTGAAAGAAGCCTGTATTTCTTAAGCGCCTACTGACTGTGAGGTAGTATGAAAGATTCCGAGATAAATATCTTGCCTGGTCTCTGTCTTCTAGGAGTCTGAAATCCATTGCAGAGCCATACTCATGCCTAAATAATCAGAATACACCATAGAATGTAGCAGGCATGCTCAGGGTCTATAGGAAATATTGAAAAGCTAAAAGGAGGAAAATTTTGCCTCAATGTTAGGTATAACATTTTACACCTATAAACAGCTATTTTTCTTTAGTTTTAAAAACAGTTGAATTCATAATAACTGATATTTATTGAGTGATTAATATGTGTGAGCAACATTTAAGCCTTCCATGTCTCTCAACTAGGCTATTATGAGCCTCTTTTCATTGAATAAAAAACGCTGGCCTAGCGCAGTGGCTTATGCCTGTAATCCCAGCACTTTGGGAGGACAAAGCAGGTGGATCACGTGAGCTCAGGAATTCGAGACCAGCCTGTGCACCATGAAGAAACACTTTCTACAACAACAACGACCAAAAAAAAAAAAAAAAAAAAAAAAAAAAAAAAAAAAAAAAACTACAAAAATTAGCCAGGCATGGTGGTATGCCCTTGGGAGTCTGAGCTGGGAAGATGGCTTGAGCTTGGGAGACAGAGGTTGCAGTGAGCCGAGATCACACCACTGCACTCCAGGCTGGGCTACAGAGCCAGATCATGTTCCAAAATAAAAACTTCTATGCCTCTTAGTCTCTCTCTCTCTCTCTCAATGTCTCTCTCTCTCCTTTTCTCACTCTGTCTCTCCCTCTCCCTATCTCTCTCCCCGCTTTCCTCCCTCCCTCTCTTTCTTTTCTCCTTCCCAGCCCATACCAACTCTGTTTGGGCAATGTGCTTAGAACACAACTCTCATCCATCATTCTACTTATCTAAAACCTGGTAGACTTTTAACTGTATACCAAAGTCAGAACCATTTTACTCAGAATTTAATGCCCTCCATCATTTGGTCCTGGTGTTTTTGTGGGTTTTTTTGTTTTTTTTGTTTTTTTGTTTTACAAATTTATTTATACCTAGTTATCACCCTGTACCTTCTATGCTAGCAAAAATGAACCGCTCACTGCTTCTTCATTCCCAGCTTCCTTTTCTCTGTGCATGCTGGTCCCTTTATTCCCAGGTCTTTTTCTCCCTAGCAGCCCATCATTTCTGCATGACCAAATCTTACCCTTCCTTAAACATTTAGTTCATGTGCTTTATCCGTGACCACTTCAGTTAGGATAAAGCACATTTTTACATGAAGTGTACAAAGCTGTGCATGATCTGGCCTTAACCTTCCCTCTAATATCATGTCCCCTCTCTCTACTCCAGTCACACTGGCTGTCTTCCAATCACTAGAGTTTACCAAGTTCCTTTCTGCCTCTAGGCTTTGTGCTTGCTTTCCACTCCTAGCCAAGTCCTACTTACCCTTTGAGTATCTGTGTAAATGTCACTTCCCTGACCCCCAGAACAAGGCTCTCATTTCTCTCACAACCCTGAATGTCCCTGTCACAACATGTATCATCACTGTAATTCAACAATTATCAGTGACATTATTTGTTTTATATATGTTACCCCAGCTAGAACTAAAACTCAAAGGCATAAAAGATATTTTCATGGTGAGAGCTTGGTACATGAAGACACAGTGTATTTGTGTGAACTATGCCCTATGTCCCAGGAACTGCTCTATGTACTTCACAAATGTTAATTCATCTAATCCTTTTAACACCCCTATGATGTCATTATTGTCATTATGATTATTACCTCCATATTCAGATGAAGAAAGTTGAGGCACAGAGAGGCTGAACAAATTGCCCACTATCATATGTCAGAACCAAAATTCGAACTGAGGCCACCCTGCTATAGAAGCCAAACATGGCCGCTAAGCTACCTAGCCCTTTACATGGGAAAAGCCCAATACAAATGTATTCAATAAACAGAAGTTTTTTCTCAAGCCTTCAGTCTTTAAGTTATCCATTCTCCTCTAACTCTGTGGCATTCTTCACTTTCTTTCATGACGATTATTTGCATATGTGAACCTTGCTCTTGGTATTCCCAGCTATCGGCTCTGGTTCTTCAGCAAACATACCGAATCTCTGGAGGCATGCTTCTACCTACTAACTCCTTGACCAGGATTTGGACCCTTCTTAGTCTCCCATCAGGCTCTCCCAGCTGTGAACATGGATGTGTTTGGACACGAGAGTGTGCAAAATGATTTTGTTAGACATGCCCAGCTTTCTCTCTCTCTCCTCCCTCTCCTTTCCATGTTGCTAAAGTTCTAGCTTCGTTAAGCCTGCGCTTGCCCAGGGCTTTGCCCTGGTGACATACAACTTCCAAAAAAAGGTTTTAGGAAAGGTGTTGAAAAAATATTATCCTGTTTGCCGAAGCTCAAGGAACATCCCTATTGCAAATTCGTTCAATATTCTACTTGAATTAATAATTCAGTATATGCAAGTTCTCTTGAAATCTCAGATAGTATCTTCCTTGTTTTGCTCTGACTTTTTGGTTTTTGTTTTGTTTTGTCTTGTTTTTTTAGCAATCTCACTTTTTGTGATGATGGAAAGATGAGGTAGGCACACCAGGTAGCCCCTTTATAGAGGTGACATAGAGGCTTGGGGACAAAGAATGGCTCATAGAAGGATAACCCTTTGTAATGATGGACCCACAGCTTGAACCAGGTATTCAAACTCATCAAGGCTGGTGTACTGCTTCTCTCTTTATTTCTGTGTTAAACACTGCTTTAGGTGGCTTAATGATCAATCTATTCCACTTCAACTCATTCCCTCCTAACTCCTCTTTCTAACAGGCAGCTCCTATCATTTCTCTCAAGCTCTGCCACACTCCACGAGGGGGAGCCCTACTTAGGTTATTTTTAGCACGTGCCTCCTCATGTCCATTTCCCTCTTCTGCTGTCAGTACCTTTATTTTCCTTTAGGAAACCACCCTTCTAAGTTTCTCACTTCATTTTGTTCTAGAGGTGCTGCTCCTATCCCCTGGCTCTAGGGCACATGACCAAGGTTGGCCAGTCAGGGTGTTCTATCCCACTGGTCACCGTGATTGGTATAGGCATGGAGATTGATACCCACTGGTCCCAGAGAGTCAAATCCAGAATGTTTGCTGGACCCATTATTAAAAAGTACTCCTAAAATCAAAATAGTGATAATGGGCATATTTAGCTGGTAGGATTCAAACCTGGAGTTCTGAAAATGACCTTTGCCACTGCAATGAAGAAGTCCGACTGGGAAGGAAGGAAACATGGAATGGATCCAGAGGTTTCTGAAGTCTTCAACACATACTTAACTCTACAAACCAATCGCTTTCCTTTCTATTTTAAACAATTTGGTTTGGGTTTCTGTCACTTGCCACCAAATGTATCTTAAAGCATTATAAATCAGAGTGACAGAGTTTTAGATACAGAACTTTGAAACATTTGATTCAGAGAGACCAAAAGTAGAGAAATGAAATTGGAGCCAAGTGAATTTCTATTAATTCAATTCTACCTCTAGTAAGCCCTGTGCCCTACACAAGTCAAGTCTGTTTGTCCCTCTGGGCCATGTATTCTTAACCTATGTGGTAGGCAGAATTCTGATATGACACCTAATGCCCCCTGGCCATGTAGAATTCCTTCTACTTTGAGTGTGGGTAGAACTTGTGTATATAATAAGATATCACTCTTGTGATTACATTATATTATATGACAAAAGGGGGATTATTATCTTGGGTGGGGCAGCTAAACCATGTTAGCTTTGAAAAACACGTTTTCACTGGCTATAAAAAAGGAAGTCTGAGAGATGTGCTCCAGCTAGCCTAAAAGGAAGCAAACACCCAGATTGTGAACTGCCTATGGAGGATATGTAGCAAGGATCCATGAGTGGCTTCTAGATGCTGACAGGTGTCCCTGCTGACAGCTAGCAGGAATGACCACAAGAAAGGAAATTCTGCCAACAGCCAATGAACTTAGAAGAGAACACCAAGCCCAAATGACAACCACAGCCCTAGATGACCCGTTAATTTCAGTCTGATGAGATCCTGAGTGAAGTATCCAGTCACTCTGCTTCTGGACATCTACAGAAGCAGTGAGACAATAAATATGTATATTTTAAGCTATTACATGTGTGGGAATGTGTTGCATAGCAATAGAAAATTAATATACTCTATAAATATAGTTTTATCAAAATGTCTCCGTAGTCTTCCCTTTCAATTCCACTATCACTTTCTTAGGTGGCAATAACTTCTGGTGCTAAACTATCTGGGGATTCCCATAATACATCCCAATCCCTGATAATCCATCTCATGTCTATTCATAAACACCTTCCAAGCTAGAGAGGGAAAAAAACACCCTCCCACCCGACTTGCAAAGCTATTCCATCCAGCAACTTATTTTCTATATAAAGTCTTATCCTGTTGATGCAGTACATTCCATCTGGATAAACATAATTATTGAGGGTGGGGATGTGAAAATGAGTTTCCTTTGCCCCCACAGCTTGCTCCCAGTAAAATGGTCTTCTGATCCAGCGACATCATTTTTTGAAGTGTGAATATACACTAATTATTTTCAAGTCAGTGAGCTTAGTGGATGTGAAAAATAGACTTTGGAGTCAAATAAGTTTGAGCCCAAACCTGTCATCACACATTTTGGGAAGAAACACAGTAAGCCTTACCAGGAACCTCACATGCACCATTCTCAGTGTCCGAGTCTCAGTGTCCTTATTTTGCAAATGAGGATCCAACAGTTTACCCAGAACTTATGTTTTGAGCATCTTCTCTGAACCAAATATCTAGTCTAATGGCAATGAATAGGTTACTCTCTTTTGGAGCATATAATCTCATTAGGAAGTAATATTTACACTAATAAGGTTGTGGTAATGATTAAATGAGATAAGCATTTAGCATGGAGCCTGACAGCCTCATTCAGTGGGAGCCATGCTTGGAGGGGTTATGGCACCCAAAAGGAGCTATATGATTATTAATAACAGTATTTATTGAGTACTTACATCAGGTCAGGCATTTTTCAAAATTCTTTTCTGTGTATTAACTCATATAATCACCACAAAACATCCCAAGAGGTAGATGTGATTATCATCCCCAATGAGAAAAGAACTGATAAGTATCAGACTGAGATATAAATACAGATCACTGGGCTCACAGGTCAATGCACTTTACTATGATTTCTTACTAATTCTCATTAGATGCCTTTAAAGTAAAAGGGATGACACAGGGTAGATAGTTTTTGTTTGTTTGTTTTTTGAATGTGAAAGTTTCCCAATACCCCAAATGCATATGCCACTTCCATACCGTGAATACCCCACACACAACAAATTCTAACCAAGTCACTGCTATTGATCAAGGGTTACATAAAACGACATTAGTAGTAGCGCTTTTGGTTTTCATTGTTTTTATTTGCATTTTTCATGCTTATAATGTTCCAGAAAGCTTGCAAAATGCTTCACAAATAGTATTTAGTTTAATAAATTAAACTGAACTCCAACTTGGGTAACAGAGCAAGACTGTATCAAAACAAAAACAAAACAAAACAAAAAAGCACAGGGCTAGGCACAGGGGCTCACGCCTGTAATCCTAGCACTTTGGGAGGCCGAGGCAGGCGAATCATCTGAGGTCGGGAGTTCGAGATCAGCCTGACCAACATGGAGAAACCCCATCTCTACTAATAATACGAAATTAGCTGGGCATGGTGGCGCATGCCTGTAATCCCAGCTACTAGGGAGGCTGAGACAGGAGAATGGCTTGAACCCGGGAGGTGGAGGTTGCGGTGAGCCAAAATCACTCCATTGCACTCCAGCCTGGGCAACAAGAGTGAAACTCCATCTCAAAAAAATTAAATGAATAAAAGATAAAAAGCACAGAAGCAGAATGCTTGTGGCTTCACCAAAAAAAAAAAAAAAAAAAAAAAAAGAAGCAACCCTGTAGTCTGTGTTCTTAATTGTTGTGCTCTTCTGTGCTCAGCTAGTTTGCACTTTCTCAAACTATCCTATGTAACACAGAGACTGCAGTCTCTTCTACTTGAGTGCTAAGTGACACTACACTGGCATATAAACACATTTTCTTTACAGGTTCATTTTCAGGTTCACTATTTTGAGGAGGTATGGTTGGGATGTTATTTTATAACAAATATATTTTTTATCATTGTTTTAATTTACTTCTATTATAATTAGCTTGAATTTAGCTGGTTAGTCTTTGTTTCAAACTATCACATATTCGTCAGTTTTCAATATCTCTTGATTTCTCCTTAGTACTACCTCTTGTCCACCTCTTGCCTGGGCCATTACTAATCCATCATGGAACTCTCCCTTGCAAAATCCAAAACAAAATCCTCAAGCAAAACTACCAATCAATTGGATAAGGCAAAGGAGATGAAACCTAAGTTTCAGTCCCACATGTTCTCTACCTGAGATGGTTGAAGGCCTTTTGTAGATTTTAGAGATAAAAGCATGTCTGTCCAATGGCAAGATGAAATAGAAAGAATTATCTAAATTCGGAATTAAGAATATCTTTACCTTTCTATGTTGAAGGTCAAGTGCTGCATATCCTGTATCATTATCTGTGTTTTATTACAGACGTCAGCAAAGAAAATTATGTACAGAGCCTGAGTCCCTGCTGCTGCTTGTGTGAAATACATTTATGCAATTCAGACATTGTAGACATCAAATCCTCTTTTGTTAATATGTGGTCACTGAAAGCTTTACTAGGGAGAGGTATACCAAGGATGTGTGTTTGATTTAACAATGAGAGGGTAAACAAAGCCATGGTTAATGAATTTAATCATTGTTCTTCTGTGCTAGGACATTTGTTTGTATTAGATCTTGCTGATAATGACACTATTAAATAATCAGACCAGCCAGGCGCAGTGGCTCACACCTGTAATTCCAGCACTTTGGGAGGCCAAGGTGGGCAAATCACGAGGTCAGGAGTTCAAGACCAGCCTGACCAATATGGTGAAACCCTGTCTTTAATAAAAATACAAAAATTGGCTGGGCGTGGTGGTGCACACCTGTAGCCCCAGCTACTTGGGAGGCTGAGGCAGGAGAATCGCTTGAAACTGGGAGGCGGAGGTTGCAGTGAGCCGAGATCACGCCACTGCACTCCAACCTGGGCAACAGAGTGAGACTCTGTCTAAAAAAAAATCAAGCTATAAACAAAAAATAATCAGACCGTGATACAACCAAGCTGCATACTTTTCCATGCTAATAATCTTGCAGGATCACTACACACCCCAGGGGGCTACAGCAACTTCAGACAGATTTTGAGAGGGAGTAATCAAACTTGCTATATCAATTAGCACTCTCTTGCCTGTAAATGACAGAAAATTCATATGAAACTGAATGAAGCAAAAAAAGAAAAAAAAAGCATTTCTTGGTTGATGTAACTGAAAAGTCAAAAGGTAAAACATTCTTCAGGTTTGTCTCCATGTCACAAGGACACATCCTGCCTCTCTCGGCTCTTTCTTTCTCTGGGTTGGCTTGGTCCTCAGGCTGACTTTCTCCATGCACAGCTCAAATGCCAATCTTAACTGTTCCCAACAGTCCCAAACAAAATCTCAAGATTGTATCCTACTGGCTGCGATAATGTTGTGTTCCCATCACTGATTGCCCATCATGTTCCTCTCACACTTCGAATCCAGGGAATATCTCAACATTATCTCAACCAGAATAACTAAGAAAAAAAATGACTCTTCTGAAAGAAGTGGGGTACTATTACCAGAAATATGGAAAAGAGATAAGTGCTATACATGTCTATGTAAATGTCACACAACAAATGTCCACATTGCCAGCCTCTTTGACCCTAATCAAATCTTTCCATTAGTTGCTCCTAGGCAAAGATATAAACAAATAATTTGAAATTTTAAATATTCTCTTTTGAATGTTCACCTTAAAAATATCAGGTGAAGCTTGGGACAGTCACCTTCACCCTAGTTGGGTGACCCTCAGCAACATCTTAAACCAGTATCTTCATCTTCAACATGGAGATAATATTTTTCTTACATCTTTTTCAAGGTTGTTTCAGAATCCCAGAACACTTTATCAGAAAGATTCTTAAATACTGCTGAACCTTACACATTTTACAATTCAATGGTCACAGTTAATCTTGAAATGTTCTAATGATGTTATTAAACATTACCAAAGATAGTGCAAAATTGATTCTATTTTTTTAACTTTACATGTCTCAACTCAAAAGCATCACAAATAACAGGAGAAAGTGAATGTGATTAGGAAGGGAATGCTTAAAATGTTTTTTAACTACCTCTTTTCCTTGGATCAAGTAAACTACAGAGCATATTTCAGATATCTATCTTTGAAAATACCAATAAAACACTTAGCAGTAATCTGTATATGCCATTTTCCCACTCCTCGATCTAGAGATCAATTGGTTTTGTTAATGTATACAAGTGGCTATTTTTAATCAATACATCATGGATTCTATGAAATCAGTGTGTAAAAGAAAATAATCCAAAAATCCAATCCAAAGGCTTGTGTGTTCTCTTCATGGCTTTTTCCCCTATTCAACAGTGTGACTCCATGATGGTTAGTTTTATGCATCAATTTGACTGGGCTATGGGGTGTCCAGATATTTGCTCAAATATTACTCTGAGTATTTCTATAAGAGTATTTTTGACAAGATTACACTAAAATCATTAGACTGAATAAAATAGATTGTTGTCCCTAATATGGATACCCTCACCCAATCAGTTGAATGCCAAAACAGAACTAAAAGGCTGACCCTTTCTCCCTGTGTTTTCTTAGTAGGAAAGAATTCTTCCTGCCTGACTGCTTTACAACTGAAACACTGGCTTCTTCCTGCCTTCAGACTTGAACTGTAACATTAGCTTTCCTAGTTCTCAGCCTTTAGACTCAGACTGAAGCTACATCTTCAGCCCAGTTTGTCAAATTATTCCCCAGAATCTTGGGACTTCTTAACTTCCATAATCACATGAGCCAATTCTTTATAATATCTATCTATCCATCTATCTATCAATAATATCTCTAGCCATCCTGTTAGCTCTGTTTCTCTGGAGAACTCTCATACAGACCTAAGAAAGCTATTTAATCTCTGTAGGCCTCTGTTTTGAGAAAATTTAGTGAAAGCATCTTGAAAGTACCTTTCATCTCTGACGACTGGTGTGTCCATGAGCTCTAGTGTGTACTCAGGACCTAATTGCAGCATAGCTACCTGCTCTATTACACCCACGAGGTATAGATTCAAGACCCAATCCAGCACCCACTCTGCTGCTCAAGTCTCAGCTAAAGCAACAAAATCTCAGCTGAAGTGTTGATCTATCTGATGCACTGCACCTAAGAAGCACAATGATCCACTTTCTGTCCTGCCAGATTATCTCCCACCTTCTAAAAGCTGATGGGTAAAAGCAATCACAAAGCTCCTAAGAGTCTATAGAGATATTTGGGGTTGGTACATGAAATTAGCTATGTCATAACAAAACATTACAAAATAGTTCAGTGTGGTTAGAAGACCTTCATATTTATGAAATCTATAACTAACAGCATAATCTTTGAAGCCAGATGAACTTGGATTTAAATCCCTCCTCTGCCATTAATTCAATTAATCTAGGCTATTTCACTTCTCCAAGTTGCATATGTAAAATCGGCCTCATATGTAAAACTGGCCCATAATACTTAGCTTAGAGAACTAACTGAGTAAGGATTAAAAATATTATAGCTTGGCATAGCATCTGACACACTTAATTCTTCATCCAGTGTATGACCAAAGCAGATCGTGTATTATCTCATTGTCAAGGAGATTAAGGTGCAGAAAGTGCCCTAGACCTCATGGTTTATATATGGTAGATTTAGGGTTAAAACCTAGAACCTAAGGCATTATCTAGCATGGGGTATGGATTCAGTCAATGTCTACTGAGTGAAGGAATGAAAAAAAATCAACACACCTAAGCTCACAAACACTTAATATAATTTTCTTTATCTCTTTCTTTCTATAGGCAGAGATATTAGAAAATTCTAACATATAGTGAGCAACCAGAATATACTTTCTGCTTGCTGCATTAACCTGTATTATGACAACTACTCAAACAATGGAAAACACTTCCCTATTATATACAATGTTTAATTTTTATCACACACTATACCGGCTGATTTTTATCATATGCTATATAAAGTAGGTCAAGGTAGCACTTTAAAAAAAAAGTTCATTCTGCAAACAACACTAACAACAAAACTGGTAGCAGAAATGCACCTAGGAGCTAGAAAAAGGCCCAACAAGTGCTCTCTTTCTGGCTGTTTTCCTAAGTCCTATAAGTTACCCAGGGTAGGACAACATAGATGCCACTTGCTCTTCAAAGCCAAGGGGTTTCATGAGCAAGGGATCCTTCATTTCTCATTGATATTCCATAGACAAGACTTGCTGCAAAGTCCCATGATCAATGAGCTAAGATCAGACCTGGTTCCTAGCTCCTCTTACTGTTCTCACAAAACGCAGCTTGTGAGCTGGGAAAAGATAGAGAGATGTTTTTTTCAACCCATTTTCAAGTGCTAGCAGCATGCATTATTCCCAAGTCAGAATAGTTATGCCTGTTCATTGCTACCTTAAACCTGGTTGAATATGCTCCTGGAGAGCTGTGTTGATATTCTGCTGCTCTCTAGGTCTCCTGTGGAATGCAAACTGCATTTCTCTTCTGCAAACAAATACCCCTCAAGTTGTGAGCCTATTTAACTGTGCCCAAAATTCATTGCACAAACATCTGTCTCCTGGGAAGGTGCCGTCTGCCTTAGATAAGACCAGTGGGTCTCAACTGCCTAATAAATGGTCTTAGGTCTAGACCTCTCACACAGGCCTCTACCAAAATGTAGGGGAAACTAAACCTCTCCTGGGGCTTCTGTGCTTTTAGAAATACAAGAAAACCTTTCCACATAATCGCCTTAAAATTTTAGGATTAACAGATTCAGTTGGGACTGTCTGGTTCTAGGAGATCTTTGGTCTAGTCTAAAGATTTGGAATAAATGTTATTTTATTAGCAAGTGAGGGATCTCTGTTTTATTTTTGTTTTTGATTTTTGTTGTGGTTGACATTATTTTTTAACAATCTTCACCATTCTCATTCAATTTAAACTGAATAAACCTCCATGCTTTAGTGAGCTTGCCAAATTTAGGATATGGTAGACTGAGCAAGGGTCCTATACACTTGGGCACATCTGCATTCATGCTGCACAAACTGAATCCCTTGGAATCCAATGGCATTCTAACTCTTAAACATTGCTGATGGAAAAAGAAGGGCACTAGGGTTTTAATCTGGTCTGACCCACTCTCTTCTCAGCTTTATTTATCTGAACAACAGGAGATGCCTTTGGAAGTATTTGTGGGGCACTGAATCAGGAATTAGAGCTAAAATGATCTTTAAAGGTCAGGTTCTAAAATCTGCTCCATCCCAATTTCAATCTGATGCTTGAATCTCAAATATCAGAAATAAAATGGTTAAACTGATTAAAATTCTAAAACTGAGCTGGTATTACAGAGTATTCCCCAGGCCACTGACATGGTTTTTGCCAGCCAAGAGTAACCTTAGGAAAGTAACCCATCCACAGAAATGGAGAAAGCTGTCTCCTCTTGGACCAGCTCTTAGAAGTGGCAGCACCTAGCCCCACGTGGCTGTTGAACAACTGAAATGTGGTAAGTCTGAATTAAGATATGCTGTATGTGTGAAACACACAACTGGTATTGAAGACAGAGTGTGGAAAGGAATGTTAAATGTCTATAATAATTTTTATATCGGTGATATGTTGTAGTGATGTATTTTTGATATATGGGATTTAATAAAATGTGATTATAATTAATTTCATCTATTTCATTTTGCTTTTTGTAATGTGGCTAGGACAAGCTCTTCGAACAGATTTGGGAAGAAGAACGGTCACATAGATAAAAGTCGTTGAGAGTGGAAGGGAAGGGTCACTTAGTCTTGACCCTAGAGAATGAGTAGAAGGTAAATAATAAACACTCTCATGTTTACTCTCACATTAATACCCAGAACGACTCTATGTGGCATCAAAAATTGCATTCCCATTTGAAATGTCATCTCACTGAGGCCAGTAACGTAGAGGTGGTGTGCTATAAATCTAGCCACAGGAGAAGGTAAAATGGGGAGCGTAAACACAGTTCTTTCCACTGTCAAATCTATGTTCTTTCTCCAATACCAAACTGCACCTCTCTAAAATGTATTTACTTTACTATAGCCAGTGGGCTGAAGATTTTCAGTTCTGATTCTTCATCTTCTCTTCTTATCTCCTTTGACCCATCACTCTCAGGACTGCAAACAGGATTTAGTATTGTTATTTTATTTGCAACAACCATTTCTGGTCCCTGCACTCTGCTTGATGCAGTACAAAAATAGTTTGCCCTTTGGGAAGATAATGCTTGGGTCTGTTCACCTCCATGCCTATATCTGTGCTTATGAACCAGGCAGGGTGGAGGGAGATAGCAAGTTGGCTAAATATGGCTCCAGGGGGAGTAAATTTCTGGCTGAGTTGATAATGGAAAATGGAGAATTTCATCTCCAGGTCAGTGACTGAATCTGGTCCAGTCTTTCACTCTCTGCAGTACGTGATTACTTGGTGGATAACAGCTGGGATTTGGGACTTCCCCCAAAGATTCCTTTATTCTCCAAGTGCTCTGCCTCCCTCCTTCTAGCCCATTTCCATGCCATTTTTTAGGCCTACTTTTCTCCAAAAATCTCACCTCATTAATTGGAAATGAAAAGTTAATTCCCACTGACCTCACTTCTTCCCATACCTGAAATAAGAGAAAGAATGAAGAGCAAATGATGTAGAAACATGGGATTAAATGTCATCTCCTGCATATTATAATATGATTACTAATATCTTCATTAAATTGTATTAATTTAATAAAATATCTTTTGTGATTTGTTTTGCAAACTAAGACTTTAATCATATCTTTAGGACTTTTTTTTTTTTTTTTTTGAGACGGAGTCTTGCTCTGTCACCAGGCTGGAGTGCAGTGGCGCGATCTCGGCTCACTGCAACCTCTGCCTCCCGGGTTCAAGCTATTCTGCCTCAGCCTCCCAAGTAACTGGGACTACAGGCACGTGCCACCACGCCCAGCTAATTTTTGTATTTTTAGTAGAGACAAGACTTCACCATGTTGGCCAGGATGGTCTCCATCTCTTAACCTCGTGACCCGCCAGCTTCAGCCTCCCAAAGTGCTGGGATAACAGGCGTGAGCCACTGAGCCTGGCCTATCTTGAAGGATTTTTTTAGTTAACGGTAGTAGGCTGCTTGGATACATTGTCCTTATATATCAGGCATGAAGTATCATTTTTCAAAGGGTGGGGACACAGTTATGCAAAGGCAAGTTCATTGAATCAGAATGAGGAGACTTACATTTTACTGAACTCTCCTGTTTACCTTATATACAATTTTAGGTGTTTCTAGCCCATCTCAACTTCAAGTCCCTTATGTATAAAATGTGAATAATAGCTTGTGCTTTATTGAATTGTCATATGTCAACTCAAGAAGTCAGTTACCTATCCTGGTCTTCATTTATTTATTTTATTCTATTTTATATTTGAGGAAAAATGGTCTCCAAGGTGGGTAAACACACATTGTAGAGATGGAAAGATGATCTATTTTGAGTTTTGAGGAGAAAATATTAGAATTCTATTTCTGTATACATTTCATCCTTCAAAGTTTATTTTTCTTATGTATGTAGGTGATGACAAACATACTGTATAGATATAATAATGTATAACATTTATGAATAAATTACATATATAGAGAAGATAGACTTAGGATATTTTTAGTTCTAGGGATGCACTATCAGGAGTACCACCAAGGCCACGGTTTTAAAATGACCCTTCACAATTTTTCTAACTTATAGTAGTTGAAGATGAGGAAGGTGAAGAAAACTGAACTAAATTAATTATAATACAAGGGCCCGCCTTAGAAGATAAATTTGAAAATTAACTAATCATACAGTTTTTATGTATCTCTCTCTTTCTTAAGCATGAAAGATAGAAGTATACTCTCTTTGCTCAAGATTCTGATCAAAGGAGGCTAGTAGATAAAATTCCAACCTCAGTGGCATTTTTGCAACTGTGTATTAAATGTCTCTGTTCCAAATCTCTTGATCAAGCCAGTCAAATAATCTAGGTTTTGGTAAACAACCCTCTGATGAAGATTCTATGACTTTTTTTTTAACTAGTTCTGTACTCTGACTAGAGGCAGTGAAAGTTTAGTTTTTTAATTTTAAAATTTTGTTTTTAAGGTATACAAATATCAATGACATTGTGTTTGGTAATGAAATGGCTTATATGTACAACTATAAAGTATTGATTAAATGAACTCATACACTACTCAACAGCATTTAAAATTGAGTTGCTGCAGAACATTTAATGTTTTAGGAAAAATTTTATAGTAAGTGGATAAACAAAACAATCTACAAGACAGCAGGTGTAATATGATCCCTTTCACAATGTATGAGATCTCCACATCTGCCCATGAGGGAATAACTGCTATGGGAATTCGCTTTTATAACTAGAAACCTAGACAACATTAAAGAAAAACAAATTGAAGACAAGACTGAACAACAGGCAGTACAGGGTTATAAGGTGTGCACTGACTACCTCTGATTACTCTGAGAGGCACTTTTGAGGTAGTAGCACAAGGAGATAGAACAGAATTGAAACCCAGAAATTTCCCAACTTGAGACAAAGATCGTAGTTTAGGGAGGCCAAGATAACTAGAGTTTTCAGGGCAGAGTACAAGAGATAAAGGGGCCACACAAAGATCTCTAGAGATCTGTATAGGACTCCTCTCAGATGTGTAGCTGAGTATGACCTATATAAGTGTGAGATAAAGTTAACGAAGATCAAAGAAAGGATTTCCAGGAGCAGTAGGCTGACTAATTTCTAGAACTCATAGAGGGCTAGAAATAGTGCCTGTTTTTGCAAGCCAGAGCATAAAGAACTGCTAATATGTGAGGCAGTGGGCCAAATTCTGAGATTGGTATTGCCTTAAGAGTAGGATTAAATTAGTCTCAGCATAAATGCTGCGCTGGACCAGTCATAACAAAACTTTTTAAAAGCAAATCTTGAAATAAACTGTTTCCCAAGTATAGTAATGTATAGTATAGTATAGTAATGTGGGCCAGAACAAAGAAACATATGATATGAATACAAAATATTCAGCATACAATGATACATATTTACAATATCTGACATCCAATAAAAAATTACTGGCATCCAAGAAAGCTAGCAACTCTGATAATAATCAGAAAATAAAACAAATTAGTAGAATCATATTTATAATGTAGATAAGGAAATTTGAAAGCAAGGGAACTTAAAACAACTCCTATAAATATATTCACTATGTTCAGAAAAACAGAGGAAACATGAACATGGTGAGAGGAGAAATGGAATTTAAAAAGATGAAAATGGAAGTTACAGATACAAAAATACAGCATCTAAAATAAAAAATAGACGGTGTTAATCACTGCCAAAGAAAAGATCAATGAACTTGAGACATAGTAATGGGAATTCTCCAAAATGAAGCAGAGGGGGAAAAAAGGCAGAAAAAACGTTAGACTTCAGTAAGATCCGGGAAAAAATCAAGCAGATGAATGTGTGCATAATCAGAATATAAGGAGCAGGGTGATAGAAAAGAAAAAGAAATTTTAAAAAGTAGCTCATTTTTTCCAAATGTGTGTAAAACAGTACACTCAATAACCCCAAAACATCAACAAACCCAAAGCAGAAGCAATTAAGGAACACTGCACCTAGGCATATCATAATTCAACTGCTGAAAACCAATGATAAAGAAAATGTATTGAAAAAGTCACATTTCTTCCAAAGGAACAAAGGTAAAAATTACAGTACATAGCTTGTGAGAAACCATGAGGGTCAGAAGACAATGGAACCACATTTTTAAAGTGCTGGAACCAAACAACCTTCAAGCAGGATTTCTATACCCAATAATAACATATTTTAAAATTTTAAGACAAATTAAGTATTTTCAAATCAAGGAAAACTGAGATAATTTTTGTCAACAGACCTGCATTATGAGGAATGTAAAAGGAAATCTTTCCAATATAAGGAGCACAATATCAAATAAAAATTTGGATCCCCACAAAGGAATTAATTAAGAATATCCAAAAATTATGGTTAGCCCCCTAAAAATATTCATAAAGTTAAAATGATTGAAAGTGTACAGAATATGTTCTCTGACACAAATTGAATTGAATTAGAAGCCAGAAAACACAAATATACTTGAAAAAACTCTAATATTTGATATTAAACAACACACTTCTTAATAACTCATGAGTGTGAGAAGAAATAACAAAGGAGTTTAGAAAACTATTCGAATTGAATGAAGATAAAAACTCAACATGAAAAAACTATAAGATGTAGGTAAACCAGTGCTGAAAGAGAAATTTGTAGCATTATATACTCACATTTAAATCTATGCTCTAATTTCTATATGAAAATTAGAAAAAGAAAAGAAAATGAAATCTAATGTAGGTAGCAAGAAAATACTAATGATAAAAATAGAGACTGAAAAACAAAGCAAAAAAAAACTGAGAAAATCAATAAAATAAAAATCTGATTCTTGGAAACAATCAATAAAATTAGAGAAAGCTCTAACCAGATTTAACAAGGGGAAAAAGACACCGCCATGAATAACAAAGACACTCTTACCAATCAAGAAATTACAAGAGTTTAGAAGATCCATCCCAGGAAGCAAGGGTAAAGATGAGACAATTTTTAAATTATATAACAATATTCAACATCTATCAATGTTTTTCACCATATTATTAGACTAACAAGAAAGCCCATGTGAGTATCTCAATCTATGTAGAACAAATGTTTGAAAAAGTGCAACACTTGTTCATAAAAAACTTTCAGTAAACTAAAAAAAAAAAAAGGAAAGGAAGAAGAAACTTTAATCTGATAAAGAGCATTTATTTGAAAAACCTATTAGCTTATTTAATGGTAAAAAAAAAAGAGAGAATAGATTCCTCATAAGGCCAAAAATAGGGCAAGAATAATTTTTATTAGTCATTATTGCACTGGCAATCTTACAGTAATAAAACAAGAGCAAGAGTAATAAGAAAAGAGCAACAAATCAAAACAGAAAATAAAAGATATACAGATAACAAAACAACAATTACAATTGCCTTTAGTTGTGGATAACATGATTACCTATGTCTAAATTCCCTCCAAAATTTATTTCAAAGCTACTAGAACTAAGAAGTGAGTTTAGCAAGATTTTGTGATACCAGATCAATGTATAAAAGTAGTTTCCCCATATACTATCAATGAACAATTAATAATTACAATTTTTAAAATATTATTTACCATGGAACCAAAAAGCATGAACACTTAAAGACAATGTAATAAAACATGCCAGTATCTGCATACCGAACACTAAAAAATATTGCCGAAAGAAAAAAAGGTGAATAAATGGAGATATATACCATATTCACGAATCACAAAACTTACTATTTTTAAGGTGTCAGTTCTCCCCAAACTAATATATACATTCACATAAATACTAGTCAATATCCTTATAAGCATTTTTTGTGGAAATTTAAAAGTTGACTGTAAAATGTATATGAAAATGCAAACAACCTAAAATAACCCAAATAATTTTTAAAAAGAACAAGTTGGAGGATTCAAATTACCTGACTGGAAGAATTGCTTATTATATAAAGCTGTGGAATTATGACACGGTTATTTTGGCTTAAGAATAACTTACAGATCAATGAAACATAATAGACCGTTAGAAATGGATTCAAACATAACTGGTTAGTTGATTTGTGGCAAAGGATCCAAGGTAATCCAAGACAGAAAGGTATTATTCTTTTGAACAAATGGTGCTGGCACAATGATATAGCCACATATGTATAAATGAATCTCAACCTTTACCTTACACGAGCCACAAAAATTAAACTCTAGGTGGATCATATAATTAAATATAAAGGCTACAAACAATTCTAGAAGATAATATATAAGAAAGTCCTTGTAACCTTGGGTTAGAGAAAGAAGATTCCATTCATAGGATACCTAAAGCACCAACTGTAAAGAATTTTCAAATAGGACCTGATCAATATTAAAATCCTTCATTCCTCAAAGGCATTGTAATTGAAATAAAAAGGCAAATTACAGATTAGGGAAATATAAATGATAAGTATATATCTGATAAAGATCTTGTAAATAGCACATACACATAACCCATTATAAACTCCCTAACAAAAAGATAAGCAACTAGATTATTTTAAAACAAAAGAAGCAAAAAAAGGAGGGGAAAAAAGGGGAAGAATTCTAAGAAACACTTCACCAAAAAAGAGTATGTTGATGGCAAATCAATAGAGGAAAAGATGGTCAACATCATTAGTTATTAAGTAAATACTCATTACAACCACAATGATGTACTTCTACTCACCCATTTAGAATGACTACAATTGAAAAGAACGACAACAGCAAGTGTTGTTGAGAACATGGAGCAAATAGAATTCTCCTACATTGCTAGTAGGAATGCAAAATGATACAACCAGTTTGGAAAACAGTCGGCAATTTCTTATAAAGTTAAAATGTAACCCAGCATTCCTGTTCCTAGATATTTACTCAAAAGAAAGAAAAACATAGGTCCACAGAAAGACTTGCAAAGGAATGTTAATAATAGCTTCATAACAATAACCAAAATTGGAAACAACCTAACTATCTAACTGGTGAATGAATAAACAAATTGTATAACCATAAAGAAGTGATCAGGAACCAACTACTGATATGTAATGACATGAATACATCTCAAAACCTTTTTGCTATGTGATAGAAGCCAGACACAAGTAAGAACACACTGTTTGATTTCATTAACTCAAAATTCAGGAAACTGCAAACTCATGATAAAAGAAATCAGATTAGTGATTGCTTGTGGTCAGGGATGAGGAGAGATTTACTACAAAGGGTCACAAGGGATATTGGTGTAAAGAAAATGTTCTATATCTTGATTGTGGTGGTTATGTGTACACATATTTGTCAAAACTCAATGAACTGTACACTTAAAACTGGTGACAATTATTGTGTATAAATTACACCTCAGTGAAGCTGGTTTTAAAAGATAAACATGTATATATTTGCCCAGTGAAAAGTCTAGGTGGAGATACACTACCTGTTAATACTAGTTATCTCTGTGTTTCAGGATTAGCTGTGATTTTTGTTTTTACTTCTTGCTGTTATTCATTTACTTACTTATATATTCAGAATATATTTGTTAATTAGTTCCAGACACTCTACAAATCATTGACGACACAATGGTTGGTGAGATAAACATAATTCCTGCTATCAAGTACTATATACACAATTCTCTATTCCCTAATCTTTCTATAATGAACGTGTTTTATTTTGTCATAGAAAGGAAGAAAATTCCTCATGACTATATGAATTATAGTGTCTTTTGATCCCCTTTTCCTACAAGTTTGCTTCTCTGATTCTCTACTCAGTGACTTTCATGATCAACAGCATATGTTCAGTGAACAGAGTGTATTGTGTAGGTCAAGTGTTGTCACCCTGAAAAATAAGAATAAATGAGAATCTGACTGCCTCCCAATATGTGCTAGAGTAAACACATGACATACTTCAAATTTAACACTATATGAGTCGATATGGATATTTTAAATAGTTAAATTATTTATATAAGTAAACATCCTGTATACATAATCTACTTGAGTGAAAAAGAGAAGAAAAAAATGTGCTGGTATATCAGAATAAAATGAGCCACTATGTGAGTATGCTTGTTCTACGAATACAGTCATTATAAACTTCTTATAAAATCATAGACTATTTCAGCTAGATAAAGCCTTATTAATCATCTACTCCAATATTCTGATTATATAGACTCGTAATAACCTTTGAGAAGGAAGTGGAAAATTAGAATAATTGAGAATTATCTAAATCTATTGTGTCAGGCTTTAAAGACCTTTGAAGACCGCACTACTCATTACTAGAAAAGTCAGAAATAGAATCCAGGTATCTCAGCGACTCAAAATTTAGACTGCATCGATGGCTCAGGCTTTGGAACTTTGGATTTACCAAGGTTCTAAATTACATAGCATGCACACTACCCTATAACCACAACTGCTCCCATGTCTCTGACAGACATAATTAATCAATCACCATGCTTTCTGGCTAAATTTTGACACAGCTTCGGAATCCTTCCTAGCAGTTCTTCTCCCACATACTACCAAGACAGATCAAATACTTGAAGTGAAACCCAAGTGAAACACATAAACACACAAGGAAACACACTCCTTTTGATACATACACAACCCATCAGTTTGCCCAAGCAAGTCATTCTTTTCCTGTCTGCATCTCACAGTCTTTATATGGAAAATGCAGATGATAACTCCTATTCTAGCCTTGTTTAAAGACTAGATGAGACAATATATGTGGGAGAACTTTGGAAATTCCCACATTAAACAAGGGTAAATTTTCTCCTCTTTTCTCTGTCCTCCATCTCCCTCCATTCCAAAGTTTCCTTGGCTGTAGTGTAGTACAAGCTCATTTCTTCTGCCAAAAATCACCTTGAGTTTTGATTTAGGACTAAAGGATAGTGAAAGGAATTTTTTTTGGTTCCTTCTCATTTTAGGGCTCCCTTCATTACATACCGTTAAAAAATTAGCTATAAATATCAGAGCTGAATAAGATGCTCCCAGAGAGAATACTAATTGGAAAAAATAATGTCAGGTAGTTGGATGAGAAAGGTAGTAATTCAAAATCTCCCTGGCCATATTCCCTTAACAATCTGACCAGGTGAACAATGATTTCCTCCAGCCACAAGCTGGGAGACACATGGATAGAATTGCTGCTCTTTCAGTTACTCTCCTCCAACATAGATGATAGATTTAAAAATCACTCTTGGATCCTACACACTGATATTTGTTGTAATTAAAGACTACTAAGTGAGTGTATCTCCAATCCCTCTTTTTTTGCAAAATAACAGGCTCCTGGGGCTACCACTACACACTCAATTTTATGGCTAAAATTGAACATTGATGAGGAGGACCAAACACTAAACAATTGAAAAAATTAACAAAACACAAGAGGCATATAGTGAAGAGTTGAAAGAGGAACAATACTGCTGTAAAATATGACAAAAATACACAGGTGGGCAGAGCAGGCCCATTTGAGAAGATGCTATTGAGCCAGGACAGGGGAGATTTGAAGGAGCCAGCTGACAGAAGAGCATAAGAAGAGGTTCTGGAAGCTGGAAGCAGCTTGATCCAGACAAAATCCCCAATGTGGCTGAGGGGCAGAGAGCACAGGCAGTGAAGGGGGTTAGGTTGGCCGGTGTGGATGACAGATATTCACTATTTGAGATGAGGCAGGGCTATTATTTAAGTAGGGCCTCATACAAGATGATAGGCATTTGAGTTTTATTCTTCTACATTCTTATAGGCAGATATAACAGTTTCTAAAAGGAACATGGACTTCACAGCCTTGGAAAGAAGGGATAGGAGAGATGAGCTTTACAATAGATGCAAACTCTTGGTTCGTCTGGGAAACTGCAGTGAGAGTAAAAACTCCTCTTCCAACATTGCTGGTTTGAACCCAACAGAGCTGCATGGTCTCCCAGTAATCACATGGAAATGTAGACACATAGATAAACATCATTCTCCTTCTTTTAACAAGGTCTGTGCTACCTTTAGCAAAAGGCCTGGCTTAGCTTGGCGACGATTAATTGTAGCTGTTCAGAGGACGAGGCATGTTGTGAGTGAATTGATGTGCTTCAAGGGCCCTGTGTGTCTGACTTTTCATGTTGTCTAAATTTGTAACCTGTAAGACTGCATTTCCATAAGTTTTGAAATGCAATGTGTTCTGTGGTGCTCGGAATTCGATCAGGATGAAAAGAGCTTTAGAAAGTAAGATGTTATTATTGTATTTGCCTTCACATGAGAAAATAGTCAAAGGAAGACAAACAGAGGAGGGGAAAAAGAGATCCTATATAGATTAGCACTCCCACACAGCCTGCAACCCAGGGCAGGGGAGGGGCGGGGGTGGGAGAGAAAAGAGAAGAAAAACCAGAAAACCTGGCATAAGAATAAACCTTATCAAAGACTGAACATGACAATCAGGCCTCTATGTGGGAAAAGTTTTACCTTTATGAACCCCAGAGAAGAAAATTATACTCACTAGAGGAAGAAAAAGAGTTATTAACAAATCAGTTATCTGATGCTTAAATAATACAGCTGCTAAAATGAGCCTTCTAAGTAAACCTACAGTGAAGCTAATTAGTTCAGCATTTTGCCAATAACCTCATCTCCCATCCTTTCAGCTTTAAAAAAATGATGGGCTCAAACTATTAACACATAACACCAAGTATGTGATAAAATGAGTATTTTAAAGGAATACATTTGACGGGTTAGTCTTCAAATCTAACTGCTCTTTAAATGGTAGGTAAACTAAAAATTTTCATTAAGGATGAAAAATTTGATTAAGGATGCTGAGCAAAGCCTTGTTCAGGAAACGACCACCCAGAGTTCTAGGCCTGCCTCTACCATTTACTACCTGTGTGACCCTGGGCTAGTCATTTAACTTCCCTAAGCACTGGTTTTGCCATCTCTACTATGAGGATATTAATTTCTATCCAGCTTATCTCATGAGATCTTGTGATGATCAGGATAATCAAAGGTGCAAATATTTTAAAGATGTTTAAGTTCAACACACATTCAATGACTATTTTACAAGACAGGAAATATAAAAACAAACGAAGTTAGATGCTAGACTTATGTTGTCAAATATGGTAGCCGCAAGTCTCACGTGGTTATTGAGAGCTTGAAAGATAGCCAGCGTGATAAGGAACTTGATGTTTACTTTTTTTTTATTTTAAATACAGTTGCCCCTCAGTATCTGAAGGGGATTCCACCCCGAGGATAGCAAAGTCCTCGGATGCTCAAGTCACTTATACGGAAAGGTGTAGTATTTACATAGAACCTACACACATCCTCCAGTACACTTTAAATCACCTCTAGATTACTTATACTTGATACAATACAAAGGCTATGGAAATAGTCATTGTACTGTATTATGTTTGTATTTTTATTGCTGCATTTTTATATTTTATTATTTTTTCAAATATTTTGATCTGAATATTTTTAAAGTTAAAAGCTGATAATTCAGTTAATGGAACAATTTTAAGTATGTTTGGAAATCCTGCGTATATGAATCTACATTTTCAATTGTATAAGCTTTATAAAATCTAAATTCTGATCAAGTTATTTGATGGAAATTCAAGAAGAAGAAGAATTAATTGAATTGGGATATGCTTTAAGTATAAAATACATGCTGGATTTTACAAATTTAATGTAACAAAAGGAAACTTTTATTCATAATTTTTATTTTTATTACATATTAAAATAAGAATATTTGGGATACAAAAGGTTAAATAAAATATTGTATAATAATTAATTTCACCCCTTTTTACTCCTTTTTAAAATGTTGTCACTATAAAATTTAGATGCCTTATGTGGCTTATTTCATATTTCTATTGGACAGCTCCTGGCTAGTCTATGGAATGAGACCCTTAGTGAGCCAGGTTAAAATTGTAAATGTTTTCACAACTCCAGATAATGCATCATCCCCACTGCCTGAAAGGAAATAGACTGGAGAGGATTAAGCATAAACTTGGCGGAAACTCGTGTAGCGACAACGTACTGCTGGAGTTCAAACCTATGACTTGAAAGCCCCTATTTTCTTGTAACATCAGACCGATGCATGGAGCACACAACTGGTTGCTGCAACTGGAGAAGAATATGCTGATAGAGTTGTGGTCTGAGAACCACAGGACTGAGTGCCAAACCAGCCTTACCACCAAATCTCTGTTAATACTGGCCTGGGGACAGAACCTGTCTCTCCCTGAGTCTCAGTTCAAGGCTCTGTCTAATGAAGTTTATGCCCTGGAAAAATGTTTTAAAAGCAAGATATATGTATCACTGGTAGAAGCATAGTTGGTTTTAGGAGGTGCACAGAGAGGCTGTTTAGCTATATATAGCTATTTATAAATAATAAGGATGTTATGATTATAGCAAAATAGCTATATGTTTATTTTATATGGAGACAATTTATAACATACATATCATGATCATGTTTTCAAAGATATTGCTTTCCTTCAAAAATACACTGATTTAACCTTAGAAAGCAGAAAGATTGAAAGCAAATGATTCAATATGAATGTAACAATAGCTACCACAAAGGTTGTGATCAGGGCATGGTGGCTCATGCCTGTAATCCCAGCATTTTAGGAGGCCAAGGCAGGAGGATCACTTGAGCTCAAGAGTTCAAGACCAGCCTGGGCAACATGGCAAGACCCCACCTCTACATAAATTTAAAATTAGCTGGGTATGGTGGCGTGCACCTGTAGTCCCAGCTACTCAGGAGGCTGAGGTTGGAGGATCACTTGAGCCCAGAAGGAGGTAGAGGCTGCAATGAGCTGTGTTCAAACCACTGCACTCTAGCCTGAATGACACAGCGAGACCTGTCTCAAAAAACAAAGATAAAAGATTGTGAGATAGTATGCAAGCACCTGAAATTTGGGAAACTGCTTTAGGAGATGTGCAAGATTTCTTTAAGCTCAGATATTTTATAGTTACTTGATTCTGAGATACAACTTCTCCCTTGGAAAGCAGTCTCTGTGAGACAAGGTAAAAAGCAATAGAAACTTTGCTTTGTCAGCCAAAGGAGCAAAAAGTGTTCCTGGATGCACCAGCTGATGCAGGATGTTACTTTTGGCTGGGACCTGAAGAATGAGGAGAACCTAGACATACCAAAATAAAGCAGAAGAGAATGTCGGAAGTATGCTTTCCCAGTTCTGACACCCCGTGGCTTAAGAGGGAAGGTTCCGAGTCCAGTGAGCCCCAGGCACATCCGAAAGCATATGTTTGTTTAAAAAGAACCAGGGTAGCCAGTGCTGGTCTTCTGCTATGTAAATGACATCCAGCGTTCCTACTGCAGGCAGATTCAGATCCTGACACAATCAGTTCCAACTGTGCCTACTGGACACCTATTCACAAAGAAATTTAAACAGTAATCAGTGCCTCAGTATCTGCACCCCACTAGCATGTCCTTGATGCAGTTGTTATGCACTCTTCCAGGTCCTGAGTATAAATCAATTTTCATGACAGCAGGGTGTAGTGAAAAGAGCCCTGAGCAGGAGGCAGGAATCCCAGGTCTTCTACCCTGCTCTCTTACCAATTAGTAAAGTGACCTTTTCCTCCACACACATTCACTGGGCACCTGTTATGTGTCAGGTATTGTGCTGAGCCCTGGATTACTCATGGTCAAGGGTAGGCTGGGCCTGGTCCCTGGCTGGGTGCTGCACTTAATTTCTAGTCCGGAAGGAAAGCAATTTAATGGACCATGACAGAGTAAGTCACTGTCATTCCCTGGCTTTGTTTCCCTTCCACTGATACTGATACACTGTATTAGGTGTTCGATGAAGTGGACTCTGTTAGTCCAGTCCATTGATTCATAAATACCTTTTTTGAGGTCCTACTATGTGCTAGACATTTTTCCAAGTTCTAGAGTTGAATTGTCCAATAAGGTAGCCACTAGCCACTGTAGCCACGGTTTGGTACACTGATACAGAGCTACCCTAAACTGAATTGTGCTGTAAATATGAAATGAACACTGGATTTCAAAACCTTTGTATGAACAAAGTAATATAAAATAGTTCATTAATACTGTTTACTATTGATTGGATATTGAAAGGATAAAATTTTGATATATTTATTCAAATAAAATGTCCAAAATTATGTACATGTATTTGTTTTTACTTTTTTAATGTGGCTACTAGAAAACTTAAAATTAAATGTGTGACTCACATTCTATGTCTATTGGACAGAGATGCTATAGAGATGTAGCAGTGAACAAAAAAAACCCAAAAATTCCTCAAGGGTGGAAGCCCATATATGCAGATGAGAAAAAATACCGGGAATCATAGCCCCAGTTATGCTTATAAAGTTATGCTGAATTTAAGCCCTTTGAGGCCAAGAGCAGGGCTTTGCTCATTTTGGTGTGTCTGGCCATTTGAGAAACACTGAAGTTGTCCCTGGCAGGGCCTCTTGGCAACAAGCACACAATTACATCTGAGGGTGATGAAAAGATGTGGGAGTCCAGAAACTTGATTTTTGTTCCCTCTGAGACACTAACTGCCTTTATGGCCTTGACGAAGTCACCCCAGCTCTGGGCAATATCCATCTATCCATACATTAAAGGGATTCAACAACAGTGACTTCTAAGACACTTCATAGGTCTGGAATTCTATGACATGGGAATGATGAAGCTCAGGCCCAAACTTTTCCATCAAATACAGATCAGGAGTTTGAGAACAGCCTAGCCAACCCCACCTCTACTAAAAATACAAAAATTAGCCGGGTATGGTGGCACACACCTCCAGTCCCAGCTACTTGGGAGGCTGAGGCAGAAGGATCCCTGGAACATAGGAGGTGGAAGTTACAGTGACCTGAGATCCTGCAACTGTACTCCAGCCTGAGTTACAGAGTGAGACTCCATTTCAAAAAATGAAAAATAAACACCAGCCTTGAATTACCTTCTGATTTATTAGATATTATTAGGCAACATTTCAAAAAACCCCTCTTCCTGCCCAGAAGGGTATTTTAGGGAAAATTAGAATAATTGAGAATTACCTAAATCTATTGTGTCAGGCTTTAAAATATGAGCTCCCAGAGAAGGGGAAAGATGCATTCAAGTAAAGGCAAGAATTGCTGGTCTGCCATCAAAGCTGCCTGGTGGTCTCCTACTGACATTCTTTATGATATTTTAATTAAGATGATATCTCAGAGATCACAGAGAAAAGACAAGCCAAAATTCAGTCCTCAAGAAAATAACATTGGTTATGAACTGTAACCAAAGTACGGCTTTGGCAAACCAGGTGGCAGCCTGCAAGGCATGGTGTAAGGACTCCCAGGCAGAGGCAATTTCTGGGGCCGAATGGGCCATTCAGCAAGTGGCTTCATGTTCATGGAAGGCCTCCTGTTTTGACATTACCTACAAAAAAAAATTATACATAAAGTTGTGTGTGTGTGTGTGTGTGTGAAGAATTAATTTTGCCAGCCAGTAAGTTTACACATCCTAGATAGGTCACTATTTTAGTTTAGTACCACGTGAGCCTTTATTACTTTGGAATATGGTCTCAGTCCCCTAGTATACATCAGAGGTGCTAGTCCTAGAAGGATGACTTTTTCCACTTTTTTGGGGTACCCACAGGCTTTCAGAGTCCTTCCAGTTGTGATCAAGACAATTAAATGCAAATGCCATTGAAGGAGGAACACAATGGTAAGCCTATGTGAATGACATTCGAGGTAGGCTGCAAAGAAGAGATTGAGAAATGATAAGGATCCAGGAACCTGGGTTGATTTTTTGTGACCCTAAATGAGTCTCTGACTCTGAGCCTTGGTTTAGTCATTTAAAAAATAAGGGTCGGATTAAGTCTAAATTCCTTTTTAGTATCTTCAACCTTGAATACACATTAGAATCACTGCAGGTAAAGTATTTAAAGCAGAACCAATTAGGGTTAGGTCACCAGTTCCTCTGGTGATTCAAATGTTAGGAAGCCCTGCTCCAGGAAAACCAACATTTTCTGATGAATTAGTTGGCTAGTATTAATAGCTAGGACGTCATTCTAAGAAGGGGAAGCAGTGAACACAGGTTTCAGAGTAGGAAAGTGCCCTGTCTTAAAGAAACATTGAGCAAATTAACCATGGCAGAGAGACAGCTCAGGACAGGGCAATTTGGTAGAGAGATAATGAGCCACATATGTAATTTTGCATTTTCTAGCACCCACATTTTAAAAAGTAGAAACAATCAGGTAGAATTAATTATAATAATATATTTCACTTAAACCAAGATACAGGTAAGCACATAATCAATAGATGTGATTTAATTTTGTAGGCATATTCAAAAAGTAAAAACAGGTTAACTTCATTTTAATGCTATATTGTATTTAATCCAATATATCCAAAATAGTATCATTTCAACGTACAAACAATTAAAAACTAATGAAACATTTTTACTTTTTTTTCTATTTAGGTCTTCACAATCAAATGTGTACTTTACACTCACATTACATTTCAGTTTGAACCAACCATGTGTCAGTTGCTCAATTAGCCACATGCAGCTAGTGGTGACCACGTTGGACAGCACCGGTCTAGACCTTGCTATTCAAGTGTGGTCTGTGGACCACACCTTGGGTATCATCTGAGAGCATGCTAGAAAGGCAGAATTTCAGTCTCTATCCCAGATCTATTAAGTCAGAATCTGCATTTTAACAAGATCTCTAGGTGTAATTTGTTTACACATTAAAGCTTGAAAAAGTCCTATCCTTTCCCATAACCACTGTCAACTTTCACCTGTATTAGCATAACAGCCTCTTAACTCAGTGCCTTAACCCCTTGGAGATCTGGCCACTGCCTACTTTGCTGGCCAGTTTACAACCAATTTACCCTCTAGCCATAACAAACCGCTCTCAGTGATTCAAGTCAGCATGTCCTCTTATACTTCTGAGCATTTGTACATGTTGTTTCTTCTAGGAATTCCCTCCATCTGCACACTCCCCCTGCCTTCTCATGACTGAGTCCTAACTGAATTTCAGCTTTGATGTCATTATCTGAGGGCAATTTCCATAATCCATCCTTCTAGATCCCCTCAACTTTTCCATCCCCTTGCGTTTCTCTGTTTCATCATTTTCTGTTGTGATTTAGAAATGTTAGTCCATTCTTTCTGCTAGAGGGAAGATCCATGATGATAGGGACATCAAATGTCCTAGTCACTGCTGCATCCCAAGCACTCAGCACAGAGCTGGCACACAGGAGGTGGTGAGGTTCAATATGTTTTTGTTGGAAGGGATTGAGGAAAGAAGGAAGGCAAGAGGGCAAGAAGTGAGCAAAGGAAGGAAGGTAGTTTCTTCCCAAACGTGAAGCTGCAATCATAGTTTCTGTTTAGAAAATTCTCTATTTAACACCTAGCATCTGAGCCAAAGGATGCAGAAGAAAAGGGAACCAACATGGATGAAAGACTCCTGCACCATGTACCTTAGAGACCACATCTGCTTGGGAGTCAGGCCATGCGGATTTAAGGGCCAGTCATCTGGACAAGTCACTTCACATCTCCAAGCTTCGGTTCCCTCACCAATGAATAGGGATGATAATGCCTACAACGGGTAGCAGTTGTGAAAATTAAGTGAAAAGATGCATCTACAAGGCATCGTAAACCTAAAGTGCTATAAAACAAGAAAGAATTTGTTTCTCTTCCCAGACATTGCAACCCCTCACCAGCTCCTCTCCAGGCACTGAGTTTCATTTTCCACTTGAGTTTAGAAGTCAAATATTTAGCTGTGCTAATGGGGTATTGGATCTTTTTATTATGGCCCCACCACTCAGTGCGTGCAGCTTTGCCGAGATAATAAAAGATGTTAGACCTGGTCTCGCAGCTGCTTAATGCAGAAATGCCATGGGAACACACCTGGGGTATGACTTCGAATGGAATCAATGTGAAGTCAGCCATGTCCCCAGCAGAGATAAAAGCATTAATATGCTATTTCACCCTCAGCCCGCACTAGCATGACGTTGATTAAAATTATTTTCTGCAGTTTGAGTTCTTGTTTTAACGAGAAAATTTGTAAAGGGGTGTGTGTGTGTGTCTGAGAGAGAGAGAGAGGTTTTAATAGGAGTTAGATTTGATACTTCTGCTTGATGTCTGGTCTCAGATCTAGTTTTGATGGCACAAATGTTATAGTCCTATGGCTAGGATGGGCCACAGGGAGGTAAAGTGCACTGCCCCTGCCTCCCCACATCACCTTCTGTACTAGCATGTGTGTGCATTTGTGTGTGTGTGTGCCTGTTGGGTTCAGCCTGTTTTATGTGCGATAAAACAGAAAGCCTCTGCTGCCCAGTTGATGTGTGTGATAAGAAGAGGTGCAGGTACAGGTGAGTATGCCAGACATCTATGCGGGTGCACATACACATAAAAACACACATGGGAGGGTGTTGGATGCAAATGGGCATGGGTGGTAACTACTAAGGAGACTTATTTGATGAGGAAGAGGTGAATTACATATTAGGTGGTAGGAGATGTGTGCATATATGGCATACCTTTATGTGTGAATCACAGTTCTAGGGTGGGAGGTCCTGTATGTGAAAAAAGTGGTCATTGGAAGGGAGGGGTGCATAAGCATGGATTTATGCACAAGACTATGACCAGATTCTTATCAAACATCACCCATAAATCAGTTAAGGTGCTAGTGGCCCATTGCAGGACATGAGGCTATGAACAAGATAGCCAAGATCTCTGCCCATATAAAGCTTTCAGTCTATGACAGCGTTTTTCAACAGTAGCACTATTGAATTTTGGACCAAATAATTGTTTGTTGAGGGGACTGTTCTGTGTATCATAGGGTATTTAGCAATATCCTTGGTCTCTACCTAGGAAAAGCATCTCTCAGTTGTGACTACAAAAATGTCTCCAGATATTGCCAAATGTCCCTTGGGAGCAAAATTACACCATATGTTGACAATCACTGGTCTACGGGGAAAGATAGATATTAAACAAAAACAATCACAAAATATAGTATATAAGCAACTTTGTGTGGTGAGAGAGGTGTGCAGGGAGCTATCAGAGTGTATAACTAGGATAAACTGGTCAGACCATCAGGGGTGAGGGGTTAGGAAAGGCCCCTGGGAGGATGGGATAAATAAATGGGGCATCAAAGATGAGTATGACTCAGCTGGGTGAAGTGAACGAGAACAAATGTTTCAGAAAGAGGGAGCAGTAAGTGAAGAAAGGCCCTGACGGAGGAAGGAAGGAGCATGTCATTCAAAACAAAACCAGACAAAACACTAGGGGAGCCCTGCGTGGATGGGGTGAATAGGAGCAGGGAAGGGGGAGAGATGAGACAAGCTCTTAGGGTGGGACCTGAGCTCCCTGCCACCAGAATAAGCCAGCAGAAAGTGGGTCAGGGGATGTGGGCATTGGATGGTGGAATGCCGCAAGTCATGGCGGTTCTAAGGAGACTCTGGGTCTCTGAAAGAATGTTGCGACTGTAGGAACAGAAATGCCAATGAAGCCTACAGGCCCTGCTTACACCTGAGGCCCCTACTTAATGAGGGGAACTTAAGGCAGAATGGAGTCAGCCCCAGCTGGTCTATGAGATCTTTTTGAGAGAGCAGGTGGTTTCAGTTTTACAGTAGAGAGCATTTCCACTTACCTTTGAGATACACCTGGGGCTCCAGCCATTTCTCAGGCTCACCCATAGAACTGTACAACCCCCCACCATCTACACACATGCACTCAGTTACCCAACTTCACCTGCTTACAATTAACCAATAAATAAGAGACAGCATAAATACATCAAGGCCTTTCGCAATTGATATTCCCAAGGCTGCTTCTTTGACTTACAGGTGATGCAGTGGAAGCTCTGAGACGTGACAAACCCTGTCCATAGCCACACAGTCAGGCCATGGGCATGGTGGGGATTTTAACCAAGGACTGGCTGAACTCAAGGTCACACGAGGTCACATGCCTCTCCCTCCCTGGGAAGAAGTGTGCATGTGCCATCTGCCATCAAGTCCGTCCCCTCTTTGTAAACTTGCAGCCGTTTCACAGAGCTTTACCAGGATCCCCACCCCAATCCAGGCTCCATGACATCACCAGACTGGCCAGCAGCTTCCCTGCTTAAAATCGGCCCTCCTTCCATAGTGTTCAGGAAAATAAGTTTCCCTTAAGGCTCTCTTCTGCCATCTTTGCAGCCTCATTACTGCAGCCCCATCTTGGCTGCTCTCAGAGCAACCATGCTCTCTTGCAACTTCCAGTCTTTGTATATGCTGTTTTCATCTCTAGGAATGCCCTGGCCCCCTTTCCTTTCCTTCCTTTTCTTTGAAAACCCCTTCTTCTCTTCAAAAATTTAGCTCATCTATCACATCCTGCAGCGCTTTCCTTGACCAACCCTGAGACATGCACACATACACACTATCCTTCCTCCCCAGGCCAAGTGAGTAGACTCTCACTGCCTGCCCAGTACCTGGTGCTTCCTCCACCCAAGCCCCTTGCATCCCAGATTCGAACTGTCCATTTATAAGGCTGTTTCTCTCATAACTCTAGGAGGTCTCCCAGGGCAGCCTTTTTCCTCTGTATCCATAGCCCACAGTAGATGTTCAAGAGATACTTTTGTGTTCTGCTGCTACACATCCCTCTGAAAAGTGCCTTGACTGTCTTTATAAGCATGAACCTCCAAAGTAAATCATGCCAGGTCAGTCCCTTGCTGAAATCATTAGGCCCCACTCAACAGAAAGCATGGCATGGCAGGTGAGGGTTGGGGCAGCAAGAGAAGGTATGAAGTGTGTGTTGCACTGGGGGCTGGTGTTCATCGACAAGTGATCAACAAAGCTTATCAGGAGTCTGTTGACATTTGCCTCCTTTGATTTGTCCTCACACACTAGTACGGAAAGGGGTATAAGCCCATCCATCAGTTATGATTTCCAGGGAGAGGGAGCCACTGGGGCTTATGCAAGCCTGGGGACCTTCTTCTGGAATCCACAATGGGGGCCCGGGGACTGTTGACTATCCCAGCTCAGAGACGGCAGAAAATATGGTGATGAGGACATGTCAGCCTTCTGAGGAGCACTCAAGCACTCTTCTATTAACCTGTTTAGTTAGTCTGTTTCTCTGTTTGCTTCCAATGAACCAAATTCTTTCTGTCCTTCGGGTTTCAATTCCCAAAAGAGAAATCTGATGGATTCAGGTCACCCTACCAGGACAAGCTATTTCATGCTTCACTACCAGCCAATGAACTGATTCTTCTTATATCAAGTGACTTTGCATAGTCCAATTAGCAAGTACATCTACCTACAAACAGAAGGGCACTGTTCGTGGGGCAGTTTGGTTTAGAAGGAGAGATTGGGCATAGCAGATACAATAACCAGTGTGTTCCATGGCAGCCTGGTTAACCACATCAGATAAGGCAAGTTCAGTGAGTTGGAGCCTGGAATAGTCCCAACCGTTGGAGTAGACACTGACGACCAGAATTCCCATTTGGAAGGACCTTTCTTCTAAAAGATAAAGTCACTAGAGGCTGTGGTAATATGCAATGGGATCAACATAGGGGCTTTGGGTTTATATTGTGAGGAATTTAGTGTTAAATGATCATGCGGCATTTGGTATGTTTGTTATAAAACTTAGTATGGCCTGATACTATCTGAGTATCTTGAAAGTCTAGATCATGTCTTATCCATTTTTGCTTACCAAGGGCCTGGAACAGAATCAATGGTAAAAATGAGTTTATTAAACTGAACTAAATTCCTTAATATCTATTTAGGTCTACCCTCCACATTTTATTTTGGGGGCGGGCAGGGACAGAGTTTCCTCCTGTCCCCCACACTGGAGTACAGTGACACGCTCTTGGCTCACTGCAACCTCCACCTCCCAAGTTCAAGTGATTCCCATTCCTCAGCCTCCTGAGTAGGTGGGATTACAGGCATGCACCACCATGCCTGGCTAATTTTTGTATATTTAGTAGAGATGGAGTTTCACCATGTTGGCTAGGCTGGTCTCGAATTCCTGACCTCAAGTGATGGGCCCACCTTGGCCTCCTAAAGTGCTGGGATTACAGAAATGAGCCACTGCGCCCAGCCTTGGTCTATCCTTTCTTTCACCAGCTGGCAAGCTCCTTGAAAGGAGGGCTATGTCCTATTTATCTTGTTATCCCCCAATTAACCTAGCACAGGGCATGACAAGTAGTGGGTGCTCAATAAATGCCTGTTGAGTATGTTTTTATAAAGCATTCCACGTCACATGTCTCTCAGTTATTTCTTTTATTTTCTTTGAAGTTCAGTTTGTCGTCTTTTTTTTTTTAACTTTTAAATTCAGGGGTACAAGTGCAGGCTTGTTTAATAGGTAAACTTGCGTCATGGGGGTTTGTTGTACAGATTATTTCATCACCCAGGTATTAAGCCTAGTACTCATTACTTTTCCTCATCCTCTCCTTCCACCCACCCTACACCCTCTGAAAGGCCCAGTGTGTTCTCGGTTATTTTTAATACCCCCAGAACGCCTATATATTCATGAGAATATCAATTCTGGAGTCAACTGCCCAGACACAAATCCAGGTCTATTACTTACTAGCCACGTGACCTTGAACAGGTTATTCACTGTACCTGAGTCTCATTTTTAAAGTGGTAATAATAATACCTAACTTATAGGGTTGTGGTGTGTATTGAGGGGGTTAATACATAGTAAAGTGTTTACCCCAGTGCCTGACAGATAATAAATGCACACTAAATTTGTATTATCCATATTTTGTCTCATGTACAAACACACTCTACCAATAGTTCCAAATATACATGCACAAATCCAATAGTTATTTTTAACTCCTGATTTGTTTATCTGGAGTGGTTTCAAAACTTTCCTTTGTTTCAAAACTCTCAGTCAATTGATAGCTTCCTCAGAAGAACCAACAAGTCCCAAGATATTGCTCATGAGCTGACACAGACCTTCTTGCTCATAAGTAAAGGTCTTCTTAGTTTTCTTATTTCTTTTACAGCTTCTCCTGAATATTGATTGTCTATGGCAGCCAGTGGACAATCTTCCAGGGACTCCTGCCACACTCTGCAAGTGTATATGTCATTTGGGCACTAAATCTAGCTACATGATTGCCCCTGCATCTGGCATGCCATTAGTCCATCCTGACCCTAATGATATCCCAAATATTGGACACCCTGGGAATAGTGATAGTGAGGAGAAGAAAAAGAATGACAACAGAGAAGAAAAATAACCTATGCTGAATTTTAACCTGAGTTCCAGGTCCTCTGCTAATGGCTTCATAGAGATTAATAAGACATAGAGCCTCCGGTGTGGAGCTCACAATGGGATCACGATATGGTAAGGATTTTGGAAAAAAGCCATGACACAGAAGACAGGATGTTTTGTTCTACAGATAGGATCAGCTAAGACTTCCCAGGACAGCTGGCACTTGATCTAGGCCTTCAAGGGTGATCCATGCATGTGATTAATCATTCATTTTGTCATTTATTAATTCACCCATAGATCAAGTATGAATTTTGTGTTGGGCTTTTGGCTAAGCACTGGGCATATAGAGATAACCAAACTTGATCTATGCACCCATTCACACAGCCTGATGGTGGGGAGAGGAACACACAAATGACTATTACATACAGTACGACATAATGATGGCAGAAATTAGTCATATTCTAGGTGAAATTGGATCATTCATGGAAAACATACCTAAGTTTGCATGTGATGATTAAGGGAGTTGTCATAGTAAAACATGAGTTAAATTAATAATAAAATAAGTCATTCACCAAGTACATTTTTGTGCCAGGCATTGTGCTCCATACTTTACATGTATTAACTGACTGAGTCCCCATAATAACCAGAAAAGGTAGAGGACATTCTCTCCTTCATAAAGAGAAGCCAACTGGAAACTCACAGAGGAGTTAAGTAATTTGTCAAGGATTGTAGGCAGGATGTGGAAAGTCAGTATGCAGTGTATCGAGAAGCCAGGATCAGGTCTACTTGATACCAAAATTTTCCCTCTTAGCTGTTATCGATACTGCCTGCATTTCGCTGAAACCCAGGGAAGATCCAAAGTAAAGGGAATTCTAGGGAGAAGGAATTTCACATACAAATGCAGAGACAGGTGGAGGAGCCCATAGATTTGGAAACCCACTAATGAATGTTGCTGGTCGAGAAGGGGTTGGGTGAGAGTGAAAGCTGAAGGACATGATGCTGGAGATGGGGTAAGCAATGTAATAGGGAGCATTTTTCCTACACTTAAGAGTTTAGGTTTTATACTGTATACAGGGTGGCATGGAAAGATTTTGAGCAAGAGCAAGATAAAACCAGATCTGACCATGGAAATATGGACTGGGGCAGAGGCTAGGACCTTTGAATGCCAAGCATAGAAGTGTTTGCAGTTATGTGTAAAAGTATTGGCAAGAGTTAAAAGAAACCCTCTTTTGCCTTTCTCTCTCTGCCTGTCAATCTAACCCATTGAAATGGAAGGTTTTTGAGTTTATTTGATTTCGGGAAATGATATATTCTTTATGTTTTGTTTTTTTTTTCTCTCTCTCTATCTTCATTTTGCCCCTGGACTGCATATCATTGCGTGTAGTGGCCTGCAGGTTCTCGGTTTTCACTGAGAAATGTACTTTTGGGGTTGTTGGGCCTGTAAAACATGAAATTAACCAGTGTCATATCTTTCACGCCCTCCTCCCTGCTCACCCAGGAGCCCAAATTTAATTTCACACTGAACAATCTGAGCAGCTGCCATACTCCACAGACAACCAGCACATGGTTTTGATGGCCACAAGGTGGACACCTCTGTCACCAGGCTCTATGTCAACTCTGGTGCCTCTGTCTTGATGGCAACATATAGCTGATTATCGATTTGGTTTAAAGCTGCTATAAACTCCCCCAAGACCAACATGATCCATCCCTGAGTATGTGAGTGTTTGCATAGCCATTTACAGCTTGCAAAGCAGCATCCATGCCAGCCCTCAGGGCAGGGAATGTTATACACATCTTGAAGACTGGGAAACGAAGGCTTTGAGAGATAGCCAAGGCCACGTAGTGAGGTCAACACACTCTCCACCAGGCCAGTGGTCTTTCAGGCACATGGCAACTCCCTGTGACATCTTCAAATAGGAGGTTTGTAAAGCTAGCAAGGAAAAAACCTAATAAAAAGCCTGTCCCTTGGTAATTTCCTAAAAATTGAAATTGTCACTATTTTCTCCTTCAACTTCCCCCTTTTTTTGGTCCCCATGATCTTTTCCAATTTTCTAAAAACCATGTAATCATTATTCCAATGGCCTTTGTAATATCTTTCTCTTTCACCGTCTCTAGGTCTGGCTTAACAACATTTCTGAGACCCTGACTCTACCAACTTGTACTCTTCATCTATAATTCCTTTATCCAGAACATCCGTCTGTTCAAGTCTTTTCCATCTCAGCCTCTGCTCAAATTTCCCATCTACAAAAACGTATTTTCTTGTCCTCATCATAATTAACCTCTCCCTATGCCACGGTCCTGTAATCTTCTTGTAATACATCTACTAAAGGTTTCCATGTATTTCACTCTGTAACCATGCAGCCCAAGGCCCGGGACTTTCCTAGGTCATATTGGATCTCTATGCAAAGCAATATTGTGCATACAGCAGTTACTGGTGTATGCTTTACTTGACACACCAGATAAAAACATATTACTGTGCTTCATCTTTCAGTGTCGGCTGAGTGAGAGGATCTAAATTGATTTAAGAGATTACCTTGGTATGGACATTTAATCTCATGAATAAACCTGGTAAATGCATCTGATAGGCGCTAATTAGTAATATTCCTCTCAGGCTTTGTTTACATTTTATGTTGCCCACAGCACAGTAAGTTGACAAACTTTGGGTGAAGGGAGGTTCCAGAGGAAGAAAAGAAGACAAACTTTCCAGTGGTGAAGAATAATGATACAAATGGCATTTTTTAGTTTATCTAGTTTAAAATGTAATTCCTTCTACATTGTTCTCCCCCAAATAAATTTGTTTTCAATTGCTGTTTGAACTTCTTCTGAGGCAAAGAGGTCAGTATATAATAAAGCATGCCCTCTCATGATGGAATCTCATTGTGAGACAAACTTCCTTAATCAACCCTAAATTTCCTTTTTTTTTTTTTTTTTTTGAGACGGAGTCTCATTCTGTTGCCTAGGCTGGAGTGCAGTGGCAAGATCTCGGCTCACTGCAACCTCCACTTCCCAGGTTCAAGAGATTCTCCTCTCTCACCCTCCTGAGTAGCTGGGATTACAGGCCCCTGCCACCACACCTGGCTAATTTTTGTATTTTTTGATAGAGACAGGGTTCCACCGTGTTGGCCAGGCTGGTCTCAAACTCCTGACCTCAAGCAATCCACCCACCTCGGCCTCCCAAAGTGCTGGGATTACAGGTGTGAGCCACCATGCCCAGCTTGCATTTCTTCTTCCATACAATGGTCCTGATTCTGCCCTCAGAAATTCCGTAGAACAAGCCTAAGTAGTCCTTCCAGGACACACACTTTAAAATATCTGAAGACAACACACTTTAAAATATCTAAAGACACACACTTCAAAATATCTAAAGACAAGTTTTTCTCATTTTTTACTTTCTTTACTCCACCTATTCTACAGAAGTTTACATTGAGTTTCAGAAAGAAGAAAGAACATCCCCAAGTGCTATGGTCTGAATGTCAGTGTCTCCCCCAAATTCATATGTTGGAACCTAATATCTGGTGTGATAGAGTTAAGAGGTGGGACCTTTGGGAAAAGATTAAGTCATGATGACTCTCCCTTCATGAATGGGCTTAGTGCCCTTATAAAATAGGATTGAGCAAACTCCCTTGTTCTCTTGTCAGGATTCAGTGAAAAGGTGCCGTCTATGAAGAACAGACTCTCACCAGACACTGAATCTATGGATACCCTGATCTTGGACTTCTCAGTCTCTGAACTGTGAGCAATATATTTATGTTGTTTTTAAATTGCCCAATCTAAGGTGTATTGTTATAGCCATAGAAACAGACTAAGACACCAAGATAACAGAAAGTTCGAGCCAGAACCATTATTCTCGTAGCCTTTCCATTATACTATGAAGAGTGTGATGTTTTATGTGCCAAGTGCTCACTTGGCTAGGCTATATTATCAAGTTGCAAAATTAAACATTAATGTAAGTGCTTCTATGAAGGTATTTAGTAGACGTAGTTAACATGTGCAATCAATTGATTTCAAAGGAGAGTATTCTCCATAACCTGAGCCTCATGCGATTAGTTGAGAACCTTAAGAGCAAGACTGTTTTTCAGAGACAGAAGAAATCCCAACAATGAACTGTAGTTTCTATACAAGAATTTCCAGTCTGCTGGTTTTCCAATAGAGAGAGAGAGAGAGATACGTGTGTGCATGTGTGCATGTGTCTGTGTGAGCATGTGTGTCCTACTGACTCTGCTTTAGTCTGCTTTCGCTACTTCTGTACTTGAACCCTGACTGATACAAGGAGCTTTACTGAAACACTTTAGTATGTAGGGGAGGATTCCAGACCCCAAGACAGGGCTGAAAGTGAAGACATTCATGGAAGGGGAGCCTTTGACTCCTCTCACCTGCTGCTATGGAAGAAGCTGCTCCTCTAAGCCCAGGGCTGGCCACAGCCACATTGCTGGGATAGCGGCTGCCTTACATCAGAACAGAGTCCATGCACTCATAAGACTGTGCGCATAGGGGGAGCCATGCCCTTCCCATGCTCTCAGGAGAGAAGCCACTCTGGCTCCCTCACAAGCAGGCTTTTGGCTCTTCCTTCTGGTGCACCAGACTGCATCTAGGAGAAAGAGCAGGCCAGACTGCGTTTCTCCCCTAGGCTAATGAGATATATCAGATGCAGGTGACACTTGGGTCAGGCAAGCACCTGCTCTTCTGTGCCCTGAGGCTTTCTACTAACCTGGGAAGGAATTTGCTGCTGCAGCTTACGCTGGAAAGGTTAGCTGAGAATTTCTTGTAGTGGTTAAGACTTGGAATGCTTTCAAAACTGCCCCAGGACACCAGTAAGTACAGAATTCACCGGGGATGGGGTTGGAGAGAGGAGGGAATCAGGATTCTGGAACCAGCACTCTTGTTGTTGGGAGGCAGTTTAGTGGAGTAATGAGACCATTTTTGTATGTGTGTTGGGCTGCATAAGATATATTTTGGATCTCTTACTCATTACTTTTGTAACTTCTCTGAAACTCAGTTTCCTTATTTGTGAAATAGGGTTTAAAAAATGCAACTTCTTCATAGGATTTCTGTAAGGGTTAGTTAACACATACAAACATGCGTAATACCTATAAACATGTATAACATGTACATTTCCTGGCACATAAGTGCTCAATAAATAAGCATTATTGTTATTGCTATTTTTTTCATTCCTAAAACATTTGACTGAGGTTTCATTTGTTCCCAGCCATGATTAGAAATTATCGCCTTAGCAGATAGGATAGTGATGAAGATCATAAGCATTTTCATCAAGCAAACTAGGGTCTCTCCGTCTGTATTAGGTCACTCGTGCACTGCTGTAAAGAAACACCTGAAGTGTTTCATTTATAAGAAAAGAGGTTTATTAGGCTCATGGTTCTGCAGGCTGTACAGAAAGCATAGCAACATCTGTTTCTGGGGAGGCCTCAGCATCTTCCTTTTGTGGTGGAAGGCAAAGAGGAAGCAAGCATGTCACATGATGAAAGCAGGAGCAAGAGAGAGTGAGGTAGGTGCCATGCACTTTTAAACAACCAGATCTCACAGGAACTCAATCACTATCTTGAGTACAGCATCAAGGGGATGGTGCTTGTGATGGTTAATACTAAGTGTCAACTTGATTGGATTGAAAGGTGCAAAGTATTGATTGATCCTGGGTGTGTCTGTGAGAATGTTGCCAAGAGATTAACATTTGAGTAAGATGGCTGGGAAAGGCAGACCCACCCTTAATCTGGGTGGGCACCATCTAATCAGCTGCCAGCATGGACAGAATAAAAAGCAGGCAGAACGTGAAAAGACTAGACTGGTTTAGCCTCCCAGCCTACATCTTTCTCCTGTGCTGGATGCTTCCTGCCCTCAAACATTGGACTCCAAGTTCTTCAGCTTTGGGTCTCAGACTGGCTTCCTTGCTCCTGAGCTTGCAGATGGCCCATTGCGGGACCTTGTGATCATGTGAATTTAATACTCCTGAATCAACTCCCCTTCATATATACATCTATTCTATTAGTTCTGTCCCTCTAGAGAACCCTGACTAATACAGTGCTAAACCATTCATGAGAAATCCACCCCCATAATCCAATCGCCTCTCACCAGGCCCCACCTCCAACACTGGGGATTATATTTCAACATGAGATGTGGGTGGGGAAAATATCCAAACTATATCACCCTCTTTGTGACTTTGAGCAAGTAATTTGACTGTTGTCTCTGTTAGTTCATAAGAATATAAGATTAATAACACCTAGGATGTCAACATAACATAATAGGCATAAGGATGGGCGCTAGAGTTGAGCTGCCAGAATTTGAATCCCAGCTCTTTTTCTCGATAGCAGTATGGCCTTAGAATCTCTCTTTGCTGCAGTATCCTCATTTATAAACTGGAGATAATGATAGTGCCTATCTCACTGGGCTGTCATAGTGACTAAATGTGTTAATACGCATAAAATGCTTAGAAGAGTACCTAGCTCTTAGTAAGAACCTGGTAAATGTCAGCTATTCCCCCTTGTGCTTTGAGTAAGGATTAGATGAGATAGTACCTTTAAATATCTGGTATCCAGCAGGTGCACACTAAAATAATAGTGACTGCAGTGGTTGTTATTGCTTACAGTATTGATAATAATAACAAGAACATCATCATATTCTGACTTCTGCAGACCTGACACACTTTCTATAAGGTAAAGTTTATCTCCAAATCTTCTGTTTTAATCTCTTTTAACTTTCTAGAAACTGATCTGGCTGAGTTTCAGCTCCATGTGTCTTCTCTGTTAAAATATAAAGTCTTCAGTAACTTCCATCTACAAAATAAAATCCAACTTCTGGGATTTTTGAACCTCAATGGTCTCTTCCTCAATGAGCGTTTCCAGCTTTATTTTCTAGTCTTATGCTACTCCTCATCTCTTCTCTGCTTTCATTGCACAGTCTGGGTGCCCCCCTCTGCACGCAGGGAGTGTGTGTCTTTTGATGGACCTGAGACTATAGTCAACATCAGATCATCCAGTCTGAAATGGTGTCAGCCTGGACAATGGAAGGATCATAATCATAACAGCAGCCAGGCACTGGGTGCCTGCTGTGTACCAGACCCTGTGCTAAGTACTTTACATGTAGTTGATCCTTTCAATTTAATAGTCCCAGTGACTCCATGAGGCCAGGATCATTAGTGTCTTTTTACAGATGAGGCATCCAACATTCAGCCTGGTAAAATGACTTGCCCAAGGTGCTGTGACTAGTTTGGGGCTGAGTTGCTGATGAGCTTGATTGTCTTATATCCCTTGCTCCTTATGCATTTTTTAAAACCTTTTATGTAAATATAATGTATATAGAAAAATGGAAATCTCATAAATGCATAGCTTGATAGATTCTTATGAACTGAATATATCTGTGCACTGAAATCAAGAAAGAGAACATGAACAGCACCCGAAAAAACCTGTGTTATGATCCCTTCTAGTCACTATTTTTCTGATGGTGACCACTATTGCAATGTCCATCAATGGGTTATTTTTTCTGTTTTTGTACTTTTCTGTATTTTTTTCTGTTTTCGTACATTATATTTATGTAATGGAATCATTCTGTATGTGTTCTTTTGTGCCTTAATTCTTTAGCTCAACGTATATGTGTAAGACTCATCCATACTTTTGCTTTCAGTTGTAGGTCGTTTATTCTCATTCTTGTAAAGTGTTTCACATAGGGTGACTACAAATTCAGTGTTGGATGGATATGACCATGTACAAAGCATCAACAGAGAAAATCTCTGAATCTGAATAAACATCACAATACTTAACAAGTGAAAAAATAGGATTGATACTATGAATACAAGCAAGCTACAGTTGTGTTAAAAAGTAGAAAGGGATGGGACAAGCTAACACCCTTCAAGTTCAATACTTGATACATGTAGCATCATTTTTAAATTTTATAATAAAACACTTGATGTGAGATCTATGATCTTAACAAATTTTTAACTGCACGATAGGTTAGTGTTAACATTAGGAGTTACCATGTTGTGAAGCAGATCTCTAGAGCTTGTGCATCTTGCTTAACTGAAACTTTGTGTCTATCAGTTGGTGACTGCCATTTCCCTGGAAACCAGCACGCTGCTCTTTGATTCTATGAGTTTGACTATTTTAAATATATCATATAAATGTATTATATTAAAGACTGTGTCTAATTCAGAGCCCAGCAGCTCCTGCACATGAATATGAATTCTGAAGTATTTCAGAGAACTTCCTTAGAAAGATACAGGCCCCAAATTAGGCATGGAGTAAATTGTTTATGCTCAACAGTCAAAGATCCCCAACGCTGCTTACTACTCTGGTTTCACTGACTTTCTAACCTTCATGATTTGGACATTACCTATTTCCTTCTGAGCTGGACACGAGACCATGGGCTGCCTAAACATGTAGCTCCTTCTACAAACATCCTGTTCAGTGGACTTTAAGTATCCCTTTAATTATTTTGGTGTATTAGTGTAGTTTCCAATGTTCCAGATAGTGCTGCTACAAACATCCTAGTACCCATAAATGTATTTCTGGCCTTACACCAACTAAATCTCTGTATTCCATTTGATCTAAATGTTGGAGCTTATGAGGACCAAGCTGCATGCACATTCTCCTTCTAGCAAGCAGGAAAATGGGCATACGCTTGCATGCAAGTTGTATTCCTTTATTGCATCTGACAAGGAGCAAACTCTGGAAGAAGTTAAACCTGGTGGCTAGTTACTATCACAAGGATCACCTCAGTGTCAATTAGATTAAGCAGAAAGAGCCTGTTTTGGCATTTGCTTACCTCTTAGACAGAGTCCTAAATTATCCCCATTTAACAGGTGAATTTAGGGGATGTTTTTACTGTTCACTCAACTGCAGGCCTATCAGAATGTACTTTTATTCAATAATGAGGACATTTCTTGTTTGCAGAGTAGTTTCTAATTTAGGAGGCAGTTGTTACAAGTGTTTGTAAATGTAATATGCACACCCTTGCATATTTTTATCAGTACTCCCTATGCTGATTTTACAGACCAGGAAACAGGCTCAGAGGTGCAGCTGTTGCCCAAGATTACAAGCCAGGCATTTTATGTAGTTCCAGTGGCCATAAGTGTCCTTTTAAAGACTAAAGCAAGGTATTTTGGCTTGCCTTTTGCCTAAAACAAGCTATGTATCTGGGTGCCTACATAATTCTGTAGACAAGGAGATTATCTGGTGATTCTTACCCTAAAGAAAAAAAAAATGGGGCTCAAGTCATCTCTCTCATGCTACACAGAAATGTGGGTCCTTCATCAGCCACCCAATTATCTCTCAGCAGCTATTTGTATGCCAGGATGGCCCTATGACATCCTTTAAGAACAAGTTAAAGGGAAACTGCAAATATACAAACTATAGTCCATCAAAATTAGGCTGAACTACCTGATCCTACATCCTTAATTCCCCAAGTCCCATTACTTCTGGTACTTAGTTTTAGAAGCCACCTTTCTCAACTTGAGCTTTCTTTCTTTTCTGAATCTTAGTAATTGATCGAGCTTTACCCTTGACTGTGCCCATGTCTCCCAAGGAATGTTCCACTTCTCTGGTAAGCATCCGGGTTTGAGCTTTGCCAGCCTCTACTCTTCTGCCTGTTAACAGACTGGGGAAGACTTTCTTTTTTTTTTTTTTTTTTTTTTTTGAGACGGAGTCTCGCTCTCTCACCCAGTCTGGAGTGTAGTGGCGTGATTTCGGCTCACTGCAAGCTCTGCCTCCGGGGTTCATGCCATTCTCCTGCCTCGAGGTTGGGGAAAAGTTAAGTCTCTTCTCTGTGAGAAAATTTCGGTTCTGCTTACAACTATCCCTTCTGTCTACACCTTTGGTGAAGTGGGTTGCCTTTCTGTTTGATGAGAGCAAAGTTTGATTTTCTAATTTTTCCAATGGGATGACTGTGGTATCCTTTCCATTTGGTATCTAAAATAGAAGATTTGCTCTTTGACCAAAAACTGAATTATTGATATCAAGGATTGGCAAACTTTTAAATAAAAGGCCCAGATAGTAAATGTTTTAGGGTTTTTTGAGCCATTTGATGTCTGTTACAGCAACACAACTCTGCCATTGTAGCATAAAAGCAATCATACACAATATGTAAATGAACGAGTATGTTTGTGTCCCAATGAGATTTACAAAAACAGGCAATAGGCCAGACTTGGCTTGCAAGCCATTGTTTTCAGACCCCTACTCTATAGGACCAATTCTGTTTAGAGAATCCTACTACCAATTTACCACAAGCCAGAATATTCCAAAGATTCGTTAGAACATCTGATATTTGACAGCAGGGTCGAATGGCCATGTTAATTTCTCTTCATCTCTCAATCTCACATGATAGGTAGCAGGCTGGGTCAATAAAGCTTCAGCATGATTTTTCTACATTGATTTTAAAGGGGAAGAAATGTTAAGGGCAATATAGGGTAAGGAGAAATTTAAGATGCTTTGAGCTGCAATGAGAAAGCTTGACTAAGTGGCTTACCCAAAAAGACTTCTATGATTCATATAATTAGACTAGAATCAGTTGACCTCAGGAATGGTAGAGTGGCTCTAAGCTTGTCTTCAAGGACACAGGAATTTATTTGCTCTGCCATCCTCACCATATTAGCTTCTCATTGGCTTCTCATCTGTCACCTCCTAATTGCAGGATTGAGGTAGAACCTCCAAGTGTCACATCCTCACAGGTCTGTGTCCAAAGTATGAAGGGAGGGAATTGAGCAAAGGACCATCCCCCTATGTAGATTTATCTTTTATGAGAAATTAAAATGTTTCCCCAAGAGTTCTCCCAAAAGACTTTGCCTCATATTAGCCAGAATTAGATGACATTCTCACCTCTAACCAGTCACTGGAAAAAAGAATAGGGATGGCTCAATGGTCTAGAACAATTATGATTCATCCTCTATGACTATGTACATTCTCCTGAATGAAACTGGGTGTTGTATTCAAGGAAGCAGGGGAGGAGGAGGAAGGGATGTGGGGATGGCTGATGGGTAGACACCTAAGGTTTCAGACTACAAAGAATGAGGAAAATGCCAAAACCCTCTGTGAGGGTTGTGGCATGCAGGGCCTGCTGGGTGGTATGAGGGTGAGGTATTACCTTGAATTCGAGCTCTGTATAAAACATGATTCTCAGTCACAGTGGTTCTCAAACATTAGTATTCCCAAGAATCACCAGGGGCCCTTGTTGAAATGCAGTGTCCCGGACCCCTTCTCTAAGAATTTGGATTAAATAGTGCTAGAGCAGGCCAGGAATACATTTTTGAACAAGTCCTCCAGGAGACGTTGATCTCCAGGAGATGAAGCAAGTAGTCTGCTGCTCATATTGTGGGAATCAATCACTGAATGATCTTGAAGCTTTGAGAGTGATGCATAGGATAGAAACAACAGTCATTTTAAACTTCCAGTTTTTCTTAAGAGCAAAGATGCAAATATGTAAATACTAGGGGCACAGAGCTGCCCTTTGTGCTGAGACAGAAGTAGGATTGGGCCTCTTTGACCACAAGACTGTTAAGCCAAGATGCCTCCTATCAAGTTTATCTCCTAGTATGCATATATAGAGCTGCAAGGCTTAATATGAAATCAAGAGAATGTATGTAAACATAGTTTCTAAGCTATCTTATATTTCACATAGACTCCAGAGAAGCTTGAGTTTGATCCTTAATATTATGAATTTGGACAATAGCCTAAACCTCTGAGCTTCAGTGTCTACTTAAGTGAAACAGAGAAAAAAATTTTCTATGTCATATCATAGGATGATATCTTAAAAATTATTGAGAAAAAATATTCATGTAAGTAAATTATCATGGTGCTGGGAACCTCTAAATATTCAATAAATGCTAGCACTCATTACCATCTTTGTCTTCATCATATTGGTAGTAGTGGTGATGGTTTTATTAATATTTACACATGTTTGTAGTTATTAAGATTACCTTAGCAATTTTCTCATTTGCAGATGTGAAACGGGTACCAGCTATGTAAAATAACTTGTCAAATTTACTAAATTAGTTGGCTGAATTGAGTCTTGAGCCCAACTTGATTCTTGATTTTGTAATCAAGTTTTCTAATAATCTACATGCTAAATTCATAATAAGCAAATGTGACCCAGTTTCCTGGCACAAGTTAAGAAAGCACCCAACTCTAGGGAAGACTGTTTTATTTCAGCCCCCACATTTTCCTTCTCTCTCTCTTTCTCTTTCTCTCTTTCTTTCTCTCTCTTTCTCTGTCTGTCTCTCTCATCAACTTGTGCCCTGACCATTATGCAGAAGGCTTACTAGGGTAATTAAAAAGGGGAGTCAAGGTGCTTATTTGTGGGACCAGGAGACAAGTCGATGTGGCTCAATCTGCTGGGAATTGACTGCAATCAATTTCTTCAATGGCCTGTCCAAAGCTGTAGTTGTAAAGCATTCAGTGGGCTGATCAATGGTGGCCTTGAGTGCAGCTGGAGGGAGAGACAAAGCAGTGGCAGCAGCCCGGGCAGTCTGCAATCAGCAGGCCAGCCCAAGTCCAAGGTCAGCCTCCAGATCCTTTTCCCATCTCTATACAGCTCCCTGTCAGAAGTGTCAGAACAAGATGGGGCAGCTGAAAACACATGAGAAACATTCCTGGAAGCTCTGGAGAAAAGAAAACTCATTTGCTAAAGATAATAAAAATAATAATAATCTCATATTCATCATCATAACCATAATGGCAGTGGTTGTAATAATGACAGGGCACCTGATTTTATCTTCTGCTCTCTGAACGTGAAAGTACATCTCTATATCCAAATGAAAGTCATTTAAGGGCCATAGTTTTGCAGCAAATGGAATTCATCACATTTAATAAAATGCTAATTGATGCAGAGGAAGGAAGGCTAGTCTTTCTAGTTTTGTACATTTGTTCAGGCAATAAAGAAATAGTCAAGCATTATGATGTTATAGCTCCTAGTATGAATTGCATCTTGCACATAGTAGGTGCTATTTTTTTAAATATGCAAGGCACTGTGTTATGTATTGTTTATAAATGAGAAATAAATAAAATACGCCCCCTGCTCTCAAGAAATTCACATTCTAAAAGTGGCATGAGTTTAAATGTGGAGTTACGGTGATAAAGATATGAACCAATTTATTAATGAGAAAGAGGAAGGATGGATTAATTCTGATGGGGTTAGGAAGCGAAATGGATGGGGGGTACCTTGAGCTCTGATTTGAAAATTTGATATAATTTCTCTTGGTAGAAAAAAAAACATTCAAAGCAGAGAGAAAAGCACAAAGCTAAGAGAGTATACAGCAAGTTTTCTCGGTGGCAAGTAGTCTCTTGTGCTTAGTATACTGGGTGCTTGAAGAAAAAGTTACCAAAAAAATCTGAAAAAGTGGGTAGGAGCTTAGAAGAGAAGGGTTCTTGTTTTACGCAAAAAATTTATGTATCATCTTTGTTCATCCATTGACCAATGGAAACAGCTAAAATTTCTTCATAGAAGAACGTCCAGTTCTTATCTGAAGTTGTATCTTTTTAACAGAAGAGAGAGAAGTCAACAAATTATAAAGAACAGACAATATGACCGAGGCTCTTAAGAGCACTGATTTTGGAATCAGAGAGATCTGGCTTAAATCCTGGTTCTGTCCTTTCGAGCTAAGTGACAATGGCAGGTCAATTAACCTTCTTGAGGCTCAATTTCTTCATCTATAAAATGGGGACAAAATGCCTCTCTATTGGGTAGTTGTGAGAGTTGAATACAATATTTTAGCAGAGTCCTTGGCATCCTATAAGATTTTGATAGATGTTACATGCCATTATTATTAACTTCAAATACCTTCTCCATGTTTCCTTTCTGAACCTTTCTTCCACTTCTTTTGACATCTCTTTGAATACTTTAGTACCTTGAATTAATTTTAGACATAATGATGGACTATTATAAGAGCTATTTTGGTTTGGAGGGACTTTCCCCTCACCTTTCTGAATACACCACCAGCTGAATATCATATATCATATAAAGAAAGGTTAAGGGAGATGAGAAAATGTGGAAGAGCATGCAAACTATCTTCATGTATTCTAAAAGCTGCCATTCTTCAAACGAATGAGACTTAACCCTGTTTGGCTTCAATTGTAAACATTTGGCTAGTAGGAAAAGTCACAGAGAAGTTTGCTTTATTTTAATGAAGATAAGTTTAATGACTGAGGCTGTCTGCCAATCAAATGTGCTAAATTCTATGAGAGTGAGTTCCCCATCACTGGAAAGATTCAAGTTGAGATTGGTGACTGCAAACGGTATTTTTTTAGCTGGAGACTAAGTTAAAGTCTCCAGGGCCCTTTTATTAAAACCGTGGAGTCATCAACTCAATGTAAATAATGTAACCCATCTATAAATGTGTTCGAGTTTATAAATGAGAGGTTTGATGTAGTAGGGCATGCATACAGAAAGCTAGGGGCCAAATCCAGTCTGAAGATGTATGTCTGTTTTCCAGAATAGTGGCAGACCGTGTTATTTCCAGTTCACTCCAGTTCAAACCATTCCCTATTGTCTTACCCTGGTGAATATTATCTATTTGCTTTAACTGCCTGACCTTGTATGATAAGAACTTAAAGTCAAGAGACTCAGTTCTGTTCCCTGGCTCTGCCAGTGTTTTGCTCTGTTACTTTGGGTTAACAATTTCCCTATCTAAGCCTCAGTGCCTTGTCTGTAAAATATGGGAGTTGGACTCAGTAACTAAGGTCTTTGTCTGCTCTACATTCTGAGATTTATTATCATGAGAAGAAAAACTCACTCTAAAGACCTTTTTTTCTTCTGAAAAAAGCAATGACTTTCTCTGAACTCCTAGAGAGCTGTGAATGTGTATGTTGTCATTTCTAAGAAATGTAATTTGTAATCATTAATAAAAACGGATGAATCTGCCATCAGTCTTCTTGGATATTCCTGGTTTCCCAAGTTATTCCAAATAATTAAAATGAGATGAAAATATCCAAATATTGCCAATGTGTTCTCTGCTGAGATAAATGCTTTATGATGTTTGGACTCAAAATAGTGAAAGTCTCTGTTTTTTTTAACTGAACCAATTTAACTAGTGAAGGTTGGTTTGTTGGCTGTTACCACTTTTGTTACTGTTGTTCCCCTAGAGATACTAATAATTAAAAATATGAGGGAAATGACCAGAAAAAAAAAAAAAAAGAGACAAATCTCAAAGACTAATAAAAAAGTTGCGGGGAGGGGAAGGCAGTAACTGCCTGGGAACATGGTGCATGGATTCTGAAGCTTTATGTGTGAGATTCTTTTGCTCTGAAGAGCAACTCAACTGTGTCGATGGAGTCTGTTTACTAATTGTTTGACTCTGGGTGCTCACCCTGCCCTCATTACAATAAAGTCCTTCTTATCTGATGAGATTGAGATCTGTAATTGTAGGTTAATGAAAAGTCAGCTAAAACAGAAGTGGGCTAGAACGCTCAGGACCAGTATACCAACTAAGAGTCTAACTTACAGAGGACATTATTCATATTTCCAAAGGAAATGGAAAGCATCCAGAAATTGATTCATTGAGAAGTCAAAGATGATCATGTTAAAACAATTTAAAAATATAGAAAATCAAATAAATAAAGATACATGCCTAAATCCATTCAGAGACAATTGGTATTTTGGTATAAATCTATACAAGTTGGTATAAATACTTTTGGTACAAATACTTATAGAACTTTCTCTTTGCAGATATTTTTACTTATATAGTTTACTTATGTAATACATAATATATTTTGTAATATATGTAAAGTAATATAACATATATAATACGATTGATATTTGAACAATGTGGGGATTGGGGCACCTGACCACTGTGAAGTGAAAAATCCATGTATAACTTTGACTTCATCAAAACTTAACTACTAATAGCCTACTGTTGACAAGAAGCCTTACCAATAACAAAAACAGTCAATTAACCCATATTTTGTACGTTATATGTATTATATATTGTATTCTTACAATAAAGTAAGCTACAGAAAAGCAATGTTATTAAGAAAAATCATAAGGAAAAGCAAATATGTTTACTACTCACTATGTGGAAGTGGATCATCATAAAGGTCTTCATTCTTGTAGTCTTCACATTAAGTAAGCTACAGAGGAGGAAGAGGTGGAGTTGGTCTTGCTGTCTCAGTGGTGGCAGAGATGGAACAGGTGGAGGAGTTGGAAGGGGAAGCAGGAGAGGCAAGCACATTCAATGTAAACTTAACTGAAAAAAATCCACGTAAAAGTGGACCCACTTTTCAAACTCATGACCCTACAGTTGAAAGGTCAACTGTGTATGTAAACAGCTAATACAATTCAATTGCTTTATAACGTACATTTCATTGTCATAAGCATCCTTTAATAGTACTAAATACAAACACATATTATAATTTTATCAGCAATTTTATTTCCCCATTTCAAACTCCAGTTATTCCCAGTGTCACCTATGGCACACTTCTATTTTTTCAAGATTTCTACAAAGGACCTGCATTAATTTTATACTTTTAAGCACATAATTAGTTACATAATTATGTGCTTAAAATATAAAAACAGAAAAACTAAAAACACAAACGTACTAGTAAAGGAAAAGCATAATTAGAGATTAACAGTAAAATGTATTTGGAAATCAACCATTCCTGGCTTTCAAATTTCAAACTGCCCCTATGAACTGTGTGATACTGGACAAGTTAACTAACCCATCTGACTGAGCTTCAATCATTCCATCAAAAATAAGGGAAACAAAATAAATGTCTGAAGGTTGTTGGAAGGATTACAGAAACTAATGCTTATGCAGTGCTTTGCACAGACTGGGTACATAATAAGTAGTTAACATACGGTAATATCATCATCATCAAGTTCAATGCTTTATCTGATTTTGAAAAAAATATACGTTAAAGCAATTTTTTGCATGGCAAAAAATTTCACTTTGTGTTCTGAAATTCCTGATAACAATACTTAAGAATGTCCCTTCACTCTTAGATATCATGTGTAGGGATGTTCCCTTCCATTTAAAGAATATATTTTTTCACAAATATAAGTAGCTATGACACTTTGAGTCCATGGTTGGTTAAGAACTATTTAGGATGATTTACAACAATAATACAAATTCAAACAAATAGCCGGGGACTCAATTTTGCTAATGTTCCTGCAAGGGAAGAAACGTTGCCCCTATATTTTATTTTTAATGAAATATATTTATATTTATTGAGATATTATTAACAATATTATTCCACAATTCACCCAATTTAAGTACAAAATTTAATGGGTTTTAGTATATGCACAGGGTTGTGCAACCATTACCATGATCAATTTAAGAACATTTTCATCACCCCCAAAGGAAGCCCATACCTATTAGAACTCACTCCTCATTTTCTCCATCATTTTGAGGAACGGTTAGACTATTTTCCAAAGTGACTGTACCATTGTACATTTCCAACAGCAGTGTGTGAGGATTTCAATTTCTCCACATATTTGCCAGCATTTACTATCTTTTTTAACTATAAACATCCTAGAGTGTGTGAAGTGATATCTCATTTTGGTTTTAATTTGCATTTATTTAATGGTTAATTATGTTGAGCATCTTTTCTTGTGCTTATTGGCCATTTGTATATCTTCATTGGAGAAATGTAAATTTGTATCTTTCACCCACTTTTAAATTGGATTGTCTTTTAATAATTGAATTGTAAGCGTTCCTTATGTATTCCAGATACAAATCCCTTATCAAATGTATGATGTGCAAATATTTTCTCCATTCTGCAAATTGTCTCTTCACATTCTTCATGGTGTCCTTGGAAGCGTAAAGGGTTTTAGTTTTGATGAAATACAATTTATTTTGTCACTTGTGCCTTTAATGTTGTGTTTAAGAAATTATTGACTAATCTAAGGTCACAAAGATTTATTCCTATGTTTTTTCTAAGAGTTTTGTGGTTTTAGTTCTTATATTATGGCTATGATCTATTTTGGTTAATTTATGTGTATGGCGAGAGGAAGAGGCCCAGCTTCATTCCTTTCAATGTAGATATTCAGTCATCTTAGCACCATTTGTTGAAAGAACTATTGCTTTCCCCTACTGAATTGTCCTGGCACCTTTGTCAAACATCAACTATCCAAAAATATGATGGTTTATTTCTGGGCTCTCTATCCATTTATCTATATTTGTATCCTTATGCCTGATTACTGTCAGTTTGTGTTCAGTTTTAAAATTTAGAACATTGAGTTCTCTAGATTTTTTTTTTTGTCTTTCAAGATTGTTTTGCTATGCTGAGTCACTTGCATTTCAGTATGTATTTTAAGATCAGCTTGTCAATTTCTGTAAAAAAGTCCAGTGAAATTTTGATAAGGATTGCCTTAAATCTTGATCTATAGATCAGTCTTAACACTACTAAGTCTTTGAACTGAAAACATGTTTTGTCTTTTCATTTGTTTTTAATTTTTTATTTGTTAATGTGTCAACCTGTACTTACTTATGTACATATGGGTTTTGTTTTCCTATCTTATTTTGGTCTTTTTATCCTCCCATTAAAATACGAGATCTATGAAATCAGAAAATGTACCCATCTTGTTCATTGCTTTTTCATCAGCTTTCATCATAGATCCTGTTTCATAAAGCATGTTCAATAAGTATTTGTGAATTCAATTATTTGGTAAGACAAGAGATACCTAAAGTTTGCTCAGATAAAAAGTTATGACATTCTCTTGTAGTTGCTTTCCAGGAATAAAATTTTACTCAGAGAAATTCAAGACAATGGAAGGCAGAAACTCTCATGAACTCAACTTCCAGACCACATAGGAACTAGAATATTATCAGATGTCTGCATCCTCTCTCTTGCTCTTTGGGCTTACATAGCCTCCCATTCCTGCTTCTGCATATCCATATGTGCTAGTCTCTTGTCTAAGAACCAGTTTCTTTAGATTAACCATAGTCCGTCATAGCTACTCCAAAATGTGTTTTGACCCTTGAGATCATTGGCTCTTATAGCTTCAGTGCCCATGGCTGAGTCCCTTTTTCTGGTTAGTGATTTTAAATTCTAGAGAGAGGAAGTTTGATTGCTCCAAATAGTCAGTGGTGCTTCTCTGGGCCAGTTCTGACCAACAGGGCAGGGCTAGACAATACATAGACTCTTTCTCTACTCTTGGTCTATAAGCAACCAAAGTTGGGAGATTGCTAGCAGTTATATGACACATTTTAAATTTGGGGTTTAAAATTTAAGTTTTTTATTTAAATAATCCATGTGAATGAATGAACTCCCATTCACAATTGCTACAAAGAGAATAAAATACCTAGGAATATGGCTAACAAGAGATGTGAAGAACCTCTTCAAGGAAAACTACAACCCACTGCTCAAGGAAATAAAAGAGGACACAAACAAATGGAAAAACATTCCACCCTCATGGATAGAAACAATCAATATTGTGAAATGGTGATACTGCTCAATGTAATTTATAAATTCAATGCTATTCCCATCAAACTACCATTGACACCCTTCACAGAATTAGAAAAAAAAAACACTTTAAAATTCATATGGAACCAAAAAAGAGCCCACATAGCCAAGACAATCCTAAACAAAAAGAACGATGCTGAAGGCATCATGCTACCAGACTTCAAACTATACTACAAGGCTATAATAACCAAAACAGCATGGCACTGGTATCAAACAGACATATAGACCAATGGAACAGAATAGAGACCTCAGAAATAAGACCACACATCTACAACCATTTGATCTTCAACAAACCTGACAAAAACAGGCAATGGGGAGAAGATTCCCTATTTAATAAGTGGTGCTGGGAAAACTGGCTAGCCATATGCAGAAAACTAAAACTGGACCCCTTCCTTACACCTTATACAAAAATTAACTCAAGATGGAGTAAAGACTTAAATGTAAATCTCAAAACCATAAAAACCCTAGAAGAAAACCTAGGTAATACCATTTAGGATATAGGCATGGGCAAAGATTTTATGACGAAATCACCAAAAGCAATTGCAACAAAAGCTAAAATTGACAAATGGGATCTAATTAAACTAAAGAGCTTCTGCACAGCAAAAGAAACTATCGCAGAGCGAATAGGCAACCTACAAAATGGGAGGAAATTTTTGCAATCTACCCTTTGGACAAAGGTGTTATATCCAGAATTTACAAGGAACGAATTTACAAGAAAAAAAACAAACAACCTCATCAAAAAGTGGGCAAAGGATATGAACAGACACTTCTCAAAAGAAAACATTTACACAGCCAACAAACATATTTTAAAAAGCTCAACATCACTGATTATTAGAGAAATGTAAATCAAAACCACAATGAGATACCAGCTCATGTCAGTCAGAATGGTGATTATTAAAAAGTCAAGAAACAACAGATTCTGGAGAGGCTGTGGAGAAATAGGAACACTTTTACATTGTTGGTGAGAATGTAAATTAGTTCAACCATTGTGGAAGACAATGTGGTGATTCCTCAAGGATCTAGAACCAGAAATACCATTTGACCTAGTGATTTCATTACTGGGTATACACCCCAAGGAATATAAATCATTCTATTATAAAGATACATGCACACATATGTTTATTGCAGCATTATTCACAATAGCAAAGACATGGAACCAATCCAAATGCCATCAATGATAGACTGGATAAGAAAATATGGTACACATACACCATGGAATTCTATGCAGCCAGAAAAAGGGATGAGATCATGTCCTTTGCAGGGACATGGATGAAGCTGGAAGCCATCATCCTCAGCAAACAATCAGAAAAACAGAAAACCAAACACTGCATGTTCTTACTCATAAGTGGGGGTTGAAGAATGAGAACACATGGACACAGGGAGGGCAACAACACATTCCAGAAACTGTTGGGGGGTGGTGAGGAGAGAGGGAGCATCAGGGCAAACAGCTAATGCAAGTGGGGCTTAAAACCTAGGTGACGGGTTGATAGATGCAGCAAACCACCATGACCCATGTATACCTAGGTAACAAACCAGCACATTCTGCACATGTATCCCCAGACTTAAAGTAAAAAAATCAAAAATAAATTAATAGTAAAATAAATACATAAATAATCCATGTGAATGGTCAAGTTCACATGGATAGTAAGTGAGATTCGATTACCAGGTCTTCTTGCTCCCAATATACATAGTTATTCTGGGGAGAAATGGCATTCAGAATATCCTGTCCTGGGCCTTCAAGGTAGCACCCCTTTTATAAAGGGGTTTAATGTACTGGGAATGTGTTTCTGTTTCATGGACTTCTGTTTCACGTACTGGGAATCTGGCTACCATCCAGTTATGGGACATTCAGCTTAGAGAAGGTCTCTTGCCTCCTGCTGCTAAGGAAATTGCATTATTGGATTTTTAAATAAACCATTGGCCAGAATATCTAAGAGCCTTTCCTGCAGACCTTGACAGGTTTATTTTTTTTAAATTAAAAATCCTGGCCTAGGGCTAAATGAAAATGTCTTCAGATTTGCAATCGGTGTTTATGTTTCATATTTGAAATGTACGTTGGAAGCTGGAGTTTGATGTAACCTGATCCCGGGACTCCATTCAGCAGACTGCTGACTTCTTTGAATTTAGGTGTTTTTGATGGGAACCGTCCTTGGTCATCACCAGGAGGCAGGGAAGACACCCAATTACTCCAGTGTGTGATGGTCATGGTCATTTTCTTTCATCTTTCTCACAGACTGATTGCAGCTAGCCAGTCAAAATCCCCTACATAATTGAGAACACAAAGGGCATATGAAAGATCTGTAACTGTGTGTAAGACCTTCTTGCCCACTGATCTAAATCAGAAGAGAATATGAATGGGTCCACACACACTCCTATGACCAAGGGCACCAACAAATGTCAGCACCAAAGCAGCATCTTCAGAAAATGCATGAATAAGGGGTCCAGTTTATATTTTCAAATGTGACAAATTGCTCGAATAAGGCTGTTAGTTCACATTAAAATAATAGGCACACACAGCAATGCTTTGTTAGGATTTTTCATAAAAATGTTTCAATTTTACACACGTACCTCACCAGCTGTCACGAAGGTAATGCCTCAGGGCTTGAACTAACAAATGATTATCTTCCACTGTAGGAGGGTAAATAAAACCTAATGCATGTATTTACTTTATTTACTTGTTTATTAATACCAACAACTATTAACACAGGATTCTGAACAGTATTTTTTTTCTTTCCAGGTAAAAATTCAATTTTTCGTTTAAGCTTAAGTTAGAATGTTGAAGCACGGTAAAGGTTTTGGAGGTTCCTCTCCACATATACTCCAATCCCAAACTTCATCACTGTACAAATTTGAGAAGTGAGACTCAGAATGAAGCAACTTACCTCAATCCCTCCAATTAGTAAATAACCAAGTTAATACCCAAATTCTCATCCTCTATCTCCATATCCATTCCTGTTTTTATTATCTGTGCCATCTCTGATTTAAATCATTTCAACTCAAGGGCTTGCTCAAGGCCAGGCCCAGGGCTGGAAACTGGCCACAAACAGATAAATAAAACATAGTTCTGGCTGTCCAGGAGATCATGATCTAGGAAAGAAATAGAGAAATACTCATGACCTGATTGGAACAATAATTATGGGAGAAATTGAAAGAGTCACCAAAGAATTTCTTCCCTGAAAACTGCTGGTTTCAAACAATTTTTTTTCTTCTAGGTAATGTCTTTCCAACTTTAAAGGAAAAGATAATTCTTATACTTTATAAACTCCTCCAAGAATAGAGAAGGAGTGGAACAGCTATTTCATTCATGGTATGAAACCATCAAAAGTTGCCAAAAACAGCAGCAATAGACCTGAAGAGAAAGACTTTACAGGCTGTGTTTCCATCACGTAAACCAGCCCCAATCTTGGCAATGCTGAACAGACAAGATGTGGAGGCCTGAACCAAGGTCAGCCAATCCATCGCCTGGCAGTAATGATCAGTCTCTCTCTTGAGCAGTTAGACATAAAACCAGAGAGAAGATAGTGGGTGTATGTTAGATGTTAGCACTAAGAGGACAGGTATATGTTTAGCAGCCACTTGGCAGAAGAAAAATTCTTCTAAGAAAAAGAGGATGGAGACAAGGAGAGATTAGAGACACAAGAAATGGAGGGAAACAAAATATCATAGAGTATCATATAGCTTCTAAAAGCCAGAGAGAGTGGCTTTGGTTTCTAGCGGCTTCCTACCTCCAGTTCTCATTAAACCAGGTTGTATCAGATTCCCGCTTCTACAGCATTGCCTGATGGTGTGCTTTCAGTCACAGCCCCTCTGCCACACAGACCAGATGCATTCATTATTCCTGTGCTATATTACAGAGGTCTCCATTCTTTGCAATAAAGATGGCTTTGCTTGAATGATAATTGCTGAAAATGAGAAGACAAAATTATCATTCTTTATAAAAATATATATGTTGATATCTAGAACACTCAAGAGAATCAACTGAACAACTATTAAAACTAATAAGAGAGTACAGAAAAGAGACTGGTTACAGGATAAATACACCAAAATAATAGCATTTTTCTTCACTGGCAATAACTAGTTGGGAAGTATGATTTTAAAATATCTTATTCACAATAGCAACAGAAAACATAAAATGCCTATGAATAGCTTTAACAAGAAATATGTAAGATGCTTATGAAGAAAACCACAAAACCTTACAGTGAAATATAAAAAATACTTGGCTAAATGGGAAGATAAACAGTGTTCCTGGGCAGAAGGCCCAATTATGAAAGGAGAGTAGTTTCTTCTAAATTAACTTACAGATGTATCAGATTTTCCAACCATCTTAACAGGACTTTTAAAAAACTTAATGAGGTAATTCTGAAATTCATCCACAATAATAATAGGTAAAAATAGCTGTCAGTTATAAAAATAATTATTAGAAAGATGTACTCTCATATATTATACAGCGTAAATAATTTTAAAATAACATTATGTTTTTGGTATAAGAATAGAAATTTAATACAACATTGAGATAATATCACAAATCTATTGAAGAAATATTATTAGATTGTTTTATTTATTTATTTTTTTGAGACGGAGTCTTGCTGTGTTGCACAGGCTGGAGTGCAATAGTGTGATCTTGGCTCACTGCAACCTCCGCCTCCTGGCCTCAAGCAATCCTCCCACCTCAGTCTCCTGAGTAGCTGAAAGTACAGGCACCCATCACCATGTCTGGCTAATTTTTGTATTTTTTCTAGAGACAGGGTTTTGTCATGTTGCCCAGGCTAGAAATATTATTTTTAATACATGGTTATGAGCCCTTTTACCCAAAGATGAAGCCTTGGGTTGCAGGGAAACATTCCCCAATACTGTCTACTTGAAAGAATTACAGATTTATAAAAGAATTAAATGTAATATTTAAAAGCAAGAAGGAATATTGATAATTGATTATATTGAGGGGTAATTGGAAAGAGGGTAATTTTAATTTTAAAAAGTAAGAAATTATATAAAAAGAAAGATTAGATGCTACTATATGAAAATATAAAGTAGCTTTACCTAAACATCAAAGGTAAAATTGAAATACTATGGGGGAAAACTGGAAAATTTTTAAACAAATGTAACAGAATAAGAGTTATTCTTAACATATAAAGAAAATTTATGCAATGCATTCAGATTCTAACTGATAAACAGGCTATAAAATGCCATGAAGAGGCATTCACAAAAGAGGAAATACAAATGCTGAATAAGCATATGTTTTAAAAAGGCAACCTCGCTAGCAATTAAATAAACGCAAATTAAAACAATGAGTTATTATCCTCACCTCTCAAATTAGCAAAACTAGAAAAAAAAAAAATCTCCAAACAGGGATCTGTGAGATAAGCACACTTCTCTGCTGCTGGGAATATAAATTTCTGCATCACTTGAAATAGCAGCTGAACAATTGCATCTGAAGATAAATACATTCAAATATTTTAAAGCTATTTATAAGATGCAAAGAGGCCGAGCATGGTGACTCAGGCCTGTAATCCCAGCACTTTGGGAGGCTGAGGTGGGCGGATCACCTAAGGCCAGGAGTTCGAGACTGGCCTGGCCAACATAGCGAAACCCCATCTCTAATAAAAACACAAAAATTAGCTGGGCATGGTGGCACACACCTGTAATCCCAGCTACTCAGGAGGCTGAGGTAGGAGAATTGTTTGAATCCAGGAAGCAGGGGTTTCAGTGAGCCGAGATTGCATCACGCCACTGCACTCCAGCCTGGGTGACAGAGCAAGACTCCATTTCAAAAAAAAAAAAAAAAAAGGTGCAAAAATAATTTGTAACATAGACAAAATACTCATATATATACATTGCAGACATTTGTTTGTGCACCACATGTGCACATGTTTTAATAATAGCCTAATCAGAACCAAAAACATACTCAAATAAGAGTATTGATTAATTAAAATGGTAGTACATTTATATGATGGAAATTAGAGTACTCATTGTAAATTAGATTTGGGGAGGTTTTTTATTATTATAATAGCTTTATTGAGGTATAATTTTTGTAACATAAAATCTACCTATTATAAGTATGAAATTCATTTTTTTTAGTAAATTTATAGAGTTGGGCTACCACCAACACAATCTATTTTTATCCTATTTATATCACCCGAAATATTTTCTTGTGGATTTTTGCAGTTAATCCCTCTTGCACCCTCAACCTACTGATTGGTTTTTTGTTTCTACAGAGTTGCCATTCTGGATATTTCATACCAATGGAATTATATGCTATATGGTCTTGAAGGATTCTTAATTTTAAAAAAGTCTACATCAATACTGTATTTCCAAAATTATGAATATTCCTCCATACAAGTTACGACCTCAACTAAGTTAACACAGCAACAAAACTTGCTCAAATGTTAAACCATTATGAGTGATTTTTGCCTGGAAGACAAAATTATAAAGGATTTTCAAAGCACTTTTTGCATTTTTAAATACAGAAATTCTCTGTGTAAGAGAATATATACATATTAGATTTATCATAAGGGACAAATAAGGGAGAAATAGGAAAATCATTTTCCTATAATGGAATAAGTGCTTTGACAGAGGTCATTGCTTTGAGAGAAACACATCTGTCTTGAGAAGTCAGGAAGGAAACATTTAAACTGGAGCTTGCAAAAGCTGGTTTTGTGGGGGAAGAGTGTGTGGAAGGGCATTCTGAGCAGCACCAACTTCTCTAACAAGAATACAAATTTAGAGAATTAAACACTACTATGAAAGATGCAAAGATAATGATAAATTATTTTCTAACTGGGGAGAAAAATATCCAAAAAAAAAAAAAAAAAACTGGTAGTTTACGCAAAGGGAGAAATGAGTAATTACCCAGTAAGCCATGAGATTTGGGGATAAATTTGAGATGTGGGAGGAACAAAGCAAAACCAGACTCAGGAAATAACATTGATCTCCCAGTTTACTACTCTCCTCCCAGATTTCCAACCTATTCATTCATGTAATCCCATCCACATTTTAATGTGCAATACTTTGTCTGACCCTTTCTCCAATTCCTCTGTATTTCTCGCTCTCCACAAGCCATTCTAACAGGGACAAAAAGAATAAAATCACTGTTTATCCAACTCTGGTAAACTCTGGGATCACTAGTTCTTTCAACAGAACACCAAACTACTAAATTTAGGATAAAAATGCTGCTATGATTTCAAGACATTTGGCTTGTGCCTTTTTTGAAACCTTCCCATCTGAGAAGGGAAGGCGATTTTACATAAAAGGTAACTGAGAAACTCATCGGCCCAATTATATGCTGCCTTAATTCACTAACAATCCCCACGTAAGACATTCTGTTTCCCTATGTAAGACATTGTGCTTGATGACACAGGATATGGGAACGGAGGGATAACAAAGAATCTTCACTTCAATAAATTTATAATATAAATGACTGTGTCTCAAATTTGCCTCCCTGTGTAATCACCAGGGAAGCTTTAAAAAATACTGATGCTCAGATCACATTTCCTAGAAATTACGATTAATTTAGTTAAGGGTGTGGTCTCGCTATCAGAAATTTTAAAAGCTCCCCAGGTGATTCTAATGGACAGCCAAGTTTGGAAACTCCTATCTAAAGGAAGTAAGACAAAACATTTAATTATAAAATAGCCTTGATCACATCACTTTCCGAATCAAATCCTTAAGAGCTTCTTTACTGCCTGTGGACACAAGTCCAAACTCCTATTTGCCATTTAAGGCCCTATTCAAGCCTATGTAATCTAGCACCCCCTAAATCTTATTCTCCTAAGTCTTCCCCACTGGAAGGTCAGAGCATTCCTGACTCAGCTCCAGAAACAGGAAATAGGCTGATTTCTGCCAACTCAAACTGATTGCTACAGGCTACCAGGGGAAGTGTGTTTTAAAAGATCCTGAGGCTCCCACAATGTTTAACAGAAAAAAAAAATTGCCATGATCTATTAGTAATGTCTGCCATGCTTAGGTAATGGAAAAGGGCAGTATGAGTGGTAGACATTTGCCATGCTGGCATTATTCCTTTGCTTCCCTGTGTCCTGAGTCTCGGAATGTCCTCTAGATCATCCTTCAAAGCTTAGCACAGTGACCTTTCCTCCTTGAAGTCTTCCTGTTGTCCTCCAAATTCTCCCTACCTTGGCTGAGAGGGTTCATCAAGCCTTCCTCTGAATCTCCGTTAGCACTCTGTTGTCACATTTTCTGTAGAAATCAATATCAGCTTGTGTGTATGTCTCAGATACTTTAAAATATGGTTTTCAAACTTTCACTTGCATTAGACTCGCCTGGAAATTTTGTTAAAAGACATCCAGAGTTTCTGATTCAGTAGCAGGGGGGAAGGGCTCAAAAATTTGCACCTCTAACAAGATCTCAGATGATGCTGAAGATGCTGGCCTGAGTACCACACTTTGAGAACGACCATTCTTTTAAATTATAATATTTTAGAAGGCCTGTTGCAAACTTGTCTTTATCTCTGCATTCCTTTTAGCAATACCCTGAACATAGTAGATACTTATTTCCATGGAGTTAAACCACAGTAATCTAAGACAGATGATAAGTGTGAAGTGATAGGTGCAGACACAGGATAAAAGAAATCATGCTGGTTTGGAATAATTTTTTAAAAATCATAGTTGACATTGTGTGTTGGACAGGAGTAGAATAGGGATGAATGCTGGCTCAGTATCTGGACCGGGGTCACAGAGAAGGGGAAGCATTTTAGAAAGATGCCAGAGGTAATAACCTAGAGACACACTTAGTTACTGTCTTCATCATTATCAAGCAAGAAGCCTCTGAACTGACTGTGAATTTAGTACGCAGGAAAAGAGCCCTGAAATTGTGATCAAAGGAGACAAATGGGTAGCCAAAGGCAGGAGAAGCAATGAAGGCAGGCTCCAGGAGGATTTTTTTATTTCATATCTCTAGAAATATGTCCCCATTGGCTTTATTGAAAGCCACCCCAAGGCTGGTGGGGGAGGTGAGAACTGTTAGAAGATGAATGAGAGATGGCTCTCTGGGAAAATGTCCCCAGCTCTCACTGGCCAGCTGGGTTTTAAAAGCCATTTCAGCAATTGTTCGGAGCTGTCAGATGTCTCTGTCAGATCGATAGGTTACTGTGGAATTTGCCCAGACTGTTGCCCAATCAAAATGTAAATTCCAGATAAATTTAATACATAAACCAACTTGTCTTCTTCAAGCCATTTTGAAAGTCATGAAAAGTAATTTGACTTTTCCTCATGACTGTCATCCAGGAGACACATTTTCTCCCAGTGTTAAGCATTTATTTCACCTCAAAACTCATTGTGAGTCCAGTGGAGGTAAGGAAGGTGTGGGGTATATATGTGAGTATAGTTTTATCATGCATGTGCTTCATGGAGAGCTGGAAAGCTCAATTATTTGAGTGTCCATTATGAGACGTGTATTAATTAATATGAAGATGTGTAGTGTCTATATGTGCACGAGGCTGATAGATTTGCTAGTGGGATGTGTGATTAAAAAGTCATGAACTTCCTATTTATGTCTCTCATGGGCAGTCTCATTTTCTAGAACATCCAAGATGTGTCTGGATGCATGACTATGTATATGCATGTTGCAACCTATCTTTTCCAACAAGAACCATAAATCTTTACATTGAAAGAAAAGATTTATAGCTCAGCCAGGTTGGCTCTGGGCCCTATGGGGAAGTATGCTTTAGAGACATGTCCTAATTTTTCACATTGAAAAAAGTCATAATGGGCAAAGCATGTAGGCAAGAGGTAAGTCTTTGAACTCAGAATGTCTAAGTGCGGATTTTTCATTGAATCATTTATCCTGTGGTCATTATATTGCAGATGTCTCAGATGCCTTACTTCTATGCAAATGCTAGTTTATAAAACACTTTCACATCCAGTCTGCCATTTAATCCCCACAGTGATTCACTGAAGTAGCTGGATGGCCCTCATTTGACAGGTGAAGAAACTAAGGCCCAGCAGGCAAAGTGGCTTGACCAAAGCCATAGAATAAGGATAGACCCAAGACTTGAACTCAGGTAAATATTCTTCATTGTACCAAAGATATCTTTTCTACTCTTCTCCACTCTACTCTGTCCTTTTATGGCATGTGTTAGCTGGGCTTTTGTATTAGTTTTCTGTAGCTGCCATAACAAAGTGCAAATCTGGCAGCTAAAACCAACAAAAGTGTATTCTCTTACAGTTATGGAGGCCAGAATTTTGATATGAGTCTTAGTAGGCTGAAATCAAGATGTTGGTAGGGCTTTGTTCCTTCTGGAGGCTCTAGGGGAAAATCTGTTTCTTCGCTTCTAGTTTCTAGAGGCCACTTCCATTCCTTGGTTTGTGGCCCCCTTCCAAGCCTACAGTGTCAGGGGAAGTCCTTCTCATGTGGCCATCCTTAGTTTTCTTCTGCCTCCTTCTTGCTTTGTATGGGCACTTCAGATTACATGGGGGCCTCTCAGATAATATGATAATCTCCCTATATTAAGCTGATCGGCAACCTGAATTCCATGTTCTGCCCAAGTTCCCTTTCGCCATTTAAAGCAATGTATTCATAAATTCTGGAGATTAGGATGTAGATACCTTTGAGGAGCTAGTAGTCTACCTACCACAGATAAATTGTTTCCTAGCATTTTGTAGGTTCAGCAGTGAAAGACTGGCAGAAGATCAAAACGAGAAGAGACAGAGGTCCAGGTATTCATTTCCCCCACCCCTGTTCTCTCCTTGTTGATCTGCATTTCTGCAGAAGCTTCATCATTCTGTTAAAGCCACAGCTCTGTTAAAGGGCCCTTTCCTACAAAGATGGCTCTTTCAGGGTCCCTGCAATCACTCTCTACCTTGTCCCATCAGGCCTGAAATGGTAACAAGATCCCTTTGTCTTTATCCTCAAGTCGCTTTATCATCTCTTGGTGGCTCCCTAAGCCTCTCCACACCTTTGTCAGTAGCTCCTCCATGAAGCCATCTCCAGTCACTCCTTGAAGTGTGGGATCAGTTGTTAGCCAGGCCCCTGGCTGATGAATGAAAGAAACATCTTCCAAATCCAGGTCTTTCCCCTACACCACAGTTGGCTAAATCAATGAGAGAGCTGCCACTGCTACAGAGCAATGAAGGCCATGATTATGTTTCAGTTATAATTTCTATTTTTCTCTCCTGTCCAGAGTACAAAATAAGGGCTAAATTGAGCTCACTGGTTACTAATATTCTCACTTTAATTAGTGAAAAGGGCCCATTTTGGAAAGCAAAAGAGATAATTCCTTCTGGTCCAAAGTGGCCGAAAAAATAATAAGGAAAATACATTCCCTCCTCAGGTCTAGTAAATTTTTAAACTCAGAAATAGCCAAGCCTTCTGTTCACGTCATTGTCATTTCTCTTTCAACTCGGCAACTAGCTGACTGTGTGATGTCTAATAAATGCCAAATCCCTTACTCTACACTGCAGGGCCTACCTCATGGGCTCTTATCTACCTCTTTGATCTAATCTCTGACCAGTCTCCCTACCCCCAACCACTCCACCTCAACCAGCCTGGCCTCTTTTTCATTCCTCTACCTGGAAGGACTGTTCTCACCCAAGGCCTTTGCCCTTGCTGTCTCTCTTCCTAGAAATTTCTGTATCTAGATCTTCAAATGGCTAATCCTTCTCAATGTTGGAGTCTTAGCTCAAATATCACCTCTACAGGAAGACAGTTCCAGACCACACTAAACAACCACTCCATCACAGCACGAATTACTCAACATCATCTGAAATCACCTTTAAACATTTTCTTCATTTTCTATATTTCCCCAATAGAACACATATTCCGAAAGATCAGTGGCCTTGCGGGTCTTGTTCATTGTGGTATCTCCAGCCCCTAGAACTGTGCCTGGCACATAGTCAGAGTTGTTATTAAATTCTTAAATTTAATGATACTGGCTAACATGTATTCAAAACGTATGTGCCAGATATTCTTCTAACTGCTTTATGTGTGTGTACTCATTTTTATTCTCTGTGGCAACATGATGAGGTTGATATTATTATTTTCCCCATCTTACAGATTAAAAAACTGCAGCTCCCGAGAATCATGAGTTTGGACATCCCCAGTTATAGATTACACAGCTGGTAAATAGCAGAGGAGGGTTTTGAATGCAGAAAGTTAGCTGCAGGGCCTGTGTATTAATCAGTATGCTCCACTCTCTATCCCCTATACAAGGATGTGCTTTGGGTTTTCTGTGTATATTTTCTTCCCATTCTCACTGACTCTTCATCCTTTGAGGTCAAATCAAATGTGACCTCCTGCATAAATTTCTGCATCAAACCCTGATAGGATCCTTCCCTTTGGTGTCTTCCTATCTCACATTATATGCATGACTGTTATGTATCAAATCATGCCATAAACATGAGCTAATTTCCTATCTAATTGTTGATTCTTTTTTTTTTTTTTTTTTCTGACACGGAGTTTCACTCTTGTTGCCCAGGCTGGAGTGCAATGGCATGATTTCAGCTCACTGCAACCTCCGCCTCCCAGGTTCAAGCGATTCTCTTGCTTTAGCCTCCTGAGTAGCTGGGATTACAGGCACCCGTCACTATGCCCAGCTAATTTTTGTATTTTTAGTAGAGATGGGGTTTCACCACGTTGGCCAGGCTGTTCTCGAACTTCTGACCTCCAGTGATCCATCTGCCTCAGCCTCCCAAAGTGCTGGGATTACAGGCGTGAGCCACCACGCCCAGCCTAATTGTTGATTCTTAAAGCCAGAAACCCTCATTTCATACCTCTAGTATTCAGCAGAGTGCCTATTTAGCACTCAATAACTAGTGTATGTTAGACATGCTATATAAACATGTATGGCTTCTAAGCCAAGCAACTTCATTCAAAGTTTTAGCCACTTTGCCCCAAAATTCTAAAGAATATTTGAATCAATACACTTAAGAAGGAAAAGATGTGACAGGATGTGGCAGGAGCTCCATCATGGAGACTGACTCTGACGCCAGAACCCACAGGAGTCAGGGAGATGAACACAGGTCCAGAAAATTGGCTGCATTGGGATCTCTTGGCAGAGAGGAGAGTAATGGTATGGAAGCAGCAAAAGGGATTGAGATGTTGCTATGAACTCAGCAGCTCATCAAAGCCAAGTGGTGATCCCAAGCTGCAGAGGCAAGACACACCCACCACTTCAGTCTGGCCTTCTGAAGCCCATTGTGCATGTGCCCATTCCCCACCTCCTAGCATTTGCTTCTACTGTTCCCACTGCCTGGTACACCCTTTCTTCTCCAGGTCACCTAACCAAATACAGTTATTAATCTCTTGGATTTTTTCAAAAAGAAAATCAAATGTGTTAGGCATTAATTAGTGCAATTCAGAAGTAATAGAGATGAAGAGTAAGAACATTAGAAAGAAAAGAGAGGAAGCTGCTGAATTGGGTGATCCACATCGCTTCTTTGTGAGAGGCAGTTTATTTTGTTTAAGCAGTGGGTGATAAAAGCAACAGGAATGGATAAGAACACTGCAGGAGTCATAGAGTTTGCGGTGGTACTAGAAACAGATGAATCAAATCAAACACAGGATTTGCTCAGAGATATTTAGGTTTTATAACCATTTAATCATCTAATTCAATAATAATAATAATGCTAATAATAACTATATGCAACCCATGTTATTGAAATTATTGCAAGACCTAGTCCTAGGAATGGGATTTCCCCATCACTGATAAATAAGTGTTTATTTGATACTAGGAGATTTCTCAATAGCCCAATTGCCTTGTTTTTGCAGATCAGGCTGAGGTACTCATTCTGCATGGGGTTCAGCTTAAATTCTTCCTTCATCCAGGCTATTCCTATTCTCCCCCACCACTTTCCTGTCTCCAGAGGAGGCATCTTTTGCATCAAACATCTAAATTAATGATTTGGGGTATTTTCTAAATATTTATTGTGCACTTTTCTTTTCTACCAAGATTATAAACTTGCAGAAAGGCAGAACAACTTCTCTTGCAAGCCCTGAAAGTCCAGCAGCTATAGGGATGGGTACAGACCTGACCTTCAATGATTGTAAGTTGAGTTGAATTAGAATGAACTTTGCCAAAAGGCTTTGCAGCATGTTGACAGATGTTGTGCAGGTGTGTGAGGCAGGAGAGAAGGGGTGGTGGGTCTCTCTGGTCAAATCCATTTGGAAAACACTGGGTTAAACAAAGTTTAACAGGTTTTCTCCCTACCGGGCTTCTCTGTCCCTTTGATATGTAAATGTGCATTGTGTAGCTCAAAGAGGGGCTTCCCTGGGCAGTGTTTCCAAAATGTGTTTGCAACAGGAAGCCTTTATTTTACAGAGAAACTTTCAAAATCAGTGTTCCACTGAACACACTCGGAAAACATTGAATTTAATTAAATAAATTATAGATTGAGAAGAAACCTTCAAGATTACTTTTGTTAATACCCTCAGTTTCCTCATATGAAAAATTGTGATGATAAAGCCACCTACCCCAAAAAGTTGCTATGAAGATTAAATACATGCATATATTTAGAGATACTTAACATATCAATAGATGTTTACTGTTATCATTCTATAGATGAAAATATAAGTTCCCACTGCATATGGGTTCAGGGGTTCAGAGTCAAGGCTTTGGAGTCAGACCAGGGTGAAGCTGGCTTGCATGACATTGGGCAGGTGACACAACAACTCTTATCTTATCCCCCACTTTCTCATCTGTAAAATGGGCTGATGATAACTAAATTTGTGGAGTTGTCCTGAGGATTAAAGGGGACAATGCAGGTAAAAGGCTTAGCCTGGAAACTGGTACCCAGTAGGCATAGCTCTTAGTTATAACAAATAATACTCATGCAGAGCTTCCTTTGATTCAAGAGTTGCTAAGCCTTGATATGTATTAACACGTGATTGTGATCTTATTAAACATAACAGGTAGGTGTATTTTTAATCTTATTTGACAGAAGATAAATTAGGATAAAAAAGGTAAAACAGCTCACCCAAGATCACCTCTTTGAGACATGAGGAAGTCAAAATTCAAATCTCACAGGCTGACTCCAAAGCCAGTGCTCTCAACCACTGCCATTCTTCCTCTGCTGCATCCCACACTGCTCCCCATCCACAGTGAATGACACTGGTTGAGCCTAGTACTTCTTTCCTGCTTATTACTGCTGGCATGCTAAAGACAGGATGTGTTCTGCCAAGTGGCACCTTAAACGCTCCAGGGTCTTGATTATGGTTTCCTCATGTCTATGCAGCTCGGTTCCTGCCTCTGCCCCAGTCTAAGAAGGGGGCAGGCAGATACTGAGGCCCTGTCTTTATTTCTGTGTCTGAGCCTGACCAGGCAGATAGAATCCAAAGTTAGGGGTCCTGCAAGTCCTCTCTGGTCCAGTGATGAAGTGAGAGTCGGAGATCTGGAGGACAGTGTTCTCCTGTCCCTGCCCAGGGAAGTTTGAGAACCTGGACATTCACAGAGTCAAGCTAACTTGGATACCCTCCAGGAAAAGCCACATGAGAGGGAGAACAGCATACTTATCATCTTTTCCAAAGGAGGCTGATCCTGGCTTAAACCCCTGACACAAGCAATCATCATTCTTCCTTTCTGGATAAACTGAGGTTGAATTTGCCTTTGGGTTAATTTGTCTTTGGTCACTGAACCAGCAAGTTGCAAAGCAGGACTTGAACTTGAATATCTTCTTTCCAAACCCTGCTCTTTCCACATATCTCTGAACATGCCCAACATACGAAGAGGGGTGAGATGGAAAGAACTACAGGTGGACTAAAGGGCATATCCATCCAGAACGAGCTTTAATCTGTGGATGGGATGTAATGTACCTTGGGTTTAACTAACACCTGTGAGTCCAGAGATGCCCAACTATGAAGCTGGGCCGATGGCCAGTTCTCTCTAGAGTTACAGGCTGGGACCAAAACATCCATTTCTTTTCCTCCAAAGGTGTCACCTGACGGTAACTGGGGTCATGTCAGCATTTCCAGGAGGCATATTTATGTAGTGCTTTTATCAAGCAAGGCCAGTGGCCACGATCCCACAGCAGGCCTGGGTCAGGCAATTGAAGCATTACATCATCTCAGTTGAGTTGTTTTGGAAAGTGGAGCCAGAAGAAAAAGAGAAAGGGGCCAGGATGGTGGGAAGGAAAAAGCTCACGTACTGAGCCAGCCAGTAGATGCTAGATTCTGGGCCAAGTGCCTCACAGACATTATCTGATTTAATCTTTACAAGTGTCCTAAAAAGCAGGCATTGAGCTCTAATTGTACAGATGAGGAAACTAGTCAGAAGGGTTAAAGAGCTTTGTCTGAGGCCTATGGTTTTGCATATGTATGATACAGACCCAGATCTCTCTGACTTTGGAATCTGACCTTATTGCCCTATTTCTCTCTGCCTCTGTGTTTTCAGAGTCTAGTCTTGATCTCCCCATTTAACTTATATAGGCAAGCTTCTCTTCTCTGAGCCTCTTATTTGTTATCCTAGAACAACAATATTGCTTTCCTACTCTAGAGACTGGCAGGACATAAGGACAGGACATTTGAAAACATTTTCATCAATTAAACATGAGTGTATACTATTTTTATAAGTATAAATAAGAGCACCTAAAAAGGGGAAAACATATACACACAAATACACATATATATGCACATATGCAAACATATATACACACACACATAAATATACAAATAAAATTATTGCAGCAAATTCTTTCCTGAAGTTATTTATAAACCCCCACATCATTGTATGCTTTTTTTTTTTTTTTTTTGCCATGTTGGTGCTCCCTGTGTTTGCCTTTTTGGGAAAAATAATATAACTTTAATCATGTAACACTTTACCTTGAAAGGATCTATTTAACATCTCTTTCGGCATCCTAGTCTCTAATTGCATAATTGAAAGATTTATCTTCATGGTTTTGTGCAAACTGTAGAGTATTTCACGTGCTTTTTTAGTTTTTTTTCTTCTAAAATCAAAGCCAACGTCCTTAAGACCATAGTTCTCTACTTGCAGAGGTAGGAACATGGTCACTAGAGGTAGCCTGGGCCATTCACGGACACACTGTGTGATCATATTAGCTTTTGTATCAGACCAGTCTGGTGGCTATGTGCCAAAGGCAGATGTAGAAGCCAACTAGGAGGCTCTTGTTGTAACCAGGGCTGGAGGGATGAGGGCTTAACCTGGGTGGTGGTGATGAAAATAGAAAAGAGAGAATGGTTTCAAAACATTTTAAAGGTGGAATCAATGCAACTTGAATGGCTTGAATTTGGGGATGACTAGCGTCCTGGGGAACATGCTTTGAGATTCAATGTATTGAAAAAATTTGCATGATTACAGGCATAGAACCTAGTTATTGCATGGGATTCACTGGAAGCTTCATTTAGATTAAACATGAAAAGACTCCCAATGATTAAAGCCATCCCATAGTAAAATAACCTGTCTAGGTAGGTAATTGATTATTTGACTTTGGAAATGTTCAAAAAGGGTCTAAGTCACAATTTCTATGAAATTTTATGAAAATGGCTTGGGTATCATCTTTAAGAAAAACATGTTTCAACATTTTAGGGAAGAATATCCATAATAATTACAGCTGACTTATTTATCAACATAATAACTAACACTTACCAGGTGTCCATTGTGTGTCAGTTTCAAATGCTTAACACGGGTTAATCTTCACAACTACTCTATGCAGTGATACTAATATTATCCCCGTCTTACCAATAAGGAAGTTGAGATACAGAAACATTAAGGTACTTATCCAAGGTCATATTGCTGATAAGTGGGTAGAAACAAGATTATAACTTAGGCAGTCTGCCTCCACCAGACACAACTTAAAAGTCTCAATAGCAGAAAGAAAATAGTTCAGTATGTCATAGCACAGTCCTTCCCTTCCCCTCCCCCTTCCCCCTCCCCCTCCCCCTCTCCCCTCCCCTCCCCTCCCCTCCCCTCCCTTTCCTTTCCATTCCTTTCCTTTCCTTTCCTTTCCTTTCCTTTCCTTTCCTTTCCTTTCCTTTCCTTTTCCTTTCCTTTCCTTTCCTTTTCTTGAGACAGGGTCTTGCTCTGTCACCCAGGCTGGAGTGTGGTGGCACAATCTCAGCTCACTGCAGCCTCTGCCTTCCATCTCAGGTTCAAGGGATTCTCGTGCCTCAGCCTCCCAAGTAGCTGAGCTGCAGATGTACACCACCACACCTGGCTATTCTTTGTATTTTTAGTAGAGACAGGGTTTCGCCATGTTGGCAAGGCTGGTCTCGAACTCCTGACCTCAAGTGATTTGCTCACCTCAGCCTCCCAACATGCTGGGATTACAGGCATGAGCCACCATGCCCAGCCAGCACAGCCATTTTCTAGTATTAGGTTATTCTAGTATTATGTTATTAAACCTAGCAATCATGAAAACTATGTAGTAACAATGAAGAAGAAGGTTTAGAAATAACTTACCCATATACCACAATTATCACTATGTACAAAACCTACAGAGATATACAGAAAATGAAATGGAAGGGAATGGTATAGTGAAAGGAATACAGATGATCTGTTTTCTTTTCAACATTTTCCTCAAAATAGTAACACTACATCTATTCAGAAAATATAGTTGTAATTCAAAGCAGATAAAATGCACTTACACGGAAAAAAGCTGGAAGGAGATTGGATTTCTAAGAACTTTTCCAACAGAGAAATTCTATGATTCTGTTAGAGTGGGCTTTTTTATGGGCAAACTTGGTATCCAATATGAGTATGTGGATGAAGACAAATCTGTCATGAATGAAATGCAAAACCTCAACTGAAAACTTTTATTTTGATTTAACAGTCAATAATCCAAACTAAACACCAATCGATTAAGACAAATATGTTTCCGAGGCCTCACAATTCTGTATTATTAGTCACACATCCCCAACAAAGTTGCTAAACTTCCATAAATATGTTTTTAATGATCAGACAATATTTATCTAATGCATGCTATCTCTCACATTAAGTTGAAATTAAATGCACGATTTACTGTGTCATGTCCCTTCACGGCTTCAACAGTCCTCTCTTTTCTTCCCTTTTGAGCTCAGATAACAATTTGCAATGCAGCTGTATAACATCTGGTAGCCAAGAAATACTGCTGGAGAGGTTTTCAGTCTCAGAGTTTGATGGGTCCTGATACACAAACCATTTCTCATCAACTTTTCCTGGATGCAAAAATGCATCTCAGGAATATGTTCTTGGGAAATATCCATGTGTCTGACATTTTCCCCACATCTTAGCTGAGGAATACCCCCACAGTAAGTCAATATACTTTATTGCAGAAGAAAATAAGAGAATACATCTAGGTCTCACTGACTTTTTTCACTTACTAGCAACTACCTGACCCCAGAATAGTTGATCTAGGGGGAAGCACTGCTGTTTCTTAGGAGGGTCTATACAATTATGGTGAGATGGATAATAATATCATTCTGTCTTGATTTAAAGACATTTCCAATGATAAGACATGCTACTGATTTAATAAGAGCTCCTTGAGAAAAAGAGAGAAGCACTACATTAATGTACATGTCAATTGTAAGATATTCCAATTTCAGAAATGTTAAATAAAAAAGTATATCTCAAAATTTGGAAAATATAATAGCTAATATATCTAAATTGGCAAAATGTGTCTGTGTTTTTTTTAAGTTTCTTTTATACTCAAAATGAAGTAGTGAGTTAGATATTTTGATCTCTCTTTTACAGATGAGGAAATTGAGTCTCAGAGATTGAATCGATGGCAGAGAAGGGACTCGAACTAGCTCTTCCCAAGAATGTCTTCACATCAGAGAGAAATTCTTCCTTCCAAGCACTAGAACCTGGGGGGAGGTGGAAGGACACTAAACTTGGAGGCACAACAAGCCGAGTTTCTTCTCAAGATTTGGCCCCAATAGAGGCAGTGTCTGGGCTAGAAGCTAGTTTGCATGATTCCACAGTTATCCACAGGGACTGATATTTAAAATTACATCCCGTGTTCAAAGTTCATAAATTACTGATAAAAACAGCCTGTTGAAATTTCATTGAATAATTATAAGCTTAGTTCGCTGTCACTGCTCTAAGAGGATACTAACAGCCACCAGGTACCTACCATGTCCTGTATGCTACATTCTTAACACTTTACACACATTGTGTCAGGTTATAATCACAGTGAACCCATGAGGCAGGTGAATTGTTATAAGGACGGGGAACTTGAGGCACAAAGAAACTTGCTCAAGATTCAGAATTCAAATCCAGATTTTTCTAATTCCACGGCAGGGCTTTTAATAACTAAAATAACGAAATAAATTGTTATCAGGACACAGAAGAAAAAAACACAAAAGGCAAAAACTTCTACTCCTAGAGATTTGAGATCCATTTGGTGAGGTAAGATTAAAACATATATAACGATGAGAATAAAATGCCACCCACAAATATTATTACCCCATTTTGCAGACGAGTAAATAGAACCTAAGGCTGTAAAAATCAGTGAGATAGAATTCAAATCCAGGATTTCAAAGCTCTGCTCCAATTCTCTTTCTCTCTTTACATTGCATCAGCCATGCCATTTCATTTTTGAGAAGGAAGCCAGGTCCAAATGATATTCAATAACTGTCCCAATATGAAAGGTTTATCAAACTTTGATGATGTGACTGCACCCAGTGATTTATGTCTGAAATTCCAAGGATGAGCTGTGACAACTGAAAGGCTCTGTCCTTTAGATCCTCATATTTCCTCCGTCCTCATTGCTTCCTGTCTGGTACTCACTCACCCCTGATCATAAATATTGTCTGCCACTTTTATGATTATTGGTGGTTAGATATGATGAATTCTGATACTAGTCAACTGTGGAGGAGATATTAAATACATTATCTAAATTTCCCTTAATGCCTCATCCAATATGAATCAATATTGGTTTAATAATTAACATGTTTAAACATTTTTATGTATATTTCATGATGAGATGATCTATGTTTATTTTATGAAGATGAAATATTTAGCTCCCTGCCACTGAGGGTAAAGCCATTCCAACTTCTTAGAGCTGTCTCTTTAGCTTGCTCTGAGGCCATCGTTTCACATTCTGGGAGGACTGGCTGGTTCTCACCAACTGTGACCCGGTAGAGGATGCTGAGTTCATAATGAGAAGTTGAGAGCATTTGGAAAAAGGAAAGGCTTAATGCTAAATAGAGAGCTCTGAGAGGAGCCTGCTGGAATGGTGGTAGCAGCTTTGACCCCTGGCCCAGCTCTGCCTCAATCCTACTGCCCCAGCTTTGCCTCAATCCTCCTCTTCAGTCTGAAGGCATATACTGAGCACTGACTGTAAGTAGGATTCCACTCCCTCACTCAAGGAGAGGCATTATTGGAGGGTGGAGTGAAAACCATGGTTTAGAACAGTGGTCAGTTAGGGGCTATTTCTGGTCTCTCCCACCACTCCTTGGAGACATTTGGCAATGTCCGGAGATATTTTGGGTGTCCAAACTGGAAGATTGTTACTGAGTTCTGGTGAGCAGAGGCCAGGGATGCTGCTAAACATCCTACGTAGCACAAGACAGCCCCCCCACAGCAAAGAATAATCTAGTTTAAAATGCCAGTAGTGCCAAGGCTGAGAAACTCTGATTTACAATCAGACACCGGTAGGCTTGACCCCAGTTCTGCCGTGTGTTGTGTGAACTTGAAAAGTTTCTGGTCCTTGCTTTTCACATCTCTAAATTGGGGATAATATTTATTAAAGTGTCTTCTTTATGAAGTTAGGCAAAAATTAAGTGAAAGACAAATATTAGAAGTCTAGTGTTTGGCACTATTATGGACAGAAAGTTTGTATTCCCCCCAAATTCATGCTGAAACCTAAGCCTCAATGTGATAGGATTAGGAGGTGGGGCCTTTGGGGGATGATTAGATCATGAGAGTATAGCCTCATGAATGAGATTAGTGCCAAAAAAGAAAAACCAAACCTGATTTCTCTCTCATCTTCTTTTCTGCCTCATGTGTATACAAGGAGGAGACAACTGTCTGTTACCTGGAAGGGGGCCGTCACTAGCACCTGGCCATACTGGCACTGTGATCTCAGACTTTCAGCATCCAAAACTGTGAGAAATCAATTTCTGTTGTTTTTAAGACACACAGTCCATGACTCTTTGTTGTAGCAGCCTGAACTAAGACAGGCACATAGGTTCAACTACAGGATAGTGGAAAACTATGAGAGGTGAAAGGTAGATTTTTTAAAACATTCACTTTTTTTTATTTCCTCCTGTATTTTATCTTCATTATATAATTTTGAAGTTCCTTAGTATCTTAGTTTGAGACTAAGCTTCAAGAAGCCTTGGGAGCCTTCATTTTTTCTCCTGGGAATCTGCAACCACTACATGAACAAAGTGGCCTGCTGGGGAATGAGAGACCATGTAGGACAGAGATGAATTATCCTAGCTGAGATCATTTTAACCAGCCCACTAGTAGACTAGAGACACGTGATTGATCCCAGCAAAGACTGGGATCAATATCTCCTCCACCAGATAGGTATCAATATCTCCTCCACCAGAAGAACTATCTGCTGAGCCCACCCCAAACTGCCAAATGGCATCATAAGCAAAATCACTGGTTGTTGTTTTGAGCTGCAGTGTTTAGGGGTGATTTGTTACACAGCAAAGACTAACTGATGCTGTAAGCTAGCACCAAGCACTAAGAGGCCAGAAAAAAATTTACCCAGAAAGAAGGAGAGCATGTGCCAAAATATCTGAAGGAAAGAGAAAGAGAGCAGAATTGCTATCAAACTCTAACTGAGATACTAATTTCCTTTAAGAAGACCATGGATTCTCTCCTTAGAGGATTAATAGCTTCTTTATATTTGCATTCAAAACATTTTCCCCATTCTTTTCATGTATCTCATCATCAGTATCGCCTGAAAACCTTGTCAACTGGACACCCTGTCATGGACCCTGTGTTTTAGAGCTGTGCTAACTAATATAGGAGTCACTAGCCACATGTGGATATTTAAATTTAAATTAATTAATTAAAATACAATACAATGAAAAAAAATCAATTCCGAAGTCAACTAGCCACATTTGGCATGCTCCATAGTTACAAATGCCAGGTCATATATAGAGTACTGCCATCATCACCGAAAGATGTACTTAGAGTGCTACTTTAGAGAACCTCTCTCTGGTTCTTCTTCGGGGAAAGGAGGTGAGAACTATATGGATTCCCATATAGGGGATAGCCAAACTTCCAGACCCTGCATCATGCCCAGAGTGATCCACCTGGACTGCTCCAAGTCCACTTGCAGGGTCCTATCCATGGATCTGGCGCCTTGAGAATGGACTCAGCTGTTGATGTGTACATCTTTAGGTATGAAGGGTGCCTGAAGGGTATGTCTTAGATGGAAGGGTGAATTTGAGGCCTGGGATTTCCACATACAAGCACATGAAGATCCTCTTGATGTAAGAAAAAGCTGGAGTAAAAAGAGAAGGCAAGTGGGCTGCAGGCCAGGACCCTCTATTTCTAATCTTGCCTTAAGCCTCACAGATATGAGGGGCAGGTCTGTTATCACCTGTATTACAGAGTTGATTAGTGATTATCTTTGTTGCTGTTTTAGCAAATTACCACAATCTTAATGACTTCAACAATACAAATTATTATCTTAAAGTTCTGGAAGTCAGAAGTCTGAAATGGGTGTCATTGGGCTAAAATCAAGGAGTCAGCAGGGCTGCATTTCTTTCTAGACATTGTAGAGAACAATTTGTTGCCTCGATCTTTCTAATTTCTAAAGGCCACCCACATACCTCGGTTTATGGCCCCTTCCTCCACCTTTAAAACCAGCAATGCCAGGTGAGTCTTTCTCATGCCACCATCTCTCTGGTTCTTTGCTTTTGCCATTCTCTTCCTTTTAAGGACATTTGCGATTACATTGGCACCATCCAATAATCCAGGATAACTTCTCTATTTTAAAGTCAGCAGATTAGCAACCTGAAGTCCTCTTTGCCATATAACCTAACTATTCACAGGTTCTGGGGACTAGGATGTAGTCTTTCTGGGGGCCATTGTTCTTCCTGCCACAGTGATTTAAGAGTGGCCTGTACTGTCAAGCACTTGTGGGTCAAGAATATATTTTCCTGACTTTAGCAATTCCACAATCTGTGCCAAGCACTTTTATATGCAGACCTTATTTGAACCTCACAGTATTGCATCTCTATCAAGCACCTGCAATATGTCAGCAGGATTTTATTACCTGTGCAAGTAAGATACTATTATTTTTATTCTACAGATGAAAAATCTGAAACTGAGAGGAGGTTAAGTAACTTGTCTGAAGTCCATTTCCTTGTAAAAAGCAGAATTGAAATTTGAACTCAGTTGTGCAACTATAAAACCTGGACTGTTGTCAGTATGCCAAGACTTTTGCATACATTATTCCAGTTGATCCACACAACATTAATAATAATGCATGCCCTTCATTGTACTCTTCCTACATGCCATGCATTTCATATATCTTATCTTTGATCTTTATGGCAATTTTACAAAATAGGCAATATTATCTCAATTTCTAGAATTAAAGAAAGCCAGACTTAGCAAAGTTGAATGAATTATCTGAAGCCATTTTAGTTTCTATTATATAGCAGGCACTGTTCTAGGGGCTGGAGATACAACAGAGTAGCATGCTTTCATCCTCATATGAAAGAAAGATCATAATCCAATCAATAAATAAAGGAATTGATCATGTGAGAGGTAATGAGTGCCATGGGAAAACTATAAACTATAGGTTAAAGACAGCATGTGCTGCTTTTATATAGGATGGTTGACAAAGACCTTTCTGAAAGTCATTGTTGGGCAGAGGCATGGAAGAAATAAGAAGCCAATATATAGAAAGCCATCTGGGATGAGAGCATGGTAAGTAAAGAGAATGGCACAAGCTCGAGTTCTAAGGAGAGAATGAGCTTGGTGGGATCAAGGAACAGCAAGAAAGTGAATCTGGTGTGAGCTGCATGCAAGTGGGGAGAATATTTTTCCTCGATGAAATCCCAAGGGGTCCAGATGACACAGGGCAGCCTAAGTTATTGTCCAGTCAGAGTCACTTCTTATACTCTGAATAAGATGGGAAGCTATTAATCAGAGGAAGATTTTGAGTAGGGAAATGACAACGATGGTTCATATTGTAAAAGAATTACTTGGGTGCTAGGAGGAGAATAGACTGCAGGGGCAAGGGTGGCAGCATGGAGACCAGAGAGGAGGCTGCTGCTATTTTCCTGGAGAGCTGATGATAGCAGTAGTCATGAGAAGTATGAGAGAAAAAGAAAAAAAGAGCCAAAGACGAGCCCAGAGTTCTGGTCTGAAGAACTGGAAGAATAGAGGTGGTATTTACTACAAATGGGGCTGTCTCCATGATCCTGGAGTCTAGGGTATTTTTTTAAAACCAGGGTGGGGGCATTACATCATGTTTCTATGCTAATTGAGAAGGTTATCTGGAGAGGGGAAAAATTATGATTTAGGCAAGTTAGGATGATTTCTAAATTACTAAAGCAGTGACCTTGAGAGGAGGTTTGGCTGGGACAGAGAAAGGCAGAGATGATATCTATAGGCATGAACAATAATTTATAGAAACAGGAGAGAAAGAAAGTATAGAGGCCCAAATCCCAATAGGCTGGCAATAGTGATAGGGTTTGTAGATGTTCTCATCAATTTTCTCATGAAATAGGTAGCAATGTCTGAGCAAAGAGTGACAGATGGAGAAGAGGTATTGGATAGGTGAGCAAAACAGAGAAGAAACCGAATAGTAATGGTGAAGGGATGATGAAAATGTGGTAGAATCTGAATCCAGGTTCATCAGGCTCCAACATCAGCAAACTCCTCATATACCATATGGTTTTAAATTTTCCTGTAAATATATAAGCTACTTCCAATTCGACAAATGAACAAAATGATTATTTCAAGATTTTATATGGCCTAAGTCTACTCAGCTTATTACACTGCAAAACCCGATTTCAAACTAAAGGTTCAGACCACTAATTCACAGCCTAATGAACCTATTCACAATTCGTCCTGTAGGGAAACTGAAAACCATGGCAGATGATTCTTTGAAGGGGTAATGAGATACTGAGTCTCTACCTCAAGCAGCCCCAAAAAGTGGCAAATGAAAAACATTTTCTGCACATTTCCTTGGATTTTCTCAGCTGCATTTTCCCCTAATACTATAGCCTGATCTCTTGCATTTTCAGCTCTCTTCTATACTCAGGTCAAGTTAAAGCAACAGATGTAAGACTAGTTTTGACCTGCCCCTGTGAGTCAATGACATAAGGCAGAATATTTTTGTGCCGAGGGCTTTTGAAAAAGGGCTGAACTTTCCTGGAAAAGATCAGATCAAGATAGGACATCTGCTTTTACTTTTTTTTTTCTTGCTCAGGATTCTATCCTTCCTTTTCCTTCCTTTCTTGGTCCTGTGAGTTATGATTCATAGCTAAATGTGTCACTTAATAAAAACTTTGGGGCAGTCGTAGCTACTCAGGAGACAGGCAAGGAGGATCGCTTGAGCCCAGGGGGTTGAGGCTGCAGTGAATCATAATCATGCCACTACCCTCCAGCCTGGGTAACAGAGTGAGAGCCTATCTAAACCACCCCCCATCCCCCCCCACACACACTTTGGATTCTGTATTAGGCTGTTCTTGCTTTGCTATAAAGAAATACCCGAGGTTGAGTAATTTATAAAGGAAAGAAATTTAATTGGCTCACAGTTCTGCAGGCTGTACAAGCATTGCACCAACATCTGCTCAGCTTCTGGGGAGGCCTCAGGGAGGTCATGGCAGAAGGTAGTGCAGGAGCAGGCATATCAGGTGGCAAAAGCTGGAGTGAGAGAGGATGAGGGAGGTGCCACACACTTTTACACAACCAGATCTCCTGTGAATTCAGACTGAGAGCTCACTCATCACCAAGGGGATGGCCCAAGCCATTCAGAAGTGATTCACCTCCATGATCCGAACACTTCCCAGCAGGTCCCACCTCCAACATTGGGAATTTCAACATGAGAATTGAGCAGGGACATATTTCCAAACTGTATCAGGTTCCAAGCAATTTTCTCAAGTAGAATCTTTTTCAGGGTTGAAAGAGACCTAGCATATCACCATGCCCAGAATCACTTTCCTCAAATGAAGAGATTGAGACTAAAGAAAGGAAGTGACAGCAATTGCAGACCAGAAATCGTGTTTTTTTCACTTCCAACAAGGTCTGAAAGAAGGTTGCAGAAGGTTTTATATTATTCAGACTTTAAAGTAACCCACAGAAAATGATACGGGATTCACAGTTTCCCAACCAGACTCCTCAACCCTAAAATGACATTTGCAAATAGCATCAGGAAAAACATTTTTCCCCTTGTTTTTGATGTCTAATGTTTAAACTTTCTTTAAAGGTTGTATTCTAAAAAGGTTGAGTTCATGGAGGGTCAATGACTCAGAGACAGACTTCGGGGCTATTTAAAACCAGCCTTGTGGCTTTTAGTGTCTCCACCGTAAAGAGAATGGTGGGGTGGGCCCCACAGGAAACTGACTGCAGTGAAGAGAAAGTGAGGAGCAGGACAGAACCTCCAACCATTTGGACAACCTCAGGATTTCAGTTATAGCCCCTCAACTCACTGCCTCCCTGACCCACCTACAAACTTAACTGCATCTACACTTGTTCCCTGCCTTCTGTCCTATTTCCGAACCTTGTGGTACCTAAGATTTTTTTCTTCTGCTCCATGTCTTTAAACTCATCTCTCTACATCTCCTGTAAGACTTCATTTTATCAAGTGGGTCTTTCATTTCTGAGATGTTTAACTCTCCTTTTCTACCTCTGCCTTCCTATCAATAATCACATCTATCTTCCACAGCAGCTCCCCCAGTATGCCATGTTCTCCCTGCACCTCATCTTTCCTTAGCCCTTCAATGATGAGCATTTTGAAGGGTTTCTCTGCCTTGACTGTTTCTACATTCTTACTTTCCATTCATTCCCCAAGCCAATGGAATTGGAACTCTTCCAAAATTTCACTCAATCTTCTCTTGCCAAGGTCACCAATGATATCCTAATTTCAAGACCCAATGGACATTCTTATTTCTTACTTACTTTCTTATTTTCTAAATAGGATGTCTGTACTATTTGGTATTGGTTACTTCTTCCTCAAAATGGACTTCTTTCCAGGATTCTCAGGCTCCTACAAAGATTCTTTTTCCTTTACTGACTTTGTAAATACTAAGGTTTCCCAGGATTCTGTTTGACTATATCTTTTCCTTCAATATACTTTTCTTTTCCCTCCCTTCTTTCTTTCCCTTCTCTGTTGTTCTTTTTCCTCCTCTTTTCTTTTCCCCTACTCTTTTCTGTTCTCATTCTACACTCTCACCTGTGGCAATGTCACTCAAAATCAAGGCTTAACCTACACTCATAGTCTAACAATTCTAAACTTGTCATCTTCTTCTTAACCTTTTTCAGAGTGATAAGCAGTTTTATGACTGTCTATTAACTATCTCCACTGTGCACCAGGAGATTTTTTATCAATCTCCTTAGGCCTACAATGCCACTGCTAACCCCATCTTTAGCACATGATATGGTCTGGCTCTGTGTCCCCACCCAAATCTCATCTTGAATTGTAATCTGAAATGTAATCCCACACATTGCAGGGGGGCACCTTGTGGGAGGTGATTAGATCATGGAGGCAGCCCCCCCATGCTGTTCTTGTGATAGTGAGTGAGTTCTCATGAGATCTGATGGTTTCGAAAGGGGCTTTTCCTCCCTTTGGTCTGCACTTCTCCTTCCTGCTGCCATGTGAAGGACGTGTTTGCTTCTCCTTCTGCCATGACTGTGAGTTTCCTGAGGCCTCCCCAGCCATGCTGGTGTAAGTCAATTACACTTCTTTCCTTTATAAATTACCAAATCTTGGGTATCTCTTTATTAGCAGTGTGAGAACAAACTAGTACAGCACATGTAATTGTTTACCAAGTGCAGCTCTTGCTACCTCCTGATAGCAGTGTAGTCTGGTGGAACTATTAGGGAACTGCTCCATAGACAGCTGCCCAGGCTTCTAGATTGCAGGGAAGATATCTGATCTGGAGAGTACACACTGGGAATGATCCAAAAGAAAGGAGAACTAGAAGTAGGTAAAGTCACCTAAGAAAGACTCAGAACAAGAATTCAAAATCTAGGGGTCCATGAATGGTTCCTCAAACGATATCTAAATTGTACATATTGGGTACATATGTACGTTGTTTCAGATAATTCATAACTTTCATCAGACTTTCAAAGGTATCAGTGGATCACAGAATTCGAAATAACCCCTAGTTTAGGGCAAAGTTACTTTTTGTTTAATTATTACATATATATATTCATATAAATATATATACATATATATATAAATATGTATATATATTTGCACTTTGTCTATTGGGGATCTGCATCACTGATTCAATGTCTGTCTTCTCCACTAGATGGCAAGCTCCAGGAGGGCAGGGTCTACATTACTCGTTATTGTATACTGAAACAGTGCACATAAAAAGTATTTTTCCCTAATTTCCTTCAGACCATCAGTTCTCTTTCTTGGGCTTCAGTGACTTCATCTATAATGGTAGGTATTCATTTTTCACAATTTGTTTTTCTAAGCATCAACACTCTGGTACAGTGTTGGTCTTCATCACCACTATATCCACAAAGCCTTCTGAGCCTGAGTGCTGGATCTTCTAGTCACACAGAACAGGTAGGAAAAGATGGGAGTAATTATAATAAACTGTGATATGTGCTACAATAATGGCATTAGAAGATGCTAAGGGAGAGGGGGCAGGGAACAACCACATCTGGAGATGCCAGCATAAACTGTCTCTAGAAAAGTCCTTGGCCAAGTTCACATTTGGCTCATCAGAGCAGGATGGACATTGCCTCCTTTGGGTAACCCCCAGAACTAATCACACTGGCCATAAACAGGCAAGCTCATAGAACTCCTTTCTAATCATTTTAGATGTCTTTTTTTTCCCTCTCCATTTCAACTCAGGTCTCACAATTTATAAAAAAAATAAATTACCTGCCACCATAGTGTGTAATTTTCAAAACTACCTGTTCACCACAGCAAAGCAATAATGCCCGGTTCCCAAAGGAAGCATCATTCTCTCCTACATCCCCTTCCTTCCAACTTCATTGTTTGCTGTGCCACATCAAGGCCAGGAAGGAACAAACACACCAGAATTCAGCCTGCCTTGTGGCTTACTACCTCATCTGAACAGCAGCCATTTGAATGTCTATAAACTTCTTTCATTTCTCCTCCTCATGGCCTTTGAGCTTTTCTTTCTGGAAATGATACTCTTTCATTTTTATTAAAAACAAGACTTGCAACTTCTTATATTTCTAGCCTGCACCACATTTAAAGTAGTAACTTCTCTGCTTCTCCAGATTATTCCGTTCCTTTGTCCCCTATTAGTGTGAGGTAGTTAAAACAAAAACAAAATCAAAACAAAGAATTTGGAATAAAAATCCTTACCTTTGAAACCCAGCTCTATATCCTGGCCAATCCATTTTTCTGCCTGAACCTTAGTTACCTCATATGTTAAATGAGGGCAATAAGAGTGCTATTATGCCTTTTCATATCACTTCTTTTGGTGAGATTTAGATCAAAAATCATGGGGCCAAGTGTGCTGTAAACTCTGAGATCCTCTATGTGAGTCAGTAATAAGTATTATTATTTTTAAACTTTATGGTATATTTCATACCTTCGACTTTGGTGAGCACCTTCCTTTTTTAAGTCTTTATACCTTTTCCAATTTTAGAATTTTAATCAAGCTTCTCAAAATTTACTTCTCCATGTAGTGAAAATTTGTTTTTTAGTTAATCACACTTGTTATTTAAGGAAGCAATTCTATCTGACTAATTCTTTATTCAACAAATATTTATCATGCATATAAAATGTGTAAGTTATGCTCTTTGACTTGATACAAAGCCGTTCCAACTCCCTCTATAACAGTGCCATCTGATGGTTCTGATGATTATCCCACGTGTGAGTGCTCAAAGAAGTGGGTGAACCTACATGTCAGCTAATTTCTTGAGGAGGCAGTTTTAATTTTTAGGAAGTGATTCTTCATGTTGAGCTAATGTATATCTTCCTGCAATTTCCACCTATTGTACTATTCTAACATTCAGTGTTCTCCTCTACAAGTGTTCGGATGTTTGCAGATAGCTACCAAGATACTTCTCCCAACATTTTCTTTCTCCAGGCTAAGAATAAGAAAGTTCCCCAACCATTCTTTGTTTCTGATTTGCTCTTCCTTTTCTTCTAGCCTCATGATGGTTTGTCATCATCAAGTTTACATTGAGGTTGAACTGCGAATTGCAGATATGGTTGGACCATTTTTTAACTACAGTGGGGTTATCATTTTCCCCCCTCGAGCATGAAACAACTCTTAGTTCAGCCTGTAATAGCATTAGCACTTTTTGTTCCAGTCAGAGTTCATTGTTGACTCATGCCACTGCCATACTTAAATAGAAATACAACCTCAGACTTTAAACCTGTCTTCTCTCCAAACCCTATTTTCTTCATCTCTTATTTATAGAGTTGGAGTTTTAAATCCAAGTGAATACTTGATATTTTTCCATATTCAATTTTATCTTTTTAGATTTGATCCAGTGTTCTTATTAGTCAAAAAATTGTTGAGTCCTGATTATTATTCAGTGTACTGGCTGTTTTTCTGAACTTCATGCCATAGAAAATTCAATTAATAAACCTTCCATGTACTCCTACTGTTAGTTAGCATGTTGCAAATTATGGTTGCGAATGAAGTTTACATACAATGTTAACTGCACCCTGGGTAATTATGTTACCTTTGTTACTTTTTTTTTTTTGAGAGGGAATCTCACTCTGTTGCTAGGCTGGAGGGCAGTGGTGGGATCTCGGCTCACTGCAACCTATGACTCCCTGGTTCAAGTGATTCTCCGGCCTCAGCCTCCCAAATAGCTGGTATTACAGACACATGCCACCATGCCTGGCTAATTTTCATACTTTTAGTAGAGATGAGGTTTCACCATGTTGGCCAGGATGGTCTCGATCTCCTGACCTCGTGATCCACCCACCTCAACCTCCCAAAGTGCTGGGATTACACGTGTGAGCCACCACACCTGGCCTGTTAGTTCTTTTTTAATCTTCAAAAATCACTACAGTGTATGAAGATTTGGTACTATGAAATATACAAAAGATATCACATCTAGCATATAATAGGTGTTCAATAAATGCCTTTCAGGTGAACAAAACCAAGAAAGAGGTTTACCAAACCTAATTTAGAAAAAATATCAAAGAAACTACACAGAGAAAAAATAAGAGTATCCTCCACACAAAAGTTGATGAAAGGGAACACAAAGTTGTAAAGGTAAATTAAATTCTGAATGGAAGTCAAAAACCAGGTGTAGCTGTATTCAAAATGAGACTAAGCACTCTAAAACTGAGAAGATACATAAAACACTTTCCCTAAAGACAGGCACAGGCTGATGGCTGATTCTGATGGCCTTCTGAGGATGTTCTGATGAGCACGAGGGAGCAGCACACAGAAATAAAGCATCCATCCCCTCAAAACACACACACACACACACACACACACATACACACACACACACACACACAGAGAAAGAGAGAGAGAGATTAACTAACTTCCCAGAGAACATCCACTGTGGGCCAGGCATTATGCTAAGTCTCATTAAAGTCTCCCCAAAACCTGCGAGAATGCTGGGGAAAAAAATAAGAAAATAAAAATTAAAAATAAAGTCTCCCCCAAACCCATTGAGGTTGATACTGTGGTCATGTCCACTATGTAAAAGATAAAACTGAAACTTATATAGGTTACATAAATTGCTCTAGGTCATGCACACAGTAAAAATCAGATGTAGGACTTAAGCTTTGTTATATCACTGCTGCGACTGTACACAAATGTCTGTAGGTACTCTTACATAGTTTGAAACACTGGCTACAGTTAATCAATAGTTATTACAAGAGAAAGTACTGTCAGATCAAGACTCAAAGTACAATTCCTTAAAGACCAATCAAGGAACCCCTGTGAAGGCTGGTCTATAGCCCACAGATCCCTCTCCAAAGAGCCTAGTCTGGGTTTTCCATATATGTAAGATATCTAGTTCCCCTTACCATTTTTGTTTTCTCATGCTGGCCAATTCTGGCATTTTATCTGTAGTCTACACACTAATGTTTAGATTGAAAAATTAGGTTGACAACATCAAGTGCATAGCCTTGGTCATCCCCCAACCCCACATCCATTCAACTCTTAGCCAACTTAAGTGATCCACTTATGATCTTTCACCTCACTGCCTTATCTGAGTCAACCCACGTCTCCTTTGGTTCTCTTACTTCAATGCTCAGGTCAGAGTCTAATGTCTGTGTCACAGAAAGAATGCTGGAATTGGGAGAAATAAAGAAGCAATGAGCTGGGAGGACTGGAAAGCAAGCATTCAAGCAACGAGAATCTAAACATTCAATTCCCGGGCAATCAATAACCTCAGGCACCTTGCTGAAGAAGGAACGGATAGGTTTCCAGGAGGATGGTCCTGAAAGCCCTGTAGACACATCATTTATTCACCTAGTATTAATGGAGGACCCACTATGTGTACAGCACTTTGCTAGTTACTGTGGGTACAAGAGTGTGCAAGTCAGAACCAATAGTTTACTGTCTACTGTGAATCAAAGGGAAGCCTAGACGCCAAAATCTTAGCACTAACTTTGCTAATGACACATGTTATTGAGACACCCCACTTTCTTGCAACTCAGTTTCCCATCTGCATAACATGTGGGTAAAAAATGCTGGGCAATGCAGCAATTAAGGTCCCTTTCAAGGGTGTGGCTGTTTTCCTGAAACAGTCAATATCTTAGATCCTTTGTTGGTGGCTTTTTTCAAGTTTGCCACTTGGAGAGGGGGTGGGGAGGCTTCCTGCTGGAAAAGTTCTTTACCATTTTCATAATTGAGTTATGCACTCCCCTCCTTAGGTCTTTAATCTTCCAACATTTATCCCATCAGTTCTATCTCTAGTGAGCCCTTATCCCAAGATGTTTGTCTATTAAATTAAGAGTTTTGCAGAAGGGTAGAGCCATTTAAAGGCTGTAAATCACTGGGCAGTCTTTTAGCTGCTCTCTGCTCAGAACCCCACTGCATCATCTAGCACTCATCCTGCCACTGCCTCCCCTCGGGCCTTGGCTCTCAGAGACAGACAGCTCTGGAGCGTGTAACTGGCAAAGACCTGCCTACTCCAAAACCTGCTCCAGTCTATGGGGCTAGCCTGTCCTAGGGGTGAGTTGATGGGGAATTTATATAAGCCATTGATTAACCTTCAGGAACGTCAAGAGCAACTTGACACTCTCACTGGTTCTTCTTTCACCTTTTTCCATAGTGTTTTACATGCAGCCAGACCCCTTCTTGAGACCCTAGTTTTAATAACTGTATCCCTTGATTATATTCCTGACCTAGACTCGAGATTCAAACCAGAATAACAGAAAACTAACACTCCTGGGACCTTTATTTATTATGAGCCAGATCTTGTATATAGCTTCTATCATTTATATTTTTATCTTTTACCTGTAAGGTAAATGATATTATTATTCCCATATTATTGATAAAGACACTGAGGCCAAGGCAGATTCCATACAGTGTCAAGTTTTTATGACATCTTAATGATGGAGATGAGATTTTGAATCTGAAGCTGTTTTTCACCAAAGCCTGTGATATGCATTCAGTCATTCATAGGTGCTTTTTCTTTCTTTTCTTATTTATTTATTTATTTATTTATTTTGAGACAGAGGCTCAGTCTGTCACCCAGGTTGGGGTGCGCAGTGGCCCCCGATCTCAGCTCACGGCAATCTCTGCCTCCCGGGTTCAAGTGATTCTCCTCTCTCAGCCTCCTGAGTAGCTGGGATCACAGGCGCCCACCACCATGCCCTGCTAATTTTTGTATGTTTAGTAGAGATGGGGTTTCACCATGTTGGCCAGGCTGGTTTCGAACGACTGACCTCAGGTGAGCTGCCCGCCTCAACTTCCCAAAGTGCTGGGATTACAGACGTGAGCCACAGTGCCCGGCCCATAGATGCTTTTTGAATGACTACTGTCATGTGTCATGCAGGGTGCCAGGCTAGTGTTGTTATGGTAACCAGAATACTTAAGATATCCACATCCTCTTGGAGGATACAGTCTGCCCTGCAGTGGTAAGCATCCCCTCAGGACATCAGAGGCATCGGTGCCAGTTCTTTCTCCCTGTCTCTCCACTTGGTGATGAGATTTCTATTTCTGAACCTTCATGCTGTGGCCACGGTACTGTCACTTTCTAACTCTTGTCCTGTCCATCTATCTGGCTCTCAAGAAATTGCCATAGACTCCCCAAGCCACACTCATGGGAAGCCCTTGTTAAAGTATTGCATGGGCTAGCAGTAGACTGCCCAATGCTCTACTGCATGGTGTGTCTTTTCTGTTGCTTCAGATTGTCTTCTCTTGTCCTTCCTCTCTAGTGCTTCCCCACTCCTGGGGAGGTCTCCAGGTCTTGCCCTAACGTCTACCTGATTGTTTCAGTCTGCCGCATTCTACCTGCCTGTTTCATAATGTTTATCAGCCAAAATAAATAAAACAATGCACAATAATGAAACGCAGGAACAAACCCTGGGGGTGTATTCTCCATACATCTGACTCTTTCCTCAAAGACCTCCTGATCTCAGGCTGTCCCATGACACCTGCTTTCCTGGACTCCACCTAGGTTGACCTTCCTCTAAATGCCTCATGCCTCTCAATGAGCCTTCCCTGCTCCCACTCATGATGAATCTCTCCAGCTTCAGGAGAAGCTGTCATCATACGTAAAAAATGACTTGAAAGATTTATTTATAATATGTAGAATGGAGATCACACAGGGGCCAGAGATCAGACAGCTTGATTCAAGTTCCAATTCTACCAGTTACCAGCTATGAGATATCGGTCAGGTCCCACATGCTCTCTGGGGAAACTATTTCTTTACCTGTTAAATTGGAATATCAGAAGCTATAATGACTTTATAATGGGTCTACATAGGTAGGCTGAACTACACTTCCCAGAATTCCTCCCTTATTTTGATGTTTCTGGTTAGGTTGCACCATAAGGGAGAGCCCTGCAAAGCTCTGGAGGGCGGACTAGTAGCCATTTAACAGCTCACACATGTTATCACTGACCTGCTGGCTCACCTCATTGACTTGAAGTAGCAGCTGGGCTTGCAACTGCTCTATTTTCCCCTGGGTCCTCCAGCTTCTACCACTGCTGGGCCAAGTGCTATGTTTAGCTCTATGACAAATGATATGTATGGTGTCTGTAGAATACCTACATCACCAAGGCCAGAAGCAACAAGTTTCAGTCCATCCTCAAGGGGTTTCAGCTGAAGCTTGTGGGTTGAGTCTGCCCTCAACCTCCCAACTTTACATCTATCTTACCTTTCTGACTTCCAGCCCTTTGAGCTTTGAGCTCTATCTAGCATTCAATGCAGAGACAATGGCCTTGCAGACACACTTAACTAGCTCTCATAATTGCAAAAGGCCAAAAACCAGTAACAGGAATTTTATGTATAGGTATAAGCTTGTGTGATGAGCCTGTATTTGTTTGTGTGCATGTGTGTAATCAGTAGTTCTGCTTCTCTGGTTGAACGTTGACTAACAGAAAGACTATTTAGAAAACTTTCAAGAAAAGTATGAAACTCAGGAGCATAAAAGAATAACCATTAGCTCATGGATCTGCAGTTCAGCTGAGGGGACTCTTCTTCATGCAGCATCTCTGTTGGTTACTTGGAGTGCCTGTGTTCCACTTGGGTTTATTCTGGAGCCCAGGGACAGCAGTTGCATGAGGAAAACTCTGCTCCTGAAGATGACAGAAGCTCTAGGGGACAAACCCCATTGAAAAAGCACATTTTAAGCCCCTGATTATGTCATGTTTACTGACATCCCATTGGCCAAATCAAATCACATGGCCAAGTTCAAAGTCAAGAGGCAGAGAGATGCATTTGCCTTTTGTGAGAGAAGGTGCAAATATGTATGGGGAAGGACACGGCTACAAAATTAAGAATTGGGGGCTACACTTACAAGATAGTGGTTCAGAAAAGTATCCAGACACCTGCTTCTGCCCCTTCCCAGCTATGCTGTAACTAGATATGGCTATGAATGAACTGAGAAATGGCTCTTCCAATTCTGATTTTGCTACTAAGTAGCTGTGGGTTATTTAAAAAGTTAATTCATAACACTTTGTCTGAAAAATTGGAATAATGATGCTTATCCCTGGAGTAAGACCAACTGGATTCAGTCTTTTGATGATTCATTGATTTAGGGAGAATATGCAATTATAGAGTCATCAAATGAATGGGAATAATCAGAGGTTTATTTTTTTCTTTTATTTGGTCATTTTAAAATTATTTCACTTTAAATACATTTTATTGAAATTATAAGTAAAAATAAAAGACTACCTTCAAAGCCCTCACACCCAAGTCCATATCAATGTCCCCTCAAAGGAAATCATTGTTAAAATTTTGCTTATATATTTCCAAATATTTTCAGGACTTTATATATATGCATGAATTACACACACATGATCATATTTTCTCATACTGTAGCTTGCTCTTTTACTTTGCTATGTCTTCGTTATCTTCTTATTTTAGTCTATGTAGATTTATTTCATCCTTTTAAAATCTGTCTCATATTCCAAAGTGTGAATCTACCAGAATATGTTTAACATTTGTTCTGTTAATGATCATGGAAATTCTTCCAGATATGCCTTAACTAACCCAGTGTTGAAGTTTGTACCTGTCTTTGTGCAATGTGAGAATGTTTTCTGTAGGATAGATACCTAAGAAACTGCTGGGTCGAAGAGTATTCATGTTTTTGGAATTTTGATAGATAACTGCCACACTGCCTTCAAAAAAGTTAAAAAGAAGAAAGAAAAAAAGCCTGATCCAATTTACAAATTCACCGACATTATAGAGAAGTACCATGTCTCCAAATCTTTCACAACACACAATGTCATCAATTTTTGAGATTTTTTTCTAATAATGTATTGGATGGTTGTCACAGGACTATTATGATGAATGATGTCAATAGGCACAAGCAAAGAAAATGAGTTATTTTAATTTAGTAAAGAATACCATATTAGTCCGTTCTCACACTGCCATAAAGACATACCTGAGACTGGGCAATTTATGAAGAAAAGAGGTTTATCTGACTTACAGTTCCACAGGCAGTACAGGGAGCATGGCTGGGGAGGCCTTGGGAAACTTACAAGCATGGTAGAAGGCAAAGGGGAAGCAGGCACGTTTTCTCATGGCCAGCAGGAGAGAGAGAGCGGAGGGAGAGTTGCCCAGGCTGGAGTGCAGTGGCATGATCTCTGCTCATCGCAACCTCCGCCTCCCGGGTTCAAGCGATTCTCCTGCCTCATCCTCCCAAGTAGCTGGGATTATAGGCATGTGCCACCACGCCCGGCTAATTTTGTATTTTCAGTAGAGACGGGGTTTCCCCATGTTGGTCAGGCTGGTCATGAACTCCCGACCTCAGATGATCCTGGTCACGAACTCCCGACCTCAGATGATCCGCCCACCTCGGCCTCCCAAAGTGCTAGGATTAAAGGCATGAGCCACCGCGCCTGGCCTAAGTACTACACACTTTTAAAAGACCAAATCTGGTGAGAACTCACCACTGTCATGAGAACAAGGGGATATCCACCTCCATGATCCCATCACCTCCCACCAGGTCTATCCTCCAATGATGGGAATTACGATTCAACATGAGGTTTAGGTGGGGATACAGAACCAAACCATATCAAATAATAAACTTAATTTCCTGAAGACTGAACAGTGTTCTCTTCACGACAGGGGCAAATTTTGTTGGTCCTAAATCCTTCACAAGAAGTCTTTTTGTAGGTGGTACAACTCAAACAGAGTAGAAACCCTACTGAGCCTGCAAGTAGCTCAGCTGTGGTAGGCAGGATGTTTCCCAGAAAGTGTCTGTGTCCTAATCCCCAAATCCTGTGAATGTTATCGTACAAGACAAAAGAAAGATGGCAAATGTGATTATGGTTAATAATCTTGAGATGGGGAGATTATCCTGCATAATACAGGTATGTTCAGTCTAATTACGTGAATCCTTAAGAACATAAAACCTTTCCAAGCTGTGATCAGAGAGAACCATGTCTATAGAAGAGTAATCAGGGAGATATTGTGAAGATGGGGGAAAGGGTTGTGAGCCAAGGAGTGGGCAAAGACAGACGCTTCTGTAGAGCCTCCAGAGTGTAGTGCAGCCCTGCCAGTGTCTTGCTCTTAGCCCAGAGCAATCCATATCAGACTTCTCAAATACAGAACTGTAAGATAACAAATTCGTATTCTTTAAATCACTAAGTTTGGGCTAACTCATTATACTCACAACAGAAAATTAATCTAGCCACCCTCTTTGTGTTCTGGGGCAAAAAGGCAGTGATAATCTCCTTTTGGTTTCTTCCTAATGAAATGTGGGTTAGTCTCTTGCCTACCCACTAAGTACAAGGAACTGACAAAAACCATAGAACATTTATCAGTATTTGCTATAAGGATTAACTGAAGGTCAGTGTATACATGTTTGACAGGCATCATCTACCTGGCAGATACAGATGCAACATACAAACCTGTTTGAATTAATGAAAAATATTATTTCAATTGTGCCTCAGTTTTAATTTGTTTAATTGTGAATGGGGTTAAATAGTTTTTCATATATTAATTAGCAATTTTTTAATTTGCTGGCTTACAGCTTTCACTAATTAATCAAATGGGTTGTTTGCCTTGTGATAATGACTGTAAAAACTATTTATATATTTTGTATACAAACCTTTTGTCAAATTTGTCGTAACTATTTCTCTCAGTCATATATATATGTTTTATATATCTCTATATATTTCTATGTAGACACTTATAAATCATGTTCCATATAACAATATTTTGGTCAACAATGGACCAACAGTGGCCCTGTAAGATTATGATGGAACTGAAAAGTTCCTATTGCCCAGAGACATCTTAGCCATTGTGCAATGGATTACTCAGATATTTGTGGTGATGCTGGTATAAGAAAACTTATATTAATGTATAGCACATACAATTATATACAGTACATAATACTTTATAATGATAATAAATATGTTACTGGTTGATGTATTTACTGTTATTATATTTTTAATCATTATTTTAAAGTGTACTTCTACATCTTACATATATGTAAAGTTAATTGTAAAATGGCCTCAGGCAGGTCCTTCAGGAGGTATTCCAGAAGAAGGCATTGTTATCATAGGAGGTGACAGCTCCGTGTGCGTTATTCCCCCTGTAGACCTTCCAGTGGGACAAGATATGGAGGAGGAGGAAGACAGTGATAATAATGATACTGACCCTATGTAGGACTAGATGAATGTATATGTTTGTGGATTAGTTTCTAACAAAAAAGTTTGCAAAGTAGAAAATCATTAAAAATAGAAAAAAGTGTATAAAATAAGGATATAAGGAAAAATATTTTTGTACAGCTGTACAATGTGTTTGTGTTTTAAGCTACCTCTTTAACGTTACTACAAAAAGAGAAAGTTCAGAAAGTTTAAAAGTTTGTGAAGTAAGAAAGTTACAGTAAACTAAGGTGAATTTATTATTGAAGAAATTCAAATATAAAAATAAATTTTGTAGCTTAAGTGTATAGTGTTTATAAAATCTATGGTAGTGTACAGTAATGTTCTACATATTCACATTCACTCTCCACTCCCTCATTGACTCACCCAGAGCAACTTCCAGTTCTGCAAGCTCCATTTATGATAAGTGCTTATACAGGTGTACCAATTTTTATCTTTTATATTATATTTTTACTGTACTTTACATATGTAAGGTATGTTTAGATAAACAGATACTTACCAGTGTGTTACAATTGCCTGCAGTATTCAGTACAATAACATGCTATACAGGTTTGTGGCCTAGGAACAATTGGCTATATCATATAGCTTAGAGGTGTAGTAGGCCACACTACCTAAGTTTGTGTAAGTACACTCTTCGAGATTCATACAATGATAAAATCTCTCCTAATGATGCATTTCTCAGAATGTATCCCTTTTGTTAATCAACACAAATGTGTGTGCAACTCTCTCTCTCTCACACACACACACACACATATCAGTCAGTTTGTGTTTTTCTCTGTTTCTACTGGGTATTTTGACTTCTATAAGAAGGCCTTGGCAAACTAGGTTTATTTTTATGAATTGCCTTCTACCTTATTCTACCATTATTCAGTTTATGATTTTATGCCCATATTTTGCTCTTTATACATGTGAAACTTATTTTTTAAATTATTTTGGAAAGAGTTTTTAAAAAATGTTAATTGACATAATAAATGTACATATTTATGCTGTACAATGTGATATTTTGATGTGTGTATTCAATGTGTAATGATTAAATCAGAGTAATTAGCATGCGTATTACCTCAAATGTTTATTTACTTTTTGGTGTGTGTTGGGGACATTCAAAATCCACTCTTCTAGATTTTTGAAAATACATAACTAATTGCTGTTAATTAATGGCACCCTATAGCATTATAGAACACTAGAACTTTTTCCTTCTATTTAGCTCTAATTTTGTGTCTGTTAACCAATCTCTGACTATTCACACCCCCGCCCAACTTCAGATGGACTAAGACAAGACTTAAATATGAGACCCCAAACTGTGAAGCTGTGGTAACCGCTATTCTACTCTCTACTTCCATGAGACTAAATTTTTAGCTTCTATATATGAGAAATACATGAGATATTTCTCTTTCTGTGCCTGACTTATTTCACTTAACATAATGTCTTCCAAGCTCCTCCATGTTGCTGTGAGTGGCATGACAGAATTTTGTCCTTTTTTCTGGCTGAATAGTATTCCATTGTGTATACAGACCACATTTTCTTATCCATTTATCTGTTGATAAACACTTAGGTTGATTACATATCCTGATTATTCTGAATAGTGCTATGATAAACATAGGAGGGCAGGTATCTATTCAATAATCCGATTTCCTTTTGTTTTTGGCTATATTCCCAGTAGCGAAAGTGAGATATCATATGGTAATACTATCTTTGGTTTTCTGAGAAACCTTCATACTATTTTTCATAATGGCTGTATAAATTTATATTCCCACCAACAATATAAGAGTTCCCCTCTCTCTGCCATTCTGAGATAAGTGTTACTCCGTAGTGGTTTTGATTTGTATTTCTCTGATGATTAGTGATCTTGACCATTTTTTCAAGTTCCTGTTAGCTATTTGTATATGTTCTTTTAAAAGATGTCTATTCAGTTCATTTGCTCATTTTCAAATTGAATTATGTAGGAGTATTTTGTCTGTTTATTTGTTTGTTGCTATTGAGTTGTTTTAGTTCTTTGTCTATTCTAGATATTAATCCCTTATTGGAAGAATAGTTTGCAAATATTTTCCCCAGTATTCGAGCTATTTCTTCACTCTGTCCATTGTTTCCTTTGTTGTGCAGAAGATATATAACCCAATTTATCTATTTTTACTTTTGCTGCCTGTGCTTTTGAGGTCTTCTCCATAAAGTCTTAGTCCAGACTAATATCCTAGAGGAGTGCTCCTTTGTTTTCTTTGGAAGTTTCATAGTTCTAGGTCTCACATTTAAGCCTTGTCTTAGTCCATTTTGTGTTGCTATACAAGAATGCCCAAGACTGAGTAATTTTTTTAAACAATAGGTTTATTTAGGTCATGGTTCTAAGGCTCATAAGTTCAAGGGCATGGCCCTGGCTTCTGGTGAGAGTTACCATGCTGCATCACAACACAGCTGAGAGAGCATCAAAGGGAAAGTGGGCCTGTAGGAAGAGGGGAAAACCTGAGAGATGTCCTGGCATTATAACAACCCACTCTCATAGGAACAAATCCATTCTGATGAGAATTAATCCAGTCTTGTGAACTCTTTGCCATGAGAATAGCATCAAGTTATTTATGAGGAATTCAGTCCCACAACCCAAATACCTCCCGCTAGGACCCTCAATGCTACTGCACTGATGATCAAATTTCAACATGAGTTTTTGTGGGGACAAACAAACTATATCCAAACCATAGCAAGTCTTTAATCCATTGTTAGTTGATTTTTGCATAGGATGGGAGACAAAAGCCTAGTTTCATTTTTCTGAATATGGATATCGAGTTTTCCTATCAGGAGTTATTGAAGACACTACTGTTTACCCAGGGAATGTTCTTGGTGCCTTTGCTGACAAGCAATTAGCTGTATATCTGTGTGTTTATTT